>NC_000008.11:59052265-59677265 GCF_000001405.40 Homo sapiens
GTGTTTTTTCACATATTGACTTCCAATTTACTAAAGTCATTTTTCAATCAATACTTAGTGCATTTGCAAAGCATGCAGTGAGATTCTAGACTCTGGAATAGATCACTTTAATGAAATCAAATGTCACGTGTCATGTGGAAATAAATCATATTATTTATGCTTATTTATGTTAAAGGATAAATAAGCATTTACCTTCTCTGCTGACTTTTATAACTTTCTTAACTTTCAGAATTAATTCAAGTGTGGATTTTAGTTGACTATTCTTAAAACAAAAATCTCAATTTCTCCATTTACCAGAAAGCTACAAGGTGCTCTCCCCCAGCAATGGTCTTAGTTGAACTGAATTTCCATATATGCTGTTATGTTTTTACATGAGGCAACATAAGAGTTCACTGGGACCGAACTCCATTTCTGCCATTCACCAGCTGGGTGACACTGGGCAAATTGCTTAACATCTCTGTTCATTTCTTCTGATAATATTAGTAGGATTGGCAAGACATTCCTTAGCATATTAATAATATACCTCTCAAAGTGCTATGAGGATTAAAGCTGTTAATACTTGCAAAGTTCTTAGAAAAAAACCTGACACGTAGAAGCTGTAAAATAAAAAATTTTAATGTGCCCTACTTTCGTATCACATATATAGAACCAAATAACGAAAAATGAATTGTAAAATAATGAAAAAGCTTGAATAATGGAAAATGTGGTTCTAAATGGTTCAAGACTTAGATAAATCAATATTTATTTGAATTCCATATGGCAATAAAACTAATGATAATTATTATTTTCTGAGGATGCCCTTGACATTTCTTGGATGAAAAGAAATCATATATACAATCAAACCAAACATTGTTTAGGTCAGTGATAAAACTTTTTTTAAAAAAATGTTTTGCTTAAGCACAAATATGTACTCTCACTGACTAAGCCATTCGGTATCAAAATAACACCATTTTACTCACTATTTTGACTCCCCAAATTGCAGAAATCTTCTGACCCTTTCTATCTTTTAATATGTTACAATGAGAAAATATTATCTCCCATAAAACAACAAAGTCCTGCTATCCCTACTGAAAAAAACAACGGAACACATGGTTGTGTCTGCCCGTGTTCTACGGCAACCTTGCGCTCACACCACACTGCCTCTAGGATCTCAGCAGGTTTGTCTCGAAAATATATTGGTCTGCCTCAACTAGAAAAAACATAAAACATAATCTTGACTGTTGTTTCATTCCCTTCATAAGACCAATAATTCAGTTGTCTTTTATCCAGAAACGTAGTCTTTATAACATGTTCTGTTCTGTACTGACATTTTTATACCATTTTTCTTTAAGTGTCATGTATTTCAAACAGCTTTATAGTAAGAGTTATTGCTCAAGAGTCACTGCTTCCTTTATGGAATCTAGGGAATTTGGATCAATGTGTAAGTGGTATTGTGAACACATGTATGCTATTTAAGGATTTAGGCCCTATCATTGGCCTTGAGATACTCAAATGTCGAATCTATTTCCATTTAAAAGGGAAAAAAAGGAGAATTGTCTAATGTTTTAATGTCACTTTTCTTATAATTCTAGTAATTCAAGACCAAGCAATAATTTTGCCTACTTTATGTAAAGCAAACATATTTTTCTCAAGTCAAAAAAATATATATCATACATTTTCAAAAAGAAAATCTTGCATCCTCTTATTAAACTTTTTTAACTTTGCATCTGGAGTCTAGAATTAATTTTAACTATATTGGAAAAAAATATCAGAGAGTGGTGAAAGAGTGGTTAGTTTAACCACTTAAACTAACTTGCAAGTAATCTCCTATTCAGTGTGCATGGCTAAATGTGTGAGAATGAATGGCCAAAAAGATCTAATAAAACCCCACAGCATTTTAAAGCTACATATGCATAATGCCAATTTATTTTAATTATTAAATGCTTACGTTATAATATCAATAAATAATTTACACTGTAATTAACTCTATTATAAACAGTTCATGAATAGGCATGAGCACAGAGGTCATTAGCATATAGGGATCATTCTGATCTTTGCGTACTCTCTCCTTCCTTTGGCAGAAAGAAGGCAAGAAAACATTTTCAACTACCTGACAAATTTCCAAGCTTCATCCAGTATTCCCAAATGTCCGAGATCAGGAACTGTTGCCTTTTATCTTGCCAATCTATCCTTAGAGTTGTGAGTTCGCTGGAAATGGCTTCTATGATTTGTATCATGTAGTTTTAAATTGTCAGGATTTAGTAATTTACAGGCAAGAAAGGTTTGGAGTTTGGTTTTAAAAGTTTGACTGAGACAAATATATTGTTTTAGAAATATGTTTAGTAACATTTCCAGGAACAACAATTAAAAAAAATAGTTCTGAGAATTATATTAAAGGCCGACTCGTTACAACTTTGAAAAAGGAAGTTTCCTCGCCACAAACCAAATACATTCCTCTAAATGTATACTCTCATAAATTACAGAAATGTTCTCCACCAAGTACCAACAGCCACCACAAGCTCATAGTGATAAAGGAAGAAAAAGAAAGAGAAAAAGACAGAGAGAGAAGGAAGAAAGAGAGAAAGAGAAAGGAAGAAAGAAAGAAAAAAAGAGAGAGAAAGAGAAAGCAAAAAAAAAGAAAGAAAAAGAGAAAGGAAAAAAGAAAGAAAGAGAAAGAAAGAAAGAAAAAGAAAGAAAGGAAAAAGAGAGGAGGGAGGGAGGAAGGAAGGGACGGAGGGAGGGAGGGAGGGAAAGGAAAAAAAAAGAGTCAAAGAAAGAAAGAGAAAAAGAAAAAAATCTAACTAGCTTCATTGTAGTAGCTTACAGTTTTCCAAGGACTTTTCTGGGACTACTCTATGTGCCACTGAACTGATGTGACAACCAGCTTGCTTTATTACTTTGTATACTCCTAGAGTTGATTCAAAACTAAGCTTGCTGTGATATCAAAGGGGGAGCTGTGCTCCGATCAGCTGCAAACAGGCCCCAGGGGACAAGCACTGTTGTAAAGCAATAGGAACCCTACCCATGGATCAACATTAGCACACAGGGACTCAATGAAGCAGACCCAAGGAGGGCTTTTCTCTACCTGCTCCCCTCAAAGGCAACATTTTCTCATGTTTGAGCTTGTGAATAAAGAACAAGGGCCCACATGAATGCTGTCCCTTCTGTTTGGCCTGTTAGCATTTTGCCTACTACAGAGTTCCAGGAAACAAGAAAGGCTGCAGCCAGGAGGCAGTGGCTAGTGAGGATTCCAGTGCAGCCACCATGGCTGACCATATATTTGATCTTAAATGGACTAAACCAAAGAAAAAGGCTAGAAGCAGATCCCACTACATATGGGAAATTTAACACATAATAAAGGTGTCACTGGGAGCCACTGGGGAAAAGTGTTTGATCCCTGCCTCACACCTTAGTCAAAACTAAATCATTAGATGGGTCAAATGTTTTGAAGAAAAACATTTTCTTCAAGGTAGAAAACACTTTAATTTTAAAGTGGGAAAGGTCTTTCTAAGTATAATACAAAACTCTCTCTAAAGCTCTGAATCTTTCCCAAATCAGCAACTGGGTCTGCATTCCTAGTACTTGCTCACTTTATCAGGGACATCTACTTGCCAAGTCCTATTTGTCCCATCCTACAACTTAAACAAGACTACAGGGAGAACATCTCAGGATATAGAACATTGACAATAAATCATAAAAATTTTTACCCCTTATAAGTCCTAAAATAACTTTATTTAAAGTAACTGCAAAGTAACATTATGAGACTGCTCATAAACATTTCTCTTGCCAAAGAGATCAAAACATTTTGCTAAACATCCCATAAAAGGTAGTAAAAAATGAATAATTTTAAAGTCTTCTTGGAAGTCTTTCTAAACCAAGGACCCCAAGAATCATACCGAAGCCAGGTGTGGTGACTCATGCCTATAATCCCAGCACTTTGGGAGGCCAAGGTGGGAGAATTGCTTGAGCCTAGGAGTTCAAGACCAGCCTGGGCAACATAGCAAAACCTCATCTTTACCAAAAATAAAAATTTAAAAACTAGACTGGTATAGTAGTGAACATCTGTAGTCCCCGCTACTAGGGAGGCTAAGGCTGGTGGATCACTTGAGCCCAGGAGGAAGGGGTTGCAGTGAGCTATGATCGTGCCACTGCACTCCAGCCTGGGTGATAGAGCAAGGCCCTCTCCGAAAAAAAAAAAAAAAAAAAAAGGAAAGAAGGAAAAGAAAAGAAAAAAAAGAATTATACTGATACCACTACAGTGAAAATGGTAAGATGACCCCTTAGTAAAATGTTTGAAACTAAAATTGCCAGGTGCTTTCTTTACAGTGTCCCTAGGACTTAAAGGATTAAAGGATTGAATCTGAGCTTATGGAAACCCAAGAAAAAATATTCAGTAGTCTGTGTCATTCGTTATATAAAAAAATGCACATCAATGCAGAAATTTCTACTCCGTTCTGTTATCTGAAAAGTCACATGCCACCTGTTTAGGAAGTATCTGATTGAAAAAACCAACTGTGCATGCTTCCCTAGAGTCCCACATAAGCCCACATGAAGAGCAACTAGAAAAAGACAAAAGCAATGGCCCTTTCTTGGCAGCAAGTCAGATCTCTCCGTTTTAACTAGCTGCTTGGAAAGATAAGGTCATGACATGTCTAGAAAAACTGCACACTTACTTGAACAGATAATATACAAAAAGCTGGCCCTAGCCTTTACTAATGTAAGAATCTAAATTTTTATCCCCAGAAAAAAAGAGTATGAAAAATACCCTTTGATACCCTTTAATAACGTAGTTCTTTCCTCCCAAAGCAGTGCTGTCTCCCAAGCTCAGCTCACCCAGAAAGCCACCACTGAACAATCCAGGGAGATGAGCTGCTCCACCTTCCAAATGCTAGTGCTGCCTTGAGCACTACATATTAATGAAGACATTAACTAGTAAATTTATATTTAAATAAAAATATGATTCAGGGAAAATATTGAAACATAAAATGAAAAATATGCTATAAAATTTTCTGTTACAAACTGGCCATATCTTGTAGAAAAAAAAATCACATACAAATAGTATTTATTACACCTCTGACACTACACTGAGCCCTTTACAAGTATTATTTGCATACAAGCAGAGGCAAAGTGTCATAATACACACCTCATAGGTTTGTTGTGAGAATTAAAAAGAGTTATTGTGTATAAAATGTGTAGAACAATGTTCAAGACACTGGAAACAATAAGTATTAGTTCCTAGTATCTGATTTAATCCTCACCCCAAACACCTAAGGATTAGAGATATTAAAGAACTTGCCTAAAATGACATTGTGTCACTCCAGATTTCATGCTTGTAACTGCTGTGGGTGAATAAAAAGTATATTCTCTCCGCCCCCCGCCTTTCAGTGTACACAAACAAAACAGTGTGTATATGAATACCATATATTTATAATTATATATATGAATGCTGGGAAAAAATGCATGCTGAGTGGTCGAATTACACATTTTTATTGCTTCATTTTCCATATTTTCTACAAGCAATATGTATTCCTTTAATAATCAGCTGTTTTTGTAAATATCTTCAGGAAACTTCAATCATCAAAACTTCTGGAAGTTGTTTTTTGTTTTTTGGAGTTTTTTGGATACAGAGTCTCACTCTGTCACCCAGGCTGGAGTGCAGTGGCACAGTCTCGGCTCACTGCAACCTCCACCTCCCAGGTTTTTTATGCTTGACCCAAAGGGTGCTCTAGAATGTGGACTACAGGTCAATCCAGGCTCTAGACGGAAAAAATAATATTTTTAAAATATAAAACCAATATCCCTATCCTATTTCAAAAGGATTTTTGTTTAGACAATGGTTTACTTATTATTTGAAAGCTTAAAGAAAAAAATGATTAAGCAACTAAGAATATCATCTCATTTCAGATGAGTTCTCCCCATGTAAGCTTGCTACAAAGGAGCAGAATTTTCAGGAGCTGCTCAAGGCAGCACTAGCATTTGGAAGGTGGAGCAGCTCACTTCCCTGGATTGATCAGTGGTGGCTTTCTGGGTGAGCTGAGCTTGGGAGACAGCACTGCTTTGGGAGGAAAGAACTACGTATATATTTCAGGACTATGTTTCTAAGATGACATAAAGGTGGGAATGAAAAATAGCATGAGCTGGTTCCTTCAAGTGGTCCAGAAGGAGCAAGTGGGGCCATGAGGGGAGCAGCTGTAACTGGTGGAAATGGTGAGCTGAATCCACATGCTTGCCCACTGGAAGGAGACACCTTTGATAATTTCATTTCTGTCTTTTTCTCTTTGGAGACACTAAGTTCCGGAAGAAGGCAAGCCACATTCTCAGGATCATGTGGGTCTGCCCCAGCTAAAGATGTACAAGCTATAGGGACTCCTAAGTGCGAGCCCTGTGACTGTTCATCCTTAAATACGTTAGCAGCCAGCATGCTGACTATGATGAGTTGTGCGCTCCAAGTCAGAGGGTCTGATTCCCCAGGTTCCAGAAGGAGCTCAGGAGGCTCCATGGTGCCTTTCCCCACCTGCAACTATTTTCCTACCAGCCACTATCCAGCAAGAGCCTCCTAGACCAAGGAGCCTTTCTCTGTTTACAATTAACAACAACAAAATATCTATTAAAAGGTCAGAGTTTCTCTCAATGAAGAAAGTTAACACAGCCCAGGGCATCCAGGAAGACAGCCAACTCTGGTCTTTAATCTTGCACATCAAGCACACCCTGATGGCCAACTTCTCAGCCAAGTGAGACTGCTGGTTGGCCTTTCTAGAATGTAGGAGGCAAACAGTAAAGTCTTCTTCAAGAGCAGTAAGAGTAATCTGGCCAGAGAGGATTTGAATTGAGGTATACCGGCAGCTTTTCTATTTGTTTGTAAATGAGAGAAGATAGAGGTATTTTAAGTAGATAATGAGGGTGCCTAACTAGTGAAGTAAGAGCCAATTTGCTCTAAGTAATTGTCTTCTAGAATATAAAAAGAATTTCAAAAAACATGATCCTTTCTCATTCCCCTTCCTTCACATCACCAAAATTAAAATAAAATTTAATTCCTTTCTAAGAGCCTGGAGAAGGTGGGGCTACCTTGGATGTTCTTCTAAAGATCAGATGAGCTCCTACAGAATCCCCATTCCAAGTACCGGAAGAAAATAATTTAATTGGAAGGTAAAAAGAAGAAATATTTTACTCTTTAAATTTTTTTTTAACTGAGAAATATCACCAAGTTACTAAAGATACAGAATGGAAAAGGAAGAATAAAGAGTCATTAATAAATATATCTCCTCTGAACAACATCAACACTCATTTTGTTTCTTAAATGTCCATACAGTGGTCTACTGTCAAATTAGATAACATGAATTTATATTATTATTCAAGAAAGAATCCCATATCAGGAGGCCCATATTTCAATGCAGAATGGATTACATTATTTGTCAAGGAAAACACATTACTCTTTGAAAAACAGAAAAGTTGACCTTGGCAAACAGTTAGTAAAATTATTCCCTACTTGATTTCCCTTATGTACAGAGTGTGGGAGAGCACATATTTAGTGCTGCTTTGTGGCATTGTTTCAAAAGAACTCTTGTTATCGTGGCCAGAAAGGAGTAGTGAACATCTAGAAAATGTTCACATTAGTGTTGGGAAGTGACCAAAGTCTTGTTTCCACCTTTTATGTTATGTTGTAAAAAAAAAAAAAAATCTTTTAGAAAGAAAATCATCTAGATTTTTATAGTAAGTAGACACAGGCTTAATGTATGCTTATCTTTTTATCTTTTACCTTGATCAACCATAGTTCTTTTTTTTCATAATCAGAGACAAATACAAATAAAGCATTTATTCTTTGACAAAATTCTAAAATTGTGTAACGATTTCCCGTTTTATTAGGATGCTATTACCTTATCATTTTACCTTGTCTCAGCTGGCATTCCCACTATTTTTGTAATAATTGATAACAGAGTGTTTAATTCCATCAAGACAACATTTGATAGCCCCGTGTCTTTATGTCTTTTCATGTGGATTACTCAAATCTACCTCAACAGACTTACTTATCGCAACTCTTCCTTTCTTCCTTATACCCTTCTGGCTCCCAATCCCAATAGTGTGCTGGCTATTAATATTTTATGGCTGGGCGCAGTGGCTCACGCCCGTAATCCTGGCACTTTGGGAGGCCAAGGCGGGCAGATCACGAGGTCAGGAGATTGAGACCAGCCTGGCCAACACGGTGAAACCCCGTCTCTACTAAAAATACAAAACATTAGCCGGGCGTGCTGGCACGTGCCTGTAGTCCCAGCTACTCAGGAGGCTGAGGCAGGAGAATTGCTTGAACCCAGGAGGCGGAGCTTGCGGTGAGCCAAGATCACACCACTGCACTCCAGCCTGGGTGACAGAGCGAGACTTCATCTCAAAAAACAAACAAACAAACAAACAAACATTTTATATGTAATAATAACATAAAAATAGTACTAATAGCCAATGTTTGTTTTATACCTGTCACCTTTTTGAAGCCATTTTTGCCTGTTATGCCATTCAATTCTCTTAGTAACATCAAAAATTAAATAATACCATTATCCCATGTTACAAATGAGGAAACCAGGGCTGACAGAGACTGACTATACTTGCCACTGTATCTTGTTGTTTGGTGCCCTTTATATCTTATATTTAGAGTGGAACATTAAGCCACTCATAACCAACCAAGGCTAGTTGAAGAACAACGCTACTATTGGGGGAAAACCTATTTGAAAAATACAATCGATCTTTTCCTGCTGAATGTTCTTCCCTTGTATCACTCCCTACTCAAAATCTTCCATAAAGCTGCATCTTTTAGAGTTACTGAGATATGAATAAGTCAGCAAAGATTACAGGAGATTACCAAGAGATTGTACGGTAAAAATGATAGATTGTAAATAATGTAAAACAGAAAATGAAAACAGAACATGTTTACAAAATTGTAAACCAAATCTGTGTTTGAGTGTGTGCGTGTGTATACTTGTGCATAAAATCATGTTATTAAATGACTGGATCAAAGTATTATGAATGGCAATGCTTCAGCTTCTAAATAATCAATGTGGATCATCGAAAACCAAAGAAACCAAAGCAATTGGTACTGATTGTTGAGATAAAAGGCATTTGATGAAAAGATTGTATGGAAAGCAATGCCACAAACCAGTTCACTCCTGTAAATGGAGGAACAAAACAGCTTGTATCTCTAAAAGATAACGTTCAGTAAAGGTTTAGTAATTACCTAGTATTTTTTTCTCTGTGATGGCCTCTTCGGTAATTTCCTCTACCACAATTTTTAAATAAATGTTTTAAAATGTTTATCTGGTAAAAATCCCCTCTTTTCCCCCACCCCATAGTCACTACTAGCAAAACCCCCATCTGGCTGTAAAGATCCTTAACCAGTTTCATAGTTGGTGGCCAGGTGATGATAAGAGGATGGCAACCCCTTGAATAAAGCCCACTCCTTTATGTCGGTCGTTCCATCATTTAACACTTTCCTATATATATCTAGTAGCAAGAAACTCAGAAGGTCTGGAATGACAGCCTCTTGGAGATCACCATGGAAGAGGAAGGCAGAGCTAGAGAAAAGCAAAATCCACGTGCGCCCATGCCCAGCCCCTGCCAGGAGAGGGAGGAAGGCAACAGCAGAACAAGGGGAGTGACGCCCCTCCATCTTCTTTCTTGGCGCTTCTCTTCTTCAGATTCAGATTTTATCTTTTTATGTATTTTCATTGAGATTTTACAAGCTCAAAAGCTTGTTCTGAGGAATATTTACTTGTCCTAAACATTCCAAGAAGAGGCTTCCTGTATAGCATTTTGGGATCTCCAGTGTGTCTCTAACCCCAGAAAATTCTGCCCCCACACCCAGGAGATTCTTCTTTAACAGAACCAAAGTTTTTTACCAAAACCCAAACCTAAAAGTCAGGTGGAAAGGTTGCGAAGCAGTGTGAGACGTCCTCTAAGGGAAGTTGAGGGTGGAGAAGGGGTAAGGAGAGGTGGTAGGAGTGGAAAAGGAGGAGGTCCTAACTCCGCAGAGGCTGAGGAAGGCCTTCTGGGGAGGCAACTCCTTAAAAGAAGCTGGAAGAATGAAGACAATCCTGCCAGGTACACAGCGGAAGAACATGTCCAAATGAATCCGCTTTAGAGCAAATACCAGTAAGGGCTGGTGCAGGATGGTGGTGGCTGAGAGAAGATTACTCATAAAAGCATATTAATTTTATAAATATGGAAAATTTAACTAGATAATTAAATGTGAATTGAGTTTGAAGGTTGCATGAGAGTAGGGAGGAGGTAGTTTCTACTTATAGGGTTTATATAAGTGTGCTTCAATAGAATGGCTCTTTCGGATGACAATGATGAACTGTTCTAAGCAGACAGCTTAGGGTCACTTTCCCACTTAACAACGGGTGTCGTTCTATAGTTGTTCCCAGTGACAGAGGTTGAAACAACTAAAATTCCTCAATCCTTTACTCCTTACTAGTGAAGTCAAAGCCACCTGTATGCCTTTTGGTTTTCTCAAAAATTATACAATCAATGACAATTATTTGGAAAAGAGAGAGGGTGTGTGTGTGTGTCTGTGTGTGACAGAGAGAAAGAGAGAAAGAAAGTTAAAATTACAAAATAAAAGGAAAACAATCAGGTCTATCATCAAGCTTTAAGCTAGCATTTTTCCTGATAATATGGATTAACTTCTGTAAATGATTTAATTTAATACCTTTAACAAGGAGGTAAAACTGTAAGAATCTTTCATAGTGAAGAAAAAAGTTTATACATTTATTCCATAATTTTTTTATTGCCTATGTTTTCAGTAAAAATAAGCTTGCAAAAATTCTTCAGAAAAGGCATTTTTTTGGCCATCAAATGCACATTTTGAGTAGGTATTAGTTACAGGGCTCTAGCTACTGAAATCCTATGCATTTCTCAATGGAACTACCTAAAAACTAAGCACTGAGGATTTGTAAGAATCTCAATCAAACATTGCAACTACCAATACTGTGCATATGGGCTAATTCAAAGGAGATTTGCATGTTAACTGAATCCAGACAGGTAAATGTTTCAAACATTATAGGTTAAGAGCTAATGACTGCTTATTTTTATGTTTCTCACCTAATGATAAAATTTGCAAAATTTTTTTTTTATTCCAAAAGACTGAACGATGGCCAGAGAGTTCTAACGATGGGATTACTTGACTAAGGATATAGACTTTTTTTTTTTTTTTTTTTGAGATGGAGTCTCTGTTGCCCAAGCTGGAATGCAGTGACATGATCTTAGCTCACTGCAACCTCCGCCTCCCGGGTTCAAGTGATTCTCCAAACTCAGCCTCCCGAGTAGCTGGAACTACAGGTGCATGCCACCACGCCGGGCTAATTTTTTATATTTTTAGTAAAACGGGGTTTCACCATGTTAGCCAGGATGGTCTTGATCTCCAGACCTCGTGATCCACCCGCCTCGGCCTCTTAAAGTGCTGGGATTACACCCTAAGCCACTGCGCCCGGCCCGGGATAGACTTTTACTGAGAACATAGCTTTAAACTTAATCTCAACTATAAAAGCATATTCCAGCTTTGTGTTTCTAAAAATCACCACTGTAAATCACATGAACCAAAACGTCTATAGACATATCTAAGTAAAGAAAAGCATTTCTAATTCTTTTTGCTGTGATATATAAATCATGTATGTGTGTGTGTGTGTTCGTGTGTGTGTGTGTTCGTGTGTGTATATGTACACGAACTATGCTATACCTTCCTCGAGGACCAATGTTGTGCTAAATGTACTAAAGAGAGAATAAAAGACTTGGAAATGACATAGGTTTAAAGTCCTTTGACTCATTCCACTGGGATTATTGAAGTGCTTGGGGTGGGGGGAGGTGACAGCAAGAGTAGAAAGGAGCCAGATATTAGTGCCTATTGTAATTACCATGTTCCCTATGGTCTGAAATGCTAAAAATGAATGTTTCCTCTATTACAAGGATATAGACCTTTTTCCCTGCAAAGCTATTAACATATATAATGCACATGTCTGAAAATCATGGCTTCTCTGTCATTCTTTGGAGACCTTTAGGGACCTGGGTGATCGTATAGTCCTGAATTATAGCCAAAGTATAATCTGTCGTCCTCTAGTTTTCCAGCATATTTTTAAAAAATCACTTTAAGCAATTTTACCCATATTGAATGTCTCACTACTTTTCAACAAATTAAAATGTTTGCATTGTCTTAACTCTGGATAAAACTGCTATATAACTTGCAAATGAGAAAGCACATTAACCATACTTCATCAAGTGCCAGCATTTCTATGAATAAAATGCGTTAGCATATAATTCTAGAAATCTATTAATGTAGTTTTTTTCAAAAATAAACAAGCTTCTCGGAAGTCAAAACATATATAAACTCGTGCTCTGCTTGCACTATTCTAGGGAACATGAAATCACAAGTAAATAAATTGACATTAATTTATACCTTTTGTACAAATACATTTCCTTCTATATTTTGGGGGCAAAATTGTACCTTAACATATTCTACATTTTCTCTCTGATTTCCAATTCTTTTATCACAAAAGTAGAATAAAACAAGAAATTTTACTTCCTTATTCAGTTTTATTTCAATGTATGTCAATTTAGCATATTTTAAATAGTCTGTATAATTTTTAAAAATGAAAGAACCATTCTAATGTTAATTTGGATCAATCTTCCAAACATATGATTCCAGGTTTCTAAAAGGGGCCCACTTGAGGGGGCTTTTTAAAAGTGAACAAAAAAGCGCCCTGAGGCTTCCCAATTCACATTTAACCTACTTACATGAAAAAGGAACTGCTTTGGTTAAGAATAAACTTCCACAAGCTCAGGTTCAAGCTAAACACGCCAGCATATTAGTGAGGAAATGAGACAGCAAATAGTAACTCCTTTCATACTAGTAAAAGAATACTGTATTTATTTAAAACAGTTGGCAGAAATTCTCATTTTAATTAAATTACATTTACTGAAATAACATTTTCATAATTAAACAACAACAACAACAAAAAAACCATTTCTCCCCCTCAAAGAACTACCAAATATAATCACAGTAACTTAAAATGGGCAAAGGAGTAAGAGAATGGTTAGAATAAATGTGACTAATTTGGATTACAATTGCACGTTACTTCAGTGGTTTTCAGTGATTTAGAAGACATTATTATCCTCCTTTGCCATGTAAAATTAATACAAAGCAGATAACAAGTTTTGTTATTAATGTTTTTTAAGAGGAAGTAACTTAGTACAAGTTTCATATCGTCTATGTTATTACTTGCATATTCGAATTTAAGATTATTGGCTTATGTGAGATTAAAGATAATCTAATCTGACCCCTTCCTTTTACAAATGAGGAAGCTGAGACCCAGAAAAGTTAAGTGCCTTGTTCTGAATCATTTAGCTCCTTAGAAGAACTCTTCTGGAACTCAGAGGCTTCCCACTGCACAGCTCTGTCACAGAGCAGAAACATCTTTACTTCATAGATGACAGAAGAAAAAAAGAGAAAATAGTGTACCATCTATGTGGATTATGGTAGGAACAAAATTCTGTTCCAAACTAAGATTCTTTCACTCTTGGTTTCTCCCTTCTGAATGCTCACATGAGAACCAAAGTTCATGTTCTGAAGAAAAAAAAAATCATCAAATAATCAGATTAAGTCTCACATATTGACAAAACCAATAAGCGAATAACATGCGTCCATGATTTACCATGACGGTTTGATTGAGAGCAAAACAACAAACCCAATTCTGAATGCTGAATTCCTCCAAATAGACAAAAGATGTCCAAATTGGTAAAATGATCAACCTCAGTTATGGAAGGTACACAGGAAAAAACGAGGAGCATTTAAATGAGGGAGGAAAGTATACCAAACCACAGGGAAAACAGAACCACCCTCTTCCTTCTTGGATATTGCTGAATGCTGGTCTTGTGAACAGTAAAAAGCATTAAATGGCATAGTTGTGCCAAATAAAGTTTCCACCATTCAGAAAAGGACTTACAATAGTTTCATACATGTGCTGCTGGATTATTTAATGAACAAATAAGTCACAGTTAAAGGCTTGACAAGTAGGAAGTTTGCTACACTTGTACAAAAGGAACACCACTGATCTTTCATTAGCTTCCTTCTCCATTACTAGGTCAAATTAAATTACAAATGAGTGAAACCACATGGTTGCTTTTTCAAAACAGATTAATAACGTATTAAATGTTCTTACGATCTTAACAAGTTGCAGTAAAAAAAAAAATTCCAATAACAGATAGAAGTCAAATCCCATAATATTAAATATTTGTGACAATGACTAACCAAAAGAACCCTTGTTCTTCTTTAATTACAGATTGCCTGCCTTCCCTCTGTCACTCAAATTATGTCTTGCAGCACCATTAAATAGATCCCACAAATTCTTTGCATTCAAAACGTCCCCAAAATTCTTTCAGTTACAATCTATGACTTTGTCTGCCCTGTGTAATATTAAACTGAACTGTAGTATGAAGGCCATTTAAACTCGGAGGCCCCAGCTACTGTTAAGAAAGAAGTGAACGAAAGTTCTCCCCAAGAGTCTAATTTGCAAATTAATTTCCTTGTTCACTGTCAGTTATTCTCAACTTACAAGCTTGAGGGTCAAACTCATTATGACCAAAAGCTCATTATGACTAAAATGCAACAAAACCTGTTAAAAATAATGCACCACATTTCATAGGATGGAACCCAGACTGGTAAACACATCAATATTATGCAAACTGTGTTCCACAGAACACTAATGTGCCTGCAGATATTAATAGACATTGGGGTGGAGGAGGGGAAGGTTTTGTGAAATACTGAGTTACATACCAAGTTGCAAGCGCCTTTTCTGCAGACCGTCTTGCTGCATCTTAATCCTACTGCAAATCCAGAAGGGGGGCCGGGGGGTTGATATGCTACCAATTTTTAACTTTTAAGTAAGTTAAAAACAAATTTCCTAGAATCCCTCTTTATTTGTAAAAACAAAAATAAAACAATCTTAAAGATGTGCTTAAACAATGCTCTCATTTAAAATTAAAATAATAACTGGCCGGCCGAGGGGGCTCACCCCCATAATCCCAGCACTTTGGGAGGTCGAGGAGGGAGGATCATTTGAGGTCAGGAGTTTGATACCAGCCTGGCCAACATGGTGAAACCCCATCTCTACTAAAAATACAAAAATTAGCCACCCATGATGGTGCACGCCTGTAATCCCAGCTACTTGGGGGGCTGAGGCACGAGAAATCGCTTGAACCCAGGAGGCAGAGACTACAGTGAGCTGCGATCACACCACTGCACTCCAGCTGGGAGACAGAGTGAGACTCTGTCTCAAAAACATAAATAAATAAAATAAATAAATAAAACTACAATAATAACAAACATAGCACATTATTATTTCTAAACATATTCTCTCCTTCCAAAGTGCTCTTCGTAAATGGCAGAGATAGGATATTGCTCCAAGGATCAGGCTCCTACTATTATAAAAAAAAAAATGGAGGCGCTTATTTCATGGTTAAAAACTCCATCCCTGATTACAACTGGGTCACGAGGTTAAAAAACGAAGACTCCATTTTACCTATTAATTTGCATATGTGACACACTAAAGATTTTTCATACCCGTTTCTCTGATCAAATGGCAGTTCTCTCCTACCTTCTAAGATATAAAACCATATCTGTCATTCCATTTCTGATGTGAAAAGGTATAATTGTAGTAATTACTAACAGATAAAATTACCATATGTAGAAATAAGTAATCTATGTGAATTAATAAAGTAACTTGTGAATATTAGACATTATCATTGGGGACAATAATGGAGTGAATTTGTGTATAACCATGCCTGTCACATCATGTTCTATAAATATCTGAAATTATTATTATGCTTATCATGAATTTAGAAGATGCTAAAATTCTTGCATATTTAGCATTCAATAGGTTTCCTGAAGATCCTTGTATTTTATTGTTAATTTAAGGAAATATGCTCATTAACTCTGAACGGTGAAAATAATAATTGTTTAAAAGCAGAAAAAAAATAATATTTTCCCCAGTGTCTAATAAGAAATAACATTATGACAAGATATAAGGCAGAGAGTTAAATATAATATAGTCTCAGTGTCCACAGAGTTTATCTAGTGGGGGAGATAGCTGTAAAGGAGACGGGGGATAAAGAAGAAAACAAGAAAGAGGAAGAAGAAGAGGAAAAAAAGAGGTGACAAAAGAGGAAAACGAAGAGAAGAAAGAAGAGAAAAAGGAAAACAAGAAGAGATGGAGCAGAATAAGGCGGAAAAAAGTAAAAAAAGAGGAAGAGAAAAGGGAAAGTAAAAAGAAAACTAAACTTTTATTGAGACTTACTCTTCTTGTGTATCAGGCATTCTGAGTGTTTTACAGGTTTTGTTAATTTAATCTTTACAACAACCTTGTATGCTTGGTAATATTATACCCATTTTAATGATTAGGAAACTGAGGCACAGGCAAATGAGGTAACTTGCTACCATCATGACGAATGTTCGAGTCTGGCCACGCTCCAGGCAGGTTGATTGTGGAGCCTAGGTTTGTAACCACTTCACTAAGAATTACAACATTACCTATCATCCTAAAGTTAAGATAAGGAAGAGGGTGGCCACGGGCCCAGAGGAAGCATATAGAGCTGAAGTTGGGTCTAGCAATGCAGGAAGGGCTTCCTAAAAGGAGTGATGTGAGAAGAGTTTGCAAGAGTCAGTCGGATGAAGCAGGGAGGGGCATCTGAGTCAGGCACAAGTAGGCTGTGTGAATTCACGATGGATTGAAACAGCAAGGCTCATGAAGGTTCAAGGGCATAGTGCATGCAAGGGGGCTCCTGCGACATGGCCAGGAGTTGGGACAGCAGTGCTGCAAGCCTTGCAAGAGAGTTGACAGCAAGACGGATGGGTATTCAAGTGATCCAGTAAGAAATGAGGAGGGCTGACCTATGCGAGGGGAAGTGTTGAAGGATAGAGGGGTAGCAAATAAGAGAGAAATTAAGTTCAGGAGTAGAGAGGTGGTTGGCAGTCCATTGGCTACAGAAGTTGATAACGAGGGAGCAATGAGGATCCCTCCGTGGATGCTGGCTGGGGTCGCCAGGTAATTTGGTACAATCCTCCACATTAGAGATTACAGTAGGAAAACAAACAGGCTTGGGAGGAGAGGTGTTATGTTTGATCTTGATTTAAGATGCAGGATATTGAATTATAGATGCCTAAGTGGCAGTTGAATATAGACGTTTTGAAATGAAAGAAATCTCCATTGAAGATATAATTTTAGAGACATCAGTTTATAGTTAGTAGCTGAAGCCATTTATTTGGGATCGATCACCCTAGGAAACAATGTTTACAGAAAGGAGACCAGCCCCAGGGAATGTCGGCACTTATGATGATGGCTCTTAACCACACCTTTGGCAGGCTCAGCACACTTCCATCAGAGATAGCGCCAAAATTTCAAGCCATGATTTTCAGTGTATTAAAATGCATTGGCTTATTGATCTAAGAGGTCCAGAGAAGAAGAAGAACTTGGGGAGAAACAGCCAGAAAGGTATAAGAAAAAGCTGGGATATGTTGTACAGTGAGTCAGATACTGAGAGGAGAGGCTTCAAAAAGGAAAGTGTTCAGTGGATGTGGCCACACAGAGTTCAGTGTTGACCTTTCAGAGCGAGAAGGGCCTAAGAAGTGTGAAGGGCACTGAGGAGTCGGAACAGGTGAAGACAATGTGTAACACGGTACCCTGACCTGTATAGCGCCCGGTGGGAAAGCGATGAAGACAGAAGAGAAACCTCAAGGGCAACATGGTTTTAAGCATTTGTATTTTCAAGATGGAAGAGACATGCAACAATTGTTGTTGAATTCAAATACTTGTATTTTTAATATGGGCTAAAAGTAATAAAGCTAATTTATAACAAATATGTGACAGCGCAGCTACTTCAAAATAAACTTACAAGTGAATAATTCTCTCACATTTTTGCTCTCTTCTGAATAATTAAAAAGTTTAAGTTTAAATGGAAAGGTAAAGCCAAATATCTGCCTCAACACAGGCATACTTTTTAATGGGTCTCTTATACCTACACAGTGACAAACTAGAGTTGAATTTCTCAACTAAGGCTTTAACAACTAACACACAATCCATATAACTGATACCTGGGAACATGCAAACCTCTATCTATGCTTCTATTTATCATCTTAGAAGGAGTTAGAAACATCTCAAGGATCAGCATTAATGAACTTTGTTCAGATTCCATAAGACAGTATGTGCACATTCCATAAATTATGTCAAGGAAAACACACACACACACACACACACACACACACACACACACACACAGGGAGACCTAAGACTGAAGATACAGAAGAAAAGATGGTGGAAAGCAGGTAAGAGCACAGGTTGAGGTCTCAGTCTTGGTTAGAAGGAGAGAGAGAGAGATGCGTCCTCTACTAAGATCCAAGAGCAACAAGAAAAGAATAGTGGGTACAGAGAGATTTTTAGATGTTGTGGCTAGAAGAAAGTATTTGTTCATTTAGTGACCTCTATTTCATCTGAAATATGTTTCAACGTCATCTTTGGAAATTGATGAGGTGAATGGGATAGAAAGCTTGAAAATGAGGTAAGAATGTACAATTACCTCAGAGGGGAATGAGAGGTGGCTGAAGCTGTCACATAATTGCATCCCGAACAAAAGCAATTATTTAAAAATAAACCCCTGTACGATAGAGAAATGAATCACAGAAAAAGCTAGCAATATCCTTCAAAGTGAGAAAACATGGTGTTTCTGATTTTTCAGACAGAGAGTGCACCTACACAAGGGAATGACTACCAGCTACATTATAAATTGCAATTTGGTGTAAATATTTTGTTGCTTCTGTTCCTGCTTCTACAATAATCGTGAAAAGCTCGCAGACATGGGGCGGGTATCTATTAAAGTTAACGCAGGTTTAGTGTCTGATTCACTGAGATTCCACTTGCAAGGAGGGAGGGAGTAAGGAAGAGTGGGGCAGAGGGCTTTGGAGCAGAAGGCCTCAGGATGCCAAAACTCCAAGACACATACTTAGGGTGACACACTCTCCACCCTTAATACACACCACAGAGCACCAACCACCTGCTTACGTCTTTGAGAGTGAATGAGTTATCAAACTTCATATGGAATGCTCTCCACTCAGGGAATCTTTTCCTCACTGGACACTAGTCCTCCAAAACAAAGATGTTCCTTTCTTAATTAATTGTTCAATTATCAAGTTCCAACGGCAGCTTGTTTTAGTTATGTCTTAATTAAATGGAGTTGCACATTTAGAAGCAAAAGGAATAAAGAATTTCTAGAGAAACAATTTCAGAAAGATTAAAACTCATTAATTTTAGAATTAAGAGATAGCCAAACTTCCACACACCATTTTTGGTCACCATAATGCCCTATAGTATTAGGATGGTATCCAGGAAGCCAAAATGAAAGGAAGCCTAAACAATTTACCTATGAACTTTATCCAGGTAAGTAGATTTTGACTGAATGTGACTATGAAAACTTATGGCATAGATATCAGCTGAATATGGATCTATATCTACTCATCGAGTAGCTCAAATAATTGGCTCTGTCATGCTATGATTCATGGCCAAAGAAGACTAATCTGGATAAATTAGATATTTAAAGGAAATTCCAATCATTTTAATTCTTCTATTTTCTTAAGTTTTCATGTTTTCCCTTTGAGCAGAATGCTACACAATATTCTCATAATTTTATCAATTTGTCAAAAAATGAACATTAAAAATATAAAGTTAAAATATCGAAGAGATCATCTTTTAAGTTTTTTAAAGGCCTGGGCTTCTTCTGATTTTCTTATATTCTCCTTCCTTTTCCACCAACCTCCTAGGGACCAGCAAGATTACACATTACAGGTGTTCAGGTAAATGTTTGTGTTGACATCGTTGTAGTTCAAGTATATGCTTTTGTTAGGTTTGTGACTATAAAAACAACATAGATCAACATGCCAACCAAAAAGGAAATAAGACTTGCATTTCTGATCAGTGTAAAAATACCAGTTTAGATTGTATCTTTCCTTGACCATCAAGGCATTCTGCCACGGTGACTAAAAAAATCTTTCCGCAATAAAGTCCCCAAATATATTGCCTGGTAGGTAGAAACAGTGCTGAATTTCCTGGTGTTTTGCCACTGCTGGACTCCAGTAGATTCAATGATATCATCATAACCAAAAGACATGGGAAGGGTTCCTGATAAAGAATAAGAGCTGAGGAAACTGCCTGATGCACAGGATATTAAAAATTAATATTTTAAGGGAAATACACAAATTATGCTAATAATTGACAAATTACATAGAAATGAATTAAGAAATTGGTTATTTAGTATCTTCCCCTGAACATAGCCACGTAGTTGCATTTCACAGAAATGTGAAACTACTGAGACCTTTGTAGACCATGATACTATCTTTTCCAGCTGTGGTATCTTACATTTGGAAACATGACAAAGAATTCCTGTCACTTATCGCTTATATTATTTCTAATTCTTCCATTTTATGTCACAGCTATTTCAACTATCATAAGTTTAATAATACTTTTAAGTAAAACAAAAACCTATTATTGACAGCATATAAGATACGGTTGTAATTTCATTTTCTTTTCACATTTTCATTAAAATTTCCAGAATGTCTTATACTTTGCTTGGTATTATTTAAAATTGTTCTTGAATTTAAATACTTGTACTTTTAACACTTGCTAAATGTAATGAAGCTAATTTACATCAAATATGTGACAGGGCAGCTACTTAAAAATAATTTTACAAGTGAATAATTCTCTCACATTTTTGCTGTCTCCTGAATGATTGAAAAATTTAAGTTCAAATGGAAAGGTAAAGCCCAATCTCCACCCCCAACACAGGCATACTCTTTAATGGGTCTCTTATACCTAAACAGTGACAAACTGAGTCGAATTCCTTAACAAAGGCTTCAACTACTAACACACAATACTTATAACTGATACTTGGGAACATGTAAACCTCTATCTGCGCTTCTGTTTATCATCTTAGAAGGAGTTAGAAACATCTCAGGGACCAGGATTAATGAAATTTGTTCAGATTCCATAACCATTGTAACTTATGCATTTTGTTAAACATCCCTTGCTATGACATAAAAACCACCAGGAAAACTTCAAAAAATGAATAAAAACAACAGCAATAACAAATATCCAAAACTTTATCAAGCAAAGCCACACGAAATGCGTTGCTTGAAACCAAAGAGCTTTTGCAGTTAGTGAGTGTCTGAGGATCATGCTTCTTGTATTTAGAGTCCAATTTACTTTCAGGCCAGCACATATAGTAGGAGACTTTTTTTTTAATCTTGTTTTTTTGTTTTGTTTTGTTTTAAATCACAGAATTTCAGTGCTTAAGACATTATCATTGGATGGTATCCCAGAAAATTAAATACAAATCCTTGTGCTAGAGAAGGCTGTTCATGGTCTTCATAAATCTATTTAATAGAAATCAAGAGCCTTCCCTCCAACAGATTTGGAAGACCTGACTTAAATAATATTAAGTGTTCCATCTAGAAATGACATATCAGAATAGACTCAATTCACCCCTCTGCCCTCCAGAGGGTCCCAAAATATAGTCCTAAATTGTGACTTTCTGTGAGGCCCTTCACTTAAATAGCATGGGTCCAGTGTGACTTGCGGATATTACGAAAAACAAAGCATTACTTTTCAAAGTTCATAAAGCATTATCCCATTTCCTCATTGTCCTTGGTATTTAAATATTTTTCTTTTCTTAAAGCTTGCATTGTCCAGATAATAATTTCAATCTTCCACTTCAAACCATGGCAATAAGTACCACGACCACAAAATAAGTAACCTTGGGCAAGTCACTTAACCTCTCAACTCTTAACTTCTCCGACAATAAATCTGTCGGCAAACATGCTGTCTATCTGTTCTCTGAACAAATATCTATTAAGCTTCAATTGAAGAGAGGCAAGGAACTTGTGTTCCCTGCTAATAGTGCTGCTCAAGTACTTACATAATGGGTGCTTAAGAAACATATTGATAGCTATCTAGTAAATGTAATTCCTACATAAGAGAAATACATTTGCATTTCTCAGCAAAATGTTGAATATTTGTAGAGCAGAGAAAAAGAAGCAGATGAAGAGTGAAGCATCTTTCTTACCATTCAATACAGGTTCATTCAATACTGATTGAATGAACATCTATAAGCAATAAGTACTGAATGAACATCTATCTACGAGGTACCTCGTAAGATATGCGGATGGATCAAGCTGAAAAATATCTGGCCCCCGACGGATGAATCTTATTATTGAGACATTATTTATTCACAAAAATGATGAGGTAGCAATGCAATATTGCGTTAAAAAAAGCACAATATTAAGGACTAAGATATAGTGGACTGCTTCTGGATGTTGTAGACAGAAATTAAAGTTAGAGAAAAAAATCAAGGTGAATTGGAATCTCAAGATAAGTTCAGAAGGAAAATGAGGCCCTTGACTCTGTGCCTCTTAGGAAGCCAAAAATTTGAGTATAGCTTGAGCATTAAAGGAGCGACAGCAGCGTGGAAAAGACAAAGACAAGAGAATGTCCAACACTCAGACAGCATGAGACTCCAGGCCTTTGGAAAGAGGTGGCTGGCATTATGTGGAGGCCATGCAAGAGAAAATAGGCAGCCACTAGAGGAATGGGAAAATTAAATTGTCACTAAGGAAGAGCAGACTACCTGCTAGTCTGTTCCTGTAAGCAGAACTGAAGGCAGGGACTGCAGACAAAGTCTTTCGTAGTGACACAACCATGAGATGGTAATGGTGAAAATGGGAACGCAGATGTAATCCAGTAAGACAAATTGACAAAATGTATTAATATGATGAAGAAAACGGTGCCCTCAAAGGAGACTCCTAGATTTTTAACCCTCAAGGATCAGAAGAACAAAGATCCTAATGACAAAAATGGTGAAAGGGAGACAGTGGATAAATTTGGCTTTGGAAATGTCGGCCTGAAAACATCTGTGATGGGGTTCAGAACATGTCACTCCAAAAATATGGTGCCTTGACATAGTGAATAGTCTAAGCTGGAGGAATCTAAGAAACAGCAGATGCTGAAGGGACTCTCTGACCTTCCCCCAAAGCAGGTCATGAGACCCTCACATGAGAGGTGCCCACTGTATACCCAGAGGAAAGGAATGTCCTTATCTGAAGACAGAGGGACGCCAAGAGATCGAGTGAGCAGGCTTTGCAAAGCTTCCTCCGTGCAGCTCATGACCTTTTGTTCTAACATGAGGTGGCTTGAGGTCTTCATTTCTTTATGGAGGCTCCCATGCCATATAAAACTCAGCTTGAACATATTTGTAAGCTTTTCTCTTGCCAATCTGTCTTTTCTTATAGGGGCCCCACTTGAGAACCTAGAAGAGCAAAATAAAAAGGTATTTTTCCTCCCCTACATCTGTAAATATAAAACTGAAGATACTGGTTTTGTAGTCAGCAGCACAGTCATAGCTAAAACCTTGATGAGATAGTGCCTACTAGAGGGATGAGGGCAAAGGGAGAGAGAAAGCAAGGAAGGTGGAGTCAAAGGGCCTGCTCAGCATTAAAAGGTCAGGAACATGAAGAAACCCCGTCTCTACTAAAAATGCAAAATTAGCCAGGCGTGGTGGTGCATGCCTGTAATCTCAGCTACTCAGAAGGCTGAGGCAGGGGAATCGCTTGAACCCGGGAGGCGGAGGTTGCGGTGAGCCCAGATCGCGCCATTGCACTCCAGCCTGGGCAACAAGAGTGAAACTCCATCTCAAAAAAAAAAAAAAGGGGGTCAGGAAGGGCCTACATGAGGGAGGGAAGGGAGAGCTCAGGAAGTCAGAGAGAAGAAGGCGCTGTAAACCAGGTTAGAAGAATCTTTCAAGGGGAGGGACCTCCACTGCGCAGTACACATCCAAGAGAATCCAGTGAGGATACAAATGATTTAGCTGGAGGAATTCAGTGGATACCCCTGAGACGGTAAGATAGGGTTGAAGTGAAAGTCACGCTGCAAGACACTGATTAGAAAAGCCTGGTGAGGAAGTGAAAACAGCAGTCCTTCAGACGCAAAGGAAGGTAAACTACCCAGAGATACAAGGAGCTTCTCACTATTGGAAAAACCAAATGAGGAGATGTGAGAGTGCCTTTGTCTGAATGGTGGATGCTTCTCAAGTCTGGCTTTGCCTATATGCTGAAAGAGAATTTTCACACTGGTGAATCTGGAGTCAAATCAAGTATAACTACTTAATTTTTTTTAAAAGAATTCATAATAATGCCAAAGAAATAACTGATATTTCAGACTCGGCACCTATACTTTTGGCATCTTCCTCTATTCCTCAGAGAGATAAAAATATACAATGTGACTAATATAATGGTTATTTTTTACACAGCTGATTTTTTATGTTGCTAATTTTATGCTCCTAATTTTATGCTAATTTTTTTGCAGTAGTTGTTGTTATAAATAAATAATCTCATGTATGTTTTCAGTGAAAAGAATATTTCTATTCAAAAACATGCTCTCTTCATCAGGGATCATAGGGCAAACCTTTTTAGTACCCAACCTAACAGTCTCATATTTAATTATATTTTGCCTTACACTGTTCTCTAGTTGTATCCCATATGATCTCTCTTAAATTCAGGAAAAACCAAGTCTATCAACTACCAAGACATAATCAATCAGTATCAATACTAGAGTATCATTTGTATAGCACTTTACAAAGCAATTTTATATATCTTATTGCATATTATAATTGAAACCTCACAACCACCAAAAAAGCCAGTAGCATTTTCTCATTTTACTGAAAATATTGAAGGCAGCGGAGTGAACAAGCTGGGGTAACCCAGCTCCTGCACTCCTTGTGTTAGAGCTAGGGCAGAGCTCTGACCCACACCCCATAAGGCAGCTCTGCTCTGGGATGAACATCTTTGAGGAAGTTCTACCACAGGCACAGATAACCACCTTTCCTCAGTCACAAATGTTTCCCCTGTAAGTTAAAGTCCATAACCATAGGAGTGCATGCTCTTTATTCTGCCAATGAACACACTACTTCCTAACCCTGTTTCAGATACCCAATGCCTATGCTGTGACTCCAGCTTCCCCTTTCTTCTCTAAGTATGCAGGAAAATCGATCACCTGTTCTTGAGGGCTCATGTTAAGTTTAGAGTGTCTTCTTAGGTTAGTTTTTATCATAAAGTCTCTGTAGGAGTGAGGTCATTCACTTCTAAAATGGGTGAGGCATGATGCTTGGTACCCAGGAATGTGTGTCTCGTTGCTGTGATCCCTGGGTCTCTGAGATCCCTCTTAAAGAGATCCCTGAATAATATAGGCATCTACACATGCAGCCCCCTTCTGTTGTGTTCTCCTGGCACTGAGATCTGCTGCTGCTCCAATCCCCTCCTGGTGGGAGTCTGAAGGTTCCAGATAGCCTTGATGAAAAACTAAAACTTTTCCAGACGAAGAGCCTGAACACTGACATTTTATTTACATGGTTGATACTGAATGAAGTTCGATACTTATTGATTCATGCTTGTTTGCTAAGGGCTATGATGTAGAAAATGTGCTATTAAAAAAGGAAAATTTATTTATTGGACTATAAAGAATAGAGGCAATTGAAAGCCTGGCAACTCTATATATGGAACAATCCTTTTTGCCCCTTAATCATGGTAAGACAAATGTGAAATGTAGTAAGTGGCAACTTGCTTCTCGTGCAGGCCTTGGTTGCAGTTGGGAATACGTGCGCTGTTCACAGGGAGAAGATGAATCAACTTTGGAGGGGAAAAATGAAGAAAAAAGGAAATGGAGGAAAAATATTATCCATACAAACAGCTACATTAAGAAAATTATTAGTAATGTCACCAAAAGTCATAAAGCTTAATTCTACTTATGCTACAACCCAAGCTTGGTGACAAGTAGAGTCTCACAGGCCAGTTTATGAAACTTTATAACACAGCAGAGATGGGAACCAAGTGACCTGGGCAGTCACTGTCTCTGCAGTCCTGTGCAAGTATCTGCTAGGGAGACTCTTCCTCCAGGAGCCTGGGACAGCATCGAGGCAGTTTGGGTATCTGTCCCTACCTAAATCTCATGATGAATTGTAATCCCCAGTGCTGGAGGTGGGGCCTGGTAGGAGGGTTTGGGTCATAGGTGCAGATCCCTCATGGCTTGGTGCTGTCTTTGTGACAGTGAGTTATCACAAGATCTTGTCATTTAAAAGGGCGTGGCACTTGCCCCAACCCCCACATTCTCTTGCTCCTGCTTTCACTGTGTGAGGTGCCTGCTCCCTCTTTGGCTTCCACCATGATTGTAAGCTTCCTGAGGTCCTTACAAGAAGCTAAGCAGATGCCAGCACCATGCTTCCTATATATTCGTGAACCAATTAAACCTCTTTTCTTTATAAATTACTCAGTCTCAGGTATTTCTTTATAGCAATGCAAGAACAGCCTAACACAGAAAATTGGTACCTAGGAGTGGGGCTTTGCTATAAAGATACCTGAGAATGTGGAAGCAATTTTGGAACTCGGTAATGGACAGAGGTTGGAACAGTTTGGAGGGCTCAGAAGAAGACAGGAAGATGAAGAAAAGTGTATAACTTCTTAAAGATTGATTAAATGTTTGTGACCAAAATGCTGACGGAGATAGAGACAATGAAGTCTAGGCTACTGAGGTCTCAGATGGAAATGAGGAACATAATTGGGAACTACAGCAAAGGTCCCATGTGGTATGCGTTAGCTAGCAAAGAGCTTGGCTGTATTTTGTTCATCCCCTAGGGATCTATGGAAGTTTGCACTTAAGAGTGATGATTTAGGGTATCTGGTGGAAGAAATTTCTAAGCAGCAAAGTGTTTAAGAGGAAGTAACTTGGCTGCTTCTAACAACCTAAGCTCAGATGTGGGTGCAAAGGAATGACTTAAAGTTGGAACTTATATTTAAAAGGAAAGCAGAGCATAAAAGTTTGCAAAATTTGCAGGCTGGCCATGGAGCAGAGAAAGAAAAACCTTTTTGGGAGAGGAATTAAAAAATTTTAGTTATGCAAATATAGCAAAATTGGCAAAACAAAAGGGATCTAAGTGCTAACATCCAAGACAATGGGAAAAAGGCCTCAGAGGCATTTCAGGACCTTCCCAGCAGCCCCTCCCATCACAGGCCCAGAAGCCTAGGATGGAAGAATGATTTCATGGGCATGGCCTAGGTTTCTGCTGGCCTTTAACGCCTTGGGACACTGCTCTTCACATGCAGGCCACTCCAGACTCCAGCCTCAGCTCAGGAAACCTCAGGTACAGCTCAGGCCACTGCTTCAGAGGATGCAAACTGTAAGTCTTGGCACCTTTCATGTGGTGTTAAGCCTGTGGGTGCACAGAGTGCAAGAGTGAATGAGGCTTGGTACCCTCCACCTAGATTTCCGAGGATGAATGGAAAAGCCAGGATGCTCAGGCAGGAACACTGCTGTAGGGGTGAAGCCCCAACAGACAATCTCTACTAGGTCAGTGAGAAGGGGAAATGTGGGGTTAGAAGCCCCACACACAGTCCCAGCTGTGAGAAGAAAGCCAGCATCCTCCAGACCCAAGGATGGTAGATCCATTGGTAGCTCACACTCTGAGCCTGGAAAAGCCACAGGCACTCAACAACCTGTGAGAGCAGCCTCAGGGGCTTAGCCCTGCAAAGCCACAGGAGTGGAGCTGCCCAAGGCCTTGGAACCCACCAAAGGCTTAATTAACATCACGTGCATGGGGCCTGTAGCCCCTTTCTGTTTTCTTTTCTTTTTTTTTTTTTTTGAGATGGAGTCTCCCTCTGTCGCCCAGGCTGGAGTGCAGTGGTGTGATCTTGGCTCACTGCAACCTCCGCCTCCTGGGTTCAAGTGATTTTCCTGCCTCAGCCTCCTGAGTAGCTGGGATTATAGGGATGCACCACCATGCCTGGCTGATTTTTGTATTTTTAGTAGACACAGGGTTTCACCATGTTGGTCAGGCTGGTCTCAAACTCCTGACCTCGTGATCCACCTGCCTTAGCCTCCTAAAGTGCTAGGATTACAGGCGTGAGCCACTGCACCCAGCCACAGCCCCTTTCTTTTGTCAATTTCTCCCTTTTGGAATGGGAATATTTACCCAATGTCTGTGCCCCATTGTGTCTTGGAAGTAACTACCTTGTTCTATATTTTACAGGCTCATAGGTAAAGGTACTCCCCTTGTCTCGATGGGATTTTGGACTTTAGACTTTAGAGTTAATGCTGGAATGAGTTAAGACTTTTGGGGACGGTTAGGAAGGCATGATTGTATTTTGCAATGCAAGAAGGACATGAGATTTGGGAAAGTCCTAGAGCAGAATGATGTAGTTTGAATATTTGTCCTCACCCAAATCTTATGTTGAATTGTAATCTCCAATGCTGGAGGTGGGACCTGGCGGGAGGTGTTTGGATCATGGGGGCAGATTCCCTCATGGCTTGGTGCTGTTGTCATGACAGTGAGTTCTCACAAGATCCGGTCATTTAAGTCTGTGGCACCTTCCCCCCGACCCTCTTGTTCCTGTTTTCAACATGTGATGTGCCTGCTACCATTTTGCCCTCCACCATGATTGTAAGCTTCCTGAGGTCCCTACCAGGCTTCCTGTACAGCCTGCAGAACTGGGCCAATTAAACCTCTTTTCTTATAAATTACCCAGTCTCAGGTATTTCTTTACAACAATGCAAGAACAGCCTAATACAAGCCTCTACCTACTGGTCGGTGTTCACCTGTGTGTTGGTGGAAGTTATAAATTTTAGATGTTGTATCTGACAGTGTATAGGGAAGGTTTTGTTTTTGTTGTTGTTTTGTTTTGTTTTGAAGACAGAGTCTCACTCTGTCGCCCAGGCTGGAGTGCAGTGGTGCTATCTAGGCTTACTGCAGTGTCTGCCTCCTGGGTTCAAGTGATTCTCCTGCCTCAGCCTCCTGAGTAGCTGGGACTACAAGTGAGTACCACCACGCCCAGCTAATTTTTGTATTTTTAGTAGAAACAGGGTTTCTCCATGTTGGCCAGGGTGGTCTCAAACTCCTGACCTCAAGTGATCTGCCTGCCTCAGCCTCCCAAAGTGCTGGGATTACAGGAGTCAGCTGCTGTGCCGGGCCAGGGAAGGTGTTAAAATGAGAGGAATTTGATTCTGTGTATAAAGGGAGTTTTCAAGTTAATTCGGGATTGCAGCATAAATGAGTTGAGAGATGGCAAAAATGTAGGTATGGCTTCTACACAAGATTCTTGCAACTCCCTGAGCAATACACCCTTATTTGCTTAAGGTTTTTTAAGTTTGTTACAGTGCAAAAGAAGAGGAAGTCAATGGTAGCTTTAAGTTTCACATTGTGATTGCATGCTCAGAGCATCATTCAGCATCTCTGAAAAGTAGCACTTGAAAAAGTGTCTTTACATGATGTCTAAGAAAAGTAGAATAAAACACCTCTGAAGGTATTGATCATGTTACTTGGGAAAGCTCTAATAACTGGAACTTGTCAGGCAGGATGAAGCACTAGCCTCCTTTGGCATCAAGTTCAAAGAGATGGTGAGGCGGTGGATAAAATTGAGGCAAAGGAATAACAGGTAACTCCATCCTGTTTTAAAAGCCATAGATAACTGACAATGGGACTTGATTGAAAAAAAATCGAATACTGCACGGCAGACTTCCCTAGCTACTGTAAGACTATACCATTACCAAAATTGTGAATATATATTTCTTCATTTTCCCACAACTTAAAATGGATCGTTAAGTACTTATAAAGGGGAAAAATAATAAAAAATTTAGTTGAATATTTGTCAACTAAAGCAGTGATTTATTTCATTCTATCTGAGAACAGCTTTTTGAAACAGAGATATCATTTTAGTTGTGTTGATCTTGCCCTGCTCTTGTTAATGCCATTTGGGTAGATCCATAAGTAGTGATCTTTGCATTGTAGTTCAATTTTATTTCCTAATACTCTTTATTTGTCTGGTTTAGTTTTAATTTGGAAAAGGCTTATATTTCATTTATTTTTCTAATTAGAGGACCACTAATGCCTTAAAGTTTGCTTTTAAAAAAAATCTTCCACGGAGAATTGGGGAGTTGAAAGCATCATTCTTCAATGGGTCAGTCTGGACATTGAAAGCCAAGTTTTCCATGAGGCCTTGGCCTTGAGGCCATGAGATGGGTAGTTTCCTCGCATCAAATTGCACTGCGAAATTCACTTAGGCCAAACTAGTAGTTTGCTTGCAAACAGTATGACTGTGCAGCTAGAAGTGATCTTAACATATATTTATGGATATGAATTTTAATTAATCAATGCCCATATGTCCTTTACATCTCTACGTATGTACATCAAAAACATATTTACGAAATGCCTTCTAGGTGTGGGCATAATGCTGGTTGATGAGGGGGTAGGAAAATAAACAAGATATGGACTTTGCCTTAAGGGAAAAGGAACCTAATATTTATGAGGGACCCCCATGTACCATACCCTAGACTGTATCTTTGTTACAACTACAATCATTCTGAAGAATACCATTGAGAAGTTGTATGATTTTTGTCAGCTAAGTGATAAAATGGCTTTTAAGTTTTCTTTTAATATATCCTCATTTGCGTACCTCTACCCTTGGGAATCTGTGTGATTTCTGTATAAATCACACAGGAAGCTATGTCCCTCATCCTTTCCTTAATCTGAAATTAGAGAAGCACCGTATATTTATCCAATTTCATTTCTCCCTACCCCAACCCCTTCATCGTTGTTTTTTGTTTGTTTGTTTTAAAGAATTCACAGTCAGTCAGGTATTCCCACTGAAGAGGCTGTGTCTGGATTTCTGTCGTGAGGGAGTGTGAGTAGGCACAGAAAACACAACTCCAAATACAGGCTCTCCTTTGTACCATAAGGGACAATCAACAGACTAACCCAGGAAAGGAATCCCAAGAAGAGTTGTCTTAATAGGCTAAAATTAGAAAGGGAGGAAGGGCAGAGGAAAAAAGAGAAAGTGGAAGGAGAGAGTCCAGAAGAGGCTGCATAAATGCACTTTGTAAATTTTTCATCTTGGAACCTACTTTTTATTATAATATTTATTTAAGCAAAATTTCAAATCACGATTCAAATGCTAGCTGCATCAATTTTAAATACCTTTAGTTCTGTATATCATGATGGGAAAAGACCTTAACAATCAAAGGGTCCTCCTATCAACAATCAAATAATATTTTAAGAGTTATTCAAATATATTTGGTTATTAGGTTTATTGGAAAAATAAAATAAAAATGAGTGCCTCATCATTTCAATTTTAAAATCAACACCACAAGGAGCATTTATGGAGATGAAATATATTTATAATAAGAGTGCTTTGAAATAAATGCTATTGAGAAAGCTTGGAGAATGATTATATTTTATTTCAACAGAAAAAAACAATTGAACCCTGCTCTTGTCTTCTGTTTCAACATCATGTCTCTCTGTCCCTCCTCCTCCTGTAATAAATATTCTCTTGCCAGCCCTGCTACTGACAATAATGTAGGTGAACTCTGCACCATGTACATCTGTCATTATTAATGACCACGGGAGAGAGAAACGATAACTCACTCTTTTAGGAACCAAGAGGCTAAAATGCTGTAGAAATTTCCTTTCACAATTTTTGCTGGAAGAATATCTGCATTTATTCTTCCTAAATTCAGGAACAAGCCTCAGTGACAGAGTAGAAAAACCCTCACATTTTTAACTTTAAGTTAAAAATACTGTTAGGGCAAAAGACACTTGTTGACTTGTTGCTCTATGAGTGTTAATTTTTATCACAATGCTATACTCAATGTTTTAGGTATCACAATACATATAATCCTTTTAATGCTCAGGTTATAAAGAAATGTTATGAGAGGAAACATTTCTTTACCCATAGGTTTAAGTACCTTTCTGTATGACCGCACCGCAGAATGTTCTTACTAAAATACTTATTCCATTCACTGGGTTTATAAAAAGTATATACTTATTTTAAAATAAAGCTTTCAGGTATTTTTTACTTGAATTATGAAAGAGGACTTAAAATATTACATCTTTATTATCAAACTATAAACCAAATGCTACAGAGATAAAGAAAAAGATAACGATATATGACTCTTTAAAAACAAAGATCCTCTATTTACTTTTTAGAAAAATAAGGGAATGATTGTATTAATATTGTACTGGAAAATAGCCACAAAAGTCTATATTAGTCAGTTTTTAAGTGAGAGACAGATAACACTCTCTGGTAAAATAAAAATACACCTATCCATGCAAATATCATGTTATTTTAAACTACTAATAATTCGTAGGTAATAACTTTCTATGCATTCTCGATATCTTTTACTTCTCATTAGCATTAACACTGATGAAATTTTGTCATGAGGGTTATTTTTACTTACTAGAAATAGAATTTTCCAGAACATAAAGTTTAAGACTTCAATAGATTGGGAGGACTCCTTTAAAGCCACTAAAATGCTCTGCTAATTCTCTCCTGTCTTCCCACTGCTCCTTATAGTGTTTTACACTGTTTTACTGACATGTGAAATTCTAGAAATGTCAGCTTTTGGCAATGGTGCAGTTTACACAGTTATTAGTAGCTCTCTTAGGAAGTGTAAAGGAATACTGGAAAAAATCATTTTGTCTTTCAACAGGTTTCTAGAATACAGTAAAATACCCACAAATTTTAAACATTCTCTACCCAAATCCCAAACTAAAATACAATTTTCCAAGTGTAATGCCAAGTATAAATGAAATGGATATATCAATGGATATTCTGTAGTAGTAAGTCCAGATCCTACATCTGCTTAAATGTTAAATCATGCCAAATAATAAGAGAATAAACCAAACAAAGAAATATAAAAAGTAGATAGAAATGGGCCCCTGCAGGTCTGCCTGAAAATTTTCAGTATCCTCTAGATATTACACTATAGCACTTACCAAAACAGCCTTTGATCTGAGAGGAACTTTACTACCAAACTTTAATGAAAGCAATCCCTTTCACTTTCATGTGCAGATCAGTGAATGAAAAATAATCAGTCACATTCCAATGCCACAATTTTTAGCTACCAGCAACTGAAGGCTGAATTCAACTTCTAAATTAGTTCATCTACATTAACTATTAAGAAAAGTAATGTAATCAAACTTTTTTTAAAATTATATGATGCCAAACCACCAATCTGAAATCATAATTTTCTTTTTCCTTTTTTATTTTTTCTTTTTAAGACAGGGTCTTACTCTGTTGTCCAGGCTGGAGTGCAGTGGCACGAGCACAGCTCACTACAGACCCAACCTCCCAGGCTCAAGTGATCCTCCTGCCTCAGCCTCTCAAGTAGCTGGGACCACAGGCATGCGCCACCACACTTGGCTAATTTATTGATTTTTGTACAGACAGAGTCTCCCTCTGTTGCCCAGGCTGGTCTCAAACTCCTGGGCTTAAACAATCCTCCTGCCTTGGCCTTCCATTGTTCTGGCATTACAGGCGTGAGCCACTGTGCCCAGCCTAAAATTGAAATTTTCAATTTTATTTTTGGTTCAAATGCAAATATACTGGAGGAAGACAGCAGGCTTTGTGTTGACTGAGTGACTCTTATTTAATCAAATGATCCTAGCATTTTTATTATTATTGTCCAAAGGAAAGGAGGTAGGAGAGACTTACGAGAAAGAGAATGAGAGAAATTTTTCTTTACAAACTTTTGTTCCTCTGGTTCTCCCATTACAAATTTCAGGGTGAATCAAACCATTCCAACAAAACCCATAGAGTACTTTTTTTCTTTTTCTTTTTCTTTTCTTTTCTTTTTTTTTTTTTTTTTTTTTTTGAGACAGAGTTTCATTCTTGTTGTCCAGGCTGGGGTGCAATGGCACAATCTCAGCTCACTGCAACCTCCGCCTGTGGGGTTCAAGTGATTCTCCTGCCTCAGCCTCCCAAGTAGCTGGGACTACGGGTGTGCGCCACCATGTCCAGCTAATTTTGTGTTTTTAGTAGAGATGGAGTTTCACCATATTGTTGAGGCTGGTCTCATACTCCAGACCTCAAGTGATCCACCTACCTCGGCCTCCCAAAGGGCTGGGATTACAGGTGTGAGCCACCATACCCGGACTAAAGCCCACAGAATATTAAACCTTATTTGACTCTTGGGGTGTGAAGAGACATGAGGAGCACATTATTCCACTCCCCAACTCCATACCCATTTTTACCCTCTTCCCAGCAGTCCATGTCCAGAAGACAGAATCCGGCCTAATAAGTTTGCTTCCATTTCTCTCTGTCATTGTTTTTGCTAAATAGACTCCCATCATCAGTATATAAAGTAGACTATTCCTTAGTCCCACTTAAATTTTAAGTCACTAAGATTAAAAAAGAAGTTAATAAAGATTCCAGGGACGTAAAATCATTCAATTCAATAAACTGCTCTGAATCAAATTAGTCTGAAACACTTTATCCTTAAAACTGCAAAAACATTGTGATACTAAATATTCAATATTATCAGTCAGGCAAATTGGCCCAGGTCAAATGAGCAAATCTAAAAAATGAGATTGCTAAATTTCTCGGCTTGATAGCTTCGTAATAAATAATGTGCTTCTATTCAATCTGTACATTAAGTCTTTTATGTGGCCTTAAGGCACTCTCTGATGGCTATGCCCATTACAGTGTAGCCATAGAAACTGACACATTTATTTCTTGGATTAGTGCACCATTGAAAATATTAATATGATGCAGTAAATGGGGATTTAATCTAATCTACTGATGGTAGGATGAAGTTAGTAAAAGGTTCAGTGCCCTTATGGAGAAAGAAAGATTATATCTGCAGAGAGAAGCTTGTTATTGGTTACAAAGATCAACTAAACAGCCTATGACATATTATGCACTTCTACATTTAAACAGACTTTGTCAAACTCAGCAAGCCAGGCTTTCTGCAGGCTGAAGAATGCTTTGAAAATGAAATATATATTTTTAAAGATTTCTATATCTAAACTGAAAGACCTTTTCTCTAAAAGCATCAACAGTCGAGCACATATCTTACAACATACTTTGTGAAGCATGGCACCCAGGGAGAAGCTGGCATGCCCAAAACCGTTTTCATGAATTTTGCCTTCTGATTTAAAGGCATTTGCTTAGCCTTTCAGCTTTGCCGAAGGTTAAAAAAAAATCAGACAAACTTCATCAAAGAAAGCCAATTTTGTTTCACATGTTTGGAGAAAAATATAGCTAATCAATTTCACTGTTAATTTTTTAATACCTAACTTGAAATCAGATACCAATAAATATTCCTTTTATTGTGGAATAGATCACATTTGACTCTGGTGTCTCCTAATAATTCATAGGACTCCAGGTCTGTCCCCCCCTTTACTCTGTAGCAAACTACATAAATTTCAAAGATATATTCTGACAGATGAAGCATTGTTGAAAAGCAAAGTACAGCACTTTGTCCTTGAAATGTTAACATGTAATGCCATAAAGTATTCAAATAATAATTTACTCAATCTTTCAGGGTAATTAATTAAAATGTTCGAGATGTTGGAGAAAATCACCTTGAGCTTATAAAACTGGAAACCCACCCCCCTTTCCTCTCTGCATGCAAGCTGCCCCAGCAGACCTACCACATGCCTTCCCAGTTATGGGGTTTGATTTCAGAAGATAATAAATAGCCAGGATCTAATTTTGCCATGTCACAACCGATTATGTTTCACAAGAAAAGGTGGAGTGCTCACCTACCAGATGAAGGTGAAACATAAAACCACTTTTATTTATGTCATGTGTCCAAATTCAACTCAACCTGGCCCTGGGTCCTGTGAGTGTGTGGACTTTCACTGTCATGCGAATTTATGTACCTCAAGAAAGTGTCAAATATAAACAAAAATTTAATCAAAGGGATGGAAACCTTTATTATATTAAAAAAACACATTTTTGGCAGCGAATATAAATTATTTTAATGCCATTTATTTTACTACTTCTCAGAAGGTCACAAAGAAGGAATAAGACGTTAAGCAGATACAGCCTATGGCTATATCTTAATTCAGGTGATGATTAGCAGTGTAATTTAGACTCAGGCTTATTTTTAAAGGTTTTTCTTTTTCTTTCAAAAGTTCATTTCAGCTCACTATCTCAATCAATTGCACTATTATGCTTTGTATGCTTACGAAGGGATAGGTAACAATGTGAAGGGAAATTCATCATAGGAATTTATATTTCCAATGGGAATATAATCAGACGTAAGTTTTTGAACCTCCAAGTGAAATGAAAGACACCAGACATTTTCTGGATAACTTAGGCCAAAAATTTTTCTAGATCATGAGTATAACTGCTCCAGCATTACATTTTGGGTACAGAATTCAAGGCAAAGTTTGGACATCATAGTCCCTGTTTCTGTTCATGTCAGGAGGATAAAACAGAAAGCTGATAACAATAGATTAACAAGCCCCGGGTATTAGTCAGCCGTTCCCCTTAGTTGGATAGGCTTTGGACAGAATTTTAATGACTAAAAAAATTGCATATGATGAATAAGGATGTCATTTTCAATTAACACGAACAAAGGATCATTCCCATATTTGGCAAATGAGGTAGCTGTGGTGTAAGAAAAGCTGGAGCATTCACAGACAATGCATCACTGCTTGCAAATCAAAACAAAATGATGACATTTGGGTATCCTTGCACAATGACATGACTACACATCTCTTAGCAGGTACCTATTAGCCACAAGTTATAGATCACACTAATGGGCTTCCATTCACTAAAAATAATACTGATCTTCATATTATTAATGATTAGTGAAATGTAATACTTAACAAACCTAAATAGGCTGTAAACTATGTCAGCATCCAAGTTTAAGATAAAATAAGTACAGGCCAGAAAAGAATTTATAATAGTTCTCCATGACAAATTAGAAATCAAGATCTTAATGAACCTTAACCCTCTGAAATCACTTTGTGAAAGGCACGCTAACAGAGCTTCATGCTGATAATAGACCTAGCATATTTGTTTCGGGCATAGCACACATGCTTATGATGTACAAAACACTTTTAGGATGTAGCTTACGTGTTTACAGGTGTATGAAGCTTTATAAAACATACATATTTTCAGCACATAGTGTGGGAAATCCTGCTGTAGGTAACTGAATTTTCTTCAAGTCACTTCCTGTTGTATATTTTCTCACTTCAGGGGTCATGTCTCCAGCACAGTGGGTTGTGAGACCATCATAGTGACCTCTTTCAGCTCTTCAGTAATCTGGAAGGTACACTGAGTTAAGAGTTCCTGCAAGTCCCTCATACAGCCACTGTATTATTTCACAGTGGTGCCTGTTGGAAGTAACTTCTCAGATTAAGTGACTAGGGAATTCCATTCACTCCTTGGTAGCATGGAAGAGCCTCAGGGAAAAAACGCAAGGCTGACTTAATCCAAACCATTCAGCCAGAAGTTTTGTTTTTCTGAGACAAGGTCTTGCTCTGTCACCTAGGCTGGACGGCAGTCGTCAATCACCACTGACTGCAGCCTCAATCTCCTGGGCTCAAGGGATCCTCCGCCTCAGCCTCCCCAGTCGCTGGGATCACAGGCATGCATCTCCATGCCCGGCTAATTTTTTAATTTGTAGAGATGATCCTTATTATGTTGTCCAGGCTGGTCTCAAATTCCCAAGTTCAAGTGACCTCCTGTCTTGGCCTCACAAAATGCTGGGATTACAGGTGTGAGCCACCATGCCCAGCCAAAACCAGAAGTCTGGGATGCTAACACCTCCATCCATGCTAGGAACTTAAGGCTTTATGGCCAGCATTCTCCAGTGATGGTCTATCAGACTGAAGGCCCCATCAGATTCAGAACGTTGGCCACTGATGTGGTCAGGTGCTTTCAGTGCACTATGGCAAGATACAAAACCATTTGTTTCCTAACTGTGTTCTACTGGATTACACAAAGTTAAAGAAGTGACAATATTGAAGGGCTTCTCAGAGCCTTTTATAAGCTAATATGTAACGAGTTTCTAAGAGGAGAGTAGTGAATGCAGTGATGTTTTATTTGACCTAGGAAAACTTTTCTCAAGGAACACCTATCAAAAATTTCACAAGACATACATATTTTTGGCACACAGTGTGGAAAATGCTGCTGTAGGTAACTGAATTAAATTATCTGCATACTAGTTGCCCTGTGACTCTTTAAATTTTGCTTAAATCTAAGAGCCCTTTGGTAGAACTCATCATATGTTTCCAATGCAGGATATGACCAAGCATCTAATGTCAAGAGGCGGACACGGTGTGTGTCAGGTATCCTTTATGTATTTCTAATTAAATTTAGAAGGAAAAAGCAAACCAGAGAATGCCACCTGTTTATTGGCACCTGATATTATTATAGCAAAATCATCCCCCACAGAAAAAGGAGCCCAGGATGCTGGGAAGAGTTTGATGTAACTTTCTTAAGGTCATGAGCTCCTCAGAGAAGGAATCCAAGTATTCAGGGTCCCTGCTCTCAGCTGGGTCCTCAGTGCTGCTCACAAATCCTTATTCTTGCTTTTGGTTAGCTCCTTTCCCCTCATCTCACAGCAACTGTTCCAGATCTTCACTCATCTCTTCAAGGCCACTAGCTAGCCCCATCTCATCACTCTGGGCATAGGATTCCACCTCCTAGTGTGCTAAGTAACCAGGGACATGGACTTGAGGAGCTTCCTCAAGGCCCATCAAACAAATCAACCACCTTCTGCATGTGTCCTTACTTGCTTCCTGCCAGTTGCAAAGCACAAGTGTCCTTTATTCTATCAAAGGCAGTCCCACCCCAGCCTCAGTAGGTCCCTATGCCATCTCCACCAGCTGTGACTCCAGCAGGTTTTCCCATGTGCTCCTTCTCCAGCGGCGTTGTCCTCTCACATATAAATATACCGAAGCCTCTCCTATCCAAAAATAACCCCTTGGGCTCTGTCTCCCTCAACTATTGCTCTCTCTCTTCCCTTACCTTCTCAGGTAAATGCAGTGAAAGAGCCCTCCATACTGCCAGCCTCAAAGCCTCAATTCCTTCTCATTCCTCCGTCCACCACTGCCTGACTCCCAGCCTCAGCACTCTATTCAAACTACCTTCACCAAGTTGCCAATAATGTCCATAGTGACAAATTCTATGGCTATGTTTTAGTCTTTCTCTTATAACATCACTGTTGAGATGACACTCCCCAGAACTCTCTCTGAGACACTCCCTGGAACGCTCTATTCTCCTGGCTTCCATGACACACCACTCTATCCTGGTTCTGATTGTTCCTTCTTTTCAGGGGTCTCTTCCTCTATTCACCCCTTAAAACTTGGGTTATCTCATGATTCTTTTCCTTTATTACCAATATGCTCTTCTTGGACAATATAGACAGACAGATCTAGTTGTTAGTCTTAGCTCACTTTTGTTTTTAACTTCCTAAGCACAAAACTGTTACCTCATCTGTAAAATGGGTTTCATAACAGCATATCTCTCATTAGGTTATTATAAGAATTAAATAATACACAGAGCCCTCAGTGCAGGGCTTCATCCATGTTTGGTATGGTGGTATCAATAAGTATTTGTATCATGTTATAAATGACTTTCTTTCTCAGTGACTGGCATCCAACCAAGCATCTACATCTGATTTTCCTTTCTACCTACATCCCAAATCTTTCCACTGATTTCACCATGCTAGGTCAGTGCTGCCACTCCATTCTCCAGTCACCTTCATCTAGATCAATGGTTTTCAAACTTCTTCTAAGAAGCTTTAGGAATCCTCTTTTTCCATCTCCCGTATTTATTAAATTTCAGTGTAAGATTTGTTTTTAATAAAAAGCTCTTGTGGCCGGGCGTGGTGGCTCACGCCTGTAATCCCAGCACTTTGGGAGGCTGGGGCATGTGGATTGCCTGAGGTCAGGAGTTCCAGACCAGCCTGACCAACATGGTGAAGTCCTGTCTCTACTAAAAATACAAAAAAATTAGCTGGGAATGGTGGTGGGCACCTGTAATCCCAGCTACTCGGGAGGCAGAGGCAGGAGAATCACTTGAACCCAGGAGGTAGAGGTTGCAGTGAGTCGAGATCGCGCCACTGCACTCCAGCCTGGGCGAAAGAGCAAGACTCCATCTCATATATATATATTTTATATATATATATATATTATATATACATTATATATATTATATATTATATATACATATATATATTATATATTATATATACATTATATATATTATATATATATAATAAAAAATAAAAAGCTCTTGCTGGTATAAAAAAAGTTGGAAAATTATCAGTCTGATAGATTCCTAATTGGTATTCCTGGTTTCCATCCTGTCCTCATAAATGCATTCACTGTACGGAAGCCAGAGTAATCTCTCTAAAATCTACATCTGATATCTCACTTCTTTAATAAAATCTTTAAATGGCTTCTCACAAGCATCAGCAAACAAATGCCAAGCTCTTTAACGTAACTCAAGAGGAAGGAGTCTAGCCCCACCCTTCACTCTCATCCTGTGCTGGTCTCTTCAGCTGGGAAACACTTCCCACCTTTGTCCTGGTTAATTCTTACTGTTTCTTCTCTTTCCATCATCCTCTCTTCCAGGAAGTTTTCTTTGAGATCCAGGCCAGGTTACAGCCTCTTTTTGTGCTGTGTGTTGTTCCATCTTAGCATCTTCCATGATATATTATAATGACCTATTTGTGCGTCTCTCTTTCTAGACAGTGTCTATATCCTAACCACCTTTACCTCCCCGTGCCTAGAACAGAGTAAGTGCCCAGTAAATATTCACCACTCTGACATAAACTATTGTTTTCTTTAGAAGCAGTGAGGCATAGTGGAAAGAGCATTGGACAGGACTGGCAAACAGGTGGCAAGGGGGATCCCAACACCAACAAGTAAGTGAGTATTGTCGGGAAGTGGAATATGAGGCTATATCTGAACTCAGCAAGAAAACGTCACAAGATGTATGAGCACTTTCTTCAGGGACACAGGATGGGGTCATGGTAGAACTTCTGCAGCTCACGCCTTTTTAATCCTTTCTGTTCTTCCTATAGTAGGCTCTGAGGTGAGATCCTGCTTCCAGTTCCAGCTTCATCACTTACTGGTTGTGAGTTCTTTGTTATGCCCAAGTTTCATCTCTCCATAACAGCATCCACTTTCATAAGTACCACTGACAAATAACAGTGAATGCATCTACAGAACTGTGAAGTCCTCAAGCAAACTGTGTCTTGTTCTTATTTTAATTCCCAGTAGAGCCAAGCACAGGTGGTGGTAGGTGCTCAGTTAACATCCACTGAATGATTATTAATGTACTTTGTTATGTGTTTTATCTGACATGGCCTAACTGCTAAGTACTAGAAAAGCTTTTGAACCAAGTCTTATGAATGTTGTTTCTTCAACAAATATTTCCCTTAAGCCTGGTAAAATAATTAAATATTTACAGCTATTGTTACAAGTTTATAATGGGGGAATACCTGTGTAGAAAATGTACCTGAAGTCCTTTCTTTCTCCTGCAAAGTATAAGTTTTTCTGTGTGGGTTCTCCTGCACCTAGAAGCTGTTTGCTTGAAAATACATTCTTGCTTCTACATATATGGCCTCAGTTAAATAGTAGAGTTATTTGATAACTTGATTGTTGAGCTATAAATCCTAATGTTTTCCCCTAATAATCCAACCTTTAAAAAATGATCCAGGAGGATTCAATTACAGACTTGATCAACTTTTACTGGCATGTTGGTAAATGACAATAACAATTTCCTGCAGAAAATGTCACATCATTTGCATTTACCTGCCAGCTTGTCACACTAAACAAGACAAGTATTTGCCTACAACATCGAAATATCAAGAGTGATGGCTGTATTAATGTAAGCCAGCAAACTAAGGACTTTCAATTATTATTTACTGAAAATTATAATAAACAAAATAAAAAGAATATGACAGACCATGATTCTAATTTGGTTAAAAATTACATGTTTTACAGATTTTGTAATATTCATTATATATTAAGTATCAGTATCTTTAATAAGATAAATATTTATGCTTAAATAAAAATAGTAAAAAAATGGAAAGATACACACTAAACTATTGGTGGATGTTATTACTAGAAGTGGAACTAGAGGAGAAAGTAGGAATGTTTTGACTTTTTATTTTATTTCTGTATGAGTGAAAACATAATAAATGTAAAAATTAGTATGAGTATTACATAACTACAATATTAAATTAGCATATAGTGGGACTGGCACAGTGGCTCACATCTGTAGTCCCAGCACTCTGGGAGGCCAAGCCAGGCAGATTACCTGAGGTCAGGAGTTTGAGACCAGCCTGGCCAACGTAGTGAAACCCTGTCTCCACTAAAAATACAAAAACTAGCCAGGTGTAGTGGCACACGCATATAGGTATTACATAATTACTGTTTTTGAAAGATTTAGAATAATACTTGGGGTTTTCATTATTATATTTAATTATTATATAATAATTATAAGTAATGATAATAATTGGGTTTGAAAGACTTCGTAATTCAAATATTTTTAAAATGTAAAGCAGTAATTGTCCTGAGACACAGTGCAGAAGGACCTCTGAAGCAGCCCAGAGTTTGGAAGCAAACCCGCAGACCGCACTGTTAATGGGTTTGACATTTCTGAAGAATGAGTAGTGTTCCTTAAAGTTATCTAAGCCCCCAAGGAGGTTTACATTTCCATATGCAACCCTAAGAGAAACACATATTTTAGTCACCTTTTATCCTGGTTTCTAAAGAGAGGACACTCAAATAGCCTTTTGGTCTTACTGATGTCACTACATTTGGTAGTGGCACAGAAAGCCATTGCTACACTGGATCCAAAAATAATGATATAAAAACGAAGAATAGTATTGGATGCTGTTATTCAAAGTTCACTGTCATTTGCATTTCTTTTACAGCACTTCACTGTCTTATATCATCATTTACAGATGTCTTATAAACCCTATTATGTTCTAAGCATAAGGGACAAGGACTGTGATCATATTCGTATCATTCATGATTTTGTTAATTTTGTTGAATTATGTAATTGAGGTCACTTGTTTTAGGATCTAACTTGACCTTGCAACTATATACATAAAGGTAATATTCGCTCTAAAAGAGTTGTTTTTTTTTTCCATAGGAATTTCAGAGATACATTCTGCCTATATTCCAACACATTAAAACAATTTACGACTAGGACTTCTAACATTCATCTCAGGAAGCTTTCTTGTCAACATTGACCTTATGTGCATTCATTTTCTCAAGAATATCCTGAAAGATGAATATTAAAAATAATCTTTTTTTTGAGATGAAGTCTCGCTCTGTCGCCCAGGCTGGAGTGCAATGGCATGATCTCGGCTCACTGCAGCCTCTGCCTCCTGGGTTCAAGCAATTCTCCTGTCTCAGCCTCCCAAGTAGCTGGGATTACAGGCGTGCACCACCATGCCCGGCTAATTTTTTTGTAGAGATGGGCTTTCACCATGTTGGCCAGGCTGGTCTTGAACTCCTGACATCAAGTGATCCACCTGCCTCAGCCTCCCAAAGTGCTGGGATTACAGGCGTGAGCCACTGCGCCCAGACAATATTAAAAATAATTTTAAAAAGATGCAGATTCCTGCACATTTCTTTAAAAATAAGGTGAAACAGGTTTGCATTTCTGTGGCAGTTTTCACCTAGCCAATGATTTAAGTGTTTAGGTAGGCATGCTAGCACTCCAGTGGTTTCCGGAATTCAGCAGAACTGATGTGTTGTAGAATAGATGTGTAGAGAGGTATTTGAATCAGTCATTCATTTAACACATCCCCATTCTGTCATTTACTGATCACACACTTTTAAATAATTTACTTAAACTTTCTGAACCTCAGTTTCCTTAGCCGTGAAATGGAAATCCAAATGTCCAACTCCCCACCTCTCCCCAACAGTGTTGTTATTCATTTCAAATATATTTACAAATGCCCTGAAAACTACAAGAGGTAATACCAATTAAAGGATAATTGCTTCTTATCAAATTACTACTAAAAGTATAAATGGAAATGATAATGTCTCTTTTACACTTTTATTATCACCTGATGAAACAGACTAACATTGCTTCAAAAATGACTTTAATTAGTTTAATTTTCCAACACCCATTAACACTCCTAATAGTATTAGTGGCCATTTGAGGAGCTTTTGCTGAATCCTTATTATGCAGAGAATCAGTAACCCATCTTAACTTCTTTGCACTGTGGCAATTTATCTTTTACTAACCTCAAACCAGTGCTAACAATGGTAACCAATACAGACAGTGCATACCTCCAAATTGGAAATGAATTCCTCTCCCCTTTTATGGGATACATGTTAATGAAACTGTATTCAATAAAATCCAGATTGCCCTGTAGAATTTTAGAAACAATTCTTAAAATTTGGTGACACATACAAAAATTATGGTCTATAATTTAGTTAAAAGACTAAAACTCAACCCAGAAATCCACAACAAAGGTAATTTGACTCCTGCTTAACAGATAATGATCATAATACTATTTCTGGTAATTTTAGAGAAAATGAAAAAGATCACTAGAGGCACAGAGTTTCATAGGAGGAGAGACTCGCCTATGATTCCTCCAGATTTGTGAACACCTCCAGGAGCAAGTGTGGGGGAAGCATAGCTAAGAACCAGGTGATGAGTGTTGCTGGCGTCCTCCCATCATCTCTTTCTGTGAAAAAAATCTCCTGTTCTTTCCGATTCTGTAACCAAATGGTGTGACCTACACACACAAATCTACAGGCATCTTGGGTAGAGACTTCTTCATCTGGCATCTCTTGGGGCCTAGGGTGTCAGTTTATTAATGTGATGAATTCATCTAAGTGCATTGCTGGAAACAGGATAGAGGGCAATCCCAGGTGAGATGCATATTTTACTGGAGCCAACTATAAACAATGCTCTGGCTTTTGTTTTGGGACTCATTGGTGACTGGAGGTACTCACAGCCCGATGTGGGGGAACACGTGATCAGGAAGTCTGCTAGCACCTTCAGGTCAGATATCCCTGAAGTGACACCATCCCCGGGAAGGTTCTGACCACAGTTCCAAGATGATAACCTTAACAAGTTTGTGTCTGCGCTGGTGTGAGCTTACAAACAATGCCACCAACTTCCATACCTGTCTGAGAAACCCCAAGGAACACAAGTTAATGAGTTTCAGAAGTGTTGGAGTTTATAGACAGTGTGAGCTCCTCCGGCAGGGTCTACGCCACCGGAGTGAGGTTTTCAGCAGCAACAACAGCAACTAATGTTTCTGAACACTTCTCATCCAGGAAGTCTAGGTGGTGCTTTACACAATTTTTATCATTTAATCCTCATTATAAATTCTACCAATAAAATACTGCCGTTAATTTCATTTTGCAGATGGGAAAACTGTGGTACAGAAAAGAAATAAAACTCACGTAAAGTTTCCCATGATGCCTCTATTTCCTTCGTACCTAGGATCCTTTCTCATCTGTGGCACATTCTACACCAGAGTTAGTGGAAAAATCCATCTGTATAACTCAAATAACTCAACAGTTAACACTCAAGTGATTTCTGCTATGGCCTTGACTGATAGTTGTACAGGATGGTATAGAAAGTCTCCATGGTTTCTTGAGGAATTAAAGATAATTTTAGAGTTTTATGATATGTAAACATTATGTTTTATGAACATACAGTTTTAATATTTTGTTTTCATGCATCCTGTAAGCATAAAGATTATCTCTGGTACTACTTTAACAAGTGGTTGTCAACTAGTGTGTCAAAGCATATTTTTGTTTTTCAATTTTTCATGGTGGGCCCCTAAATTTTGATCAAAGCATAACATTTATCTTTGCTTTAACTGAGATAAATTACTTACGGCGCTATTGGCTGGGGGAATCACGGAGGGAAATCCATCATTTGGAGTAACCAGCACAAATATGATCTTGTTGCAACTCATGTTAAAAAAAAAAATCCAAGAGTGACAATGAGCTGAAGTCAAAGAAAAAGGGCACCTACAGGAACAGCCAAAAAGGTGGCCTCACAGGTACCTGCCGGAGCGCCAGCAGCCAGGTTCAACAGCACAGAGAGTGAACGCCAGAACAGTAAGAGAGCTGTGGAGGATTCCTTTTTCAGTTTTCTGAAACTTTGTTTTTAAAGCATTGACCTATGAATTCCTTTTAAGTACAGTGTCAGAAATTCTAGAATATTCACTTCTATGTGTGAACCAAAAAGGTTAAGAACGACTGACAATCTAGCACTAAGAATATATTTTGTCTTTCATGCTATTCTCTCTGCATTTTTTGGTTTTCAAGAATAAACTTCTTTTTTTTTTTTTTCCAAACCAAAACCTTCTGGAAGTCAGGAACTCTGCTTCCTTGAATCCTGCTGGTATTATATGTGTGAAAGATGGAGCCGGCTGACAGAAGGCAGGTCCATTTTTGAAAGCCTGCACACTCTCCACTTAAAATAGGGCCTTTCAAGTTGCCTGAATCAGAAAGGCTAGGATTTGTTACAGCTGTGAAAGAATCCTAATAATGATGATAAATCTGTGAACAGGACAGGAAACTGTTTTAATCAAGATGCCTGGATACAGCTGTTTGGCTTGCTCCTTCAGGCCTTGCTAAATCCCTGGATTCTTCCCAGCTCTCTGAGACCTGTCCTCCTGTAGCATCCTCCTTGACTTCTGATTCCCAAATTCTTTTTCTAATTTATGATCCATGACTTGCCCTATGAGTACAGGGAAACATTGGAGAAATGCTTTATCCTTTGCTACTTTAATATGCTCCAGTTGCCCTTTAGCCAAAAATGGTTCCGATGTGAATTAAAAAGAGTGAAGTTTTCTGCCAACATGTTATGATGGAACTAGCTGCAATCATGTTCAATGTCTACTCTCGATTAAATTTCACTCTTTGGAAACCTACCTTGCTGTACTTTTTAGTTGTTATGATGAATGCCATGGTGCCTTAAAAGACAACAGCATTAGATTTTTAAACTTGGTGTCTGTAATAGAGATGACACTCCGCTTGCTTTTAATCTCAGAACCTCTTGATATTGTGGAGTTTACTATTTAACAAGCCAATGGATTTCTCTGACTTCTTGGGCTGGAAAAAATCTTAGAGGTGATCAAGCCCCTCTTTTTAGAGAAGAGAAAGATGAGAATTAAGTAACTTGCCCCACATCATTTGGTTAGTTCTGTAATTAACATCCAGGGCCTGATATTCCATCTCCATCTTCTTTCTACCATACCAAGCTACAAACAGGACCATTTCATGAATTGATTTCATTGCTATCACTAATCATCAGCAGTGTAAAAGGAATTACCTGAAAGACAGACACTAAATGGCTTAATACCAAATAAATGAATAATTACGTTGTTTAAAAAAGTATACTGATACATTTAAGCACTGTGAAAAAAACCTGAGGTATGCAATCAATTATCTGGAAATTTCTGAACATTTGACATTATAGACTTGTAGGAGTACAGTACCCATTGGGTATTAGCACTTGGCTCAAATCTCTCTAATATTTCAAAGGAGAAGCAATCACTCCATGTTGGCATTTGACAGCAGGAAACACATAAGGTGATTATATTTTAACTATGTCCTATTATTTATATTTCAAATGTCATTAGTTTATAAGAGATGGCCAAATATGTAAGTTGTTGTAATGTAATTACAGTTTGGGAGTGAAATGAAATGATAAAGAAAAAATACATTAAAGAGACTGACTGTACCATATGGCTCTCAAAGTCAACCAAATCTCTTTTTGGACGACTCTCAAAGACCCTAAGAACTGGCTATTTTAAAAGAATATTTCACTTTGTAATGTAAAAGAAAGGTTCCTGATTTTGTCATTAAATGTAAATGTACTCAATATTTGAATATAAGGCATTCCAGTTTCCATTTAAAGACATGGAGTAGAATTGCATCTTTTTTTTTTTCCCATAAAATGCAATTACGGAGAAAAGAAGAGCTTCTGAGTGAATTATTTGAAGTAGAAAATCTTAATCAACCTCTTTCAGGGAAAAGGAGCTCTACACTGGGTAACATCATAATTCTCAGGTTGCTACAGACACAAACACACTATTAATAATGTGTTGTTTTCATTTTTTTCTCTTTGACAAAGATCACAAGTAAATATCCAACATTCTAAAACACATGGCCTAATTCTGCAAGCTGTTATAATGAAGTCCTTTGAATTATTATAAATGCTGGAACATTAAAAATTCATCAGCAAGGAGAGAGAGGTGCTTTCTATTTGTGGTGTTCTGAATTTAAACACAACCTGCTAAGAATGGCTGATTGTCCCAAGGAAGCACCGCTGACAGCCATCAGCAGGTCTGTGTAAATGGTGTATGGAAAAGGTAATAAGAGCTTCAGGAGTATATTTCAGCCCATATAATAAAGTAATTGTGAAAGTATAATTGCAGTCTGGTTCCATACCATATTAGGGGAAGAAATGAGATGGTAAGAAAATATGAGATTCACGGAATTATTTTGTAAGCAATTTCTGCAATGACTCTCACAGAATAAGTAGAATTTGTCAGAAAAGCAATTTTAAAATGCACAACGATGTTTACCTTTTGAAACCCATTATGATGAATCGGAACAAAATGAACACGGATTATTTGACTATTCTAAAAATATCCTGAGCTTATGAACACTTCATACATAAAAATAGTATTGAGTAATGTTAAACAAGTGATTTCAGCCCATTAAGGCATTAAAAAAAAGAGTTGAGCATGAACTCCCATTTTTTATTTTTGAATGATACCTAGTTCAAATTTCCAAAGATTTAAATATTTGCACGATTAGAATTTCAATTTTTAAAAATTCATTCCTTTAGCTACTTCATAAACAATCACTATTGGCTTAAGTTACCAAGTTACTGCATCCCACATGCTATCAGTTGCTGTCACAGCAAGACTTGAGACAGGGCAAGGAATGCTGGTTCTACTCTCGGTCATCTCATCTAGACTAAAGGAAAGGAAAGGAAAAGCGCAGAGAGGGTAAATGCACAAGTGAATGCAGGGGTATTCAGAGCTCAATAGTAATAGTATTTAGGTCAAATATTAAAGTTGTCCATTTAATTCTCAGCTGACTCATCTTCTGTTAATAGGGTTATGTGTATCACATCTAAGATTATTACCTCTGTAAGTACACAGATTTTTTTTCTTTTTCTATCCTCACCATTTTAGCACAGTTCCTGGCACAAAATAACCATTCGGAAAATATTTAATGAATAAATTAACCAATATCACAAATGTCATGCTCCTGGAAGCCTTCTCTGTACCAACCCTATGGCAAATGTTCTAAAACCCCTATAAAATTGGGATATGGGATCAGGTATAAGGAATCTACATCTCTTAGTCATTAATTTTTCATTTTATTTTAATGAGACCTTGAGAATAAATGTACATAAACTGCAGACACATAGTATTCATTCTCCTAGACTGCTGTTGCAGATGAAACTTCAAAATGTGTTAAATATGAGGAAATTACCTTGATTTGGACAAAGGCAAAATCTAAAACGCTTATTTTTATATGCCTAAACTGAGTTTTTAGAAGGAAAAACATATTCTTGTCAATAAGAGCAAATATCCATTATTTACACATGTCCATTTAACAAAAACTTCCAAAACCAGATTAAGGCTAAAATGAGGAAAAGGGGGAAAAATCCAAAAAACAAACAAACAAAACCTTTTATTTTTATGGTGTTCTATGGACATCGTGTAGTTTGACATTTGTTGAGAAGTCTTCTATGCACACACCTAAAATCTATGCATGCCACCCTGCCAAACCAAAGCTACTGGGTGTCCCCTAACAATAATGGGGAAGATGGGAGAGCCTGGCTGCCCAGAAACAGAAGCCCACTGTGGGCAGGTGAGGATGCAGGTGGGAGAGTGGTAGTGAAAGGGCATCCATATCAGTTTGTTTTCATGCTGCTGATAAAGACACACCCAAGACTGAGCAAATTTGCAAAAGAAAGAGGTTTATTGGACTTACAGTTCCATGTGGCTGGGGAGGTCTCATAATCATGGCAGAAAGCAAGGAGGAGCAAGTCACATCTTATGTGGATGGCGGCAGGTAACAAAAGAGAGCTTGTACAGAAAAACTCCCGTTTTGTGTTTGTTTGTTTGTTTTCAGATGGAGTCTTGCTTTGTCCCCCAGCCTGCAGTACAGTGGGGCTATCTCCACTCACTGCAACCTCTACCTCCTGGGTTCAAGCAATTCTCACACCTCAGCCTCCCGAGTAGCTGGGATTACAGGCACATGCCACCACACCTGGCTGATTTTTGTGTTTTTAGTAGAGATGAAGTTTCACCATGTTGGCCAGGCTGATCTCAAGCTCCTGACCTCAGGTGATCCACCTTCCTCGGCCTCCCAAAAATACCAGGATTACAGGTGTGAGCCATTGTGCCCAGTCGAAACTCCCGTTTTTAAAACCATCAGAACTCGTGAGACCCGTTCACTATCACAAGAACAGCACAGCAAAGACCCACCCCCATGATTCAATCATCTCCCACCAGGTCTCTCCCACAAGACAAGGGAATTATGGGAGCTACAAGATGAGATTTGGGTGGGGACACAGAGCCAAACCATATCAGCATCTAAGAAAGTAATTCAGAAGAATCTTGAAAATAGTATCAATCATCTTACAAATTATGTCTGCCTGTGGTGGAAGGAAGAGAAGAAGGGAGGAAAGAAGGAAGTATGGGAGAAAGGAATCCATGCCTCATGCCATTTATTATGTTACAGGCCTCTCTCAGCCCTATACCTGCCCCCACTTCACCCCCAAACTATCATCATAGTTGTTCAATTTCTTGCTGATCCTTTTCTTGAATTTTCCAAATTCGCTTCATGTTAGGTTTTCTATTAATGCCTAACAATATAATACCACACTTGACTATCTCCTGCCATCACTAAACATCATCAGTTTCTGCAAATAACAGAGGGATTTTTCTCTTCCACCTACACATAGGATATTTGACTTCCTCCCTCTTTTCCATTTTCTCCCTACAAAGCATAACGTAGGTCGGCCTGGGGCACCAGCAACTATTGAACCCTAACTGAAGTCATCCAGTTTAGACTAAGATAAAATACTTTGTCAAGCTTTCTTATCAAAAGTAGAGAATTAGTGAAAGTCAGGGAAAGAATCAGGGGAAACAAATCATTCCATTCTCTGTGGTAAAGATGACCTAATAAAAGGAAGTTTTTCAAGGCCTCAACTCTATTTTTTAATAATAAGGACAAAAGAGTATTATGTTGTGTCATGCGTCTCCTAGGAGCAAAGAACTATATCCCAAAGCAGTAGAACTATAGAACAGCAAAGACTATTTTCCTAGAACAGAGTTGACTTAATTGTAAGTGCTTCAAAGTATCATATTCACATTAAAATAGACATGAGTGTGTTGTAGAATATAAGATCCACATATTGCTTAAAGATGAAACCTTAGCCTTCTAAGACCTATGTAGATTGCAGAGGCAGTTCCAGGGATCTTCGTCTAGCCCCCTGAGATATAAATTCCCTCCCATTCATTAGGGCACTCCAGTGGAAAAGTTGGAAAGCTTTGCTATGTGGATACTGGAAGATTATGAGATACCTTCAAAAACGCCAACAGAGATTTCTGAATATGTTTGGACACTTTAATATACTCTCCAAATTTACTAATAATATGTGTATTTACCACTAAGCAAGCTATTTCAGGAAAGCAATTACTAATAACTTGAGTAAATATTACTCCACAATTAGAACAGATTGGAAGTTAACTCAGCAGGTGTTCTTCTAAGACTACACATAAAGCATTAATATTCATGCTAATGTCTGGGCTTATCAATTAAAAAATTAATCTGCATGTAGACTACAACTTCATATGTGCTTTAAGAAGTTAGATTTTAACATAACTCCAACTTTTGGCTAAAGTATAAAACCTCTAAAAGGTTATCTTTCATTGAAAAGCCATCAAAAGATAGATCAATTGCTGGTCATTCATTTCAACATGTGAGTCCGCCCAGGGAAGTCCTCTCTGGCACATTGTTACTAGAAATGAACATTAGCCCACTGACAACAGCAATTTGAATTCCACCCCAACTTTCCCCAGCACATTATCTCTACATTGGCAGCAGTATCTTCCTCAAACACAGTTCTAATCTTTTCACGCCCCTTAATCCTAAACTGTACCTGGCTCTCCCTATTGCTTATTCCTGCAGGCCCCTCCCGGTTTGCCATGCCCCATCTCCCACTACCGAAACCCCAGGCAACTCCCAGTAGACTCCCCCTCGGAGAGCCAAGGATGTCGCCCCTCCATGCGTTGCCTCGTTTTCTCTCTTTTGCAGCCTTTCACTCGAGTTTTTGCAACTTTTCACTAGAGGAAAACTTATTACACATGACTAATTAGTGTTGATACTCTCTCTGATAATCAGAACTCTGTCACTCATGTATTTCCAGTTTTGCTCAGATGAAGAGCAAGAGGCCAATTTAAATGTTGAATTATAGCTTAATATGTAGGTCAAGAAGTATGCTTGCATCTCCACTTCCGGGAGATAACGTTCTATGTTAATTCAAATAGCCCTATTGTATGTGTGGCTTTTATTTTGAGTTATCATAGATCATTTTATAAAAGGTGAGAAGTCTAAAAAATAATTCAAAAAATTAGGAGTAACTTTCCCCTTCTTCACTGCTGGATTTTTGAGGCCAATTGAAATGCCATCTCCTCCAGGAAGCAACAGGGATTCCTCCAACTTCAACTTTTCCTTTTATACTGCCAGCACTTTGACCACAGACTTCATATCACATCAATTATACTGTGGTTCCATGATAGTTATCTGTATTCCTCTCTTATTAGCCATATGGAGGGAGGGTTCACGACTTATTCATCTCTGTGTCCCTCCCTGACCCCCTTAACACTTAAAGTTCTGCACTCTGTGTTCAAAAAATGCTTTTCAATTTCTGAAAATGAATTAAGTGTCCCTTATTAACAACCCCAAAGCTTTTTAACAAGCGCATTCCAAATTTTTTTTAAGAAGTTGACTTCTTAGGCTCAAATATTCTCATTTCATCCCTATGCAAATATTTGTATAGGGACCACATTAGAGCTATCTGAAAATAAGAAGTTATAATGGAAACAGTGACACAGCCTTAAGTGAGGCAACCGAAATAGGAACTACTTTAATACTTTTACTGAAATGTTCTCTGCTTGATAAAGTTCATTACCAGAATATCATCTTTAAAAGTGAAATGCATTCAGCTGAGCACTTTTTTTTCATTTTGTAAATAGATTTTTTCCTTGCCTAAGCTCTCAGTATAAAGCACAAAATAGTCTTCCATAACATTAGAAAAATGTCACCCCGCACATAGAGCTGAATTTTTAAAATAAAATAGATTTTTCTTCTTTAGCATTTTAAAGGTACAGCAGTGCCTTCATATAGTGATCATCGGTACTGCATACTATATGAAGGCTGGATCGTCAGCCTGCAATTTGTTATGTTCTAAAATGAGTTGAGATAATATATTAGAGCCTAGAACAAAGTTATAAGTCCCTATGGGATATCCTAAGTCCATAAAGTCACCATCCTTTCAACATTACCCTACTTATTACTCTAGTTATATTTAAAATGACCCTGGTGCTAATCTTTTTCTCACCTATTCAAAATGACATTAAAAAGTAATTATGCACTAAATTTACAGCCCAAATCCCAAAGTTTCCTGTTACATAAAATGAAAGCTTATGTATGGCATAATTGTTTTTATTTTTTTCCTGTTTTTACATTATTAAGTTCTTGATTAGTCTGGGGTATTGTAGCCAAAGTTACCTTACAAAGTAAGTTTCACTCCACTTTAAAATCTCACATGTACCATATTGGGTTTTAGGCATTTCAGTAAGATAAATGGCTTATCACCACCACTGTATCTTGACCAAGCAGTGATAGCAGAAATGAATCTTCAACCAAAGAGCCATTTTTCTAAGAAATGAACATTCATATGTTTAATAATGTCATTTTACAATAAGCATTATATTCTTGCTATTTTCTCCAAAATTCAGAAACAACTGTATGAACCTTCCACCTCTCAGAAATATATCCTTCCTTCCCTCCCCCACCCCAGGCCAGATCTTTTCTCAAGATTGCAAGTTATAGAAAGGCAATTGACCTCAGTAAATTTTTCCACTGGCTTACATTTTTTCTTTCTTTTCTAAGTACTCTTTAGGGGGGAAAAAAAAAGAAAGAAAGATAAACACACTTCGTATAGCAAGTGCCATAAGAAAAATATGTTCTGGCAGACTTTTCCCAACTTGTAACTGAAAAGAATTTACATCATCCAAGTATATTATAAGTACAGAGAGTAAAAGAAAGAAATCTCAAAATAGATTTTTGTTCTACTTTCAAACTCCAAGGCTCAGGGAACACAAGTGTTTCACTTAAGAAATGAATAACAAATGACTTCAGTACACATACACCTTTCTCTTTTTGGAAAAATTGCACATAAAAGAGCATTTTTTGGCACGGCTGACCTGCAGAGATATGGAGCTAAGCAGAGTCATGAATTCACTCACTCTGATATGCACACATGATACGCAATTAAAATCTCCATTCACATTCCTGCCGGGTTGTCAATCATGAGGAAAGCCTTTTTGACAACATTCAGCGAAGCGTACCAACTAACCGCTCAACAGGAACTTAAACAGTAACAGCTTTTGTTACTAGCAAGAACGAATTTTTCACCAAGATTGGGTTCAGTTTCTAAGAAATCATTATGCCCTGAATTTTAGGGCCTTTCATTAAAAATGAAAATGTGTCAAAAAGATTTTGTATGGCAAGCTATGTGATGTCATAACTAGAAAATACAAGATATGTAAAAAATCCTAACCTTTTCAACTGGGTGAATCTTTTAAACTTTTTTTCCCCATTGAGAACAATGAACAATGATCTTATAAAGCAGTTTGCTGGGGGGGGGGGGAACGTGACATTTCTAATTCATTCTGAAGTTTTTCAGTAGAATTTTTAAACTTTTAAAATAGATCAAGGCTCTAAACTCACTTGAAAAGTGACCAACCAATCTATAAACCAGTGGGTAAGTGACTTTTTTAATCATGAAAAGAATATGTAGCATGTTAGAAATATTGCATGCATCAAACCTTTCAATTTATGAAGCTCTGTAGAAAATATTATGCACATAAATTCTTTCCAGATGAACCCAGAAGGTACTCTGCTCATAACTTAGTTTCTGTTGAACATCTAATCAAAGACTGTGCCCTTCATAATAGCATATTAGTGTGCTTTAAAGCCATAAATCCATAAAAACAGGACCCAGTAAAATTGAATACAGGATGCTTGTTAATCTGGTACTGTGTCTGTTTTAAGCAACTAACCTTGGATTACAAATTTGAAACAAGTTAATACTATCAGATGTTGAAATATTTGTCTTCTTACTTATCATGCTCTGTAACTGAGAGAGCAGATGCATCCTGACCATTAACAGTCATGACAAATTGCCTTGCTAATGAATGTTACACACTGAAAGTGCCATAACTGATTAAACTACAATTTCCCACTACCAGATAGAGAGAGAGTTGGGGACTCCAGCAGTGGGTGACTCTGATATTCTGATATTCTGCCAACAGGCCTTTAGGGCACAGTGCGATATTTAGAAAAACATTCTAAATTCCATATGAACGTATTCTGAAAGCCTATGTGTATACAACAGGTTTTTAAAGCATATTAGATAAAACAGCTTAGGTTGTAGCTGATGAGCCATGAAAAATAGATGTGTTTAACTATTTGGTATCCTTGCAAGTATGTGCTAAAGAATATTCTCTGATGTGGGTTTCTCTCGCTCTCTCCTTCCCTTTCCCCGCCCCCAAAACATTGCGTGTGCTTTGCATCTCACATAATCTTTTGTCAGTTCTTTTGTTGGTGCAAAATTGGCAGCAGTTCAAATTCAAAGTACTCCTATTCATTTACTGACCAATGTCATTCTAGTTCACATCAGCCAGAGAGCTAAGCTCTAAAAAACATAAAAGACTTGCTTCACCACTGACGAATAATGTGTACACTTTTACAGAGCTTAAACCTTAATGCTTTCCCTGAAACTAACAATACAGTATATCTTATCATTCCTTTTTCACAAGCAGGCAGCTGCTGAAACGCTTGCCACTTCAAAATATCAATTGCTTGCCAGAGTTGTCCTCAACACACCCTGTCAAATTCACGTATATTGTGCAATGAAAATGGTGCAGGGCTGAAAGCTAGAAATTGTGTCAAATTCTGCTGTAAGGGTATGATGTGCAAAGAACAATGTATGACAACCGTAGAGACTACAAACAATGGCACTGGAGCCACGGACTTCATAGTTCACAACTGCGCCTGTACATATTTTATTGTAGGCATTATATATTTAAAGCATGACAAATGTACCATTGTACATTATGTGCTGCACAAATAGAAGCTCCTCCCACTCATTCGCCTTTTGCATTTCTCTTGATGATGGAAACATAGTTGAGTTTCATTTTTTTCTCTTCTCTTAAAACACTGAAGATTCCTAAATCATAAAGGAAACACACACACACACACACACACACACACACATACACACACAAGGTTATCAAAAGAGTAACAGAAAATAGAAGGCAATAATACAAGATGAGAAAATGAGATCTTGTTCACTTAACATTTTGGCTTCTCTCTGAGGACACAAAAGCAAGGATTACCTTCAATACAAACTGAGGGTATGAAGAGAACTACACCAACACTATGCCTATAAATTGTTGTCTACCTAATTTTAATGCAGATAAGTGCTGGCTTATTGATTTGCACAATTTTCCAGCAAAATGGAAATCCCACGTGAATATGTTCTTTGTGTGCAGAAAATATGGCTTAAGAAGCTTTTACTATTATTGCTTTCTTATGCCAAAAGAACAATTAAGAAAATAATATCTCACCACCATATCAGGTCTACAAACTAACACTGATTAATTTCTTAGATTTTAAATATCCCTTCCCATTTCCTGATTAGCTCTGTTTGCTTTAAATGGGTCTCTGGTTATTGAAAAGTTGTTTTTCTTCTAAACATCTCTTTAAATAACATGTAAAATCTGAAAATATTCTCATTTTGGTACACACCTACTTAATTATAAAGGAGCTCACGGCTATAACAACCCGACACTAATTCAGTCAATGACTGTGGAAATGGAAACATGTTTATGGGAGAAGATTACTATGAATATATATTAATCTCTTCTACGACCTAGCTTAGGTTACAAAACCTTTATCACACAAGTAGCTTGGAGTGGAATTAACTGACTCGAGGCTAAGGAAAATGAACAGATATGTTTTTAAGGTGTTAATAAATATTTTGGAAAGAGAATAGGTGGTTTAGGTGCTTAGGGGTGCTGACCTTTGCTATGTTGATTAGTGGGACAATGATGCATTATTAACACACAGCAGCTGTACCTGAACTGCTGCCATGAATATAATAGCCTTTTATAGCCATCAGGGGAGTGAGGTAGGAGGCCTTTATTAACCACTAGACATGATTAGCACATTATGTGAACTTTACTAGGCAAATTATCTCTTATTGAAATATAATGTTGGTTATAACTAATTGTAAACATGATTTTTAAAACTTCGCAGTGAAAAATTCAAATGTTTTACTACCATTCAGCTCATTATTGGCTGGTAATCGCCGACGAAAACATGGTCTATTTTGTGGGACGTACTTACAGGAGCTGAATCTCAAAAGGCAGATTGTGTCACAGAAGGCTGCCTTTAAAATTATTTAGCATTACAAGTTCAGGGATATTAGCATACATGCAAACTTTCTCTCCCTAATTAAGTAAAAGTGTTCATGAACTAGAAAACCTGCTTTGGGATTTTTCTTTCTTTTCATTTCTTTAAGTAGTTCTTAAAAGATTAGTTTTGCAGTAAATTTTTGAGAGTTACCTTGAAAAATAACAGCATAATTTATTTCAAAAAGCTTAATTTTGGGAGAGGAAAGATTATCCCATTAGCCTTAGTAACTGAACATAGCTCTGAGAGTCCATTATGAACAGTCTTTTATGCCCTGGCAGGAAGTCATTAACATAAAATAAATCATTAGCTTTGATATTAAGCTTCTACTATCTGCAGGTTTCTATGATTAATGTTCATGACTGCATCTGCCAAATGATAAAATACACTTTTTGTTGAAAGGTTATCCTGCCTCTTTATTATTAACATTTCTCTTAATACAATTGTTACTGGCATTTTAGGCTGAGGTGTATTGGTATAGAAAGGAAGCATCGGTGTTTTTCAATGGTATGAAAACACTAATGCGTATAACACTTTACCCATCATTTTTTAAATTAACCATTTAATTGAGTTAACAGACTTAAGGAAATCAGGCAGTGCTTTAGGCCCAGTTGGCCCATTCGTTAATTAATCTTGCACATTATATTTCACATCTCTGACCCATATATCAGAGGAAGGTATAGAGAGGTAAACTTGCTTCTCTGAAGTCAGGAACAAGAGGGCATTTCCCTCTTTCACAGTTATTCTCCACTTTTATCTTCTTACAGTGCAAAACAGACAACAGCCCTCATAATAGCATCTCTCCTTAGGTGCACTGACTCTTAATGTGGAGAGGGAAAAAGAGGCCCCCCGGGGGGCCTATCAATATCTGAGGGAGGGAGATTACACACTGTACCTACAGAGACCCCATTTTCCCAATTCACCTTTGACTCTCCGGAAAGGTTATCTCTTTGACTCTCTTCCTGAAAGAACCACTAGTCTACAACTTTCCAAAACACTTTTATTCCACTAGGGCAGCAGAAATGGAAGAAATGGGCTGAGAATGCAGTATTTTGCTGAATTCTTTGAATTTTTGAACATCTTTCACCACAAGATTTGAAATAATCTACCTACTTAATTCTCATAAGTCTTCTTTGATACAAATATATTTTCTCTACTGGATATATGGAAGACTGGAACACAGATGGATTAAAGGTTTTAGTGTCAGAACTTTTACCAGACACAGAACAAAGTCAGGCTTCTCAAGAGAATGGGAAACAGAGTGGGAGGGAATCACATCCTCTTATGGTTAGGTTTATTTTGCCTAGGGAGTAAGTCAACATAGACTTAACGGCACTTGGTTTTTATCTCAAATATTCAACATAATGGAGTCTTTCCCTGAGAAAGGCCTATGGTTTTCCTTAAAAAGACCTGGTTCTTTAGTCTTATTAGGATATAACATGTCTGTTTAAAGCCCTAAGATTCTCAACAGCATCTTCTCCTGTGAAATATTGCTGAGTATCTTAAAAGGGAGTGGTAACCAGGCATTCCCAGTAGTCATGATGTTTTTCCTTTGTTGCTGCTGTTATACACATTGAGGAAGTCTGCCATTTAGGATAAATCTTCATGCATTTATGGCCAGAAATATTCCAGAACCATGAGAAACACAAACACACACACACATGCAAATACACATGCACACACAAATCCACCCCCACACACCCATACACATGCACATACCCATACACACACCAATGTTTCTAGCTCGGTAACCCCAACCCCAAAGTGGCATCAAAGACTTCAATCAAAAGGCATTTTAGCCAAAAGCTAGTATCATCACTACTGTGGATCAGACAAATAACGTGTAAGACCACATGGCACCCAAAATACATTCTATTTTCTTGGCCACTGGCAAAGCTTCTTATCAACCAACCATGGCCTCCTTTAATTAGGAGTCCTTTCCAGACAGTTTCATAAAAGCACATAATTCAGGAATGAAAAACGATAAATACTTGGCTAAAGCAGAACCATTTAAATCTCCCAAGCAAAAAACAAACAAACAGAAAAAAGCATTAATAGTGACCCTGGTTTCATGACCTTTGATATTATAAATATATATCAGTGATGATTTTTTCATGAGTAACATGGAAATCTGAAAATAGCTTTTAAAATTTAACTTTAAAATTTTTATCAAGTGAGGCAAACTTGCCATAGATCAAACTAAAGAAGTGTGGGAAATAGTGATACCTCCCATCAGGAAAGAGCAAGGAGTTTCTGGAATTACCCTCCCTTCTCGTCTTTTCTGCTGCACCGTCAACATCGAAGCACAGAGTAATATAATGTTCCCATTTTCAAAATGAATGCTGTAGGGAGAAACATGTTATAACCAGGAAAAGCTCATTCAGGTTAATGTGAATTCCATGTCTCAAAGTATTATGGAAGAACTGCTATAATTAACAGTCTGTTGGCACTTCCATTATAAACCACATTTCTAAGCAGTTTATAACTCAACTGTTTTTAATCAGAAATTGCTCTTTGGGATGAAACTTGGCATGCAAGGTTTAAAACAAAAAATTCTCAAATTCATTAGGGCATATGTAAGCGGTATCATCTTGGCACTGTAGTTTCCTAGTGGACAGCCCATTTAACACAATTCGTTATCAATCAGGGGAGACCAGCCTATCTAGTTCTGAAAAGTGCATATTCAAAGAAAAAGATGAATTGAAAATACATCAATAACTCTGAGGTGGAAGTAAATGAAAAGGGAAAAAAGCATGTCTAAAATTGGTAAAATTAATACCTTGGGTAAACATGCAATTTAAACAAATAAGGGAGCGTTCCAGCTTCTAAGATGTCTCAAACAGAAGCTTCTTGAGGGCAAGAACTACAGTTAGGATCATGAGAGCCACAGTGTCTAATAACTATGATGTGCTACAATCTTGTTTTCTGATAAAAGTATGAATTTTATATTCTTGTATTTGGATGTACACAATATGTTTTATTCTAAACAACAAGTGATCATATTTTTACAATGTAATTGTTAATAGCATACAATCAACTCATGATAATTACATTTTTATTGACATGTAAGATAACTATCCTACCTATGACTTCTCAGAAATCTTGAGATTCACACTCAGATAGCTAAAATGTAGGGTGGTAAGTGATCTAAATTTGATTAATTGATTCAGTTCTACATGGCCAAACATTCCTGTTCTAGTTATCTATGTATATTCTGATGAGAATACATCCACATGCTAACCCCTGTTACTTACCTCAAGTGTAACCCAACCTAATTTACTGTATTCCAACTGAAGATCACAGTCCCATCTTCATACTATTTTGGAATCTAAACATAGCCTTCTCACTGAGGAAGGATGTTTAAGGGGCTTATCTCTGAGCTCTAAATACACTGCATAAAATGGTAGGGGGTGTGGAAGGGACACTATGATAGCTTAGAAATATCAGTCATAGTTATTTTTCCTCTCAGCATCACATGAAGGTTGTCTTACTCTAGTACAATATTGTATAACTCCACATCATCCATTCAGGTAGGGGGGATGGGGAAAGGAAAACAGCATAATTTGGGATTTCAAAAAGCAGATACAAGCCTGAGGGCTGGTAGATTCCAAATAGAAAATGGAATCAGGTTACTGCAAGAATGGATATGTTCGCATGATTATGGTGATGATGAAGGAAGGTAAGCTGAAGAGGGAGCCAGGCAGCCGAGGCAACCACAATGGTGATTAGTATCCAGTGGAGAAGAGAGTTCAGATTAGAAGTACAGACCTCCTAGGTTCAAATTAAGATTGGGGAGGAGACTAGCAAAAGCAAGGGTGGTCCCAGGAGTTGGAGTGGCTGGGAAATGGGTAACTGGGAAGGAGATGGAGAGGTGGGAGGTAAGAGGCGCTGGGCATACTGGTAGACCTGCGACTGAGGGCTGGCTTTAAAACAGAATAGGAAGAATCATCAGTATTTGAGAAACACCCGCAGGGTCTTTTGAAGTTTCTAATGTCCTAGCAAAAGTTTAGAAAGCATTATAATAAATCACCCTTCACAGCTAAATAAAATCACTGTGCTCCCCACTACCTTCGTCATTTTCTAGGCCAACCCTCTTGAATGGAGCCCATCACAAAAAACGTATGACCACTAGAAATAGTCTCACATACCAAAACCAACATTTGAGAACCAGGTTGGTACCCAGGAAACCACCCCTAAAACTGGAAATTTCCCTACTTCTTCCTGTTCCACTGTTCTTAATTCCCTTGCAATCACATCATTTAAACAAAATCCACAATAATCATTCAATTAGATATTTACATATTAGTTTAGTTTTTGTAACTAAGCAAAATACCAAAATTCTCCTTAATATCATTTACTAACTTTTAAAATATATGATAAACTGTGAGAATACTAAACTACCTATGCAATGTTAAAAATAACATCAGATCCCTCTATAGCTCATACTTATAACTTTGTTTGCATAGACATTTAAAATTGAATTTGCAATACTGAAATAACCCACACAGTCAAGATAGCTACATTTGAAACTTTTCTATAATATCTGATTTAGTGGCCAAAAAACCATGATTGCTTGGTTTATGCTCTTTCTTACATAGGCATTTATTTAAAACATATTTAACAACCTGAAAACTTCTGAAAAGTGCCAGCTGATAAAACTCCCAGGGGAATTTTAATTATATATATGTGATGTATGAATTATCAACTATGAATTTCCCAAAGTCCTAGAAGTTATGGAGGTGGATGAAGAACTAATCAAGCATGATGCTCTAAACTGCTTATAACCCTCCCTTCTTTACCTTCTTTCTTCCCATACTCCTCCTTGACCTACTCTTCCTCCCATCTTTTCCTTTTTCTTACATTTACTGTTCAAAATAGGAATAATGACTCCTTCTTAATGTGCTTACAAATCCTGTATTTTTGATGAGTATTGCCACATTAAAGTATAATACATAATACATTTTAAATAGAAAATAAGCTCAAAGGAGATTTTGCAGAGACTGTAATGAATCTCGTTATTCTTAAAAGTTATCAAATGTCTAATGTTTGTCCTGACATTTTCAAGCAGAGTTCATCACAAATGGGTCCTTCCTTGTGCGTTTTTACGAAAAAGAACATATACACTGTCCTTCCTCATTTCAATGATAAAAGCTGAATATTCCAAATGCCCACTATTCTTCACTCTGTATATCACCAGCATGAAGCATGGGTTTGTGTTTTGGACTTCCCTGTTTCTAAATCAACCAAAGAAAGATTCAGGACATGATTCCATAAAGGCAACCACTGAGAACAGTGAAGCCCATTATTTCTCCTCCCACTGCAGGCCGAGGTCACCATCCCTGTCATTAGCCATGTCATAACATAATTGTATTACTACTCCTTATGTGGGCAGATACTGAGCAATAACTGAACACATCACATCGTTGTAAAAATGAAAAAGTACCACTTCTTTGTCCTATCTTAGCATAAAACCAGTGAAAACAATCTTTGGAAATGACGCTGCACTAAGAAACTGAAAAGAACTGTTATTACTCTGTAGGTATATATTTAAACTGATGATCTGACATCTTTAACTAGAATAGAAAACAAGACTATATCACTACAGAACTCCAATTGTAAGCTCATTTAATCCAATTTATTTTGGTAGCATTCAGCTCAATTAAGGGATACAATGTTACTTAAAATAGTCTAATTAGATGAAACTCCACTATGGTACTCATCTTTCAATGTCTGAAATATAACCATGCATTAGGCTGCAAGAGGTGAATACTGTTAACTCCAGCCTCCATGTGTCTGTCCAGTCTATGAGCTACACTGCTATTTCCAACACTGACCTATATACAGCAACATGCCATCCGTTCTGGCTGTTTGTGTAAGAGATGCCTCACACACTTGCCTTAACCAACATCATTCGCATTGTTCCCACAATGGGCTATGTGAAAATGGAGGCTACTTTGCATAGTGATATGTTCATAACGTGTATTAGTCTTACAGTAGAGCAATACTAGATTAAACCGTTTCCAAAAATGCCTCCTCCAGAGTTTATTAACTGAAAAATGTAAGTAGCATTTTGGCAATCTATAGAGCAGCAGTGCCGGAAAGTGTCAGCAGAGTAAAACAATCACATTTTAGTTTAGAAAGCTTCAGGAAGAGAATATTCATTTTCTCCATTAGAGTCTCTTCTGACATTGAAAAAAATGTCACCGGGAAACTGTAGCTACAGTTGTAGGATTCTAAAGCACAGATAGATACTGGTTCCGCTGGGATTTAGCACACCAACTTTAAATAAGCAAAGTGTTGACAGGTTTAAAATAAAGATAATTAGTAATTTATGATCTTATCACCCTATTAAAAACAAATCACCTGACAAACTGACTGCTATTTGTAGTAAGCTACATATTCATTACGCCTCCGAAGGAAGCAAGATTTACTTTGCAGTATTGTTCTTTTGGGGATGTCTGATCCAACTTGTTTTAATAAATGTAGGCACAGATTTCTTACTTCACCTTTTCCAAACTTCTGTCCTTCTTCCATTTCCCTGCAAATCCACTCATGTCATTGCAAAAACAAATGCTAGTTGACTGCATTATGCACAACTACAATTGTGGAGCTGGACAGAAATTTTGTACCAATGCTAATCATGGTGGAGTGAAAAAACTCAAGTGCCTGGGATTTGTGGGGCCTAGAAAACTATCCAGTACATTTAATATAATCGGGACCAGTGACAAATATATCTGATGGACTGCTACACAGAGATGGGCCAGAGATGTCCCTGGAGAAACATTTCCATGAAGTCTTCTTCCACTATTAGAAACATGTCTTATGACTTTGGATTTTAAAAAATCTATTATTCTCTGGATAAGTTAAATAGAAGACTCGCAACTAGTCTACAGAAAGGGTGCCTAATTTGCATTTAAAAAGAACAGTTTGCTTCTTATACACGGGGTGACTTAAAAGGAACTTCAATGAGCTAGTAAAGAAATTCTGAATACTTTCTAAATTAATTTATTCAATTCACAGCACAACCCACTAAAATTATTTAAAGCACTTAATTGGAAAATGATTTAATATATTGAAGTAATTCCTGATTTTCCAAAGCATTTAACTTTTAAATTAAATCTGACCCTACTTATCACAAGAACGAGGAGTGAAATGTGTATCCAAGTCATTAACTTCTTTTTGGGGCCTAAAATCACTGATAAACTTAATAAGATTTGTCCAGTCTCATTGCCAAAATAGTTCTGAGCTTTTGGTTCCGGTAACTACAGTGGAATAAGTCTTTACTCTCCAAGATAGGGCTGCAACTTTATTATTTTTTATTAGCAATAGTATTGGTGTCATAAGCAAAATAAAACGTAACACAATACTTGAGTGTACAGACAAAACAGATTTTAGACTAAAAGAACTATGTCACCAGCAAATAATGAAACTTCATCACACAAACTCCTATGCGCTTGCCAAAGTTCCCCGTACCTTTCAACTTGCCCGTAGCTGAAGGGCTCCCTGTACAATGGAAGCCCTTCTGCCTTGCTCAAGACTGGATGTCCCTCTTTTCTAACTTGCCTAAACACCATCGGCACACAGCACAGTCCTTTGAGTGGGTCTCACACTGGACACAGCATCGAGGAGCTTCTCCACGGGGAAGTGTGTGTGTGAGAGCCTGCCTGTGTGTCAACACTGTCCAAGACTCGGAGCTGCGACTCGGTCGCGTGGTGCGGAGTCCAGGGCTGAGAAGGCAGCGCACTAAATATCTCTGTATCAGGTAAAAAAGCCGTTTGGTGATGACTCGCCACCAGGCAAATGTTGGGAGTCCCAACGATTTTTCCCGTGGAATGCACCGAGGGTCGCCATGGATGTGCCTGCAGGGGCTGTGAGTATCAGGCAGATTTATCACCAAGCGAGAGTTGGGCGTCTAAAAGGCCCGCCCAGCGTTTTAGAGAACTCAATTCTCTCTGCCAACGTTCATCCAACGGGACTGCTTAGACACGTCCAACTAGCCCTAGGCGTGGGCAGTCGTGCCCCTGCGACCACTCTGGGGGACCGGTCCCTGCGTGTCCTCCCTCTCTGGGATGAGAGAGTTCGAGAAGCCGGGAGAGTAACCCCCTCCCTCGTACCCCCTGACTGTCCTATAGGTGGACCCAGCCGAACTCCGCAGCAGCCCAGGCCAGCGCCCCACCTCCGGGTCACCGGCATGATCCGCCTCTCCCCGGGCCCCCGCGGCCCTGGCACCCGAGGTCAGCGGGCCGTGGGTACAGCTCAGCCGCGGACCCTGCTCCGCGAGTGCGGGAGCTTTGGACTTGAACGCGACGTGCTCGCCCGGCTCCCAACAAACTTGCAATTTCCGCGCGCACCCCTTAAACAGGAACTGTTCCCCAAACCTTGACCCAGCTACCCCGCTGTGCTCTGGCCCGCGGACCTGTGTCCGAACCCGGGCTCGGCTGCCGGAACCGGTTTGAGAAAACAAAAGAGTTGTGGGGCAGTTTTCCCTGTGGGGGGCAGGGGCGCCTCCCAGGTCCCTGCACCCCGACTCCCGGCTGCTCCCCTGGCAACTAATCCGGAGAAGGGAAGTGGTGCCACGAGCCCCCACTGCCCGGGGAGGGAGGGAGAGAGAAGGGGGAACTGGGAAATAAACTGAATTCTCTTACTCTGCCTCCGTTCCTGGACCCCAGACACACCCCCAAAGTATTCCACGGTTTTCTCTTATTATTTTTTTAAACGCCCCCCGGCAAACCTAGGCAGGGATCCTTAGCCGCGAACAGCAGGAAGGAAAGAATCCGAGCAAATCGTGTCACTTTCCGCACAATCGCGGTGTTTGGCAAGCCCCCGGAGCTACTCCACAATATTTACTACCCAAGCGCACGCAGGCTGCAGCGGGCTGCGAGCCGAGCGCGCCCGGGACCGGCCTCCGCCAAGCCGGCCCCGCCGCGGCCCGGCCACCGCCGCTCCCCTCCCAGGATCAAGCAGCAAGAACACGGTGGAAACAAAAGCAGAGCGTTCACCTTGTTGCAATAGTAGGGGTCCAGGCAGGGAGAAGGTCCCAGACAGGGAGCGTCGGGCGCAGCGGCGGGCTGGGCTGGAGGTGGATAAAATCTTACGTCCATTTCACTCTCACATCAAGCAACTCCTTTTCTTTTTCCTTTTTTAAAAAAAAGTGTTCAGCAAAACAAGCTTAGACGGAACAGAGTGAGGTGTCTGGGCTCAGGAGTAAAAGAAACACCTTCCTTCCCTCACATCCGTTTGTGGTTTGTTTAAGAAGAAGAGGAAAAAAAAAAAAAAGAGGGGGGAAAAGCGCTCAACTCTCCCCCAAGCCGCGGCGCGCACCCGTCGGCGCCGAGCGCGCAGCCTGCTCCACCGCCGCCTCTTGGTCCCGCCGCCGCCGCTGCCGCCGCCGCCGGGCAGGTAACTTCATGCGCTCATTGTCCCCCCCGCCCGCCCCCCCATCCCCGCCTCCCGCGCCCCTCGCAGCCCGGCACACGCGCTCGGGCTCTAGGTACTGGGCGTTTTATTGGAGATTCTGAGTTGTTCTGCTTGTAGTTTATTTTCTCCACCTTGGAGGCCCGGGATGTGGGGGGTGGGGGGGTGGGGCGGGGATCCAGAAGGGACAGGGCGGGAGGGGGGCGAGCGTCCCGGGCCGGGCGGGGTAGGGAGCGCGGCCGGACGCGGGCTCGTCAAGGCCCAATGGCTGCTGTTCGGAACCAGAGGCCGGGGACCGGAGAAAGGAGGAGCGGAGAAGGAGAAGGAGGAGAGCACGGCCTGGCTGGGACAGAAGCGGTGGGACCCTGGGAGGCCTCCGCTGTGCCCGTGCCGCGCTCCTCGGGACCAGCGCGTCGCACACAAAGGGGCTGCCGAGCCAGAGCCACCAGCGGCCTCAGGGCACCGTGGGGAGCGCGCAGCTAGGGGGCGCTGTGGCGCACCCCGCCCCGCAGCCCCGCCCCCGGCCCTCCCCGGCCCCACCCCACTCCCACCGCCCTCTCCGCGGCCGTCCCCACCCCTATCTCCGCGACCCCCACTCCTCCTCGGCTGTTCCCCAACCCTGTCACTGTGCTCCCCTCCCTACTCCCGGCCCGTAGTGGAGGTGACTTTCCTGCGCAGCGCCGCTTCTGAGGGCGGAGAACCCACAGGGAGTGCGACCCCTTTGCACGCTGTGAGTGGGCAACTGTCCGAGGGACTCGAGCCGATCGAAGGGTGAGGACCAGCTCGCCTGGGGGTGGACGGCCTGGAAAAGCCGCCCCTCTTTGGCTTCCCTCTGCCGCCTGCAGCCCGCACCCCTCCGAGATTCGTGCCCCACTGGACGGTTTGCGAAGGCTGAGGCTGCCTTGGGGACTCACAAAAGACCACAGGGGTGATTCGAAGTGTAAATAGGGAAACAATCATCAGCACACAATCCGGCTAAAGGGATAACATATGAGTTTGCTTGTTGTCCTTCATGGGATTCTTCTCTTTTTATAGCTGGACGCCCTATAGGGCTCTTGGCAGTCCACGAAAGACCTGGAGTCCGCCTCCCCATTTCTCCGGTCGGTGAGTGGCAGGAGGAAATCGCCAAACATGTTTTCCCGCTTTGCCTCCCCAACTCGGAAACTTGCAACTTGCCGTGTCCTGGAGGTTGAGACAATTTGGGGTCTCTTGGCTGCCGTCCAACAGATTTATCTCTGAGGGCAGTGTCCTTGGTGAGAGGTCCAAGTAGGTGTGGGCGACATTGTCCTCCATCTCATGAGGGAGCAGCCCTGCACACTAGGGCCCAAAACTCTGCGAAGGAGCTTGGAAGTTCTTCATCCGTTCCACTTGTTTTGCTACTCCACACACCCTTCTAGGACATGTTGATTGCCAACTGCTCTGTGCAGCTTTCCCATAGCTGTCTGTTCCCGTGCATTTCGGAGCACCAAGCAAATACGAGCAGAGAGACCTGGAAAAAAAAATGATGAAGACAGTATTAATGATAAAATTAACATGGCTGAGTGAATTGTCAATGCAAGTTCCTTTACTAACTCTTTGTTAAGTTTTGCTTTGTACTCCTTACATCCTCTTTCTCTTAAGCCATTGTTTTAATTTCTTCTCGTTATCATTTTTAAAAGTAACAGAAATACAGCTTTCTTCCTACCTTCACGATTGACTTGGTGGAGGTTGGGTTGCAAAGAGGAAGCAGTAAGAAAAAATAATTATTCTATACATTCACAAGTCCTTCAAGGCACAAAATAAAAGTAAGAAATAGAAAATATGTCCTTTCTCCTAATAAAGGTCTTTATAATAAAATTTAAATGAAGTTTTGTGTTTCATAACAGCTTCCCAAATACTGTTGTAGATACTAAAATGTGCCTGTATGTATTTCCTTCCACAATAATAATAGTAATAATAAACTTTTTTAGGTCCAAATTAAACATTTCTCAGCTTAAATTTCTATCCTCAATCCAACATTTATTATATCAAAACTTGATTTTTAAAAATAAAACTTTCTTGGAATTCATCATTGATGTCTGTTTGATGGCCTCGTGAACATCAGGAAGATGAAATGAAATGGTTCAAGACTGGAACAATACCATTATCTGCATCTTGACTCCTGGGAGATAATGATATCTCCTGCTTTCCTCTACAGACCTACCAGTTTTCTCTGCTTTAAGGGAAAATCCAAATGCATGAGACCTGTGCATTCTTCTACATAATCAAGAGTCTGGTTTCTTCCATCGGAGTGTATGGAGTTAAAGTGGTATACTGTACATGGCATGGTGTGATAGGTGGGAATATGAGCTACTGGGGGAAAAAGTTCTTACTTCTAGCCACTTATACAAAGAGAGGCCATCTCAGTGTAATCTGAAAAAATGCTCACTTTATAATGCTGTATCCAAGGCCCATCAAAAACTAAATGGATGTATTTGTACTAAAAGTTGGGGAAAGTTGAATATCTAAACCTCTGAGCAAATCTTTCTTAATTTAGAAAATAAAATAGAGCATCATTGTAATACTTTTCAGTTTCCTGGACATTCAACTCCACATCATGGATAAATAAAATAGTTATTTGTCCATTCACTCATTCATTTGTACATTAATCAACAGAGAGAGTGGTGAAAAACACTAATGCTTTGTATTATTTATAGGTTTAAAATACAAAACAAATTACTTAAAATGGTTCCTGCTCTAGATGTAGTCTTTCAGAGTAGTATTTTCCAAACTAGTCTGGTCAGTGAAGTCATCTTAGCAGTTTAGAAAAATACTCATGCCAGAGCCCCACACGCACAGATTCTGATTCAGTTCTTTTCAGGTAGGGCCTGAGCACAGGAATTTTTAAAAGCTCTCCAGTGGCTTTAATTTTCAGAAAAGATTGAGAACCACTGGCCTAAAAGGAAAGATAAGGTAGTCTAGAAGGAAAGAGTCCTTAACAAAGGAAATGTTAAAAGTATGAAATTTTAGTAGATAGGCTGGATTGTCATTTTGTGTTGATCCCCATAAGAGGACATTGAGGATCACCACTCCCAAAACCTCATCACCTACGCTGCCTTTTAGAGATGGAGTTGGCAATTTGCCCATTTACTGTCAGTAAACTTGCATGACTTGTAAAGGTCCAGGTTACAGTTTATTCACCTGACCTAGGAACTTTATGTACTCTAGTTACCAGAAAATGAGTGCCTGTAAACAAAACGTGTCTTTACCAGTGCTGATGTAATGCTATCAGTACCTACTTGTGAAATGCCTACTATATCGTGGACCTGGTCCTAATTTCTTTACATTGAATTTCGCAGTCTTATTTAATTTTCCAGATTACTTTGGAAAGCCTCATCAGTAATTACAAACCACACGGAGCATTTGATTTTGTTCCCTCAACATTGCCCATCTTCACTTTAATTATAGTTTCACAAATTGTTACGTTTTCAAATTTATACTTGTTTTCAGTGACCACATTTTATGTCTACTGATTCTTTGTATTATGTAGGTTAAGTCCTAAATCTTGTAGTAATGTCTCCAAATCACATACAGAATGTGTTACTTTGGGGAAAATAGCTTTTAGACAGTTAATCCTATCTGTGATTTACAAGAGTCTTATAAAAATTATTCAACAAACCATGGTACTTCCTGGCAGGCATTCTTTGCTAGATTTTGGAGTTAGTTTTTCTTCAAGGGTTGAAGCCCTCTATAGATGCACATGAGAATGAAATGTCATATAGAGGGGTTGATTTTGAAATGCCAGATATTAAAACTAAAATCAAAGCCTGCCGTATTGTATAACTAAATTAATATTTAGCCCTTCACTGGCCTTTCTGATTTATGGGCTAGTTTTCCAGTGACAGCTGATGTCGCAATATTTCTAGGGAAAAGAAAGCCTCATTCTTTTAAAATACCATTCATTTTATACCTCATATGGCCCACCTAGGATTTTAAGCCCTCATTGGACATGTGTATACCCAATGAGGTTACATGGTGAAGTAGCTATTTGTTTCCTTAGAATCTAGCCAATCCTGAGTGCTATACATTTTAAATTCAAAAGGACATCATTAATGGTTTTCATGGGAAATGTTTACATGTTCTCAATTTACCAGTTAGCATTTACTGTTGTCCAGGGTTATTTAACATTTTTCTAAAGTAATTTAAATGTAAAATGGAATGATATGCAATAAGTAATATCTTTCAATGGAAGAATGCAGAGTACTGAAGTTTATTTCCTGGGGAGACTAGTGAGAAATGACTAGATTGTAAGTCTTTCTACCAGAAAATAAAGGATTTCAGAATGATGAGGAAAGTTTGAGGGAAATGAAACAGGTCCACAGATAGCTCACATGGTACTAAATGACTCATAAAATGCAGTATTTTTTACATAATTTGGGAAGTGTGCCATGCTTGTACATCTCACCATTGAGTGTGGTACAGTACTTTGATCTTCAACAATACACAACATTTGTGACATAATAGCTATAATAGGACTATTCAGCTATTTTACACGGCAATAATCCAGTCCTCTCTCATCAGGATAAACTATGAGGACAAATCCTTTCAAAATCAGAATTAGTTCCTTGTAGAAGAGTGAGGCTACAATTATCCCTTAAATAGGAGCAGCTGCAACATGGTATCGGCCTGGAGCATGGCAGTGAAGTGTTTTTCCAATGCAATTAAATGGATTTTTTAATGCAAACTAATATTCTATAAAAAGTCAATTGGTAGGGGAGTAAGTGTGGAATTGCTGAGATGAAAGAAACAATCATTTTGCTTACCTGAGTTAATATTCCTGCCTTAGTAAATGATATTTTGGTAAGAATGGATAATCAAGGCTCATATTTTCCTGTGAAGTGGGGCCCAAAAGAAAACCAGAGTAATACAAAGGAAAGATAATTCTGGTTTATTTGTACACTCTACATCTTATTTTGAAATGGATTCACAGCCATATTTTGATATTGTTTTTCAAAATGGTATGATGAGTGAACAGCAACATTTCAATTTAAACAGCAAAGGTAATACTGTGGTGGAAAAATATAAAGAGAGCTCACAGGACCTATATTAGTCAGTGCCCACATCGAGAATGAGACAAAGAGGAATGGGAACTTAAATTTCTTACCACAGAGATGATTAAAGGATCAGAAAATAAGACCTTTAAGAAAGATTAAAGGACCTGTCTAGGGAGAACAATACTGAGAGGCAATGTAATGTCTTCAAATCGTATATATCCAGAGCTCGTTCACAAGCAACAGGGAAAGAACACCTCCACGGAAGATATGACATGAGGAATTGGATTTTAATACTAGAACATGGAGGACTAAGCCCACACGAAAAGAATTTTTCCTAGCGTAAGCTTAAATGTATTGCCAAAGGAGAGGTGTCGGCTCTCAGTAGGACTGATTTAAAAATCTCTGCAAACCAAAGTTTGTGAATTCACCTGCACATCCACTGACACCCTTCTTGAGTATGCTTTCCTTATATAAGATCGAGTGGGCTGATAGTTTGAACTTAGCTCTGATTATCTAAAAGACATATACTCATAAATTTTGGATAACATATAGGGAAGTTCAGCCAGATGTGAGCTAAATAATCTCTTACAGTTCTTTGAAGTCAATAAATGCTTCCCTTTATATTATGACTTGTTGATGAATATTTTCAAGGACTTTCGTTACACAGAAAAATAACACATCTGATTTTGCAGGCAAAATTTAAGATATGACATAAAACTAAAAATCAAAATAACACATTTCTAGAGTGTTACATTAGTAAAAGGATAGTCTCACATGATAGGGATGGTCTTTTAGGATGACCTCAGAGCCAAAAACAAAAGGAGTCCTCCTGCCTTACTATCATATATTTTAAGGCATGGCATTCACTAAGTCAAAATTCACACATTTTTCAGATAAGAAATACCCCAGATTCCCAATCAGGCTGATGGCCGTTGCTGAATTCCGAATTCTCCCATGAAATCTTCCAGGGTTGTGTGGGTAAATGTGACTTTGCACCCTCCCCCTACCCGATCTCCCCCAGGAATAGGTACTGTTTCCTTCCACTAAAAATCCACTTATGCTTGACCTTTACATAATGTGATTAGCTATCTACCCATGTATTGTTTTAATGTTTCCATTTTATTCCTAATGGCTTTTGAATATGCCTGTCTCTATTAATGTGTTTGATACTGATTATAGGCTCCTAGAGAGAAGGGGCAGAATCTCTTTGAACCTGACTTTGAATCTCTTCAATAGGATATATGACCCCATGTATCATCAGTTCCTTAAATATTACTCTTTGCAAGAAGATGACCTCTTCTGAATTGTGTCTCTCCCAAATTCAATTCACCTGTTGAGGCTCCAACTCTGACGTGATAGTATCTGGAGACGGGTCTTTGATAATTAGGTATAGACGAGGTCATGAAGATGAGGCCGCCAGGCTGGAATTAGTGCCCTTATAAGAAAAGATACCAGAGAGATTGCTGTCTCCCTCCCTGATATGTGAAAACACAGAAGGTGGCTGTCTACAAGTTACGAAGAGGGCCCACCCCAGAAACATGTGATGCTGACACCTTGATCTTGGATTTTCAGGCTCCAGGACTGTAGGAAAATAAATTCCTGTGACTTCCAGCCTCCAGGACTATGAGAAAAATAAATTTGCCCAGTCTATGGTATTTTGTTATAACAGCCCAAGCTAAGACAACAACTTAGCAATCTTTTTCTTGGTCTCAGCCAGAGTTAATTTAGGATGCTACTGATGCAGATTCAAGGTATAACAGTATATAATCACTTCCACTGCATTAAGACAGCTTAGGAAGAGTTACAGTAGTCTTATATTCTCTATGTTGCCTCATCTGTATTGTTATAGTTCAATATCACCTTTAGTTAAAGAAACCATTATTAAGAGTCCTCTGTGTGTCAGGTGCTGTGACTAACAGTATATGTTAGTTGCTGTTGATCCTCCTTTTCTTCCCCTTCCCTTTTCTGCTCTTGGCTGCCTTACCCATTTATGTTTTCTGTGTCGCCTGTATACACATTTGTAATCTCTAGATTAGAAATTAGTCAGAGAATGAACAGAGAAAATAACACTTAAGCCAAGAGAAGAGCATGAACCGAGTCGGAGAGGCTTCAAAAACAAAGAAAAGTTTGGAAACAACCAGATCAATTGAGTATTTGCTATAATTTTTAAGGTGTTGAGGTGGAAGTAGGAAAAGGACAGATGCAAGAGAACCATGAGAGGAGACGGAGGAGGTTCTGATAGTTGCAATGTTGTCCTTCTAACTGAAGAGCTGGAACTCTCTGTTGGGGAGTCTTGAAGAGCTTTAATATAGGATCTAACTTTGATATATTTGGATTATAATATTTTATGAACAATGGGATTTTTCACACACTATTTTCGTTACAGTAAGGATTCCATAAGCAATTGCAGGAACTACTTACTACAGAAAGAGAGAGCAGATACTACTTTTTCCAAAATTCTATAAATCTGTTTTAGTAGCTATTGAATGTAAATATACCTAGAAAAATATTGAGTATTGTTACCCTCTGTAATATACCTATCTCTTTTTTTTTTTTTTTTTTTTTTTTTTTTTTTTTTTTTTTGAGACGGAGTCTCGCTCTGTCGCCCAGGCCGGACTGTGGACTGCGGTGGCGCAATCTCGGCTCACTGCAAACTCCGCTTCTCGGGTTCACGCCATTCTCCTGCCTCAGCCTCCCGAGTAGCTGGGACTACAGGCGCCCGCCACCGCGCCCAGCTAATTTTTTGTATTTTTAGTAGAGACGGGGTTTCACCTTGTTAGCCAGGATGGTCTCGATCTCCTGACCTCATGATCCACCCGCCTCGGCCTCCCAAAGTGCTGGGATTACAGGCGTGAGCCACCGCGCCCGGCCATACCTATCTCTTTAGCTTCATATTTTTCCAGCCTCACAATCCCCTTCCTCTCAGCCCCAACCTCAGTATCTTAAAATATAGCAAACTACTTAAACAGGACCACAGCCCCTAAATTGCAACTCTAAATTCAAAAAGTTCTGAAAACTTAAAGTTGTGTAGTTGTGTCATGACACATTGGCAGCAAAACCTAGAGGCATCATCTAATCTGAACTGACAAAAGCCTCTTTAGAGTTCATTGATCCTACTCAATGTATGTTCATATGTTTTATTGCAGAAATATTACCGTTCCATTATGTGGTACTACCTCAAATCTCACATTAAATGTGGTTTATGTAATATTCTGTAAAACTTTTCAAAAGTTAAAAAAAATGTTTATTTCAAAACGCAATTGTCTGTAGGGTGTCAGATAAGAGATGATGGACCTGTACTTGTAGTAAGCTAAACTCACTGTGACTTATTTTGAAACAGAGGAATAATTTGCCTACAATAAAACCACTGATATTAAATGTACACATTTGATAAGTTTTAAGAAATGGATGCATTTGTGGACCACTGCTACAATGACAGTGCAGAAAAACTGCATCTTTTTACAAAGTTTTCCTGAACCCCTTTGCAGTCAATCCTCCCCCAGTCTTCAATCCCCAGAAACCACTGACCTGATTTTTGTCACTCTAGTTTTGTCTTTTCCAAAATGTTCTATAAATGTAATCATTCAATATATGAATTTTTATGTCTGATTTCTTTTCCTTAGAATAATGTGTTTGAAATTCATCCATACTGTCATATCCATTGGTAGTTTGCTCCTTTTTGTTACTAAGTGTTATTAGACTATCAGTATAACACAATGTTGTTTATTCATTCACTGGTTGAAGAGCATGTAAGCTCTTTCCTGTTTCAATTATTATGAATAAAGCAGCTATAAAAATCCAAGTACAAACACTTGTATGGACATATGTTTCCATTTCTTTTGAGTAAATATCTAGGAATGTGACTGCTAGATTGTATGGTAAATGCATGTTAAATTGACCAGAAACTGCCAAGTTGATTTCAGAAGTGACTGTGCCATCTTTCATTCCCACTAAGAATGTATGAGAGTTTTGGTTGCTCCAAATCCTTGTCAACACTTGGCACTACCAGTTTTGTCAAGTTCAGGCATCCTAGTGGATGTATAATGACAAGTCATTTAATATTAGGAAAAGTCTTTTAAAACCCTTACCTTTTAAAAATTGGGTTGTTTGTCCACGTATTACTGAGTTATATAAGTTCTTAATATATTCTGAATGTAAGTTCTTTTTCAGAGTCTAGGGGGAGAAAGCTACTAGGGCTAATAAATTAGTTAAGAGAGACTATAGAATATAAGGTCAGTATACAAAAATAATTACATTTCTATATACTATGACAATTAGATATTGAAAAATACATCATTTATAATAACATCAACAATATGAAACAGGAATAAATTCCACAGAATATATACAAGACTTGTGCACTAAAAATTACAAAACAATGCTGAAAGAAACTGAAGAAGACCAAGATAAATACAGACATGCCGTGTTCATTGTATGGGGGCCTCTATAATTAAGATGTCATTTTGCCCACAATGATCTACTGAGTCAATGAAATGTCAATAAAAATCTTAGGCTTTCTTGTTGAAAATAAAAAAAGTTTATTTTAAAAGTTTTTATGAAAATGCAAAGGACCAAAACACTTTGGAAAAGAATAAAGTTGGAAGAATTATACCATTTGATTTTAAGACTTACTCTAAAGCTACAATAAAGAAAACCACATGCTATTGATGTAAGGATTTATAGACCAATCAAACTGAAGTCCAGAAATAAACCCAAATATACATGGTCAATTGATTTTCAATAAAGATGCCAAGGTAATTCAGTGGGAACATGATAGTTTTTCAATGTATTCTGCTAGAACTATTGGATATCCATTTGCAAAGTAAACCCTTACTTCATACTGCATACAAAAATTAGCAGAGCACAGATCTGCATTTAAGCAAAAACCATAAAACTAATAGAAGAAAACACAGGACCTGTGTTAAACAAAGCTTCCTTAGGAAAGAAAATGAAATTTATTAAATTGGATTGTAGAAAAATTAAGAACTTGCTTTTCAGAAGACACTGTTAATTAGATGAAAATTCATTCTACAGACTGGGAGAAAACATCTGACAAATGTCTTGCAATGCTCATGTTTGCAATATTTCTCTGCCTGGTTTCTGTTATTTCCTTTACCTGGTGTGCCCTTTTCCCTGGTCTTGGCATGAAGAGCTCTTATTTCTCTTGGAGAATGGATAAACTTGGATATTAGATCATTTTGTTCAGGAAGGCTTCCCAGACCCTCCAGCTCTTCATGTTCTAGGCTGCTCTTGGCATCCATCAGACTGTACTTTTCTGATCAATTTGCGTGTGTTTTCTATAATAAACAGTTAGTTCATTGAGGGAAAAGAGAGTGTTGTTCATGCTTTCCTGGGTTCTTGGACTGAAGAGCACTCACCTTTTCCATATCCCTATCCCCCACTCTGTCCTCTCTCAAGTAAAACAATTTTTAATACTGCCTCCCCTTCCAGATAAAGCTCTATATCCTTCCATCTTATTGCTGCTAAACTTCCTGAATTCATTCCTATCTGTTCTTCTTCACTGCACCCATTTTTTCTTCAACCCACAGCAGTTTGCAGTTTGGTTTTCTGCTCCTGAACTACTTTCTATTGAAACTGTTCTAAGACTTCCATTGAATTTCTAACTGTCAATTTCACTGAGCACTCTTTATTCCTCACCTTACTTGACTTCCTTGGAGCTTTATTAATTAGCTCCCTATTACATTGTGAAGGCTTTGAGCTAAGGGGTCCTGCTTTATTTGTCTTGGTGGATAAAGAGCTGGAGCACATCCATACAAAGAGAACAAACAGGTAGAGAAAGCTGCATGACAAAAAAAAAAAAAAAAAAAAAAAAAAAAAAAAAAACAGAGAAATGAGAGAACTCCAGGGAGCAGGGAGTCATAGGGTACCTTCCAGGAGGGAATGGCAGACATTCATCTGTTCCCTCACTCAGTTAGCCATCCATTCGACAAACACTACTTGAGTGTTCACTTTATGCCAGACACAGTGTTAGACTCCAAGTCCACAAATGCTTTTCTATACCCTCTCCTGTATGACCATTTGCTTCCGTAAATCCAACTCCAACTCATTTGCCAATCCCTTCCAACTTTATGTCTCTTTCCTATTTTCTGATTCCCAGGTACATATTTCCAACTGTCTACCAGGTATATCTGGCTGTATCTCTGGAGACACTCAAACTCAGCATAGACACATGCATTTTTTCTATAAATTTATGAGTTTTTTTCTATAAGTTTATGAGGTACAAGTGCAATTGTGTTACGTGCATAGATTACATGCTGGTCAAGGACTTTAGAGTATCCACCACCTTAATAATGTACATTGTACCCGTTAGGCAATTTCTCATTTATTCCCTGGCACATACAATTCTGATAAATATAATACATGTATTAAGCATTTCCTCCTGGAATACATATCTCATTTAATAGTAATACTCAATACCCTGCCATGATAATTAACCATGGTTCCCATTTCTTGACTCTCAGCTGGACTATTGCTGGAGTCTTCCATTGGGTCTCCTTGAATATAATTCAGAATCTACAAACCCCCTATGACTGTCTAACTAAAAGACAATTTGAGCACACCATTGCCCTGCTTAAACACCTCCAACAACTTTCTGATACTCAAGCACCCCAAACCATTTGTTGTCCTGCAAATAGCCACATTTATTTGGCTTCATTCCAAGCATCTGCTCTTACTGCCTCCTCTGTGTATGAAAAAAGTCCTCAATACCCTATATTCCCATAATGACTTTTATCACCTTCAAGACTCAATCAAATACAACTTTGGTAAAGTCTTGCTAACTCCCCTCCCCCAGTATGTACTGTGTATTCTTTCATCATGGTGTTGTAAAGATTTGCTTATAAGCTCTTCTTCCATTCTAGATTATCTAAATCATCATTATACTCCTAACATCTGGAATAGAAACGAGTACAAAAACTAGTTTTGAAAAGGCAGCTATTCTCTGATTTTGATGTGACCAGTTTCTATTAGGTGTTATTTGGGAATAGTGTCATATATTTTATGGTGAATACAGTACTTTAAAAAAGATTTAGCCACTTCCTTAGTAGTGGTTTATCTCTCCCTCAGAGAAAACCAGAATGAGTTTTTAATAAAATGATTGAAAAGGTACACCAAATCTCCAATTTAATTATTTCAATTCCAGCAAAAAGGTCTTTCAGAGAAGCTGCCGCTTGGTAAAATGTGATAAAGTTTCAACACATTCTTAAAAATTGTAAATTAATTTATAAACTTCCATTCAAAGTTTAATCTGCTATTTTCACATATGAAAACTCATAAGATTGCTTCCTATTGACTTAGTATTTTGCATCTAGAGTTTAAACTAGAATTTAATCTCTTTCTAGAAGCTTCCAGAGGCACTTGGTGCTTATCAGTGAATGTTGCCCATTTTTACTGCTTTCAGAGTTAGGTAAGGACTCCACACCCAGTGTTCCAGATCCCAACTTAGATCTCTAGGCTTATTTCTCTCAAGTTTGTGTTTCTATTAAAGCAGATCACTTCGTATTATTTTAACACTCCCTGAATTTTTATGGCTTCTATGTGTTTGTTCAGGGGCAGTGCTCTGCCTGCCTGCCACTTCCTCCTGTCATCCTCTAGCCTCTCTTCCCATCTTAACTGCCATTGCCTTTCTGAAATCTCTCTGGCTCCAACCTGAGTTCTCACCTTTCTTATTCACTGGAGTGCTTGCTGGTGATCCTTTGATGGAATTTCTCATATTTCACCCTGCCCTACAGTTATATATATATATATGAAAAAATATAATATATGCATTATATATAACATATATATTATTAGCGTATATATAATGTGTGTGTGTATATATATATATATTTTCCCTTTCTTTCTTTTATTTTAGAGGCAGGATCTTACTCTGTCACCCAGGCTGGAGTACAGTGGCTAGGTCATAGCTCACTGCAATTTGGCCTTTTGGGCCCAAGCCATCCTCCCACCTCGGCCTTTCGAGAAGCTGAGACCACAGGTGTGCACCACCATGCCCAGCTATTTTTTTTTTCATATTTTGTAGAGATGGGGGTTCTCCTTATGTTGCCCAAGCTGGTCGCGAACTCCTAGGTTCAAGGGATCCCACCTTGGCCTCCCAAAGTGCTGGAATTACAGGCATGAGTCACTGCACCCGGCCTCCTTTTTCAACTAGACAACAAGTTTTAGGGGAAGTATTACTGTGTCCAGTTCATCTCTGAGGCTCCCACAATGCCCAGAACAACTTGAAAATAACAAGTACTCAATAATTATTTGTTTAGTTGAGTTTAGTTAAAATAAATTCAAACAGCTTTCTCGTCACTACATGTTAACAAAATAATCATAACAAAGACATACATAATCACAATAAGCAGTCGAGCCAGGATTTGAATACAGACAGTTTGCTATGCTTTAAACTCTTGGATTTGGTTGCCTTGACAGCAGTTAGAATATGTGTTGCAAACTTGTTGGTCCAGCTATGGAGCTTCGCTCTAATTGCAAAAACATAAAAAGTGTCCTGAAGAGACCTAACATTTTCTCCCTGACAGTGTGTGAGAGAAAAAAAAAAGTTTTTATTGAGACATTAGTTTCAAGGAGTAGGAACACATATAAGAGCATTCCTTTCATGAATTTATGATAACCTTATCATCTATTTTCTAGTTTAATTCTTTCAGGATGTATAGATACAAACTTATAAATATGTAGACATAGTCAAACTCACTATTTGCTATCAGAGTGAGTGTTCCCAATTTGAAGACCTAGACAATTGCTCTGAAATCTACCCAACCTGGGCATAAATACAAGTTGTGCTTTTGGTCAGGCTTTGGGGAGGGAATCTGCCTTTCTAATCCTCAATTTCCTGATCTATAAGATAAGGATGCTATTAGGAGTGCAATGCATAACTTACGATAGGAAGATCCACAAGAGGCTCAAAGGTGGCAAGAATGTACTGTATTAAAAGCCAAAGATGTAGGATTTGAAATAAGCTTGGTTTGGTGATCAGATCCTTATTCTGGGCCTTTGGGCTTCAACAAGCAGGAGGAAGTAAGGTCATAGCAAAACATTGTTCAGTGTTGGGACTTGAAATCCATTAAGGGAGTGTGAAAATAATGTTAACTTCATTGGTCCCCACGTAAAGTAACCACTTGTTCTAACTGGAAGCATTATGTTTATTCATTTATAGAATATGAGAAAGAACTGAGTGAACCAATGATGTAGCAAAGAATTTTCCATTTGCATTTTGGGATATATCTGAACCTATTTTTAAGTAGTGTCTGGGGTTTTTCTGGAGGAAAGAAAGTAGAAAATCTCTTTTACATTGTCCTTTAATAGCAGGATCAAAATTTTCCTGAATTATCTGTGATTTTTCCTTATGTGCAGATGAGTTTACTGTTTTTACCATTTGGTATTTCCAGTCAACGTGCCGATCTCCACCATCATCTTGATCAAGAACCCCCTTCCAGCTCCACATCTCTCTGTTAAGAACACCTTAAGTAGGTCTTTTACTTTACAAACCAGTGTACAGTTTCTTTTCTAAAATATTTTGAGAATTTGAGGTTCTGGAAAGATCCAGAGACTACAAATGAGAAACAATAATGCTCATTGCCAAGTGATCAGACACAAAGAATTGCACAGAAATTGAAAAATACCAACCAGCTTTGTGATGCTTCATGGGCTGCTCCAAGGCCAATGCACTGGCTCCCTGGCTGGCTGGAAGAATGTGGGCCTCCTGCTCCAGGAGGAGAATGATCTCAGACCCCATTCCACCAAACTTTCAGCAGGATAGTTTGCCCTTATTTTGATTTATGGGTATTTTCCAATAAAGGTAGGTCTAAGATTTCATTTATCAGTATAATTAAATAAACTTGGAAGAATATATTCAGAAAAATATTTTTCTCCCTTTTTTAGATGGCTCTGTCTAGCTTTGCTCTGCTTATCTTGAAACTACCTCAATACAACCAACAATTTCTGCCAGGGAAGTAGAAAAACCATGCACATAGTGTTGGCTAGTTGTGTGTGCTTTCTGGGTGGGAGAGAACAGTGTAGGATTAAAAGTCAGGCTCTGAGTTCTAACTTGGGTCTAAAAACAGGTTTTGCTACTGACCAGGCTTTGGGGAGTGAATCCATCTGGGTGATTCTTAATTTCCTCATTATAAGACAAGGATAGCAGGCTGGCATGGTGGCTCATGCCTGTAATCTCAGCACTTTGAGAGGCCAAGGCAGAAGGATTGCTTGATCCCAGGAGATCAAGGCTAGCCTCAACATGATAGCAAGACTCTGTCTCTACCAAAAAAATAAAAATAAAACTAGCTGGGCATGGTGGCATGTGCTTGTAATCCCAGCTACTCAGGAGGCCAAGGCAGGAGGATCACTTGAGCCCAGAAGTTTCAGGTTGCCGTGAGCTATGAGTGCACCACTGCACTCCAGCTTGGGCAATACAGTGATACCTTGTCTTCAAAAAAAAAAAAAAAAAAGATATGGATGCTAAGGATCCTATTAAGAGTGCAATGCATACCTTATGGTAGGGAGACCCACAAAGGCAAATAATTCTAATATTTATTGAGCACTAATAGTAGGCACTGGTTTAAGCTCCTTAAATGTATTATCCCGGCCGGGCACAGTGGCTCACGCCTGTAATCCCAGCACTTTGGGAGGCTGAGGCAGATGGATCATGAGGTCAGGAGTTTGAGACCAGCCTGACCAACATGGTAAAACCTGTCTCTACTAAAAATACAAAGATTAGCTGGGCGTGGTGATGCGTGCCTGTAATCCCAGCTACTCAGGTGGCTGAGGCAGGAGAATCGTTTGAACCTGGGAGGCAGAGGTTGCAGTGAGCGGAGATCACGCCATTTCACTCCAGCCTGGGCAACAGGGCGAGACTCTGTCTCAAAAAAAAAAAAGTATTATCCCATTACTCCATGAGGTGGACTCTATTATTAATCTCAGTTCCTTGGAGAACTTGGGGCACAGAAGTGGTTTAGTCCCACAGCAGGTAAGTGCTGGCAGTAATTCTAGCCCTGGCTGCTTCTGCAGGTGCCTGCTTCTCCACTATGCAAAGCTGCTTTTTCACAAGCACGGCTGAAGTGACTCAGGGTGATTTCAGAGCACACAGCAACATGTGCATGTAGTATGCTGAGTGCTTCTGAGTGATGTGACAAGGCCCAAGAAGTCTAGCAGGATTGGTGACGGCTGAGGTTCATCACCTACCTGGGATTAGGGTGTTTGCATTTGGGAGTAAGTGTGATCAAGAGGCCAGCCAGAATTGGGCTCCTGCCACCGTGCTGAGACTGCTCTGCTCTGAGCTTTTCTTGAAAGCCTAAGGGTAGATCAACTTTCCCTTTCCTCTTTGTCTGATATTTTTGCGCCTCATCCCCCCACCATACTATCCATAAACATCAGCAGTCAAATAAATAAAAGAATACTTCTGAGGCTGCCATTTAAGATCCTGTGGGGCTGGGAGGCCTAATAAACATGTCTAGAATACTAGACATTTTTTTTGGCCGACTTCATGTTTTAAGATGCTCCATAACCTCTCCTTTTTTTGTGAAGACTTTCTTCACCTCTTTGCCCCAGATGTAGTGTTTGTTCTTCTTTTATGATGTCTTCCATATGCATCCTTCTCAACCAACCAGGAGTATATAATCTTCTTGAGAACAGGGATTCTTTTATTTTTCTTTTTTTTGAAACAGGGTCTCACTGTTATCCAGGATGTAGCACAGTGCCTTGCCTTAATCATAGCTCACTACAGACTTGAACTCCTGAGCTAAAGTGATCCTCCCACCTCAACCACCCAAGTAGCTGGAACTACAGATGTCCACCATGCCCGGCTAATTTTTTTATGTTTTATAGAGATGGGGTCTCACTATGTTGCCCAGGCTGGTCTTGAACTTCTGGGCTTAAGGATCTTCCTGCCTCACCCTCCTAAAGTGTTGGGATTGCAGGCATGAGCCATCACCACTGGCCTCAGAGAATAAGCATTTTGACTTTTGGATCACGGTATGACCTACAGCACACAGCTTATCATCTAAAAAGTAGAAGCTCATTATGAAATAGAAAAATGTGAAACATCTATAAATCAAACCATTCCATAAACGAAGTCAAGTCAAAATACAAATGACAGATTGGGAGAAAACCTTTGCAACTTATATAACAGTGTATTGTGATTCATAATATATAAATAATTTCTTTAAATTAAAAAAATTATTTAAAAAATGGATAAATGACAGTTATTTTACCAAAGGTGAAATGCAAATAAATGGTCAGTAATGTGGAAAAATTCTAATACTCATTAGAAATTGAGAAAGTGTAAGTGAAATCACTGCCCTCCAAATTTTAAACATATAGGCAAAAACTTAAAAAAGATTTACTTCTAGAAAAGAAAAAAAGAAAAGAAAAAAAAAGAAAAGAAATGAGGAGGGAGGAAAAACATTTATGTACAATGGGTAGTTATGAAAGGGTGTGAAAGAGTTTGAAATCACATATTTTATGTGTAATTATGTGTAGTGTATTAGTCTACTAGGGCTGCCATAACAAAGTACCATTGACTTAGTGACTTTAACAACATAAATGTATTTTCTCACAGCTCTGGAGACCAAAAGTCGGATATCAAGGTGTCTGCAGGGCTGGTTTCCTCTGAGGCCTCTCTCCTTGGCTGGTAGATGGCTTTCTTCTCTCTGTGTCTTCACATGGTCTTCCCTTTATGCCTGTGTCCTAATCTGTTCTTAGAAAGACACCAGTTATATTGGATTAGGGCCCACACCAACAAACACATTTTAATTTCTGTATCCCTTTAAAGATCTTGTTTACAGATATGGTTATATTTTGAGGTAGTGGGGGTTAGAACTTCAACATACAAAGTTTGGGAAGACATAATTCAGCTCATAACATATAGGGGTATACATAGGTAAACACATACTTACTAAACAGGTAGGTGCATGTTACAGAAACAAACCAAGTAGGATAAACTCCAAATTATTAGCAATGTTTACCTCTAGGGTTGGGATGGAATGGATAGAGAATATTTGATTCATTTTCCAATTGTAAAAGGTCTGGAACGATGGTCTTCCATATTTCCCTATTCACAATATAGACGAGGTGCAGGGTCCGGGGATGAAATGCATATGGGGTAAGGTTTATTTCCTTCTCTTTCTACACAGTCAGTATAAGAACACAGCTGTGTTAAACACCAGGAGGCTGTTCTGGTATTATTATTTGTTCCTTGTTCCTTTTTGAGCTTTTCAGGATTTTCAAATGATAATAACAATAATAAAGATAATAGAAATATCGTGTACAGAAACAATATCATCATCAGAGGCACACACTGCCCAGACGCTAGCCAATACTACTCCTACTCTTGGGCAAACAGGAAAGCTACATTTCCCAGCCTTCCTTGTAGTTAGTTAGATTGGATGATTTGACTGAATTTTGACCAAAGTAACATAGGTGGAAGAAAATAAGCCACTTCAAGTCTTGGCCTTAAAACATCTCTTGTTATCTTCCTTAGTTTGCTCCCTATCTTCTTGATAGCTTATTGAATCAGAGTATCTAGTGAGGGAACTCTGAGCCCATTCTCTGAGGTGACAGAGGCGTGTGGTAGAGGAAGAAGCTGGAGTTCCTGAGTCACCACATGGAGTAGATCCAAGATAGCCTGATTTATATCTGACTTTGTGTTAAGTCACTGTGTTTTATGGTTATCTGTTCCAGCAACTAACATTAATTACTATGACAAATATATAACCAATACTAGCTCTTTTCTATAAGGTAAATATCATCCATTAAAATGAAATATGTACACACGCTTCCAACTAGAAATTACTCTTCTAGGAAACAAAGCTTTACAATTAAAACCATGAGTATACAAACATGTGCTTGTAATGATATGCTTGCAATAGGAAAAAAAGTGAACTATATTTTCATCCATAGGTAAATGGTTCAAAAAATTATGGCATCATGATTTATTAAACCCTATGCAGCCATCAAAAAGAAAAATCTAGCTGTATGTACTAACTGGAAAGATACTGATCACATCAAGTTATTTTCACAACAAACCTGGAGGTAAATATCTATAGCATCATTTGTTTTTATAAAAGGTAGATGTATAAATGTGAATAAACTTAAGAAAAATTAGGGAGAATAATGTACACAACTTTATTTTAAATAATAACATTAGGTAGATGGATTTCAAAAATAGCTCCAATTCTTCACCTCTTTTTATTTATGTTCCTTGCAATACAACTTTGCAATTTCTTCTAGCAAGAAGTAGAGTCTGTTCTCCTAGTTCTTAAGTCTAGATTCATATTGGCATTTGCTTTTGACAATAGAAAATGATGGAAACTATGCTAGTTTTAAGCCTAGAACTCAAGATGCCTAGGCTCTTGAGTTCTAGGCTTAAAACTAAGCTAACTAAATTATGCCACCACTATGAGAGCAAGCATATGCTAGCATAATGGAAGAGACCAGCCAAGTTCAGCAAAGTTGTCTATGGATACACGAGCAACCCCAGCTGAGATCAGAAGGGCTGCCATCCTGCAAACCATTCCTACCTTCCATCCTTCTCTGTCTTCTTCCCTCCTTCCTTCCCTCCTTCCTTTTTGGCTTTTTCCTCCCACTCTTTCAGTAAATCTAAGACTTAGCGGTGTAGGGTACTCTAATAGACCATCACATCTACCATATTAGGCCTGTAGTGATTGAGATTAAGAAAGACACTTCTTAGCTCTGGCAACCTACATAGTAAATGGAGCCTTCATACAGCCAGTGCACTGGGAGGGTAGTGCAAAAATTATCATTACAGAACAAAATTATTCCCTTAATAAAACTGTTTCTTAATATATAGTCTGCTTTTTTCCTGCATTAAATGTTACCTACTTCTATTTTTTAAGTGGAAATATATGTATGTATGTATGTATGTGTGTATACAAACCCCCTCACAACACCCCTATATTTTATATTGTATTTTATATATACATATATAGTACATATATAATGTTCATACATAAAATATGTTATGTATTATATTCTTATATAATATATAGTATATATTATATATGTCTATATACACTTACATTTTGATATATTATATATTTATGTTTTACATTATGTTACGTATACTTATATTTTCTTATTTTTTATATACTTCTATATTATACAAACTTATATTTTTACATATGTTTACATTATACATAAAATCATGTAATGTAAATGTATGTATATTATTAGGGTGGTAAAAATGTAATTGTGGTTTCTGCCATTAGTTTTAATGTCAAAAAAACTGCAATTACTTTTACATCAACTGAATACATCTACGAATTTATATATACTACATATTAAAATATAAATATATACTATATAACATAAATATATATATTCTTTCCTATTAGCCCTCTGATACTGGTTACTCAGACAAATGAGATGTGTACATATGTTTTTATCCTTGCCTGCAGCATACAGGCCCTCTGTCTGTGGAAGTAAAGGGAATGAAGAGGCATAAAGCTGTTTATCTAGGGTTTGAAGGGCCATCCTGGTGGGGGTATCACCCAATTTCATTGAGATGGCCACATTTTCCCATGAGCGGCCTTTGCTAGGATGAGAAATTCTCATGAATAATTATGACAGTGCAACAGGAAGATGAATGGCTGTTCCAAGGGAGGCATCACACAGGAAGACTTTTTTAAGAACGCATCATATGAATGTTATAAATAAAACTAAGAGAAAAGCTGACGATTTTATCAGTTGTATTAAATTGTAATAGTTCATTAAATAATATCTCAGAATTGCTTTAGGTGCCAATTAGCTGATCCCCTCCCAACAACAATGGAAACAAGACTGCTGTTGAGCAAGACGTAGGCATAGCAAATAGTAAGTGCTGAATGGTTCCAAAACAGCCCTGGGGTGGAAGAACACTATTAACTGTAAAATAGCCAAATTAAAAATCATTGAAAGTTAGATTTCAATATGGTATTTTCTTTTTCAAGAGAAAGCATGAAATTACATTAAGGCTCATGTTGATTACTCAAAACAGAGAAATAAGGATCTCTTCTTTTGTACAGCAGTGTGTTTGCTGAGTACAAGCCTTCATTTTCCGCTACATTTCTCTGCCTCAGTACATAATTGTTGCCTTGTATGCCAGTTATTCCACACGTATTGAAGTACACCAAGGTGGTGAGCTAATCCTTCGGTTTAATGCAGTATTATGCTTAGAGTAAGATTCACAAATATTTTGAGTGAAGAAATGAATAAAGCTCCAAATTGGATGATTAAAATCACCTTGTATTCTTACAAGGGAATTGGTTAAACACAAAACACACTCAGTTAATGTTCAACTTCATGGGTAATCAGGAAATGCACATTAAATCATCTATGATACATCACTTTTCACCTAACACACACTGCAGTGAATTGTAAATTGCTACAACCTTTCTAGAAAGCAATTTGGCAAAATATATCAAGAGCTCAAAAGAGTTCATACCCTTTGTCAGGATAATAACACATCCAAGAATCTATTCTAAGGAAATAATCAGCGACACAAAGATTTTTGTACATCGTCTTGTAGCTGTAGCACTATTTATAATTGTAAAGATATTACGATTTTGAAACAATGTCTGAAAATAGAATTGTTGCATTTCTATGATTAAAGGGCTATGATTAAATGCTGTGACACCAATAATAATCACGTTTGAAGAACATTTAATCACCTGCAGAAAGGTTCAAGTTCGGTTTTGTATTCTGGTTGTGTGTATGTGAGAGAGAGAGAGAGAGAGAGAGAAATGCTTAGAAAACTCCTCCTGGTATAGAAAAAAAAAGGAAGCTGTATAAAATATATAACCAGAAATATTTGTAATGCATGATGGAGCTTCTGACAAGGAAAAAGAAAACCTTAGAAGTCTAAAAGGGCAAGAAAAGCAGAAATTATGCGGCAAGTAGGCACAGGGGTTAGTATTTTACCTGGGGGATGCCTTGAGTGGGTTTAATAAGTCCTGCGTAGGGGATAGGAAATAAACCATGGTGCTGTTAGGGCTAAAAGTCAAATCAGAGACCCTCATAGAAAGAGTGGAAGTGCTACAGGGCAACACCTACCGTAGGTAGTAGATAGAGAAAACACTTCAGAGAGAGATGGTACAGTTTATGTTTATCTTATGTTGAGTTTGAGTAAAGAAGAAGAAAACTGGAAGAAAAAAAACTCTTTTCCCAGGTGAAGGTATAAACTTTGCTTACGCTTATCTGGAGTTGAGGCCTGTGTTTATATTACATGTAAATGAGTCTCCAAATTCCCAAGATAGAAATTTAGTTGAAGTGTTATAGGTTGGTAATGCCCTTAAAGGCCAATGTTTTATTTGCTGTCTCTTCACTCTGTCCTGAGGGAGGGTTTCCCAACCTAGGGTTATGAAGACGGCTGAACACACCACACTCCACCCTGGACAGAAGAGATCGATAGCAGTTTATTAATCACACACACGCACAGCCTGGGGGAGGAAGACCTCGTGCCATGCAGGGTCACAAGGGGGTTGTCCTTGCAGAGTGAACACAGAGTGGCTACGGGAGGCAGTCTTTGTAGTATTAAGAGGATGAGGTGACCCCTGCTTCATGTGAGAGATTGTGGTTGGTTGGTTTGAATCATTCCGCAGACTGGCAGGAAACTGAAGCCTGCCATTCAGGGGTAAGCGGGCCTTGTGCTTGGTCTCTATGAGAAGTACAGTTTTTTTTTTTGTTTTGTTTTGTTTTTTTTTTGGCTAGGGGACCTTATCCATATTATCCATAGGAGTAGAATTGGGAAGGGAGTGTTACAGTTTGGCCATCTGTGGTCCTCCAAGTTTCAGGTGACAAGGCAGCACGTAATACAGAATCTTAATTTCAGGTCTTAGAGCAGGGGTCTGGAACTCCCGGGCCGCGGACCGGTACCCTTCTGTCGGCTGGTTAGGAACCTGCTGCACAACAGGAGGTGAGCAGCGGCCAGCCAGCATTACTGCCTGGGCTCCGCCTCTTGTCAGATCAGCGGTGGCCTTCTGATAGGAGCATGATAGATAGGAGCGTGATTCTGATAGGAGCGTGAACCCTGTTGTGCATGCGAGGGATCTAGGCTGCACGCTTTTTATGAGAATCTAACTAATGTCTGATGATCTGAGGTGGAACAGTTTCATCCTGAAACCACCCCCGCGTCCCCCAAACCCACCAGCCACCAACTTCATGGAAAAAGGTTGGAGACTGCTGCCTTACACCACATTCAGAAGAAGCAAGAGCAAAACCCCTCTGAAGAGATGCATTTCAAAAGTACCCTCAAGGAATTCCCACAGCTGAAATTCTAAGAAACATCTCCAGACATATTAAAAACCAAGCTGCCTGAGTGAGTCACACTAAGCATAAAACTACCGAATCAGATCTTTAATCACTAGTTGTTAGAATTATCTGATAAAAATATTGAAAAATATGTTTAAGATATCTTTTTTAAAAGATAATATTAAAAGCATGACCAAAAAAAATGAGACTACAAAAATTGACTAGAAAGATTTGATTTAAAAATAGAGATGAAATTTGAGACTATGAATGAAATTAGAGACTAATAGACTGGTTAAACAGTAAATTTAAAGCAGTTGTAAAAAGAAGTAGCAATCTGGAAGAGCCATCTGAAAAAATGGGAGGTTAAGAGACTTGTAAGACAGAAGGAGACACTCCAATAAAATAAACTGTCAATCCTGAATTATCTTTCAAGATAATCCTGAATTATCTTTCAAGATAATCCTGAATTATCTTTTAAGAATGAAGGTTTTTTTTTAAAAGACATTTTAGGCCAATAAAAATGAAAAGGTTTTATTGCTAACAAGAATAAACCAGAAAGAAAAATCATATATTTCAGGTAGAAGGAAAATGATCTCAGAAGGATGATGAGATAAAAGGAGGTATTTTCCTGAATTAACAGAGCAAACATATAGGATGAGGAAAGAAGCCACAAAATACTTAATACATCTAAAATAACTCCATGAAAAATTTTTAAAAAATACAAATATTTATCCAGAAACTGTCAGACTTTAAACAAAGTGATAGGCAATAAAGTAAACTGTGATAAAGTAGAACACCTGAAACGTAAGGACGAAGAAGGATGAAAAATATGTAGCAGGAATGTCCAACAGTGCCAAGAAACTGTTGATCTGCTCTCAGCTCGATCTGTTCTTCACTTTTTCCCTCTGCTCTGCTATTTATTACATAAATTGTTACAGGAATTGGCTCATGTGATTGGCTCATGTGACTATGGAGGGCAAGAAGTCCCACCATCTGCCTTCTGCAAGTTGAAGTACCAGGAAACTCCCTGGTGTAATTCAGCTGGAAGCCGAAGGCCTGCGAATGGTGGTGGGGGCAGGGTGGTGGCAGTGATAGGCCTCAGGTATAAGTCCCAGAGTCTGAAGATCCGAGAACTGGGAGCTTCCATGTTCCAGGGCAGGAGATGATGGGTGTTCCAACTCAAGAAGGGAGAGAGAATTTACCCTTCTTTCACATTTTTGTTCTATTCTGACATTTAATGGATTGGATGATGCCCACCTACATTGATGAGAGTACATTATCTATACTCAGTCTACTGAGGCAAATACCATTCTCCTCTGGAAACACTCTCACAGACCCTCCCAGAAATAATGTTTTACTAGCTTCCTGGGTATCCCTTAACCCAGTGAAATTGACATGTAAAAGAAATAATCACAACTGTCCATTTAAATCACTGTGGAATGAATTGAAATTTGAAAATTTTGTTTGCTACCTAAATTTTTGTAAATGTTCTATGTACTTTTGAAAACAAAATATAATCATGTGCTGCATAATACTGTTTAGGTCAACTATGGATGACATATACAATGGTGGTCCCATGAGATTACGATACTGTATCTTTACTGTACTTTTCTGTTTAAATATGTTTATATACACAAATACTTATGATCGTGTTACAATTGCCTACAGTATTCAGTACAGTAACATGCTATGCAGGTTTGTAGCTATGTGTATAGGCTATGTGCTGCTAGCTGCAAAACTGTATGAGGTTAGCAGAGTATAAAATTCAATACAGACATAAATTACAAAGCCAAATTCTGTCTGCACTGTTTACCTTTTTGATCTAACAAAGGTCAAGAGAACCATGTTAAAGTCTCCTACAAAATTTGGTTTTCTAGTTTCTTTTTCTAAGACGAGAGTCTTAAATACCATGACAGTATGTTATTCAGTATACAGTATATCTTGTGTATAATTGTTACACATTATTTGATAATTATATACCTCTTGCTGCTTTGATAATTTTAGTTGTGAATTATGATTTGTCTGAAATTAATAATGTCATTAGCTTTCTTTTATGTTTACATATACCTTATTCTCTTTATATCATTTGTCTAAGGCATATCTCTGATAAGCATCATAGACTAATTTTTTGTCTTTTTTTTGAGCTAAGGTATCACTCTGTTGCCCAGGATGAAGTGGAGTGGCATATGTCATCATATTTGTTGATTCATTCATCCACGGATGGACATTGGGGCTGTTTCCACATTTAGGTTAATGTGACTGGTGCTGCTGTGAACATGTGTGCACAAGTACTAGTTTGAGGCCCTGTTTCAATTCTTTTGGGCCTATACTTAGGAGTATAGTTGGAAGTCATATGGTAATTCTATTTAACATTTTGAGGAACTGCCAAACTGTTTTCCACAGTGGCAGTGCCAATTTACATTACCAGCAGCAATACACAAGGGTTCCAATTTCTCTAGCTCTTCACCAACACTTATTTTCCATTAAAAAAATAAAAAAGACACCTAGTGGGTGTGAAGTATTACCTCACTGTGGCTTTGATTTGCAATCCTTAAAGACTAATGATGTTGAATAGCTTTTTATATGCTTATTGGCCATTTGTATATCTTCTTTGGGGAAATGGCTATCTGAGTCTATTGCACAATTTTAAAATTGGATTATTTTCCTATTTGTTATTGAGTTGTAAGAATTCTTTATAAATTCTGGATACTAGACCCTTGGCAGATTTAAGACACAATTTTTTTTTCCCCATTTTGTAGTATGTCTTTTAACTTTCTTCATAATGTCTTTTGATACACAAAATTTTAAGCTTTGATGATGTTCGCTTTATTTTATTTTTTGGTTGTGTGTGTGTCAACTCTAGCTAGCCTCATTTTTAAACCCTAGAAATGATGCTGTGACTCTGTCTTTTGAACTTAATACGCTAGAGGCAGTAATTTTTCTTTGAGCTAAGTGATCTGTGCATTGAGTTAAAGATAATGGAATTTGTGATTCCCTTTGATGGAAACAGTCACTTCCTTTTGGTGACAAACCTGAAAACAGATGTTCCACTGTGCAGTTTAATGGCTCTTTCTAGTTAACGTATTATGCATTCCCCTGGAAGCAATGAGTTAGAAATTATTCTTTTCTCAGTTCATTGTCACTATCACCTATGCTTTACTCTGCAGACATATATACAATGTTCTATGGGATGTCAAAGAAGAAATACATTATTCTGCCTAGGAAAATGAATTAAAATTTTAATTCATTTTGTAATAAAATGAATTAAAATTTTAAGGTTGCCAGGCATGGTGGCTCATGCCTGTAATCCCAGCACTTTGGCAGGCCAAGGCGGGCAGATCACGAAGTCAAGAGATCGAGAACATCCTGGCCAACATGGTGAAACCCCATCTCTACTAAAAATACAAAAATTAGCTGGGCATGGTGGCAGGCACCTGTAGTCCCAGCTGCTCAGGAGGCTGAGGCAGGAGAATCACTTGAACCCAGGAGGTGGAGGTTGCAGTGAGCCAAGATTGTGCCACTGTACTCCAGCCTGGTGACAGAGTGAGACTCTGTCTCAAAACAAAACAAAACAAAAACAAAATTTAAGGTAAAAAATATTTGGCAATGTCAACAAACTTTGGAAGGTCATCTTATTTGAGTGCGTACTTGAGTGAAGCAATGAAAGTTTTCCTCTTTGATGTGTATGATTCTTTTCAACTTTGTTCTTCTGGAATGATAGATGATTCACACTCAATTTGGATGAGAATGAGTGCAGTAACATTCATTTCACTCATTCAACAAACAGATACTGAGGGCCTACATGTCCCAGACTCTGCTCCAAGTGCTGGGGATGCAACAGTGACCACCATAGACAGAGTCCTTTCTGTTACAGAGCTTGCATTATAGTCAGGAAGACACACAGTAATCAACTAACAATGACACACAGTAATTTCAGATAATGACAAGTAAGGAAAATGGAACTTGAAAATGTGATATGAGAGGGGACACACATTTTAATAATGTGGTCAAAGAAGCCCTCTGTGAAGAGGTGATATTTGAGCTGAGGTTTGGTTAATGAAAAAAAGCTAGCCATGTAAGAATCTGAGAGAAAGGGATGTGATTTTGGAATGAGCTAAGGAAGTTTAAAGTAAAGCAAGGAAAGTGTGCTGAAGTTGGCTGTGCAGGTGGGAGATTGTGGGCAGATGAGGCTGGTTAGGTGGGCAGGGGCTAGAACTTCTACAGCTTTGTGGCCCATGGTGAAGAGCTACAGCAGCATGGCTCCTCCTCCATCGGCAGCAGTTGGAAGTGGAGCTGGGGATTGTGGTGGCCCAGCAAATGGTCTGAGGACAGCTCTGAAGGGGCACCTGCAGCTGAGATAGGAGGTGGCAGCAGCCATCATCAGGCACTCATGGGGAAGGGAGATGCCAGCAGCCCCCGTCCTCCTGAGTGTGCCTGTCTGCCAGGAGGCAAGAGTTCTATGCAGATTCTTAGGGCAGTCCAGCCAGGGTCAGATTGGAGTCAAAGCCCTTTGTGAACTTCGTCACTTAATGTTGAATATGATTTTTCTCTTGTATATTGACATATTTTCTGTTCTAGAATATATACTTTTGAAGGCAGGACTTTGCTTCATTCAGAGCTGTATCGTCAATGCCTGGAATTGTACCTGATTTAATATTTCAATAAATAAATATCAATAAATCTGTATCAAATTAATGAATAAAAGAATAATATAGAAAGGGTCCCTGATTTTTCCTATTAGTAACGTGGACTGGGACTACAAGAGTTAACATCACTTTTGAAATGGAGATCCTTCTTTAATTTAGCTACATGGTTCCAGATTGCCAATATGTACACAAAACACAGCCAAATGTTTCTTTCTAACCAGTCATATCTTATCAGTGTCAGTTGAACAAAAAGCCTTTTTGTTGAGATACTTTTCAAGAGAATTTTCTTTTAGTAATAGTGAAAATCTGAAAAAAAATCAACCTCAAGACATTTGTTTGTGTGTGTGTTGAAATGTATCAAAGTCTAAGTTTTTGCTTTAGTATAATTATTAATTAAAACTTCCAACTGAGGAAGTCATTTTCCTCCTGTTAAGCATGATTGAATTAGCAAATGTAAGGAAAGCACTTAAAACATAATAAGAATGTCATTTGGTTGTTTATTAAGCTTTTGGCTCTGATATGCAGCCCAGAGAAGTCGTTCTCTATCTTCATGGACAAAAGAACTGAAACTGACAGAACTGGTGATGCATGAAAAAGTCTGTGTCATGCTTTGGTGAAAGCCAGTAACTACATCCAATTTTAGTACTTTTAGGGGTAGGAGATGATCATTTTCAAGAATAGCTATAAATACTCAGCTCTCTGTTGTCTTAGGCTATATGCCTGCATGTGACATCCAAGGAAGTCAAGATAAGGATAAGTAAGATCTTCACTCTTGATCTAAATGACAGAAGAGTTACATGTCTGAACCACTAAGAAACACTTACATTGTTGTTCAGTAAGATAACGCTTGTACATTTTTAGCATTTCTGCCTTTAGCCAGATCACTTACAAAATCATATGCTGTCAAAAACAAAAATGAAAATTCCATTAATGACTGCCATTTGAAAGGTTTGTAGTATTATTTTCAGCACTAATATTAACTGGAAGTCTGCTCAGAAAAGCATGTATTTTTGATACATTTAAAAAATGTACATTTTTATTTATTCTTTTAATACATGCATTCATGTCATACAAGTAAATATTAAATGAACCTTAGTTGAAAATGATACTAAAACAAACAAAATTTTAGATATGAAAAACACTTTCATGATTGTGATGCTGGTCTTATTATATAAAGTGCTTGCTAAGAATAAAAATGAAAATCAAACCAATTGTGGAAAAGCAGATGTTTTGAAAAAATGTATAAACTTGGTAAAAAAAATTTTAACTTAGATTGGGTGCTGAAATTAACACAGAAGTGAAATGTTCTTTCAAATATTTTAGAATGTTTTCTAATAATAAATGTGGTCCCTATTACAGAGCCTCTCTTTCAGCATTGTATCAGTATGGATCATGATGAAGTCAAGAAAATACATAATAATCGCAGGCAAGAAAAAAGTGAAAGCACTCACTATATTGTTAGTAAGTCTATACTGAGAAAAAATTTTAGTGGTGGAATTCCTTATTTTAAATTTTAATGTTGGGGGGAAAGGTTACTACTTACCGAAATGTATTTGAATCTGTCTAATTCTATTTCCATGACCAAAAGCCTCATCCAAGCCATTCCCACCTCGATGGCAATAGCCCCCTCGCTCAGCTCTTTCTCACTCTTGTCTCTCCACCATCCTTTCTCGAAGAGCAACCATAGTGGATCTTTTCAAAACATGGTTCAGAACAAGTCATTCTCCTATTTAAAACTCCCCAGAATGTTCCCTTTACAGGAGAGACAGACTGAAATCCCTGCCCCTGGCTTCACCTGATGAGGCCCTTGTTGAGCTTTCTTCCTACTACTGTCTTTCCACTCACTAGATTCCAGTCACATTTCTCTTTTTTAATTCTCAAACAAACTAAACTCTTCCATGCCTCAGGGCCTTTGCACTAGCTGTCACCAAGTCTTCTCAGGGCCTCCTCTTTCTCGTCATCCTGCTCTTAGCTTAATTATCAACCCTGTAGAGGTTTTCCCTGATCACTCCAACTTACATCACTCCATGGTCATTCTACCACAGCGCTCTGAGATATTTTCATCACAGCCATGTTGCTAACTGACTTGTTCTTAACCTTTCTCGTTTACTGTGTGATACACATACATACAAGAATAGGAGTTCTATCAGTATGAGAACAATGTCCCTTATGAATCTTTCAATGGCTGCACAATCTGTAGTGATAGCTTCTATTTTATTCCTGATATTAAGATTTGTGCCTTCTCTGTTTTTAGACTTGTCAGTCATGCTAGAGATTTTGATTAATTTTTTTAAGGCCAGATTTTTATTTCATTAATTTTCTCTATTGTGCCCTTAGATTCAATTGCATTGATTTTTGCTCTTATATGTATTATTTCCTCCCTTCTGCTTGCGTTGGGTTTATTTTGCTCTTTTTCTAGTATCTTAGTAGGAACCTGGGTATTAATTTGAGACCTTTTCTTTTTTGGAATGTAAATATTTACTGCTCTAAATTTGCCTCCCAGCATCACTTAAGTTTCATCCCACATTTTTTAATAATTTTGTGTTCATTTTCATTACTATGTATTTTTAAATTTCTTTTGAGACTTCCTCTTTGGACATAGAGTATTTGGAAGTGTGTCTTTAATTTCTACGTTGATATAGTTTGGGTATTCGTCTCCTCCAAATCTCATGTTGAAATATGATACCTGGCTAGGCATGGTGACTCATGCCTGTAATTCCAGCACTTTGGGATGCCGAGGGGATGGGTCACTTGAGCCCAGGAGTTTGAGATCAGCCTGGGCAACATAGCAAGACCACATTTCTACAAAAAACACAAAAACTAGCCAGGCATAGTGGCATGTGCCTGTAGTCCCAGCTACTCAGGAGGTCGAGGCTGCAGTGAGCCATGATCATGCCACTGCACTCCAGCCTGGGCAACAGAGCAAGATCCTGTATCCAAAAAAAAAAAAAAGACATTTGATCCCTAATGTTGACAGTGGGGCTAATTGGGAGTTGTTTGGGTCATGCTGGTGGAACCCACATGAATGGCTTGATGCTGTCCTCATGAGTGAGCTGTCACATCTATTAAATTTCTTGAACATTGACCATTAAAAAGAGCCTGGTACCTCCCTCCCCTCTCTGTTCCTTCCTCTTTCATCCTGTGATACCTGCTCCTCTCTGCTCGCCTTTGCCTTATGCCATGAGTGGAAGCTTCCTGAGGCCTCACCAGAAGCAGGTGCTGGTGGCATGCTTCCTGTACAGCCTGCAGAACCATGAGCCAAATAAACCTCTTTTCTTTATGAATTACTCAGCCTCAGGTATTCCTTATAGCAACACAAATGGACTAAGACACATGTGCGTAGACATTTTTCTGTTGTCTTTCTAGTTATTGCTTTCTAGTTCCATCCTACCATGATCCGAGTACATACGCTGTATAATTTCAATATTTATTTATTTATTTATTTATTTTAGAGATGGGATCTGGTTGTTTTGTCCAGGCTGCTCTTTAACTCCTGGGCTCAAGCAATGCTCCCACGTCAGCCTCCTCAGTAGCTTGGATTGCAGGTGCATTCCACGGTGTCTGGCTGTATTTACCTTTATTGAGGTTCATTTTATGGTCCAGAATATGTTATCTTGGTGAATGTTTCATGGGCTTTTGAAAAAAAAGTGCACTCTGTTATTATTGTTTGCAGTGTTCTATATGTTTCAACTAGTTGCTGTTGGTTGATTGCATTGTTCATGTTTTTTGTATCCTTGCTAATTTTCGTCTGGTAGTTCTATCAGTAGCTCAGTGGGATAGAAAGTCCCCAACTGTAATTGTTGGTTTGTCTCTTTCTCTTTTCAGTTCTATTTGTTTTTGCTTCATGTATTTTGAGGCTCTGTTGTTGAATGTGTACATATTATGTTTTCCTGGTGGACTGATTCTTTTATCATTGCGCAATGTTCCTCTGTCTCTGGTAATTTTCTTTGTTCTGAATTCTGCTTTATCAGCTATTAAATAGTCACTCCTGGTTTTTTTGATAACAGCTTTATTGAGATATAATTTACATATCATACAATTAACTAAAATTAACTCAAAATGTATAATTCAATAGTTTTTAGTATTATATTCATAGTGTTGTGCAACTATTATCACTATCAAGTTTAGAACATTATCATTGCTCTAAAAGGAATTTCTATATTCTTTAGCTTTTAACCCCAATTCCTTCTTTCTCTTCCCTAGTCCACCCCAGCCACTAACCTACTTTCTGTCTCTATGGATTTGTCTTCTGGACATTTCATATAATTGGAATAATAGAATATATAGTCTTTTGTGACTAGTTTCCTTCACTTAGCACAATGTTTTCAAGGTTTATCCATGTTGTAGCATGGTATGATTTATATTCATGACTGAATATTATTCCATTGTATGGATATACCGTATTTTGTTTATTCATTCATCAGTTGATGGACATTTGTGGTGTTTCTGTCATTTGGCTATTATGAATAACATGCCTATGTACATTCATACACAAGTTGTGTGAACATGTGTTTTCATTCTCTTGGGTATGTATCTGGGAATAGAATTGTTGTGTCAAAGGGAAATGTTATGTTTAATATTTTGGGGAACTGCCAGAATATTTTCCAAAGCACCTGCAACATTTTACTTTCACACTAGCATTAGCTACCTTTCAGCTGATGAGAGTGCAACCCTTAAACTACGTACTGGAGATGGTGGAGATGCAACATGAAACAGGGTGGATTGGACAACCCATCCTCCACCCCTCATATACCCACATTGAAATACACCAAGGCTGTTATTTTCAGCCATTAGCCGACTCAGAATAATAGATGGTTTATTGTTTATCCAGATGCTCCCATAATTATTATGTATTTGGGCATATAATCTATGGTTCTGAAGAGTACCAAATGACCGTGATTCACATCTCTTATACTTTTGGTAACTCTTACATGAGTTAAAGCCATAAATATTTATTTATTCTTAATTTTATGTGGAATTAACCCCCAAATTCCATATAGGAAGGGTGCATTTTCTACGTAGTTTTCACCTTGTAAATAGTACAGAAAATGTCATAAACAACATTTGTGTTCATTAATTTTACCCTGACTTCTCTGTAGATGCCAAGACTCAATTTCTTCTTTTTCTTTCTTTCTCTTTCTTTCCTTTCTTTCTTTCTTTCTTTCTTTCTTTCTTTCTTTCTTTCTTTCTTTTCTTTCTTTTTCTTTCTTTCTTTCTTTTTCTTTCTTCTTTCTCTTTCTTTCTCTCTCTCTCTTTTTCCTTCCTTCCTTCCTTCTTTCCTTCCTTTCTTTCTTTCTCTCTCTCTTTCTTTCTTTTTATATATATATGTATATTTTTATTATACTTTAAGTTCTAGGGTACATGTGCACAACGTACAGGTTTGTTACATATCTCTTTCTTTCTCTCTCCCTCCCTCTTCCTTTCTTTCTTTTCTTTTCTTTCTTTCTTTCTTTTTAATTAAGATTTTATTTTTTTAGAGCACTTTTAGGTTCACAGCAAAACTGAAAGGAAGGTATAGAGATTTCCCATACATCCCCTGCCATGACATGTGCATAGTCTCTCCCATTAAGAACATCCTCACCAGAGTGGCACATTTGTTATCACTGATGAGCCTACATTGACACGTCATTACCCCAAGTCCATAGTTCACATTAGGGTTCACTTTTGGTGTATTTTCTGTGGGTTTGGAAAAATGTATAATGACATATATCCACCGTTATAGTATCATACAGAATATTTTCACTGCTATAGTACCATACAGAATATTGTCACTGCTCTAAAAATCCTCTGTGCTCGGCCTATATTTCCCTTTCTCCCCTCCAACCCCTAGAAGCCACCGATCTTTTTATAGTTTTGCCATTTTCAGAATGTCATATAGTTGGAATCACATAGTATGTAGCCTTTTCAGTTTGGCTTCTTTCACACTAATCATATGCATTTTTGGCTCCTCCAGGTCTTTTCATGGCTTGATAGCTCACCTTTTAGTGCTGAATAATATTCCACTGTCTGATGTGTCAGAGATTATCTGTTTACCTACTGAAGGACAACCTGGTTGCTTCCAAGTTTTGGCAATTACGACTAAAGCTTCTATAAACATCCATGGGCAGGTTTTTGTGTGGATATATCTTTAACTCCTTTGAGTAAATGCCAAGGAGCACAATTGCTGAATTGTATGGTAAAAGTATATTAAGTTTTATAAAAAACCTCCAAACTGTCTTCCAAAGTGGCTGTACCATTTTGCATTCCATTGTCAGTGAATTGGAGTTTTTGTTGCTTTCCATCCTCACCAGCATTTGGTATTGTCAGTGTTCTGGATTTTGGCTGTTCTAATAGGTGTGTAGTGCTATTTCATTGTTTTTTTTTAATTTGATTTGCATTTCTCCAATGACATATGATGTGCAGCATCTTTTCATATGCTTATTTACCATCTGTACCTCTTCTTTGGTGAGGTGTCTATTAAGAATTGTGCCCATTTTTTGATTGTTTGTTTTTTATTGTTGAGTTTTAAGTGTTCTTTTTATATTTTGGATAATAGTCTTTAATCAGATATGTCTTTTGTAAGTATATTATCCCAGTCTGTTGCTTGTCTTTTTATTCTCTTGACAGTGTCTTTTGTAGAGCAGAAAATTTTAATTTTAATGAAGGGCAACTTATCAATTTTTAAAAATATAGATTGTGTTTTTAGTGTTTTATCTAAAGATCCATCATCAACCAAAGGTCATTTAGATCCTCCCCTATGGTATCTTTTAAGAGTTTTATAGTTTTGCATTTTACATTTAGATCTGTGATCCATTTTGAGTTAATTTTTGTGAAAGGTATAAGGTCTGTGTCTAGATTCTTCTTTTTGTGTGTGAATTTCCAGCTGTGCCAGCAGTATCTGTTGGAATACTATATTTGCTCCATAGTATTGCCCTTGCTATTGTTTTGTCAAAGATAAGTTGACAATATTTCTGTGGGTCTATTTCTGGGCTTTCTCTTCTGTTCCATTCATCTATTTGTCTGTTTTGTTGCCAATACTACACAGTCTTGAGTACTGTAGCTTTATAATAAGTCTTAAATTCAGATATTGTCAGTCCTCTCACTTTGTTCTTCTCCTTCAATATTGTGCTGGTTATTTTGGGCTTTTTAACACCTGAAAAAGATGCCTGGAAACCAATGTTCAGATGGCATTTTTAGTCCTTTAGGAATGTCTTATGCACTAGACCACCCAATGGAGCCACTCTCATCAAGAGTATCAAGGACCTCCATGTTGCTAAATTCAGTGGTCAGTTGGTCAGTTCTCTTTCCTTTGATTTCACCTTCCATATCGGCATAATTTCTTCATGTAGCTTTAAGGCCATCATCCTCTTTAGGTTTTCCTTCTATGTCACTTAACTGGCCTCCCTGTTTGTATTTTTGTGTTTCTACAGTCTAGTCTCAATATATTAGGGAAATTATTTTTTTATAAAGTGTGAGTTAATCACGATACTTCTTTCTTCAAATGCTGCAAGTGGCTCCTCATTTTATTAGAGACCAAAGTCCTTAAAATGGCCCATTTTCCTATGTTTCTTCCTCTTGCTCACTCTGTTCTATCCAATTTGCCTCCCTTGCTTCTCCTTAGACATGCCAGATCCTCTCCTAGCCTGTGTGCTGCCTGCATCCTCTGAAAAGAACACTGGTCTCAGTTTGAAACTTTCTCATATTCAAGTTTGAACTTAAATGTCAACTTTCCAAAGAGGCCTCTGTTGACTACTCTACTTAAAATTAAGCCACCCTTTACCGTGTTCCCTCTCTCCTAATTTGTTAACCTTGCTCTTTATTTGTTTTGCTTTGCACATAATTTATAATACATTATATAACTTACCCATTTATTATGTGTATTATTTATCAACTGCCACCACTTCTAATCCTACTAGACTATAATTTACACAAGAGAAGAAATCTTAATCTTTTTGTTCACTGATGAATTCAAGGCCCATGCACAATGCCTGGCACATAATACATGCTCAATATGTGTTTATTGAATAGAGAATAAATAAATCTCCCACCAGAGAAAGTCAAAATCATCATCAAAGATACCAGAAATATAATTTCTGTTACAAATTAGTGACTCTGATTTGTTTATATTAAAAAATTATCCAACAGGCCATGGAAAGATTCACAAAAACATGAAATATGTAGACTGGCAATAAAATTGTAAACAGCCAGCATTGTTTTTCCAAACAGCATCAAAGAAACTTTACCAATAACAGAAGATCTTTGATACTGGTGCATTAATGAAAGACAATATTTCAGCCTAATTAAATTTACAGTGCAGAATAGGAAAAAGTTAAGTCTTTGTGTGGTTATTAAAATACATTATTTATGTTAATATCATAAATCTTACTTGTGAATATATTCTTGATTTGCTCTATTAGCTCTGCGATTTCATAAATGTAACTATTGATTGCTTTTAAATTATTGTCTAAAAATTACTTATCCTTGTAGCTTCTAAACCAATGTTTCTCAAAATGTGTTCCAAGAAATGTTAACAGACAGTTTATGAAAAAGGAGAGTCTAAGCTCAGGTAAGTTTGGAAAACACCAAGTTAAATTTCTTCACTACGGGACTGCATGTACCTTTGAATTTTTCTAGAAGAAATTTGGTGGGCAGCATTTCCCACATTTATTTGATCACAGAACCTTTTTATTCAAAGACCATCAATATTCTGGGAAACAGTGCTATCCATACCCAGGTAAAACTATGATCTAGTATGACATTTCTGTTATATTTACCACACACATGGTGAATACATTTGTGATTGTATTTACTTCCTCTCAAATGATTACCAAGTGATAGTACTTTGCGGGACATCAGTTACATGAGTCCTACAAAAAAAAAAAAAAAAAAAAAAAAAAGCTTTGCAGATTCCTGGATAGAAGACATATAAAAACTAGGTGGAAGTTAGACATTTATCAAACACTAATGTAGAGGGGGTCTGGGGCATAACAACAGCCGAAATTTGAAGAGAAAACGGTAAGCTGAGAAGAAATAGAGACAGCAGAAAGGATGGAGAGAGGGTTGAGAAAAAGCATGCTTAACATTTTCAAGCCCTGATATGCAGCCAGAATCCAGATTTGGGGCAAAAGATTAAAAACTTGGAAAAGCCTCGGTGCCTATGTCCCATTGGAAGTGAAAAAGAGTGGGGGCTCCTGCTCTGTTCCTCACTTCCATTATTTCAAGCCACATTTCCATAAAAATTATCAAGAGTGAACAAAATGCACATTTCATACAATATGGCTGCTTTTCTTTCCTAACAAAAGAATGAATTGCCTCAGGAAATTAGATTCTTGTGACATTTGTTCCTCTTTACCATTGCAATGCAGTGTTCATTCTCTGATTCCAAAGGACAACTGATTAGCAACACATGTGTGACATTACTGAAGAAGCCAAACTTATGTGGCGTGAAATATTTCTTTAAAGACAGTAATACGGAAAAAAAGGGTATGTTATTTTGGGGAAGATGTCAACTAAATTTATTTTGTCTCAACATTAAACAATTTTATTTTGGGCCACAAAACTGTATCATATTGAGATATCCCCAAGAGTATGAAAATGATCTTCTATCTTGAATATGTTATTAAATGACTTATAAATAATTATATATGTACATAATAATTACATCTATTTGATATTTAATTTGTTTAACTAAGTTACACTGTTCCTTTAGGTAATCAATTTTAAACAGATTTGTTTGAAATTTATAGAGAGTATTTAGAAGTAAGGCACATAGTTTGAACAAGAGCTGTGCACTGACCAATTGTCCTCCCATCATAACATCTAGCAGTTGATTTATATAGTTTGTCAGGATACCTACTAGATTTTGATATCTATTATTGGATTAATATCTTCATCACTTTTAGGTTGATGTTGCTGAAGAGTACAGTCAATTGAGTGCCTTCTCTTCATTGGGCGTTAGTCTTTATAGTAGCTTCTGCAGCGTCAGAACTTGCAATGGAAGAGATATTTTTCTAGCCCAGTGGCTTCTGCTGGGTTGTAAACAGTCCGCTTGTATTTAAGGGAAGGAGCATGGCCTATAACATGACAGTCCCTGCTCAGTTCGTTGCTTCTGCCACCTGCCTTCTGGCTTAATGTTGGAAGCAAGAAGCATGCAATTAAGTGTGAGGAAATGAAAATAAATGACACCGTTCATTGCACATTACAAAGTGCCTGGCAGAAAGAGTGCTCCTTGTAGAGACCCAGTGACCCTGTGGAAAATGTGCCTCTGTTTGAGAAAATGCTGGGACTGAGACAGTGACCTGGGTTTTCTCTCTCATCTAATGTACCTATGGTTGCTGTAACACTCTTACATTTCCTTCCTGGTTTAAAAAACAAAACCAGAGAAAATTATGTTTTGAAAACAAAATAAATTGCAAATACAACTATATAAATGCCCAGGACATTCACTGTGTAATGATTTGTAGAGTCAATAATTAAATTTGAGTACAAAAGAATATACTCACAGTGACATTTTAGCTGATTTTGTAAGGTAAATTCTATAAAAACAATGATTTTAAAGTAAATAATTGATTTTTGGGAGCAACCATTTGAAAATTGTTTTGTAAAATAACATATTTTAAACCCAATTTATTTTCAAAATTGCACCTTAAGAAGCATTTAGGTAAGCTATATTGGGTTCACTTGGTAGCAGTTTAGTCATCCTCAGTGGACATCAAAACGTAGGCTGTGGCAGGTGGATACTCTATTGCATTCTATGCATAGACAGTTCTACCTCCTTTCCAATGAAGAATTGAGAGCAGGAAGTGAATTGCTCTTGGTCACAGAGCCCAGGAGAGCACGACTGAGCTGACAGAGAATCTCAGAAGCTTTCAATTTCACACTAAGATTTAATCTAGTTAATAAAGACATCTTTTGGATGTGTATATCATTTCCAGATGAGAACAGCATTACAAATCATTCTACCATACAGATTTAGTACATATTGCAGAAAAAATGCAGAACAATTATATACAATATATTTTAAATATTGAGAGGGTTGAGGAATTTGTAGACTCTTTAAGAAACTCAGGAGTGATTTTCATAATGAAAACTCATCATCAATATCTGCAGGAACTCCACATTACAGAAAATGGTGCACGTAGGTCTTTTCCTTTGGCAAAAAAAAAAAAAAAAAAAAAAAAATTCCTCAAAGCAGGCAGAGGCATGAAAATCTCAGGCCAGCATTCCAAATATTATCTGCATTGGGAAACTACCCCTCTGAAACTGAGAATAATAGAAGGCTAAGGACTCAGTAGTAAATTAATACTTAAAGTTTTAAATATTTTTGTAATTCAAATCTCTAATGTTAACATTGCTAATGTCTGTAGTAACCTAATAATTCAAGTTTCATTTAAACTCATTTATTTATTCTGCTTCAAATTTTGATGCAAATGGCTCAGCAGAGTGGAGAACAGAAGGAGCCATGTGGTAGATGCTGGGATAACCTGTTACATGTTGCCAGGAACCTCTTTATCAATAAATAATTTATCCCCTGAGCCACTAGGAGGGCTGCTGGAAGATGGTGCTCAGCTGTAGCTCCTCTATGGGTCTGTCTTCCATGAAGATGGTTGCCTCACCAGAAAGCTTATCTCCTTTCAATGACTGATCAATGTGGGTGTATAAGGGCCTGGCTGCCTTGCCCCATCTCAGAACAAGGGATGTGGAAGGAACATGATGGGAACATTGGTGACATGGAGTTCTGGGGAAGAGCTATGTGCCTAGATCTCTCCAAATGGTCACAGAATGGGACAATATCTGTGTTCCATGTGAAAGCTCACTGATGGGTGGTCTTGGCAAAGGAGGAGTTTAAAAATGAAAAGGATAGTATGATTTGTTCCATTCATACCAATCAGCCTCTTTTCATAGCTGCCCCTGTTATTGCCTCATGGGCTCATGAACAAATCAGCCATGGTGGCAAGGAAAGAGGTTGTTGGTGGGCACAGAAACACGGACATCCATTCACCAAGGCCAGCCTTGCTACAGCCACTACTGAGTGCCCAATCTTCCAGAAACAGAGACCAACATTGAGCTGCTGATATGTCATCTTTCCCTGGGGTGATCAGCCAGCTACCTGTGGCAGCTGATTACATTGCACCACTTTCATCAAGGCAAGGACAGCATTTTGTTTTTACTGGAAGAGATTCTACTGCAGATATGAATTTGCTTTCTCTGCCTGTAATAGGCTGCAAAAACCACCATTTGTGAGCTTACAAAATAGTTTTTTCACCGTCATGGTATTCCACACATTATCGTTTCCCACCTAGGAACTTATTCATAGCAAAAGAAGCATGGCAATGGTCTCCTGTTCATGGACTTCACTGGTCTCACCATGTTCCTCGCCATCCTGAAGTGGCTGGCTTGATAGAATTGTGGAGTGGCCTTTTGAAAACCCAGTTAAGGCATCGGTTAGGTGACAACACCTGAGGGCCGAGGCAATGTCCTCCAGAAGGCTGTATATGCTCTAAATCAGCATCCAACGTATGGGGCTGTATCTCCCATGGCCAAGATTCATGATTCCAGAAATCAAGGGGGTTGAAATGAAAGTAACATCACTGCCTATAATCCTTAATATCCACTAGCAAAGTTTCGCTCCCGTTTCCTGCTACTTAAGGCTGGCCTGGGCTAGTGGTCTTAGTTCCAAAGAGGAATGCTTCCATAGGGGATGCAACAAAGATTCTATTGAATGGCAAGTCAGTACTGCCACCTGATGTAGAAAGATTTGTGAAACCAAATTTATTTTTTTTGCTAGAGGCAGAATTGTATTCCATCTCTTTGACTTCTAACCAACATGGGTGTCTTTTGTAACTATGCTTATATTCACATACAGAGAGACAGAGGGTGAGAACAAGTGATTATGCTCCTTCATTGTCAATTTTTAAGAGAAAAGATTGCCATTATTTCTCTAACCCATAGTAGCAGCAACATGGCAATAAAAGCCCAGGCTTTTAGCCAGATAGGCAGTTGTGTTCAAATCCCAGTTCCTTGATTTACTAAGTTACTTAAGTTTTCTGGGGCTTAGTTTTTTATCTGTCATATAGGGCTCTATCCATCTATGTTGTGAACTAATAAAGCAGAGCATGTCATAGAGTGAGCATAGCGCCTGGTTGGATATCAGAAGGGGCAGTCCTGGTTTGCACCTGTTCTCTTGGAACAATTATTCATAATTAGATTAATTGATACTTATAATGGTATTAGTGATTATACTAATTATTAAGTGCTCTCCCTCTTAATCTCAGAAGTTTACATGACAAATTATATGTTCACTCTAATCATCATCAAATGTTAGTTTCTGTGCTCCATTTTCCTGTTGCTTATTGTTGAGAACATTGCTGTAACATGGAATTGTAAAGTCTATTCAATGATTAAAGTGCCAATTGAAGATCCTATTCCAGACGTTGGCTTTATTCAAGGGGATGTGTTATATGGACTGTCAATCTCTAATGTGATGGCATTTGGAGATGGGGCCTTTGGGAGGTAATTAGGTGAAATGAAGCCATTAGGGTAGCAACTTCATGATGAGATTAGTGGCTTAACAAGAGAAGGAAGAGAGAAATGACCATGTGAGCACATGGAGAGAAGGCAGCTATCTACAAGCCAGAAAGAAAGCCCTCACCATAAACGAACCAGAAAGCCCTCACCCTAAGCCAACTATGCTAGCACTTTGATATTGGACTTCTAGCTTCCAGAACTAAGAGGCTGGGAGAAATAAGTGTCTGTTGTTTAAACTACCCTGTCTCTGGTATTTTCTTATAGCAATCTGAGCTAAGGGTGATAAAATAGATATCTTGTTTCCCTGTAAAGAGTTCTTGAAAGAAAGCCTTAAGATAAATAAAATGTAATCCACCATTTAGACATTATAACGTGAAAAGTTTACAAATATCAGTAGAATTATTGTCACCTCATATTTTAACACACTTTCTACCTGGGGCTGCCTGTGCTTTGTTGCACATAGAATAGTCTAGAAGGTAGGACCTTCAATACTCATTCATGATTACTTACCAGAGGCGGAAAGTCGACTCATGCATGGCCCTGGTCACAGCCTCTGAGGACACATTTCTTATATCCTTTCTTTGCTAGACAACTTTGAGAAGAATGTTCTGTCAGGGTATTTATAGAAGCCATTAGCATGATGAGTGAATTCTATGGATAAGTGATGGCTCTTTAAAAATATGGCCTTAAGAAGAGAAAGAGAGAAACTCGTAGGGTGTCTTTTCCAAATAGCAGATTGCTATATTTGGGTGGTCTGAGGATTATGACAAATGTCAAGGACTGCAGACCTCACGAAAGCAGCTCATTATAGCTGAGCACACAGAATGCCACATTCAAGGTTGAGTAGCTGATTTTGTTGCAAACACTACTTTTCAGATTATACCATTTGAAATTTTTAATTAGCCATGAATCCTTCTAGGGATAACTTTCCCACAGCTCTTTATAACACTGTAAAAACAAGTCAGATTTTGCTTCGGCAACCTAAAGAACTCAAAATAAGGGTTTCAGTGTGATAATGATTGTTTCCTCCTCAAATGCTAATTTTGAAAATTCATATTTCAGAAGAATGGATGCTCCAATCCTATGGTCATTCTGCATTTCTAAATCTCATTAAAGTTAATGAATTCTGAAAATTAAAATAATAAAGAGAGCCTTTACAGTTTGACTGAATTTTTAGTTTAATAAAATAAGGCCCAGTGAAACACTTAAACCTGTTGGTAATGTCCACTTTACAAATGGCTGCTGGATTCATACACAATGTCTTTATTGTTGGGCTCATGGTGTGGACAGCATGAGGGACAACCTAAAAAAAGATTCCTGTCTTGGGCTTATCTGCTTAGACTCAGCGTATGTCGGATATAGAGAATGTGAAAATCCAGTATATTGACAAAAACACAATCCTTTGCAATGGAGGCATTCCACAAAAGGTTGCATTCTTGGAGCTGATGCTGAAAGAGATTTTGGTACATATATAATTACATTGTTGCAAGGAACACAGATAATACAATTCTACATAATAACTGTAGTGTTTCACATGGACTATTAACATTCTTGCCTAGTTTGTTTAACTTGTTTAACTCACATTTATTCCCTCTATTGAGTAGTTAATGACAAATCATTTCTACTCTCCTGTGTGTGTATGTTTTCCCTTGGATACCAGATCTCCCCAAATCCATATTTTAGAAAGTCTCTGTGAGATAGCATATTTTCCTCTGAATTTCTATAATTCATATATTTCTATAACTTTCTGGCAGGCTCAAAGCTTCAAACAAACTCCACAAGTTCGTTTGTTTCTTTAATCTTTTTCCCTGTAGGTTGCTCTAAGCCTGTATTATCTAAAAAGGAGATACGAGTTTCTAAACTTATTATTCAACGGTTAGCATCCGCATTTTGCAAATGGGGACACCAAGGTACAGAGAAACTAAGTACCTCATCCAAGGTCACACTCAAAGTTGTGAATAGATATTCTCCAAATTTTGTCCAGCAATAGAGTTCTATGACTTTGTGAGGCATTTAGTAACCTAAATTTCAGTCTAGACATCCTTGTGTGAACTCAGAAATTAACATAATCTTATAAATCATAGTTTATACTAGCTTAAAATGGAAATGCTAGAATTATGAGGCAGAACAGTGTGAGAAAAGACTAGTTATTTCTTTTTTAAAAAATTGTTATTGTTAAGAACAAAGCAATAATTGGTACACCACATCAAACCAAACAACCTTTATTGCTAAAAGACCATGATAGTCTGAGTAAACAAATTCAAAGAACTAATTGAGCACAATTCCAGGAAAGCAGTAAAAGTTGATGAGACAACTCAGCTACATCAGTGTATGATCTTTAACTTTTTCCCAGGAACCAAATCAAACCAAACCAAAAACAAAGAAAATCCAAACTATACAAATAGTAAGGTAGTGGTTAATGAAACTGTCGAGGATGGATATAAACAGAACAAATCATTAAAGTTCCATAATTTCAGGAATTCCTTCTTCACACATATCGTGTTAAAGATTACTTCAGCTATAGCAATATGATTTGATATTTATATTTTTCAGTTTATGTCCCTATCCTGGAATTCCTGTGATCTGCTGTGGCTCACAAAGCTGCAAGATTACTAAATGGAGCATCCTTAATCCAGCACTTAGTTAAGCCTTGAGGAAACTTTCCTAGTTCTTGCTGAACTCATTCACATGTAAAGTTTTTCTTACCTAGAATTTCCAATTTGGAACATAGAGGTAGTGTCAAACTGCACTGTGCTGTGTACTAAGATCAAAGGAATACACTTCCTTGTATATGAGATCATGGTTTGTTGAGTCATATAGTCTGTGTTCTCTTGATAAAGAATGGATTTTATAACACTCTTGACTGCTCAAGAAAATAAGTACAGTCCAAGATATTATGCTTTTCATAAATAAAAAAGAGCCTCACAGACATCTTCTCCACAGATACACTTAGAATGACATAGTGTATTTTGATCAAAATGTATGTTATCCAGTCTCGAAAATCTCAATGAAAATACCATGGGACTGACAGGGTATTTTTAAGGTATGAAGTTAGATTCACAATATATTTAAATAATACATTTTATCAGTCATTCAATACATTCATTAAGTGTACAAGTGTTCAAAAGAATGGTGAATGAAATAAAATCCTTATCCTCAAGGAGCTTACATTCTAGGGAGAACTGCTTAAATACCAATTATCCAATGTAGTCATAATGGTTAGAACAGATGTGTGATGGGCTAACAATGAACATAGGAATAGTCCTACCCTTCCCGATCCCCAAATACTAAAGAGGGTTCTGGCTCTATCCACTTCATTCCCTTTCTTTCTGTCCTCCCTAAGAAGGGGCCTTGCCGAATGAGCTCTGGGGTGTTTGAGATGAAATATTTTGAGCAAAAGAAGACAGGAGAAGGACAAGAAAATGTATACCAAAAAAGATGACAAAATAAATTATTTTGGGAAATAAATTGTGTATTATACATAGTAGGTATATATATTTATGAGTACATGAAGTATTCTGGTACAGGCATGTAATGTGTAATAACCATATCATGGAAAATTGGGTATCCATCCCCTCAAAGCACTTATTTCTGTTAAAAACAATCCAATTATATCCTCTTAGTTATTTTAAATTGTACAATTAAATTATTATTGACTATGGTCTCCCTCTTGTGCTATCACATACTAGGTCTTATTCATTCTTTCTAACTATTTTTCTTTGTACCTGTTAACCATCACCACCTCCCTCCCACCCACCACTACCCTTCTCAGCCTCTGGCAACCATCCTTCTATTCTCTGTCTCCCTGAGTTCAATTGTTGTTAGTTTTAGATCCCACCAATAAGTGAGAACATGTGATGTTTGTCTTTCTGTGCGTGGCTTATTATACTTAATGTAATGATCTCTAGTTCCATCCATGTTGTTGCAAATGACTGGATCTCATTCTTTTTTATCGCCGAATAGTACTTCATTGTGTATATGTACCACATTTTCTTTATCCATTTATCTGTTGATGGCCACTTGGGTTGGTTCAAAATCTTGACTATTGTGAACAGCGCTGCAATAAACATGGGCATGCAGATATCTCTTTGATATACTGATTTCATTTCTTTTGGGTATATAACCAGCAGTAGGATTGCTGGGTCATATTGTAGCTCTATTTTTAGTTTTTTCGAGGAACCTCCAAATTATTCTCTATAGTGGTTGTACTAATTTACATTTGGGAGGGAAAATTTTGAGGAAAAAAGGCAATACATTAGGGATAAGGAGAAAGAAGATTTTTTTATAAGTGTTGCTGGGGGATTATAGGTTTCTTTAAGGTGTTAGAGAAAACAAAAATGCTGATTTATCTTGAATTTTTGGGGGGGAATTTGTGTGTTTTTTAACCATTGTACTGCTTTAGAACTGAATCATGCAGGTAATAATTAATCCTTTTTAGTATTTATTAGAGGATGCAGAGTGAGCATCATAGAGTATAATTGAAGCAAAGGATCAGCACGTTCCACAGTGCCTCAGGGACCAGGAACATTCTAGATGGAGGAATGGGCCAGCTGGTCCTGGGAGACAAGTGGAGGCCAATCAGGAGAGGATGGTGTGAGTCGGGGTGGTAAAGGAGAGTGATCAAAAGGAGAAAAAGAAGGCAAAACCCCAGAAACAGAGGGAGGAAAAATGTAAAAGGAAAGAAAGATTGTTGCATTGACGGACTTTTGGGAGATTTTTCAGGTTTTGTACTCTCATGTGGAAAGTTTTGTTACAATACAAAATGCTGCAATAAACAGGCAAATACATTTGTGCCATTACTTCTGTAGAACAGATTTATACAAGTGAGTGGAAAGGTCAAAGAGCATTGTGTAGTTTATTTTAACAAATATTTCCAAAATACTTTCCCCAAAGTTTGCAACAACTCATGCCCTCACCACCAAAATCCTAGGGAAGATCCTGATTATTCTGACTTGGGTCAGACTGGCATTGGGAATCATCACTGTGCCAGATGGCGCATGGGAGATTAACACATCCACCAGGTAGGGGCCACTATAGCATTCTGTTCATCGTGAATTCGCAGTTCAAGCAGAGTGCCAGGTACATAGTATGCATGTTTTCAAACATTTTACTGAATGAATAAATAAGAGTAAGAGGATGGAAGGCAGAAAGTGGCACCGGGGACATAGACATTGGGGAAAATGTGAGAATGTTTAGCATGTGGTATTCATGGAACTTTGTGACCAGTTGGATGAAGGAGGTAAGAAAAATGAAGGGACAGAGGATGATGCCAAACCTCTTCCATATGAATTACGTAAATTTACTAAAATAAATTATAACTAGAGAAAAGTACATATGTAAGTATATATCAACATAGATTTTCACATACTGAAGACAGCTATGTAATCAGTGCTCGGATCAGGAATACATGACATCTAACCAGCTGACTTCTAATGTGGCAATTAATTGTATAGGTGGAGTCAATTATATGACTGGAACCTCTTTTTATGGAGCAGTTGCATTTGTTGATTCTCATTGTTGAATACCGTTGGTTCTCACTGTTGTATTGTCTTGTCTGTGCTGTGAAAGTACCACAATGTATTTGTCATTCTACCTCAGCTGACCATTTGGTTGAGTAGTACTGCTGGTAGTAATCTAGTACATCTGTTATGAATTTCTAGTACTTGTCTACTAGTACTAGTAGTTGTCTCTTGGTGAACAAATGTGGACAGTTATGTGGGAATATACCTCGGAGTAGAATTGCTGGATCATAGAATATTCATGTATTTAGCTTAGAAGATACCAGCAAAAAGTTTTCCAAGGTAGTTATATCAATGTACTCTTCTGCTAGGAATGAGAAGAGTTCGTAGTTGCCCCACACCCTCACCAACACTTGACATTATCTATCTTTTTCATCTAGACATTCTAGTAGGTGTATAATAGTATTTTATTTCAATTGTTGTTTTAAGTTTTAGTATTTCCCTGATACTAATGATGTTCATATGTTTATCTGCTATTTGAATATCATTTGTTTCAAGTGTCTGTTGAAACTTTTGCCCATTTTCTACTAAGTTATATGTCTTTTTGTTTTTACTGATTCTTACAATTAAAAAACACATCCTAGATATACATTTTTTTTGCTAACACATGTATTGTGGATATTTCATCTCATTCTATCAATTGCCTTATCAAGTAACTTGATAAAAATCTTTATTTTAATATAGTCTAATTTAGTGCTTTCATTTTTTTTTATACATACACCATCTTAACCATTTTTTTAAAATGTGCAGTTCACTAGTGTTAAGTAAATTCACACTGTTGTGAAACAGGCCTCCAGAAGTTTATAATCTTGCAAATCTAAAATTCCATAGCCATTAAACAACAACTCCTATATCCCCACACCCTTTAGCCCCTGGTAACTAACATTCTACATTGTTTCTATGAATTTGACTACTTCAGATATCTCATATAAATGGAATCATGTACTATCTATCTTTTTGTGACTGGCTTACTTCACTTAACACAGTGCCCTTAAGGTTCATCCATGTGGTAGCGTATGACAGGATTTTCTTCCTTTTCAAGGCTGAGTAATATTTCATTGTATATCTATGTATCTACCATAGTTTCTTCATGCATTCATCCATTCATGGACACTTAGGTTGCTCCTATCTTGAACATGGGTTCACACATATCTCTTCAAGGTTCTGTTTTCAATTCTTTTGGCTGTATATCCAAAAGTGGGATTGTTGGGTCATATAGTAGTTTCATTTTTAATATTTTGAGAAGCTTCCATACTGTTTCCACAGGGGTTGCTCTATTTTGCAATCCCACCATGCCCAAGGTTTACAATTGCTTCACATCCTTACCAACACTTATTTTCTGTTTTGTTTTGTTTTGTTTTTAGATAGTAGCCATCCGAATGGGGGTAAGGTGATAGCTTATTGTGGTTTTAGTTTGCATTTCTCTGAATGATGATGTTGAGAATTTTTTCATGTTTCTTGGCCTTTTCATTTTTTAATAGACATTTTTGATTACTCCAAAATTATGAAAATGTTCTATTAGATTTTCTTCTAAAAATGTTAATTTTGTTTTATCATTATTAGTGTTTACCTTTAATATTCAGATCTTCAATCTATTTGGAATGGACTTTTGGTTATGTTAAAGTGTCAAAGTATCTACATCTATATTTTTACTTTATATCTGTATATTTTTGTTGTTCTTATATATACCTAATTCTCACAGTAACTTCTCCCCCTGCAATTTAGTCAGCTTTGTTATAAGGTGACTGCATATGTGTGGGTCTGCTTTTGAACTCTATTTTGCCCTATTGTCCAATTTGTCTACTTTTGAGCCAATGTTATAGTGTTGTAATTACTGTAGATTGATAATAGTTCTAACTATTTTATAGTGTAATCTACCAATTTTACTCATCTTAAGATTGTCTTGGCTATTTTTGGCCCTTTGCCTTTCTTTATAAATTTTCACAATTTTTTCACTGCTCCCTGCCACACATAAAACCAGATGATATTTTACTTAGGATTTCATTGAATCTATAGATTAATTTGAGAAGAAACATTAGCTTTACAATATTCAGTTTCCTAATGTGTGAAAATGGCATAACCCTGAAGTTTTTAAAGATCTCTAATTCTTTTCAATGATATTTTATCCATATTAGTGTAGGCATGTTGCACAGTTCTGTTTAGATTTGGTGCTAACAGATTATTTTAATGGCATTATAAATAATATTATTTTTAAATTTTCATTTTTTCTTTTTCAGTGATAAACAGGAATATAATTGATGTTTTTCTATTGACTTTCTATTAAGAAATCTTGCTAAATTTACTTTTTAATTCTAATAGTGTGTAGATTCATGTAGATTTTCAATTTACACAACTATGTTGTCTTTTTTTTTTCCATGTTAACCTTCAGTTTACATATCAAAATGTCTTTCTTTTTTTATTATTATACTTTAAGTTTTAGGGTACATGTGCACATTGTGCAGGTTAGTTACATATGTATACATGTGCCATGCTGGTGCGCTGCACCCACTAACTCGTCATCTAGCATTAGGTATATCTCCCGATGCTATCCCTCCTGCCTCCCCCGACCCCACAACAGTCCCCAGAGTGTGATGTTCCCCTTCCTGTGTCCATGTGTTCTCATTGTTCAATTCCCACCTATGAGTGAGAATATGCAGTGTTTGGTTTTTTGTTCTTGCAATAGTTTACTGAGAATGATGATTTCCAATTTCATCCATGTCCCTACAAAAGACATGAACTCATCATTTTTTATGGCTGCATAGTATTCCATGGTGTATATGTGCCACATTTTCTTAATCCAGTCTATCATTGTTGGACATTTGGGTTAGTTCCAAGTCTTTGCTATTGTGAATAATGCCGCAATAAACATACGTGTGCATGTGTCTTTATAGCAGCATGATTTATAGTCCTTTGGGTATATACCCAGTAATGGGATGGCTGGGTCAAATGATATTTCCAGTTCTAGATCCCGGAGGAATCGCCACACTGACTTCCACAATGGTTGAACTAATTTACAGTCCCACCAACAGTGTAAAAGTGTTCCTATTTCTCCACATCCTCTCCAGCACCTGTTGTTTCCTGACTTTTTAATGATTGCCATTCTAACTGGTGTGAGATGGTATCTCATTGTGGTTTTGATTTGCATTTCTCTGATGGCCAGTGATGATGAGCATTTTTTCATGTGTTTTTTGGCTGCATAAATGTCTTCTTTTGAGAAGTGTCTGTTCATGTCCTTTGCCCACTTTTTGATGGGGTTGTTTGTTTTTTTCTTGTAAATTTGTTTGAGTTCATTGTAGATTCTGGATATTAGCCCTTTGTCAGAAGAGTAGGTTGCGAAAATTTTCTCCCATTTTGTAGGTTGCCTGTTCACTCTGATGGTAGTTTCTTTTGCTGTGCAGAAGCTCTTTAGTTTAATTAGATCCCATTTGTCAATTTTGGCTTTTGTTGCCATTGCTTTTGGTGTTTTAGACATGAAGTCCTTGCCCATGCCTATGTCCTGAATGGTAATGCCTAGGTTTTCTTCTAGGGTTTTTATGGTTTTAGGTCTAACATTTAAATCTTTAATCTATCTTGAATTGATTTTTGTATAAGGTGTAAGGAAGGGATCCAGTTTCAGCTTTCTACATATGGCTAGCCAGTTTTCCCAGCACCATTTAGTAAATAGGGAATCCTTTCCCCATTGCTTGTTTTTCTCAGGTTTTTCAAAGATCAGATAGTTGTAGATATGCGGCGTTATTTCTGAGGGCTCTGTTCTGTTCCATTGATCTATATCTCTGTTTTGGTACCAGTACCATGCTGTTTTGGTTACTGTAGCCTTGTAGTATAGTTTGAAGTCAGGTAGTGTGATGCCTCCAGCTTTGTTCTTTTGGCTTAGGATTGACTTGGCGATGTGGGCTCTTTTTTGGTTCCATATGAACTTTAAAGTAGTTTTTTCCAATTCTGTGAAGAAAGTCATTGGTAGCTTGATGGGGATGGCATTGAATCTGTAAATTACCTTGGGCAGTATGGCCATTTTCACGATATTGATTCTTCCTACCCATGAGTGTGGAATGTTCTTCCATTTGTTTGTATCCTCTTTTATTTCCTTGAGCAGTGGTTTGTAGTTCTCCTTGAAGAGGTCCTTCACATCCCTTGTAAGTTGGATTCCTAGGTATTTTATTCTCTTTGAAGCAATTGTGAATGGGAGTTCACTCATGATTTGGCTCTGTTTGTCTGTTGTTGGTGTGTAAGAATGCTTGTGATTTTTGTACATTGATTTTGTATCCTGAGACTTTGCTGAAGTTGCTTATCAGCTTAAGGAGATTTTGGGCTGAGACAATGGGGTTTTCTAGATATACAATCATGTCGTCTGCAAACAGGGACAATTTGACTTCCTCTTTTCCTAATTGAATACCCTTGATTTCCTCCTCCTGCCTAATTGCCCTGGCCAGAACTTCCAACACTATGTTGAATAGGAGTGGTGCGAGAGGGCATCCCTGTCTTGTGCCAGTTTTCAAAGGGAATGCTTCCAGTTTTTGCCCATTCAGTATGATATTGGCTGTGGATTTGTCATAGATAGCTCTTATTATTTTGAAATACGTCCCATCAATACCTAATTTATTGAGAGTTTTTAGCATGAAGGGTTGTTGAATTTTGTCAAAGGCTTTTTCTGCATCTATTGAGATAATCATGTGGTTTTTGTCTTTGGCTCTGTTTATATGCTGGATTACATTTATTGATTTGCATCTGTTGAACCAGCCTTGCATCCCAGGGATGAAGCCCACTTGATCATGGTGGATAAGCTTTTGGATGTGCTGCTGGACTCGTTTTGCCAGTATTTTATTGAGGATTTTTGCATCAATGTTCATCAAGGATATTGGTCTAAAATTCTCTTTTTTGGTTGTGTCTCTACCAGGCTTTGGTATCAGAATGATGCTGGCCTCATAAAATGAGTTAGGGAGGATTCCCTCTTTTTCTATTGATTGGAATAGTTTCAGAAGGAATGGTACCAGTTCCTCCTTGTACCTCTGGTAGAATTCAGCTGTGAATCCATCTGGTCCTGGACTCTTTTTGGTTGGTAAGCTATTGATTATTGCCACAATTTCAGATCCTGTTATTGGTCTATTCAGAGATTCAACTTCTTCCTGGTTTAGTCTTGGGAGAGTGTATGTGTCGAGGAATTTATCCATTTCTTCTAGATTTTCTAGTTTATTTGCGCAGAGGTGTTTGTAGTATTCTCTGACGGTAGTTTGTATTTCTGCGGGATCGGTGGTGATATCCCCCTTATCATTTTTTATTGCGTCTATTTGATTCTTCTCTCTTTTTTTTCTTTATTAGTCTTGCTAGCGGTCTATCAATTTTGTCAATCCTTTCAAAAAACCAGCTCCTGGATTCATTAATTTTTTGAAGGGTTTTTTGTGTCTCTATTTCCTTCAGTTCTGCTCTGATTTTAGTTATTTCTTGCCTTCTGCTAGCTTTTGAATGTGTTTGCTCTTGCTTTTCTAGTTCTTTTAATTGTGATGTTAGGGTGTCAATTTTGGATCTTTCCTGCTTTCTCTTGTGGGCATTTAGTGCTATAAATTTCCCTCTACACACTGCTTTGAATGCGTCCCAGAGATTCTGGTATGTTGTGTCTTTGTTCTCGTTGGTTTCAAAGAACATCTTTATTTCTGCCTTCATTTCGTTATGTACCCAGTAGTCATTCAGGAGCATGTTGTTCAGTTTCCATGTAGTTGAGCGGTTTTGAGTGAGATTCTTAATCCTGAGTTCTAGTTTGATTGCACTGTGGTCTGAGAGATAGTTTGTTATAATTTCTGTTCTTTTACACTTGCTGAGGAGAGCTTTACTTCCAAGTATGTGGTCAATTTTGGAATAGGTGTGGTGTGGTGCTGAAAAAAATGTATATTCTGTTGATTTTGGGTGGAGAGTTCTGTAGATGTCTATTAGGTCCGCTTGGTGCAGAGCTGAGTTCAATTCCTGGGTATCCTTGTTGACTTTCTGTCTCGTTGATCTGTCTAATGTTGACAGTGGGGTGTTTAAGTCTCCCATTATTAATGTGTGGGAGTCTAAGTCTCTTTGTAGGTCACTCAGGACTTGCTTTATGAATCTGGGTGCTCCTGTATTGGGTGCATATATATTTAGGATAGTTAGCTCTTCTTGTTGAATTGATCCCTTTACCATTATGTAATGGCCTTCTTTGTCTCTTTTGATCTTTATTGGTTTCAAGTCTGTTTTATCAGAGACTAGGATTGCAACCCCTGCCTTTTTTTGTTTTCCATTTGCTTGGTAGATCTTCCTCCATCCTTTTATCTTGAGCCTATGTGTGTCTCAGCACGTGAGATGGGTTTCCTGAATACAGCACACTGATGGCTCTTGACTCTTTATCCAATTTGCCAGTCTGCGCCTTTCAATTGGAGCATTTAGTCCATTTACATTTAAAGTTAATATTGTTATGTGTGAATTTGATCCTGTCATTATGATGTTAGCTGGTTATTTTGCTCTTTAGTTGATGCAGTTTCTTCCTAGTCTCGATGGTCTTTACATTTTGGCATGATTTTGCAGCGGCTGGTACCGGTTGTTCCTTTCCATGTTTAGCGCTTCCTTCAGGAGCTCTTTTAGGGCAGGCCTGGTGGTGACAAAATCTCTCAGCATTTGCTTGTCTGTAAAGGATTTTATTTCTCCTTCACTTATGAAGCTTAGTTTGGCTGGATATGAAATTCTGGATTGAAAATTCTTTTCTTTAATAATGTTGAATATTGGCCCCCACTCTCTTCTGGCTTGTAGGGTTTCTGCCGAGAGATCTGCTGTTAGTCTGATGGGCTTCCCTTTGAGGGTAACCCGACCTTTCTCTCTGGCTGCCCTTAACATTTTTTCCTTCATTTCAACTTTGGTGAATCTGACAATTATGTGTCTTGGAGTTGCTCTTCTCGAGGAGTATCTTTGTGGCGTTCTCTGTATTTCCTGAATCTGAACATTGGCCTGCCTTGCTAGATTGGGGAAGTTCTCCTGGATAATATCCTGCAGAGTGTTTTCCAACTTGGTTCCATTGTCCCCATCACTTTCAGGTACACCAATCAGACGTAGATTTGGTCTTTTCACATAGTCCCATATTTCTTGGAGGCTTTGCTCATTTCTTTTTATTCTTCTTTCTCTAAACTTCCCTTCTCGCTTCATTTCATTCATTTCATCTTCCATCACTGATACCCTTTCTTCCAGTTGATCGCATCGGCTCCTGAGGCTTCTGCATTCTTCACGTAGTTCTCGAGCCTTGGTTTTCAGCTCCATCAGCTCCTTTAAACACTTCTCTGTATTGGTTATTCTAGTTATACATTCCTCTAAATTTTTTTCAAAGTTTTCAACTTCTTTGCCTTTGGTTTGAATGTCCTCCTGTAGCTCAGAGTAATTTGATCGTCTGAAGCCTTCTTCTCTCAGCTCGTGAAAGTCATTCTCCATCCAGCTTTGTTCTGTTGCTGGTGGGGAACTGTGTTCCTTTGGAGGAGGAGAGGCACTCTGCTTTTTAGAGTTTCCAGTTTTTCTGTTCTGTTTTTTCCCCATCTTTGTGGTTTTATCTACTTTTGGTCTTTGATGATGGTGATGTACAGATGGGTTTTTGGTGTGGATGTCCTTTCTGTTTGTTAGTTTTCCTTCTAACAGACAGGACCCTCAGCTGCAGGTCTGTTGGAATACCCTGCTGTGTGAGGTGTCAGTGTGCTCCTGCTGGGGGATGCCTCCCAGTTAGGCTGCTCGGGGGTCAGGGACCCACTTGAGGAGGCAGTCTGCCCGTTCTCAGATCTCCAGCTGCGTGCTGAGAGAACCACTGCTCTCTTCAAAGCTGTCAGACAGGGACATTTAAGTCTGCAGAGGTTACTGCTGTCTTTTTGTTTGTCTGAGCCCTGCCCCCAGAGGTGGAGCCTACAGAGGCAGGCAGGCCTCCTTGAGCTGTGGTGGGCTCCACCCAGTTCGAACTTCCCGGCTGCTTTGTTTACCTAATCAAGCCTGGGCAATGGCGGGCGCCCATCCCCCAGCCTCGCTGCCGCCTTGCAGTTTGATCTCAGACTGCTGTGCTAGCAATCAGCGAGACTCCATGGGCGTAGGACCCTCCGAGCCAGGTGCGGGATACACTCTCGTGGTGCGCTGTTTTTTAAGCCCGTCGGAAAAGCGCAGTATTCGGGTGGGAGTGACCCGATTTTCCAGGTGCCCTCAGTCACCCCTTTCTTTGACTCGGAAAGGGAACTCCCTGACCCCTTGAGCTTCCCAAGTAAGGCAATGCCTCGCCCTGCTTCGGCTCGCGCACGGTGCGCGCACCCACCGACCTGCGCCCACTGTCTGGCACTCCCTAGTGAGATGAACCTGGTACCTCAGTTGGAAATGCAGAAATCACCCGTCTTCTCCGTCACTCACGCTGGGAGCTGTAGACCGGAGCTGTTCCTATTCGGCCATCTTGGCTCCTCCCCTCATGTTGTCTTAATGGCAGTTTAATTATGCCTTTTATTTATTTTCTTTGCCTCATTTTGCTAAAATTTCTGGTAAATTGAAATTTGTTAAAATTTCTGGTAAATTGAAATTTGTTAAAATTTGTGGTAAATAAAAGGGTTTATAATGATGATCATTGTTTCCTTTTCAAGCTCAGAGAATGTTTTCAAGATTTCCTCATTGAATATATTGCATGCTATAGGCATAATTTTTAAAGATAATTCTTTGCCAGATTAAAATTAGTTTTTCTAGTTTTTTAAGAGTTTTTTTTTAAATAATGAATAAGTGTTGAATTTAGTGGAATGCTGTTTATATAATGATACAATCATATAATTTATATATTTTTTCTGTCATATTTCCTGATTTTCAAAAATATTTTAGTTGGCTATTAATTCTACTTCTGCACTTAGAATAAATAAAGATCAGATATAACAAGACTAATGAGAAGTTAGTCTACTTCCTGACTAAGGAAGGTTGCGTGTCTTCCTTCAAGTGTAATTTCAGCTCTCATTCTTTTGGGTCAGGCCTATGTATATATGGGTTAGGAAATGTGCTAAGAATTCTATCTATACCAGACATATGTAATTAATTGTATCTATATCCTGTGTTGAATTTAGGAAGCTGTGTATCTCTGGACCTTTAGCTTTACCATCTGTAACCCTCCTGCGTGCGCAAGCTTTAGGATTTGGTGTCCACTGGACAATTCTTGGAATATATGTATCTCTTTATCTCTAGGACTGGACTAATTTTGTATCCCAGACTACTTGTCTACGGCCTTGATCACCTGATTTGTTCTTGCTAACTTCTCCCCAAGGTCTGAAGCCCATTTTGTCTTACCCAGTTCTAAGTTGGCAGGACATCCCAGGAAAGTTATGTAAATATTATTCAGAACTGGCAGTATTAACAAGGACTTTCACCCCTTGTGGATCAGACCCTTAAATAGATATGTGCTTGAGTACAGCTATGCTTCTTTGGCCATTTTGATTTTATTACCCGGCTATATTTTGGGGAGCCAACTGAACAAGTGAGTTAATGACTCTAAATATGGCTTTTTCTTTACTTAGTTTATTTCTCCCTCTCTCTCCATCCCAGAGTGCTTTGTGGTTTTATATAGTTTTTAGGCACTTTTAAATATTTTAAAAACAGCCACCTAGTAAAGACCTACAGGACCACTGGGCATCTAATGCAGAAAACCAAGGAGAAGAAATCTCCCTCCGCTCTCTACGGTCATAGCAAGTCCAGTTCAGGTTTACCAATAGAAGAATTGTTTTTATATATGGAAGTATCCATTTTCTTTATGAAGAAATGCATGATTTGAAATTCTTGGCCTCTCTTATCTGTAACTGATCACAATCAATCTCTGTGAACAGGCTGGAGTGAAAGAAGAGAAAGATGATGGTGGGAGGTGCCTCACCTTGAAAGTGTCCTACGCTGTAACACTTTTAATATGTTAAGGGAACACTCAGGTAGTCATGATTTCTTGGAAGGAAGGTCAAAGAAGGCCTGAAGATTAATTTCTGGAACACTTTTCACTTTCTTCTGATTGTATGATAAATAAGACTAAAGGATTTCCCTCCTATTGAGGCACACTTATGATGGTCTTGCCCCGAGCCTCCCTTTGCATGAGACAAAGAAGGAGTTTAGTAGGATTTGGAAGACTCTTCCACAGGGTTGTTAGGATTAGGCACCTTGTAGCTTCCAGGTCACCTCAGTTTACATAGGCTATACCAGGTGAAAAATGTTCAGGTTTTTTTTTCTGCCCCAACTGTCACTCAATTTTGGTTATAACTACTACTTAGCTATTAAAGTTAACAGTCTTTGAAAGATTTTTACAAAGTTTAATCTGCATTTATCCATGTAAGAGTCAATTTAACTCAATATAATTGCCACTTCTAAAACCATGTATAATTGAGATACATAGTCATATATTACCATAAGTATCAAGATGATTTTAGTTTTGATTTTGTTATAATTTGTTAACTAAAATAATGTACTACTGCAAATGGATTTTTTTAAAGTTTTTAAATACTTTTTTAAGAATTGTGAACATTTTACGTGTAGAAAACTTTTATTATAAATAATTTGGTTATACATATTACCAAAATAAGAGAAGAGAATTGCTTTCCTAATAATAGGGTATGTTTCCTGTGATGGGTAGGTGTCCGATATAAGCTAAATAAATTACAAGTAACACCTTTACCTTGCTGCAGGTGAATAAATAAAGTGACAGTGAAATAAATTATTTCTTGCTGGCCAAGAACAGAGTCAACCTTCCTTAATAAGGTAATGAAGCAACAGAGCAATACTTTATTTGCTTTTCACCTTTAGTCTGGAAAGATCATATCTCAAGGCAAGTCAGCTCTCCTCTCTGGAATTACAGAAAATATAACAATATCATTGCTTGCATTTTAATTCATATATTCATTCTGCAATAATTCCATTAATTCTAAAATAAAATATTCTATATATTAAAAGATGCTTTAATACCAAATTACAAGTTTTTATTACCAAATTATATGAATCTAAAGATCGGTTATTTTTTAAAGACACAAAATATTTACATTATGCATATCTGTGCAAGCCTAGCAAAAAGTACAGTTTTAGAAAAATAAAGCATTTTTACTTTATTATTTATTTATTTATTTGAGACAGAGTCTCTCTGTCGCCCAGGCTGGAGTGCAATGGCTCAATCTCAGCTCACTGCAACCTCCACCTCCCGGGTTCAAGTGATTCTCACGCCTCAGCCTCCCAAGTAGCTGGGACTACAGGTGTGTGCCACCACGTTTGGCTAATTTTTGTATTATTAGTAGACACAGGGCTTCACCATGTTGGCCAGGCTGGTCTTGAACTCCTGACCTCAAGTGATCTGCTTGCCTTGGCCTCCCAAAGTGCTGGGATTACAGACGTAAGCCACCATGCCTGGCCTATTTGCTTTTTTTTTTTTTTTTACGTTATTATACCTGTCTGTGTTTTTTGTTGTTGTTATTTAATGTTTCTTTATATGTTTATTCTAATAAAATAACCATAACAAAATTTACCATCTAAACCATTTTTAAGGGTACAGTTCAGTGGCAGTAAGTACATTCATATTGTTGTGTAGTCATCACCACCATCCTTTTCCAAAACGTTTCGTCTTCCCAGACTGAAACTCCATACTATTAAATAATAACTTCCCATTCTCCTCTGCCTCCAACCCCTACAAATCCCCATTCTACTGTCTGTCTCTATGAATTTGACTACTTTGGGTACCTCATATGAGTGGACTCATCTAATATTTCTTTTTTTGTGGCTGGCTTATTTCACTTAGCATAACGTTAATACTTTTCTGTTTGCTTGTTTGTTTATAATAGCCATCCTAACATGTGTGAGATGAACTCATTGTGGTTTTGATGTGCATTTCCTTATTGATTAGTGATGTTGAGCATCTTTTCAAGTACTTACTGGCCACCTGTATTTCTTCTTTGGAGACATGTCTATTCGTTATTTGACCATTTTAAAATTGTATTTTTTGATTTTTTTGTTCTTGAGCTATAAGAGGTTTTAAAAAATATATTTTGGATATTTATACTTTATTAGATATATGATTTGTAAATATTTCCTCTCTGTGTTTTCTTTTCACTCGTTAATGGTGTCCTGTCGTACACAGTTTTGATGAAGTCTAATGTATCTGTATTTCTTTTGTTGCCTGTACTTTTGGTGTCATATCCAAGAAATAATTGCTAAATCCAATGTCATGAATCTTTTCTCCTGTGTTTTGTTCTAAAATTTTGTAGTTTTCATACTCATGTTTAGATTTTTGAAACAATTTGAGTTAATTTTTATATATAGTGTAAAGTAAGAGTCCAACTTTATTCTTTGGATGTGACTATCTATTTTTCCAGCACCATTTGTTGAAAAACCTGTCCTTTCCCTTTTAATGGTTTTGGCACTCTTATCAAAAATCTTTTGACCATATATATGATGGTTTATTTCTGGGCTTTCTATTCTTTGATCTCTATATCTGTCTTAATGTTGGTGCCACACAGTTTTGATTACTGTAACTTTGTAGTAAGTTTTGAAATCAGGAAGTGTTAGTCCTTCCTTTGTTCTTTTTCAAGATTGCTTTGACTATTTGGGATCCATGAGATTCCATATATATTCTGTGGTGAATTTTTCTATTTCTGCAAAATATGTCATTGGGATTGAAGCTCTAGATTACCTTAGGTAAAACTGACATCTCAACAATATGATGTCTTTCTATCCATGAACATGGATGTCTTTCCATTTATTTATGTACTCTTTACAGTCTTTCAGCAGTGTTTTATAGCTTACAGTGTATAAGTTTTTCACCTATTTGTTAAGTGTATTCCTAAGTATTAATATTCTATTCTTTTTGATGCTATTGTAAATTGAATTGTTTCATATTTCTTTTTTGTATTATTAACACATTTTTAGTTTATATAAATACAATTAATTTTTAAATTTTGATTTTGTATCCTGAAACTTTTCTTAATGTATTTTTTAAATTTAACTTTTTATCTTGACATAGTTGTATATTCACATGCTGTTTTAAGAAATAATAGAGATTTCATGTACCATTCACCCAGTTTTCTCCAATGGTAGCATTTTGTGAATCTTAGTACAATATCATAACCAGAAGTTTGACTATGGTGAAATCCACTTACTCAGATTTCACTTGTTTCATATGTGTGTGTGTGATTCTATGCAATTCTATCACATACGTAGGATCATGTATCTATCATGATAGTAAAGATACAGAACCATTCCTTCACCACAAGGATTCCTTGTATTGTCATTTTATAAACCACACCCACCTCCTTCCTCTCTTCCTAACCCTTAGCAACCACTAATGTGTTCTCTGTCTTTGTAATTTTGTCATTTCAGCAACAATGTATAACTGGAATCATACAGATGTAACCTTTTAGGATGGGCTTTTTTCACTCAGCATTATTTCTTGGAGGGATTCATCCAAGTTCTTACATGTATTAATAGTTCATTTCTATTTATTGCTGAGCAATATTTTATGATAAGGACGCACCAAAGTTTAACTATTCATCTATTGAAAGGCATTTCCAGTTTTTGGCTATTATAAGTTAGCTTCTATGGACATTTATGTACAGGTTTTTGTGTGAACCTAAGTTTTAATTTCTCTGGAATAAATGGCCAGGAGTGAAATTGCTGGGCTATAGGGGAGTTGCATGTTCGGATTTGTAAGAAACTGCCAAAGTTTTTCCTGGTGTTGATTGCACCATTTTCATTCTCACCAGCAGCATGTGCATGATTCAGTATCTTCACATCCTCATGATCATTTGGTGTTGTCACTACTTTTTATTTTAGCCAGTCTGACAAGTGTGTAGTGATATCTCATTGTAATTTTAGTTTGCATTTTCCTAAGGCTAATGATGTTGAATATCTTTTCATGTGTTTATTGGCCAGCTGCATATCCTCTTTGGTGAAATGTCTCTTAATGTTTTTGGCTCGTTTTGACTTTTAGTTCTTATTTGCTTTTGCTTTTAACTGTTGAGTTTTGAAAATTCTTCTTACATTCTGGATACTAGTTCTTTGTTATATATTTGGTTGCAAATATTTTCTCTCAGTCTGTAGCTTGTCTTTTCATATTTACAAGGTCTTTCATAGAGGTAAGTTTGCTAGTATTTTTTTTTAATGAGGTCCATTTCTTCATGACATCTCCTAAAATTAACATTGGATATGGCACATAGTAGACATTTGATGTTTCTTTGCTGAAAGAATAAAATGAATTAAATGATAAAGAAACTAGCAAATTTACTTCTAACTTTATGATGTCTACTCCTGATATCCTGACCATTGTTAGATGTGAAAATAGTATCAGCTCATAATTATTTGATATCTCTCACATTTTTCAACACGTTATGTAGGAGCATGTGGAGGAATATTTACTGTGTTTTGAGGGGCCAGGAAGTAGAGAATAAAAAGGAATTTGAAAAAGGTGTAGATTGTGAAGGAACAAGAGGAGTAAGAGGGGAATGGCATAATATGCCCTACAGTAGCAGTTTGCAAAGTAAAGCCTGTGGGCTCCTGAGGGGCCCGAGGTGTCATTTGTCTTTTGCACTTTGTTGACATTTGCACTGATGGTGTAAAAGCAATGGTTGGTGCAGAAACGATTGTGGTTAAAACTGCTGGAAATTTAGTATGAATCAAGGCAGTGGTACCAAACCATACAAGAAATCATTATATTATTTCCCACCAGGCACTTGCAGAAGAAAAAAAAAAGCCAGTTTTGCTTAAGAATGACCTTGACTAAGCAGTAAAAATAATTATTTTTATGAACTATCAATCCTTGAGAATACACCTTTTTTCTATTCTGCATGATGAAGTGGGAAGTATACATAAAGTGTTCCTGTTGCATTCTGAGGTATTTATGGTTGCTTCAAGGAAAAAACACTTTTGTGATTATTTTAGGTGCAACTGGAGCTAACCACTTTTTGCAAGTAACACCAGTTTTTACTTGAAATAGCGTTACAGATAAACTGTTTTTTCAAACTTGGGTATTTGGCAGACATTTTCTTGAAAATGATGAATGAGGCCACAAAGTACCTATGACAAGTAGTCTTGTGTTTATTTCATTCCCCACCCAAAACTTTCTTTTCTCCATGTTTTTCTAGAGTATTTTCTCATGTTGATACTTGTCATTACTAAATCAATAACTTTGATAATGTCTGTTTGCTTTAGATTCAGCCAGCAATAGCAGAAGTAGTAAAATTGCTATCAGATTGTTATAATGACTTCCAACATCATACTCAGAAGGCCATAGGGGAATTTAACAATTTGTTTGGAGATTGGAGGGGAATATATGGAAAATATCTGTTTAGTATGCATATTGTTCTCTGGTCACTCTGTAAATACCCATAGCTTAGCGATTAGTAAACATTATTTTAATTGTCTCTTTACTTGCTGCCTTTCAGTACTAGATAGGACTCTTGGAAGGAAGGGATTATGTCTTATTAACCAGGACAGCTCTTAAAATTAGCAGAGGGCCTGGCATAAAGTGGTCATTGGATATGTCTTTGCTAAAGAATGGAATGAAGGAGTGAGAGAGGAACTAGTAAATGTGCTTCTAATTTGTGCATGTGTATCTACTGCTGATATCTTAATCATTGTTACATTTGAAAATAGTAGCATCTCATAATTTTTTGGTATCTCTTACAGAATTTGTCACATTTTGGCCAATGAGATGCTAAATAAATATGCTTTCAGCAAGGCAATTTTTGGGGTAAAGTTTGGGCAATAGTACATATTTTTATAGGACTGATGAGATTGTGTGTGTGTATGTGTGTGTATACATATATTTGTGTATATGTATATATACATATATATATGAAGCACTTAGCCTATACCCCACATATGCTAATTGTTACTTTTACTACCACTGCCGTGGTGACTGCAAGAAGAAAAAATGTTTTCTGCTTTTGCTGTCACCTAACTTCAAAATTTCTACTTAGGACTTGTAGATAAATAATTTAAGAGAGACAAAATCACATTAGACTTTAGCTCTAATCTCTTCAGGACACTAATTCTGAGGTAAAGTTTTTGGATAATATATTTATCTCCATATCTTGCTGTTTTCTCAAAAGGTAAGCATAAGAAACAAGATCAAGAGCCAGAAATATGTACCCGCTCACTCAGCATCCAGACCACTGATGTGTTAGATATTATAGGTGGAATGTAAGTAACCCAAGAGCATGGACACTATCTGCTTGTTCATTGCTGGATCCCTAAAGCTTGGCCCATAGTAGGTCGTCAATTCATATTTTTCCAGTGAATGGTTACATCACTGGTGTTTAAATTGTAACTGTTAATGAATTTTCCTGCAGTAATGTTGTAGGTTTTCATTTCAGATGACGGTGTTGTACAACAGATAATGTTTGAAGCAAATAGGTAGGGGACATGGTAGTGGGTGACAGGCAGCAATACACCTCTATGTAACCAATAGAGAAAGTATAAAAAGGCATTTTAAAACATCTGAAGAACTGATGTTACTGTTATAAAAATTAGGCTAAGAGGCAGAAGCTGCCAGGGGCTAGTGGGCTGGGAGGGATGAATAGAGCATAGGGGATTTCAGGGCAGTGAAACTACTCTGTAGGATGCTATAATGGTGGCTGCATGGCATTATTCATTTGTCAAAACCCATAGAGGGTACATCAAGAGTGAACACTAATGTGAACTGTGAACTTCCGGTGATAATGCTGTGTCAATGTGGGTTCATGAATTGTAACAAATGGTTAACAAATGTACCACTGTGGTTGGATGTGGACACTGGGGAAGCAGTGCCTGTGTGGGGGCAAGGGTTATATAGGAAATCTTTGTACCTTTCACATAACTTTGCTATGAACCTAAAACTGCTCTAAAAAATTAAATTTATGAAAAAAAGTTAGGCTAAATTGTAACCTCATGATAAGCCTTCCCCTAAACATTATAAAATAAAACCACTTCCCCTGGAAAATTAATAAACAAGGTTTTTTTTTTTTCTTTACCTGCTTGGTATTGGGGCTTACTCATTTCAATGACAATGGAAAAATCTATTACTTTTGCTTTCTCAGAAATTATGTTTCATTTTATAATAACTGCATAAAATGATATATGAAACTATAGGACTTTTTTGGTTACATAAGTTCAGCTCTTAATTAAACAGTTTATTCCATAAACAATAATTTAGCGTCTCAATTCCCCCAAGGTACAATGCTAAGTGTTCTAACAAATGTAGAGATTTTTATAGGAATCTGTTTCACTTGAGAGGTGGCTTGCCATTTTCAGAGCATGTACACATATATTTTCTCACTGTTCCTCACAAGCCTGGGCAGTTGGCAGAGAAGGTCTTTAAACTTCCACCTGAGACATTATTATTTATCTAAAAATTGTATTTTTGTACAGTAATAACATTAAAACAAAATAGAATTTTAAAACAAAAAATCACATATACCCAACTATCTTAATAAAATAAGTTTAATTTTTAACATTTTATCTTTTAGACTGTTCATGTTTGAATAGTAATCATTATTGGGTTTGAAGGGATATTCAGAGAAACTGCTTATTTAGAAAAGTAGAAAAAGTTATGGCAGTGAGGAAGTCAAAGTAAAATATGTCACTAATACATTTGGGAAAAGATGAGTGACTGGCACCACCCTGTCGGGAAACAGAGCACAGGAGTGGTGGACCTGGTAGAACTAAGAAATGTTTCATTTTATTTTTTTGATGCAAGAATGAGGGGACAACTCCCCTCAACAACTGTATTGAGAATACGGTTGTTAAAATGACCAGATAGAGTTAAAGATTTTGAAAGGTTGAACTCTGGATGCCCCACTTTTATTACCCTGGAGAGAAGTCCCTTCCGCTTTGTTAGTCCCCCTCCCACCCCCTCCTTTAAAAAAGTCTACCTTACAAAAGAAGTAAATAGGAAAAAGAGGAGGAAGAACTTGTATCTAGTTAGTTCTGTCTTGAAGAAAGTCAGGAGAGGACTGTAAGCGAGTTGATACTGCACTTGAAGGTTGAGGTCATGAAGAATGGGCTTTGAGGTAAGGGTGTAACAAAGCTTCTGAGGACCAAAGTGGTTTCTCCAGTGATTTTTTTTTCTTTTGAGACAACATCTTGTTCTGTCATGGAGGCTGGAGCACAGTGGCTCACATGGTTCACTGTAGCCTCCACCTCCCGGGCTCAAGTGATCCTCCTTCCTCAGCCTCCTGAGTAGCTGGGACCGCAGTCACACGCCACCATACCCAGCGAATTTTTAAAAAATTGTATGTAGACATGGGGGTCTCCCTATGTTGCCCAGGCTCGTCTTGAAATCCTGGCCTCAAGTGATCCTGCCTGAGCCTCCCAAAGTCCTAAGATTACAGGTGTGAGCCACTGCGCCCAGCCCTTTTCCACTGATTTTGATGGGAGGCACTGCTGGTTCTAAGTCATGGGGCTGCATGTCCATGCTCTGTCTCCTATTCTGTCACTGTGGCTGTCTGGAAGGAAACTCGGAACAGTAAGTGTTGGCAACTAGTATTGGAGAAACTAAACAAGTCTGTTCATTAGATGGTTCTTCTTGTTTTTCACTAGTAGCAGGGAAATTATGCCTGCCCAGGGTGCCCAAAGTAGAACTCAAAAGTAGAAATTCAAAAGTAAAAATGTTCAGTTGTGCGCATTATAATTTTTATAACCACAGAATAAAAGTCATTTCTTTTTTTTGCTTTTACTTTGCTTCACTTTAGATAATAACTAGATTTAAAATTGTGAATAATTTTATAATTATTTCTAATGATTTCATTATATTACAGAAGATATATTGCTGCATGTTTTACTACTTTTGGCCATTTAGGAGACATCTAAGTTATATGTTATAATTTATATTATACATATAGGTGTGAACATTTTTATTTTGTACTATTGCATTAAAAGTGGAGTTTGAAATATGAATTATAATGCAGGATATGAGTATACAAGCTTCAATAGCTTTGCTTTGTTTTAAATTTCTGCTAGAAATAGGTATGGCACTGGTTTAACTTACATCTCTTTGTTATTAGATTTCATTTTCATTATTATTATTTCCCTGTGGGTGCAAATTATTAGCTCATGTTCTCTTCCTTCCTCTTTCCATTCTGTTGTCTTGCCCCATATGTTTCCTGCTCTGTAGGACTTAAAATCTAGTAGGAACAGTAAGTGAAGGTACTCAAATAACTAACGTACATTAAAACGTTAACCTTTCGTCAGGCTATTATTCTTACTGCCTCACCCAAACTCTTCTTGACAAGATTTTGAGCAACATGTATTTCCCTAAATATTAAAGGGAATTAATATTTTGCCTCTCCCTCAATAAAGGCTCCTCCTCTTTCTCTGTCCTTTTTGGATGAATGTACCCAGTTACCCAAACCGAAGATTTCAGATCTTGTTAAGTATTGTTTTATTCTCATCTCCCACATCCATTCCATCACCAAGACCAGGCAATGCTATTTACTAGGAATCTCTGGCACCATCCAATTATTTTACTCCCATGCACTTAACCTTAGCTGAAGTCACCTTGTATTTTACCTGGTTTACCGAACTGAGGCCTCACTTGGCTCCCAGATGTTAGTTTTTCTCTAATCCATCCACAGAATTACCTCTACTCTAGTAGAGGTGAGAATGGCCACTTTTTTCTGGCCATTCTCCTTTTTCCTTTTTACATGCTCATCTTCCTCCTCTGAATAAGAAAGAGGGGAGTTTAAAAATTCTGTTTTCATGTTTTTTTCACTTCCAAGTGAATCACATTTGTACCCTCTCTTTAGTTCAGGATCTATAAACCAATCATTTAAAAACTTTTACCTCTAATCTAGACTTTTTTTTTTAATATGACCGAGAACCTTCTATTCAACCACTTCCTAAATATTTCTGCTTGGATGTCTCAACCTCAAAGCTTCCCCACATCATTGCCACCATGCAAGTCCAGAATATAACCCTAATTTGCCTGGAAACTCTAACAATCTCTAACTATCCTTTCCACATCCACCCTGTTCCCCAACCCTAATCTTATTATCTACACTACAGTTCATGATAATTTCAAAAATTCTGATTATGTTGCCCCATTGCTCTAAGGTTACACAACAGAATCGCCTGGAACTCAACCACTAGTTATTAAAGGAATAAATCAATGGTATTTCCAAAATTCAAATGAGATAATGCTTTTGTCATGTTCAAATCCTTTAGATAACTTTCCATTGTGCTTAGGACAACATTCAAAACATTTATGTGACTTGAAATTCACTGAATGCTCTGGTTCATGTTTGGTCTTTGACCTCATCTTAATTCAGTGTCAGTGTCTGCCTTCTATTTAGAAAGAAAGTTAATCTTTTTGAATCTGATATGGCAGCATAGTCTATAAAGACCATGCACTTCAGAGTTTAATGCCTCATTTTCTTTACTAGAGTGAATTTTATCCTGGAATTATCATCATTACTGTTATTTTAGAAATTATGGATTTTTTTTTTTTTTTTTTAAGACGGAGTCTCTCTCTGTCGCCCAGGCTGGAGCGCAGCGGCACAATCTCGGCTCACTGCAACCTCCACCTCCCCCGTTCAAGCGATTCTCTTGCCTCAGCCTCCCGAGTAGCTGGGACTACAAGCGCGTGCCAGCATGCCCGGCTAATTTTTTGTATTTTTAGTAGAGACGGGGTTTCACCGTGTTAGCCAGGATGGTCTCAATCTCCTGACCTCGGGATCCGCCCGCCTCAGCCTCCGGAAGTGCTGGGATTACAGGCGTGAGCCGCCGCCCCTGGCCAGAAATTATGGATGTTCAAAGTGATAACTTCTGTGTCTAACTTAGGGTATTTTCAATTGCCATTTATTCATTTATTTTTGATCACTGATCTTATTATTAATACATGAACCAACACAGACTAATAGGGAATTGCCGCAACTTATTTGATGGCTTTGGTGTTGTGAAGAGAATTTATAAACAATTCAGGGAGAATTTTGTGTGCCATTAACCGAAAAGAAAAATAGAAAAAGTAAAAAAGAAGTACCTGTCTCCAAAATGAAACGTATCCATTGTTTGCTCACTGAAATCTAAAATGGTCTTCACCTTCCAGTGATCACTTTGCATTCGAATGCTCATAACTGTTGTAGAAAGCTTGACGCCCACACTGCAGGATCTTGCTCCTCTTTAATTTCCTCTAATTTGTGTAGTGAATAACCAAATACTCATAATGCAATTAGAAGATAATCAGGCTTGTAATTATGTTAATTGCTGGAGACTTACATCAATCCTCCAGCAAAGTGATAGGATTTCAGGGGAACGATTAATGTGGCAAGAGAGTGAGCGAGAGACTGGGATGGGGAAGTGGGTAAATCGATGAACAGCTTTGACTTGTGTCATTTAACGACACTGAGAAGACAACAGAGCCATCCATGAGAAAGGCCTTCAGTGGAGATGCTTAGAAAACACAGTTCTGGGTTCCAGAAATTCAACCTCTTATTTTTTTTCCCCATAAATAAATACCTTGTCCACTTAAATTTATTGGAAGAAGCCTAATTCAAAGAAAACCGATAAATAGATGAGGGAGAAAAAGTAAGAGAAAGAGAGAGAGAGAGAATGTTGCTATTTGCTCAAGCTACCCTGTCTTATAAAAAGAACAAAACAAAATATTATTACCTTCTGTGCTCCTACACTAGAAGGGTCCTGTGAAGAGATCTCAGTCTAGCTCATCCAATGATGACCAACTTTCAAGCTGGAGCTGCCACTTGTTGATTGTAATCTGCATAGCCTCGACATTAAGTTTATTTCTAAAAACAATAAATAAAAATCTTAAGATTTCCCAGCTTTTCTTCAAGCGGGCTGGAGCTGAGCTGGCCACCCCGAAGCCTGCTGTGGACTGGCATTTTTCGCCTTCATTAGCAACGATCAGTCTGAGAAGCCCACGCTTTCTCTTCCTGCACCCACGTCGGCTGTGTGGCTCAGCAGGTGAAACGGCTTGTGGTGTGGGTTAACTGCCACTTCACAAAGACTTATGCCACCACACTCCTATCACCTCATGAAGTTAAAAATAAAGTCACTTTGCCAAGGTTTGTCTATTACCTGGAAATTAAAAACTAGGAGATCTGGGTAGTGCTGCGCTTGATGCCACATATCAGATATGATTCAGATAAACTGTAAGACTCTTTCTTCAAATGCAGGCAGACAGAATGACCACAGCCATGAAAGTAGGTCTTTAAAAGCCAAACCTCTGCCAAGGCTACTCAGCATGAATACACAGTGCTCATTTTCCATTATAAGTTATATTTTATATCCTTAATGTCAAAATAAAGGGACAAATTTGCGTTTGTAGTTCACCATATGTTTACTGCTTCTTGGCCATTTGGGAAGCATATTGGAACTGTACAGTGCATAATTAAACTGTAAGAATGTTATAAGCTGAGGTAAGGTGCGTCACATAATGGTCACTCATTTTCTGCTATATTTTTGACTACTTGTGAACCATTAATGCAAACACAGGTTCTTACGGTTTATGAAAATTTGAGTCATTATAATGACCCACATGATTAGATTTTACTGGCTACTAGAAAGCCCATATATATATATATATATGTATGCTGAACCCAGAACCATTTAAAAGAGAGAGTTTCTCTGAAGGTATCAGTCAACTGGCAATTTATTTGGAAATAAAAGGATGATTCTATGACCAATAAAAGAGTAACCACCAGTTACGAATATTACAGAATAAATGAGAGGTTTGAGAAAAGGCCAAATTTAGTGAAATGGAGTGATTAGGAAAATATATTGCTCATAGAAACTATGAACTTTTCCTGTAATTTATTTATGGTTGGCAAATTGTACAAAAACCTAATTAGACAAGCTGATGTTCTTGGAAGAGATCTCAGAGTAGCTCATTACATTAACTCCATAAATTTGTTCCTTCAGAAATCCCCAAGTAGGCAACTAATCATACATAGAGTTTTTTGCTTTTTCTCATTTCTTAATTTCAACTTGTGTCATTGGCTAGAATTTTATTTTTACTGCTCACAAAAGTAATTGAGCCAGAAAAATTTATTTAGCTTATAAATCATCACTACAAATCAGATGCAGATTTAGAGATAATTCTGTTAGCATTCTACTATGATTTCTCATCAATATAAAAATGTGAATTTCATCTCCAAAGCCCTTTAGTTTATACAATGAGAATACAATTTGTAATACTGTTGTTATGTACTGAGTACTGAGGGAAAGGATGATCCATTCTAAAAAGTGTAACTCAAATCTTCTTTAAGAGTGAAATTGGTTTTATAAATGTTTGTTACTTTTTAGTCCCTCTCAAGGTCATGGAAGAATGGCAATGCCAATGGCAGAACAGTAGTCACAGCAATGGGTGTCAAGCTTATAAGGAACAGACAGTTTCCATTCTAAATACATGCAGTTTCATTTATTACACATACCACTGATAAATCACATTTGTGTATGAGGCAGATGGGGATTAGTACTGTCGGTGTTAGAATATCACATTTTAGCTCAATTAGTGTTTCATGAAATGTTATAAAACTAAGTAAAAAAGAAACAAAAAATTCCACATTTTGCTTTTATATATTTTCCTCTCTCTTACTGATGTGCTTTTTATTCAGGTTCTAATTTCCCCTACAGTTAACAAATTTGGGTCTGTGTAGATTTTCCCCAAATTGCATTCAAGTTTCTATTAACTCTGTAGCAAGGTTTTAGCTTATCCCACTTCATGCTGATTTATTTTCTGCCTTGTTAAAATACTTCAAATGATTGATTAATGCAATGGACAGTAGCTAATACTCATATTTAAAGTTTAAAAGATTATTGAGCCTAACATCCTGAGAGTATTAAAAAATTGAAGGAAAGTGGCTAGACATGAACACTGAAATTATTTAAGAACTAGTATTTGTCAAAATCAAGCTTACAGCTCTGCATAGGGATATTCAAAATGTGTTTTAAAAGTAAATATTCCATCTGTGTAACCTGAAATGCTCTGTGAAAACTCTGAAAATAATTGCCTTAAGGTATGGCTAAATTATTTAAGCCTTATTCCTTTTGAAGTCTAATTTGTATCCCTAAATGATGTTAATAAGTCAAAAAGAGATCGTGTTAAAATGGATGTATATAATTAATATAATAAAAAGCTAGCAGTATGTTTGTGTACTAACATGAAAATTAACCTTATTTGGTTTATGCCAAAAGACAAAAATAATTGAGAAAAATGAAAGAATTTTTTCCAAGTTCATTATTATAATGATTTATACTGGTTAGGAGGTGGCTCAAAGATTACTCAAAGGACTTGGGTTGTGGGGAAGAGAGAATGGCTTCTCTATTGGGGCTAGAATAAAAGTTAAATATATAGTTTCCATTCACGGAGTAAAAGTTGTTTTCAAGAGAAAAATGCAGAAATAGTAAAACTTTTGAGGAGGTTAAGATAAACTTTGTGTGTGTGTGTGTGTGTGTGTGTGTGTGTGTGAAGAATTTGAAGAATTATGTAAGCACACACCTGTAGATAAAGGCTTTCATTGAAATAAATCTTTAAAAATTTGATTAAAGGGGTATATTAATTTAGAGACAAAAACCTCTTAATGACCATATGATCATGAAGGTAAAAATATTGAAAAATTAGAAGATTAGATTAAAAATATACACAGTAATGTAAGTTCATTAAACTCCAGTCAATGATATTCAAAAGGGTATAAATCTTGGATGAAAGAATATTAATTATAAGAATTTAAGCCAAAAATGTACCATAAGATGGAAATAAATCTTATGCACCAATACAGCATATGAAGGTTATATGAATACATCCAATATGGTATTTTACTTCCATACAAAAAAATTTAGAGGGGCCGGTGTGGTGGCTCATGCCTTTAATCCCAGCACTTTGGGAGGCCAAGGCAGGTGGGTTGCTTAAGCCCAGGAATTCAAGACCATCTTGGGCAATATCAAGAAACCCCATCTCTACAAACAATACAAAAATTATAGGCCGGGCGCCGAGGCTCACGCCTGTAATCCCAGCACTTTGGGAGGCCGAGGTGGGTGGATCACGAGGTCAGGAGATTGAGACCATCCTGGCTAACACGGTGGAACCCCATCTTTACTAAAAATACAAAAAATTAGCCGGGCGTGGTAGTGGGCGCCTGTAGTCCCAGCTACTCGGGAGGCTGAGGCAGCAGAATGGCGTGAACCCAGGAGGCGGAGCTTGCAGTGAGCCGAGATCGCGCCACTGCACTCCAGCCTGGGTGACAGAACAAGACTCCGTCTCAAAACAAAAAACAAAACAAAACAAAACAAAACAAAAATTACCTGGGTATGGTGATGCATGCCTGTAGTCCCAACTACTCAGGAGGCTGAGGCAGGAGGATCCCTTGAGCCTGGAAGGTTGAGGATGCAGTGAGCAGAGACTGCACCACTGCACTCCAGCCCCGGTGACAGAGACAAAGTGAGGCCTTGTCTCAAAACAAACAAAAAGACAGAGACATTTAGAGTACACCATTGTGCAAATGGCATTATAATTATGGAATATTGTAACCTCTTCTTTTCAGCTCTTCATTGTATAACATAATATGCCAATTAGAATTACTCATAAGTTTGTCAGTTATGTTAAAAGCAAACGAATGTTGGGTTAAAACAAGATATTTTTGGCTGGGCATGGTGGCTCACACCTGCAATCCCAGAACTTTGGGAGACTGAGGCAAGAGGATCACTTGAGGCCAGGATTTTGAGACTAGCCTGGGCAACATAGTGAGATCTTGTCTGTAAAAAAATTTTTTTTAATGAGCTAGGCATGGTGGCACATGACTGTTGTCCTAGCTACTCAGAAGGCTGAGGTGGGAAGGTCTCTTGAGTCCAGGAGTTTGAGGTTATAGTGAGCTATGATTGTGTTACTACACTTCAGCCTGGGTGACAGAGCAAGCCCCTGTCTCTGAAAATAAAATGATTTTTTTTATAGGGGTGACAATAAAAAGTATATTCATGTGTTAAAATACTGAGTTATTTAAAGTGAAATCACCAAATGATATCTTTAGAGAAGTCCTTAAGTAAATAAAAAATTAAGAAAATAATCAAATCATTGGATTATAATGACACCTGTGAAAAGTATGAATTGCTGAACAAGATTGGTCCATTTGAGAGTCCCCTTAAAGGGACAGGAGAGAAAGCCTCCTTGTGGTTATTTAGATCAATTATTTTAATTACTATTTTTGTTAAAGCATCATGCTATTACTAGTATGGAATGAAGAATCCATAAAGCATTTTGATTAAGCACCCTAAAATTGTGTTTCTCCAGTTAATGTATGAACTGAATTAGAATTTATTGAAGATAAAAATGTCACTTTAGATATGTGATAACTCCTGCAGTCTCAAATGGATAGTAATATCTCAAATGGATGATAAAAGATGAAGTCCATTTTAAATAATAACTCATGTAATTTAGAAGCAATTGACTGGGTAGAAAAGGGCTTTGTTTTTAATACTTATGATTTTCCTATAAATGGAATAGAGTAGTGGTGCAAATATAGTCCTAAATAGTAAATAACTCTCTTGCTCCTCAAACCTGTATTTTACTTAACAATAAGTTATGATTTGTAAAAGTAGCTTTCAATCAAATTATAATCTTCAGGACTACTGGTAAACCAAAACATCTGTCTCTGATACCTCTAGGTATCTTTTTCTTACCTGATTTTAATATTTCTAAAAATGTTAATTTTAACTATGGTGTAATTTTTAGACTTACGAAAGGATCCCCATGCTCTTGATCACACCTCAGTATAAATTCAGTACCAGTAATCTTTTTAAAAAAGACTTTAATCTTTAGAAGTTTAGATTTATCGAAAAGTTAAGAAGATAGTCCCAAGAGTTCCCATATACCCATCACTCAGTTTCTTTTCTTATCAATATATTAATATGGCAATTTGTAACTATTAATGAATCAATATTGATACACTACTATGATTAAAGTCCATTGTTTATTCAGATAGTCTTTACTTAATGTCCTTTTTCTGTTCTAACATCCCATGTAGGATCCCACACTCGACTTAGTCATTTTGACCCCTTAGGCTCTCCTTGGCAGTGAGTTTCAGACTCCTGTTTATTGATGACCTTGACAGTACGATTGTGTCTCAGGCAGGTTTTGTGGGAGGCCCTTCATTTGGAATTTGCTGAGAAAACTTCTTTGCTCTCACTTCTCATTTACCTCAGTTACGTTTCACAGCAATTGCAAATCTTTGACGTATATACTTAGGCTCTGAGAAGGATCCCATCACCCTCAAGCTTGCACTGTATGTCATCCATGAGTGGCAGGAGATGTTTTTCCTTACCTAGAAGTGAACAGTGCTACGTGTAACTATCTCCTTCTGAGTGAGAAAGGCCAGCACTCACTCTACACTGGGTGCCAATCTGCACCAAATGCTGTTGCCTTTATTATAGGTTTAATAGCTCCACCCAACAGGCTCTGCTGGAAACCTGTTTAAGACCTTAAAAAGAGGCATGTAAAGTTATACAAATCGAAGTTACTTGAAGTCATAAAAAGTAGAAAAGTGAACAGTATTTCAACTTTTTTCATCGCATGGTAAGAAGTACTTCCAGCAGATGGCAAAATTTTCATTGGCCCTTCTTTATATTTACCAAAAGTTCATTCCTGACCAGTTATCATTTTCTCCTTTTACAGGATATAATGTTTCCTAACAGTCACATTTCATATGAAATAGTATCCTTTAAAAGACTAAGAATCTGGCATGTAGTGGTTATTTAATAAATGTTTACTAAGTAATAGCTGATTGGATAAATAATACGTTTTTATCCTTGTGATGTTTGGCAAATTTTATTCATAGATTATTTGGTGCTACCTGTATGAAAGATATTGTGCTGGGTCCTCTAGATGAAATATAAATGAAAAAAGATTGAAGCTCTATAGACCCCTCTTCTCTCTTTCTTGACCTGTCTTTTATCACCTTTAGATAAGACCCTGACACTAAGATTGTGGGCTTGGTAATCATCATGGAAAGATATTTAACCTTCATGTGACAACTCAGTTCATTTCATGATAAAATGTCTTTATTTCACATATATTCTTTAAAAGTATTTTCACTGGGTCTAGAATTCTTTCATTCTGTTGAAAATTTGGTTCTACTTATTTGTGGCTTAGTTGTCACTATTTTAATGCAATCATTTTATTGCCAGGTTATTTAAAAATTTGCATATTACTTGGTGTTTGGCAACTTCACCATTATGTGTGTAAGATTAGCTTACTTTCCCCTCTCTCTCTTTCATCCTGCTAGGGTTTGTTTAGTATAAGAATTTGTGGATTGCTATTTTCAATCTATTATGAAAAATTCTCATCACATACCTTTTAAAAACTATTGCCCTAACATTTCTCCTCCCTCCCTACTCCACCTTTGTTGTTGTTTCTTTGTGGAGCTGCAAGTAAAAGTATGTTAGATGAGAAGTATTCTATGTTTATGGATTGAAAGATTCAATATTGTTAAAATGTCAATGATTTCCAAATTGACCTATAGATTCAATACAATCCCAATCAATATTCCAGAAATATATTGTTTTAAAATCGGCAAACTGATTCTGAAGTTTACATAGAAATGCAAAAAGACCAAGAATAGCTAACAAAATACTAAAAAAAAAGTACTCAATTTTAATCTTCTCAAGCTGCAGCAATCAAGACAGGATTTTATTGCCAAAACAATTGGCTCTAGATTGATGGAACAAAATGTAAACCACAGAAATAGGCCTGCATAAATACAGCCACTGATCTTTGACAAAGGAGCAAAGGTACTTAGATGGAGAAAGGACAGTTGTTTATGATAGTGTTGGGACAATTGTAAGTTCATATGTGATGACAATGAGTCTAGATCTTAACATTTCACAAAAATTAACTCAAAATGGATGATAGATGAAAATGTAAAGTGAAAGACTATAAACTTCTAGGAAAGAAAAGTAGGAGAAAATTGAGTGACTCTTGATTCAATGATGAGTTTTTAGCTATAGCATGACAAACATGACCTATAAAGGTTACGTTGATAAGCTGGTCTTTATTAAAAGTAAAAAGTTCTGCTTGGTTAAAGACATGATTAAGAAAATCCAAAACTAAATCACGGATTAGGAGAAATATTTGCAAAACAAATATGCGCCAAAGGCCTTGTATCAAATGTATACAAAGACCTCATAAAACTCAAAAATAGTAAAATAAGCAACCAAATTAAAAATGGGCAAAAGATCTGAATAGGCACTTCACCAAAGAAGATGTACATATGGTAAACAAGCATATGAAAAGATGCTCAACATCAATTGTCATTAGGAAATAACAAATTTTTAAAAAATGTGATACATAGCCATAAAAAGGAACTCATTCATGTCTTTTTCAGCAACATGGATGCAGCTGGAAGCCAGGATCCTAAGCGAATTCACACAGAAACAGAAAACCAAATACTGCATGTTGTCACTTATAAGTGGGCGCTAAACACTGGGTACAGACGGTGTTATGGTTTGACTCTATGTCCCCACCCAAATCTCATCTCAAATTGTAATTTCTATGATTCCCACAAGTCAAGGGTGGGACCTGGTGAGAGGTGAATCGATCATGGGGGCAGTTTCCTCCATGCTGATCTTGTGATAGTGAATGAGTTATCATGAGATCTGATGATTTTATAAGAGGATTGTCCCCTTTCGCTCGTTCACTCTCTCTTACCTGCTGCCATGTAAGATGTGCCTTTGCTTCTCTCTCACCTGCTGCCATGATTGTAAGTTTCCTGAGGCCTCTGCAGCCATGCAGAGTCAATGAAACATCTTTCCTCCACAAATTACCTAGTCTTGGTTATGTCCTTATTTTTTCTTTCTTTCTTTATTTTTTTACAGAGTCTTGCTCTGTTGCCCAGGTTGGAGTGCAATAGCACAATCTCGGCTCACTGCAACCTCTGCCACCTGGGTTCGAATGATTCTCCTGCCTCAGCTTCCCGAGTAGCTGGAATTACAGGTGTTTGCCACCATGCCTGGCTAATTTCTGTATTTTTAGTAGAGACAGGGTTTCACCATGCTGGCCAGGCTGGTCTTGAACTCCCAGCCTCAGGCGATCTGCCTGCCTGGGCCTCCCAAAGTGCTGCGATTATAGGTGTGAGCCACTGCATCTGGCCTTGGACATGTCTTCATAGCAATGTGAAAATGGACTATTACACACACACACAAAGATGGAAAAAATAAATACCGGGGAATCCAAAAGGGGGTAGTAAGGGAGGGGGCAAGGACTGAAAAACTACCTATTGGGTATTATGTTCACTACTTATTTGTGATAGGATCATTAAAAGCCCAAACCTCAGCATCACACAATATAGCCATGTAACAAACCTGCTGGTGCACCCCCAATTCTAAAATTAAAAAAACACCAGCCCTTTGAAGACTACCAAAGCCTCATTCTAGTATCAGGATAATAATTGACAAGCCAATCAGAAAGTGCATCAGCATTGATAATGACCAAGTTGCACTAGAGTAGCTACTTGTTATCAAGCACTCTACTAAGCACCTTAGGCATATTTAATTCTCACACAAACCCTAGCTGGTAGAACTACAAACATTCATTTTACAGAGACAGAAACTGAGGCTCCAGAAATGTTGAGACAGTGCCACAGATTATACAGCTGAGATTGAATCCAGTGTGTGCTCTTAGCTATCACTTTGCCCCAGTGAGTCAAATTTAGGGCCATGGCTGATGGTGCCCGGCATTTTACCATCTATCACACCTTAGGCTGTGCCTAAGTCCTGGAGAGATTTTGGGCATATGGACAGAAGGAGAAGATGCAAATCTGATTATTGTCACTCCACTGCTCAAAACTATTCACTGGTTTTTCTTTGACCTCAAGGGAGAGTTCCAAATTATTAATGTGGCCTTAAAACCCTGTGTGGTTGTGTCCTTTGTACCATGCTATTCATCCCACTTTTTACTCCCTTTCCTTCCCACTCCAGGGCCTTTGCACATCCTATTTCTCCTATCTATTTGACCCTTTTCCAGTGTGGGCCCCAATGCCTGGCACAGAGTACATGCTCAATCAGTATTTCCTGGGAGAGTAAATACAATGGGCTAAACAGCTCCACGGGTTGGGACATTTGGATTCTGATTCATGCTGTCACTAGGTAACTTTGAATATGAGCATAACCTCACTATGCCTCAGTTTCCTGACCTGTAAAGAGGGCAGACATTTATTCCTCATTCAGAAAACTGTCTTGGAGGATAATTTTTTAAGAAGCAACACACATGAAGAATTGAAAGTTACCAAGTGCTAAGCAAAAATAAAGGACAATTCTGATTTTTTTAAAGCTGATAATACCAGTTGCTGGTGAGGATGCAAAGCAACAGGAACCCTCATTCATTGCTGCTGAAAATCCAAAACAGTTCAGCCACTTTAGAAAACACTTTGGCAGTTGTTACAAAGCTCAGTGCAAAATCTTATCCTATGACCCAGTAATTAAGCTTCTAGTTATTTACTCAACTGACCTAAAAACTTATGCCCACACAAAAAAACCTGCATGTAAATTTTTATAGCAGTTTTATTCATAATTGCCCCAAACTGAAAGTAACCAAGATGTCCTTAAATAGGTGAATTGATAAACTCACTTTAATGCATTTGAACAATGAAATATTGTTTGGTAATAAAAAGAAATAAGCCATCAAGCCAAATAAAGCACAAATAAATCTTAAATTCATGTTGCTAAATAAATGGAGCCAGTCCGAAAGGCTACATACAGTGTGATTTTAATTACATGAAATTCTGGAAAAGGCAAAACTGCAGCAATCATAAAAAGAGCAATGGTTGACAGGATTTTGGAGAAGATGGTGAAGGTTAAATAGGGATGATTTTAGGGTGAGAAAGCTACTCTATATGATACTATAATGTTGGATAAATGACACTATGCATTTGTCAAAACCTATTGAACGTTATGGCACAAACAATAAATCTTATTGCTCACAAATTTTAAAAAAATAATTTAGAAAGTCAGAAACCCCAGTATGAAATACAGAATGTGACAAAATATATGAAACAACCCAGCAAAGGTTGATGGGGAAATGTGCTGACCAAAGTAACTGAAAATAAGCACAGTTTATAAGACTGAATGCAAAAGAAACTGTGTCTAAGCAGTGTACTCTAGTTGATAAAGTTGCTTCCTATGATGGTACAGGTTAACATTTCTAAAATTGCAATATATGTGCACTGGAATTGAAGAATTAAGTAAACAGATGGCAGATGGTAGGAACCAGGTTTCTCAGTGTTGGAGTGAGAATTAAAGATAAACAAAGGGACGGGGCTAGAAATATCCACGTGACAAAGGATTAAAGTTGGAGACATCATATGAACTCATGTTTAGGTTAGTGTAGGTGTAGAGATTACACAAAGAAATATTTATGAATATGTGTATAATACACAGGTTAGCACACACACACACACACACACACACACATATATTTCATTACTGTCTGTCAAGAAAGCCTGGAAGAAGTGGCACCCACTAGCAACAAGCACATCTAGTGCCCAGATCTTGGTTTCTTAAACCATTTTCCAACTAAAAAACCTGCTGGAGTAATGAATGATTCCAGGCCTGGGGCAGGAAATATACAAGATGAGCTTGAAGCCTCTTGTAGTGCCAGAAAGTAAGAAAGTACTCAAAAAACTTGAAAAAACCCTACATTAATGGGGAAACATCAAAAGGGTTTTCCTGTGAACCACCTGAAGGAGCCCCAAATGGTTAAATCTGGAACAAACTGAGCAATAAAATAAATTAAGTAATATTATAACCTAAAGCATAAAGCAAATATTTATGAGTCTGCTTTCATAAGAAGAAATAATGCAATTAATTAACTAATGAGAAAAAAGAGCCAATCTCTCATGGAGAATTCCAAATAATTTACATAGACACTTCACCCTTAAGGAAGTAGAGCTTAACTCCCCACTGCCTGAATGTGGGCTGTATATAGTGATTTCCTTCCAAAGATACAGTATGGAGAAGGAAAAAGAAAAAATAGCTTTACAGTGGATAAACCTGAAAAACATTTCCTTAAACCAGGTGATCAAGGACAACATCAACAATTATAGGTTATGTTGAATGTGTACACTTGATACAATGTGATGAGTGGCACTGTATTTCTGTGGTACTCCTCCCCCAAATCATAATGCTAGTCTAATAAAAAGTGTCAGACACATTTTAATAGAGGGACAGTCTACAAAATGCCTGACCTGTACTCTCCAAATCTGTCGAGATCATCAATTTTTCAAGAATGCCAGCAAACAGTAAGCAGTCAAAAAAACAAGCACACAAAGAAACAAGGCACTATAACACAAAACAAGTAGAAAAACAAACAATAGAAATAGATTCACACAAACTTAGCTTTTAGAATTTAAAGATTAGTGTTAAAGTGTTATGAATAGAAAGGTCTAAAAACTTGTCATGGCCAAGTGAAGCCTAAAAAGATAAAACTACTAAATGTAATATGTTATCTGTAATGAGATCCTGGCAATAAAAAAAAAAGACATTAGTTAAAAACTTAGCAAATCTGAGTAAGGTATAGAGTTTAATTAATGATAATACATCAATATTAATTGGTTCATTAATAAGAACAAATGTGCCATATTAATATAGGGTGTTAATAACAGAGAAAACTGAGTGTGGAGTATATGAGAACTCTCCACTATCTTTTTTTGTTAAATTGGAAACTCTTCTAGAATAAATAAGTTTTACTATTTTTATTGAAAAATAAGTACATTAGGCTTTCTCAATCTATGTTCTTGATCTCTTTACCTGTTTTCCATGCCTCCCCCATTATATTCTGGTTGATTATTATAATCTACATTCCAATTCACGAATTCTCTCTTCAACTCTATGTAAAATGCTATTAGCTTCTAATTTTGGCTTTAGCATTTTTTATTACTAGAAATTCCCTTTCCTTTTGCATCTTTTAAAAATGTGCCATTATTAATAATTTTTAGCTTATTGTGGATATAGTTATGCTTATATACAATTTATTAAAAATAGTAAATATACTTATTTAATAACATTTTGAAAATTCTAATAGCTAATAAAATAGTGTGAATCTATTTCTGCTGTCTGTTTTTTAACTTTTTTTTATATAGTGCCTTCTTTGTATGCTTATATATTTTTTTCTGACTGCTGACTATTTGTTGTTATTTTTAAAAAAGTTATTTGTGGGGAAGAGATTCCTTAAAGACTACAATTAAAGTGTCTTCATTTAGAGAAGATTATTGTTTTTCCTGGACTATTCTCAGAACACTTTTATACAGTTCATCTTTTGAGTTTGCCTGGATCATCCAGGTAATGTGAACCTAGGCAGTAAATTCACCCATGACTTCTCAAATTGTTATTTCTCTTTCTTTTGCACCATGCTCTGTTTAGTGCCAATCCATTAAGTTATGTAATTGGGTGGATTTACTTCTGGTTTATCTTTAATCTTAAGCATTTAGCACTTTGAAAATTCTTCTTAATGTAAAGAGGTTCTCCTATTAGATTCCTTATTTTGGGTGGCCACTGAGCCTTATCTTCCATCTGTCTCATCTGATGAGTTTGTCATACTGAAGCCTATGTTTTCAGGGATTGGCAAATACTTCAGAACAAAAGTGGCATTAGTGTTTTGGTCATCTGCTTCCCTTTCTATGTTTCTGATTTCTCTTATATTTTGGCCTGGCAGTACTTTACTCTTTTGTTAGTTGGTTCTTGTTTTTACAAAAATATTTTTAATATTTTATTTTGTACTTTAGTTTTGAGAGCAAGCAATGGCTTGAATAACCTGGTCCCAAATTAATGATAATCAAAGCCCCAAATTATTCTTTTAGTAAATATTTAATTGCTTATTTTGTTCCTGATACTGCTTTAGGAGCTGAATAGATGGCAATAAATAAGCTAAAAATAATCTGTTTTCAAGGAGCTCATATATGGTTAACAAAGATTAAAGATTTAAAAACTAAACAAAGTGATAAGAAAATGTTAGACATCAATGTTAAATGATATAAATCTTAGGAAATTAGAATTCAAGATAATCTTATAAATGTCTATATCTGCATGTGGGTTTGGGGAGCTCTGTACTCTAGGGATAGTTTTGAAAAACTTAAATGAAATCTACTGAATATGAATGACAAGATTTCTAAACAATAATATGGATCAAGTTGAATCTAAGCATTATTAGTTAAAAGATAATTCAATCAGTATAACTGATAATTTTCTTATTACTACTTGGCTATTCAGGCACGAAAAGTAGAGAAAAACAGAAATGTTTACAATTTTACATGTTTGTATGGCTCATGCTATTGCGGAACCTGCCCCGATAGTCATGTAGGTTCTTTTCTATTTTCCATAAGCATTGGCTGGCTTGAGAAATAAAGGGACAGAGTACAAAAGAGAGAAATTTTAAAGCTGGGTGTCCAGGGGAGACATCACGTGTTGGTAGGTTCTGTGATGCCCCACAAGCTGCAAAAAGCAGCAAGTTTTTATTAGGGAGTTTCAAAAGGGGAGGGAGTGTGCGAATAGGTGTGGGTCACAGACATCAAGTACTTCACAAGGTAATAGAATATCACAAGGCAAGTGGAGGCAGGGCGAGATCACAGGACCACAGGACCGGGGCGAAATTAAAATTGCTAATGAAGTTTCTGGCACCATTGTCACTGATAACATCTTATCAGGAGACAGGGTTTTGAGAGCAACCGGTCTGACCAAAATTATTAGACGGGAATTTTCTCTTCCTAATAAGCCTGGGAGCACTATGGGCGACTGGGGTCTATTTCACCCCTGCCAGTCTACAGACCATAAAATATGGACACACCTGGGGGGGCCGTTTATAGGCCTATACCTCCAGGCGAGTATTCTCTTTCCCAGGGATGTTCCTTGCTGAGAAAAAGAATTCAGCGATATTTCTCCCATTTGCTTTTGAAAGAAGAGAAATATGGCTCTGTTCTGCCCGGCTCACCGGTGGTCAGAGTTTAAGGTTATCTCTCTTATTCCCTGAACAATTGCTGTTATCCTGTTCTTTTTTCAAGGTGCCCAGATTTCATATTGTTCAAACACACATGCTGTACAATTTGTGCAGTTAATGCAGTTATTACAGGGTCCTGAGGCGACATACATCCTCCTCAGTTGACAGGATTAAGAGATTAAAGTAAAGACAGGCACAGGAAATCACAAGGGTATTGATTGGGGAAGGGATAAGTGTCCATGAAATCTTTACAGTTTATGTTTAGAGATTGCGGTAAAGACAGGCATAAGAAATTATAAAAGTATTAATTTGGGGAACTAATAAATGTCCATGAAATCTTCACAATCCACATTCTTCTGCCATGGCTTCAGCCAGTGCCTCCGTTTGGGGTCCCTGACTTCCTGCAACATCATGCGTCTCTCCTTCCAAAACATATTATTAGTGCAAATCCAGCTTCTAAGATACTGTTTTGTATGATGTCACACATGAATGTCATTTACATTGCATTATACCAAACAGTACTTTTTATTCATTAAATTATTTATTTATTTAACCAAGATTGTCCTGAACGTTGACAATATGTGGGTATAAATGAAGACAAAATAATACTATTACCTTAATTATTTTTTTCAAATAAATAACTTTTGGCTTTGTTGGTTTTTATATTGTATTTTAGTTATTTGATTTCATTGATTTTTCCTATATTATTTAGGGACAGGGTCTCGCTTTATTACCCAGGCTGGAGTGCAGTGGCATGGTCACAGCTCACTGCAGCCTTGACCTCCTGGGCTCAACTGAGCCTCCCACCTCAGCTTCCTGAGTTGCTGAGAATACAGGTGTGCACCACCATACTTGGCTAATTTTTGTATTTTTTTTTTCCTAGCGATGAGGTCTCACTGTGTTTCTCAGTCTGATCTAACACTCTGGCCTCTAGCAATCCTCCCACATTGGCCTCCCAAAATGCTGAGATGACAGGCATGAGCCACTGCCCCTGACTCCTATTATTATTTTTTTATTTTTTTTTCCTTTCTACTTTCTTTTGCTTTTCTTTTATTAATGTGAAATATGAGTTGACTGGTTTTCAGTCTTTTTCTTTCTCAATGCATACATAAAAAGCTATAAATTTTAATCTAAGAATTGTAGCTGTATTCTGTAAGTGTTGATATGTGGTATCTTCATTTTCATTCAGTTAACAATATTTCCTAACTTTCTTGTGATTTCTTCTTTGACTAGTATGCTATTTAGAAATTAGCTGTGTGATTGCTAACAGTTGATGATTTTCTAGTCATCTTTACTCATGCATTTCTAGTTTAATTCCAATATTGGCAGAGTATATACTCTGAGTGAGAGCAATCCTTTGAAATTTTTAAAGGCTTTTTTATAACGTAGCATATGGTTAATTTTTGTAAATATTCCACATGTAGATGGAAAAAGTATGTTTTGTTGTCAGTGAAAGCAATATTCTATATATTTGAAGTAACTTAAACTTGGTAATTGTTTTCTTTCAATTTATATCTTTTTATAATCTTGTTCTGTCACCTATTGAGAATGTGTGCCAAAGTAACTATGATCATAAATTTGTCTACTCTTTCAAAATTTATCAATTTTTTCATTATGTTATTGAGTGCATATTGATATTGAATTGTTATAATTTCCTAGTGGATTGATGCTTACATCATTATGAAATAATTCTTTTTGTGTCTACAAATGCTCTCTGCATTAAAATATTCTTTGATATTAGTATAAAAATATGTTTTGGTTAATATTATCATGGTAGATATTTTTCATTCTTTTATTATACTTTTAAATATTTCATTTTTTTATATTAAAAATGCATCTCTTTTAAGTGGCAAGTATTTTTTATTTTAAACATATTTTAGTTTTTAAATTTTTTATCTGAATCATAATTTTTTCTTTCAGTTCAGTTTTTTCTTAGACAAAATGTCTTCTATTTTAGTTGTCTAAAAATATCTTTGTTTCATTTGTTTTTGAAGAATGTTTTTGTTGGTTATAAAATTCTAAGCTGTGCTTTCTATATTTTGTAGCACATTAAACATTATATTCACAATATTTCATTGTATCTTGGCTTCCATATTTCTATTGAAAACTCTGCTCCCAGTCTTAACTGTTTACTCTTTGAAAGTAATATATCATTTTTCTCTTTCGACTTTTAAAATATCTCTTTCTGTCTGCATGTATGTCCGTCTGTCTCTGTCTCTGCTTTCCTCCCAACTCCACTCTCATCTCTTATCAGATTTATTATGATGTCAAGTAGGATTTGTTGTACTTGTCCTTCTGAGGTTTACAGAGGAACCTGGGGTTGACAACCTTCATCAGTTCAGAAAAATTCTCTGCCATTATGTCTCCTTCAATCTACTATTAAATCAATTTTTAGACATTGTCCATTTTAGTTTTTGAATCTCCATTTATTTCTCTTGTATTCTAATTTTCTGATGAACTTCTCCATCTTTTTACTTATTTTCTTTACATGTTCCCAAATTTTATTTGATATGTTAAATGTAATTACTTTAATATTCTTATCTGCTAACCTCAATATCTAAATCACCTGTACGTCTGTTTCTATTGCCTATTTTGGTTATTGTTGGTTTTTGTTATTTTGGTCTTGTCTTTTGGCACATAAAATTGCAGAGGATCAAGATAATAAGGAAAACCTCTTGCTGTTTTTAGATGATTATCTTAATCCAATCAGAAACAGAGTGAGTCCAGTCAGGATTAAAGTTTTGATAAGGCTCATTGTACTTCTACTTCATCCTGTGATTCTAGGCTGTATACTTCTGTTCACTGTCTAAGTGGTACAAGCAAGGAGTCCCTCCCATTATGAGTCTTCCATTTTATTCCTCAGTTTGCTTAGCTATTTTGCCTTCTACCTGCACTTCTTAACAATTCTGCAAATGCCTTGAAGGCAAAATGGCTATTATTTGATGCCTCTAAAATGTCCAGTTTTATACCTCTAGCCTCACAGGGCTGCCAAAAGCACAGATATTTCTCTTTCTCCAAGAGTTGGTCTTCCTGCTGGGATGCCACCCAAATGATCAGTCTCTCCTCTTGCACACAGAATCAACAAGTCTTTTCAGAGCAAAAGAAACTGCAGATAATCAGTTCAGCTCTCTATGGCTCTTGCTCTGTCTAATTATCCTTGCCTTAGTAGGACTCTGATGCCTTTAAACAAATTATTTTATAGTGTATTTAGTTTTTAGATGTTCTTAGTAGTAGACTTGTTCTATCACGAGCAACTTAAATCTATACAGGAGGTCATAATAACATTTAGACATTTATTATTTGTCAAGGATAATCATTTGCACCTGCTTAACAGGGGCTTTGAATAAGAGCATATCAGAATCTATAGTAGAACCTTTCTGGGTAGGGACTTGGGAGTAGTATCATTTGAAAAACTGCCTAAGTGATTGTTAGACTCATTTATCTGTCCTCCATCAAGTTGAGACCTTTGTGGGCTAAATATTTTCTACTTTTCGTCTCCCATTTCAAATTATCATAAGATAATTAGTTGTCTTGTATTTCTTTCCCTTGCTCCTGCATTTTCTCTCAGGATACAAAGGGAAGCTTCCCAGTTGAATGAACAATGATTTAGGAGAGTTTCCAGATTGTTTTAGTGTGCTTCAAAGTCTGTGTCCACAGTGACTCCTCTGGAATAGATATTATTATATATATTATGGCAAAGTCTGGATTGCAGCTAATTTCATCATTACTAATGCAAACAATTGCTTATCATTTATTGAATAATTCATTCTTTCCTTGTATGGAAGATGTTAAAATTCTAGCTCAGGTTCGTAACTTTAATCACTTATTTGAAAACAATCCTCTACAAAGTCTTAAGGATACTGTTTTGATTGATTCTCACTGTAACAAGTAACTATAACTAATTTAGGATTTTCTGGCTAATTCTATTGTGCCTTGTAGTTTCTCCCTCCCACACCCTCAATATTGTTAACTATTTCTGCCCTTGCCTAGATAGTATATGATAAATGTTTCCAAACTTGTTCTCAGCTACCATTTCTCATCCACCAGTTGGTATAGTGATGTCTCTCCAATATCTAGCTGCAAAGGGCTCACCAGTGCCCCATCCCTGAGCTGCTTCCCCAGATTGCTCTTACTTCTTGTGATGATCCCAGTGCATTTTATCTCATTGTGATACTTCTCTGTAGCCATGCTGAGGAAGAAAAGAAAAACCCCTGCATTTAGCCCCTATCACTGTTTCAATCCAGCATGATTATCTCTAAGGAGATTACGTAGAGGCAAGCTTGCTTAGAGATAATTAAGGAGACTTAATTCATAAAATATCACTTTTTTTGTAAATATTATTTGTTTGTTTCTGCTGACAGCCCTTTCTATGACTCAGACATGAATGAATAAAGACATGACTTGAGAACTACCTCTGAGCTAGAACACAATGCCAACTTCCGATCCCCCTCCCAACCAGCATTCCTTCTCCTGCCCAATCTTACTTCCAGAATATAATAATGTATTTGAAGTTTTACTTACTTTTAATGTTTGTTACATTTAAGAACTATTCTAGACCCCAATATGAATCCAACAGCTGCTAAAAATTATTTGCAAAGGCATGACATGTTTTTTGCCATTTAAAAAAATTTTAATGAAACATTTGTTGTACTTTGAATAGAATTGCAAAAATAAGCAAATAACTAATTACTGTAATTACTTCTTTACTTTATAACAATATTTGTAATTTTGGCCAAAAAAAAAAAAAAAAAAAAACCAGGCTAGTCTGATGCTCATTTGTTCAAAAGGTTGATAATCTGGCCTCAGAACTGATACTTACAGGGTGAAATCCAGTCCAGAGCATTTTATTTCTTGCCTCTACTTCCAAAATATCTACCAGTATTAATCATTTTTGTCAATATTGAAAATAGAAGAAGTTTCTGATTAAAGCATTCTGGATGTTTTTAGGTCTAACAAGCTGCTTGGGTGTAGCCACTCTTCAAACACCTACAGCGGCCTGAAATATGTTAGTAACACAGTAAAGTTACCTAAGCACTTTCCGCTATTGCACTCCTTTCTAACTTTTCGTTACCCCTCCACAAACACAACCACTCCCAGAAGATAAAGATATTGTCAGTGAATAATTTTCTAGCATTTTGTGTGATGTTTCATAATGTGGTTTTAAATAAGAGACTTTCCAGTTGAAAGTACTATCTTTGAAAAATTGTTATTTTACTGAACATTAGAAGTACACAGCCTTTATTTCTCACATGAGCTAGAAATAAAGCCACCCTCTATGAATAAGCCTTAGTTCTGTTCCTGCATTTATCCAAGTCCATCCTCAGTTTAGGGCATTTATACTTGCACCTTCTCCTGAAATCTTCTCATGGTTAACTTCTGAATCTCTTTCAGGTCTTTGTCATAAGATTCATATTCTACCTACTCAATCTAAAGTGGCTCTCTGGTCAATCTCTATAATATTACCATCTTTTATTATTTTTATATCCCTTATTATACTATAAATGATCTATTTTATTTATTTGTTTACTCATTTACTCATGCAAACTCTATGAGAAGGAGGACCTTGCCTGTTTTGATCAATGCTCTGTCTCTAGCACCTTGAAGAGTGGCTGCCACAGAAGAGAGACTCAGTAAATATTTATTATATGAATAAATAAATGGAAACTCAGTATCCTTATGTGAAAGAGGCTTAAATACATTGGAGGCATTGTATTAAAAAGAGTCAATTGTTGCAATAGGTCCCAAGGAATCAAAAAAAAAAAAAAACACAGAAGGAAAAGGTGTTTTCAGAGTAGGCAGAAAGATTAGTCATACAGAATTTAAGAAGAAAATATTTTTAAATCTTAAGTTTTAAAGATTTGAGATATAGGAAGTGTTTACTATAAACAAAAGGGAGCTTTTAACAATTCCCACTTCCAAATTCGTTGCTATTATTATTAGCAGTGAAATGGTACAAGGTGGAGTAGCAGGTGGTCTTAATTCTATCTGTAATAAATCTCAACTATTAACCATTTGATGAAACAGGGAATCTGTGTGGCATTGACTGCCCTTACCCACAATAGATTTCATTTTTAATCTTCTCAGAAAACGTAGTCAGCTCTGTCCTTGCTCTTAAGGGTCATTCAAAAGGGCTAGATGATAAAGGTACCGCTCCTGCCCTGAAAAACAACAATTGTGTGATTCCTGATTCACTGTTGTCAGGGCAAGCAATCAGGCCATTGCCGTTATTTCTCCCATATGCAACCAATGAAAGGGGAAAAGAAACAAACATATTTCTGCTAGAGCACAAAGTTCTAAACTTTTTACTAAGATTTTCTCTTAAGGGTCTGAGTCATAAGGCCTGTTTAAGTTCTCTTGATCATTTCCCCTTGTAGATAGCAGATGAAAAACAAGGATCCCTACAAGATAAAAATTCAGGAGCAAATAAATTTAATGAAAAGAACAAACAGGCTGAGAAAATAAATTAAACTAGTATTTGAAGTCCTACTACAGGCTGGGAGTGGGGGCTTACGCCTGTAATCCCAACATTCTGGAAGTCCGAGGTGGGTGGATCACCTGAGGTCAGGAGTTCAAGGCCAACCTGGGCAACATGGTGAAACCCCATCTCTACTAAAAAATACGAAAATTAGCTGGTTGTGGTGCTGCATGTCTGTAGTCCCAGCTACTTGGGAAGCCGAGGCTGGAGAATCGCTTGAACCCTGGAGGTGGATGCTGCAGTGAGCCAAGATCACACCACTGCACTCCAGCCTGGGCAACAGAGAGGAATTCCATCTCAAAAAAAAAAAAATTAAAATCTTACTACATGTCTAGCTCTGGGTAAACAACAGAATAGGTGATACTACTTTCCCATGAAGACAGACTTCTATCCTGGGTGACAAACTTACCTCTTGAGAAATCAGCAAACAGCAATGTTCCAAATGGATAAAGTACCAACATAATTTTTTTTTCATCTTTTATTTTAGATCCAGGGGCTGCACATGCAGGTTTGTTACAAAGGTATACTGTAGGATGCTGAAGTCTGGAATACAATTGAACTTATCACTCAGGTAGTGAGCATGGTACCCAACAGGTAGTTTTCAACCTTCCCCTCCCTCCTTCCACCCTCCAGTAGTCCTCAGTGTCTATTGTTTCCATTTTTATGTCCCTGTGTACTCAGTGTTTAGCTTCCAACTATAAGTGAGAACATACAGTGTTTGAGTTTCATTTTCTGCGTTAGTTGTCTTGGGGTAATGGCCTTTAGCTGCATCCATGTTGCCACAAATGACATAATTTCATTCTTTTTTATGGCTGCATGGTGTTCCATGGTGTGTATGTACCACATTTTCTTTAATCCACCACTGATAGGCACCTAGATTGATTCCATATCTTTGCTAGTGTGAATTGTTGCTGTGATGAACATACAGGTACATGTGACTTTTTGGTAGAACAATTTATTTTCCTTTGGGTATATACCCAATAAAAGTATTGCTGGGTTGAAAGGTAGTTCCATGTTTAGTTTTTTGGGAAATCTCCAAACTGCTTTCCACTACTTATTTACATTTCCACCAACATCATATTAGTGTTCCCTTTTCTCTGCAGTCCTGCCAACATCTGTTGTTTTTTGACTTTAATAGTAGCCATTCTGACTGGTGTGAGATAGCATCTCACTGTGGTTTTGATTTGCATTTCTCTGATGGTTAGTGATGATGAGCATTTTTTCATAAGTTTGTTTGCCTCTTGTATGTCTTCTTCTGAGAAGTTAATGTTTCATATCCTTTACCCATGTTTTAATTGAGTTACTTGTTTTTTGCTTGTTGTTTTGTTGAAAAGTTCCATAATACCTTTGTCAGATGCATAATTTGCAAATATTTTCTTCCATTTTGTAGGTTGGCTGTTTACTCTGTTGATAATTTCTTTTGCTCTGTGGAAACTCTTTAGTTTAATTACGTCCCACTTGCCAATTTTTGTTTTTGTTGCAATTGCTTCTGAGGACTTAGCCACAAATATTTTTTGGTGGGGAGATCATATAGTTTTATGTGTGCAGATTTATTTCTGGGTTTTCTATCCTGTTCCATTTGTCTATGAGTCTTCTTTGTACCAGTGCCATACTATTTTTGGTTACTGTAGACTTGTAGTACAGTTTGAAATCTGGTAATGTGATGCCTCCCACTTTGTTCTATTTGCTTAGGATTGTTTTGGCTATTTGGGCTCTTTTTTTCTTTCCATATGAATTTTAGAATTTTTTTTCCTAATTCTGTGAAAAATAAAGTTGGTAGTTTGATAGGAATAGCATGAAATCTGTAGGTTGCTTTGGGCAGTATGGCTATTTAAATGATACTGATTCTTCCAATCCATGAGCATGGAATGTTTTTCCATTTGTTTATGTCATCTCTGATTTTTTCAGCAGTGTTTTGTAATTTTCCTTGTAGAAATCTTTCACTGTCTTGGTTAGCTATATTCCTAGGTATTTTATTTTTTGTGGCTATTATAAATGGGACTGAATTCTTGATTTGGCTCTCAGCTGGAACATTATTGATGTATAGAAGTGCTACTAATTTTGGTACATTGAATTTGTATCCTGAAACTTTACTGGTTGTTCTAGAAACCTTTTGGCAGAATATTTATGGTTTTCTAGGTATAGAATCATACAGTCGGTGAAGAGAGATAGTTTGGCTTCTTCTTTACTATTTGGATGCCTTTTATTTCTTTCTCCTGCCTGATTTCTCTGGCTAGGACTTCCAGTACTATGCTGAATAGGAGTGGTGAGATTGGGCATCCTTGTTTTGTTCCAGTTCTCAGGGGGAATGCTTCCAGCTTTTGCTCATTAAGTATGATGTTGGCTATGGAATTGTCATAGATGGCTCTAATTATTTTGAAGTATGTTCCTTTGATGCTTAGTTTGTTGAGAGTTTTTATCATAAAGGGATGTTGGATTTTGTCAAAAGCTTTTTCGGTGTCTTTAAGATCATCATTTGGTTTTTGTTTTTAATTCTGGGTATGTGGTGAATCATATGTACTGCTTTGCATATGTTGAACCAACCTTGCTTCACAGCAATAAAGCTTACTTGATTGTGATGAATTAACTTTTTGATGTGCTGCTGGATTCAGTTTGCCAGTATTTTGTTGAAGATTTTTGTGCCTATGTTCATCAGGGATATTGGCCTGCAGTTTTCCTTTTTCATTGTGTCTTTGCCAGATTTTGGCATCAGGATAATGCTGGATTCATGGAATGTGTTAGGGAGGAGTTCATCTTCCTTGATTTTTTGGAATAACTTCAGTAGGATTCGTACCAGCTCTTCTTTGTATGTCTGGTATAATTTGGTTGTGAATCCATCTGGTCCAGAACTTTTTTTGGTTGCTGGGTTTTTATTACTGATTCAATTTCAGAACTCATTATTTGTCTGTTGATGGTTTAAATTTCTTCCTGTTTCAATCTTGGGAGGCTGTGTGTTTCCACAATTTATTCATTTCCTCGAGATTTTCTAGTTTGTGCTAATAGAGGTATTTATAGCAGTCTTTGAGGTCCTTTTGTGTTTCTGTGAGATTGGTTGTAATGTCATCTTTGTCATTTCTGATTGTGCTTATTTGGATCATTTCACTTTTTTCCTTTGTTGATCTAGTTAGCAGTCTGTCAATCTTGTTTATCCTTTCAAATAACTAACTTTTGGATTTACTGATCCTTTGTATGGATTTTCATGTCTCAATTTCATTCAGTTCTGCTCTGATTTAGTTATTTCTTTTGCTATCTTTTGAATTAGTTTGTTTTTGTTTTTCTAGTTCCTTTAGTTGTTATGTTAGATCATTAATTTGAGAGCTTTTTAAATTTTTAAGATAGGCATTTAGAGAGATAAACTTTCCTCTTAACACTGCTTTTACTGCATCTCAGAGATTTTGGTATGTTGTGTTTCTCTCTTCATTTATTTCAAAGATTTTAAAAAACTTACTGCCTTAATTTTATTGTATCCACAAAAATCATTCAGGAACAATTGTTTAATTTCTACATAATTGTGTGTTTTCAAGAGATATTTTGGTTTTGATGTCTATTTTTATTCTATGGTGGTTTGAGAGTATGGCTGGTATGATTTCAGTTTTTTAAAGTTCATTGAGACTTGCTTTATGGCTGAGCATGTGGTTGATCTTTGTGTATGTTCTGTGTGCACATGATAATTATGTATATTATGTGGTTGACGGGTAGAATATTTTCTAGATGTCTATTAGGTCCAATTGGTCAAGTGCTGAATTTCATTGTTAGTTTTCTGCCTCAATGATCTGTCTAATGCTGTCAATGAGGTGCTGATATTCCCCACTATTATTGTGTGGCTAAGTCTTTTCTTAGATCTAGAAATACTTGTTTTATGAATCTGGATGCTCCAATGTTGTGTATGTATATATTGAGGGTAGTTAAACCTTCTTGTTGAATTGAACCATTTATCATTATATAATGTCCTTCTTTGTCCTTTTTAACTGTTTCTTGTTTAAAGTCTTTTTTACTTGATATATGAATAGTGACCCCTGCTCTTTCATGTTTTTCATTCACTTGATAGATCCTACTCCATCTGTTTACTTTGAGCTTGTGGGTGTTATATTTGAGATGGGTCTCTTGAAGACAATATGCAGCTGGATCTTATTTTTCTATAAACTTTGCAACTCTGTGACTTTTAAATGGGGGCATTTAGGCCATTTACATCCAAGGTTAGCATTTATATAAGAGGTTTTAATACCATTGTGGTGATGTTAGCTGGTTGGTTTGTACTCTTGATTGTGTAGATGCTTTAGAGGATCTGTGGGCTATGTACTTAAGTGTGTTTCTGTGGTGGCAGGTATTGTTTTGTTTCCATGTTTAGAGCTTCATTAAGGACCTCTTGTGGAAAAAGGAATGCTTTTACATGGTTGGTGGGAGTATAAGTTAGTTCAACCATTGTGGAAGACAGTGTGGCGATTCCTCAAAGGCCTAGAGGCAGAAATACCACTTGAGCCAGCAATCCCATTATTGGGTATATACCCAAAGGAAAATAAATCATTCTATTATAAAGATACATGCATGTGTATGTTCATTGCAGCATTATTCACAATAGCAAAGACAAGGAATCCACCTAAATGCCCATCAATGACAGACTGGATAAAGAAAATGTGGTACATATTCACCATGGAATACTATGCAGCCATTAAAAAGAAAGAGATTATGTCCTTTGCAGTGACATTCATGGGGCTGGAAGCCATTATCCTCAGCAAACATGCAGGAACACAGAAAATCAAATACTGCATGTTCTCCCTTATAAGTAGGAGCTGAATGATGAGAACACACGGACACATGGCAGGTGGAAAGGAATAACACACACTGGGGCCTGTCAGAAGATTGGGGGTAGGAGGAGGGAGAGCATCTGAAAGAACAGTTATTGGATGCTGGGTTTAACACTTAGATGATAGGATGTTCTGTGCAGCAAACCACCATGGCACATGTTTACCTATGTAACAAACCTGTACATCCTGCACATGTACCCCTGAACTTAAAATTAAAGTTGGAGAAAAAAATTAACTAGAAGAAGAAAAACAAGAAGAAGAAGAAAACAAATCTGAGCTATTTGCGGCTCTATTGTGCGTAATTTATGTTAAAAGAAAAGAACTTATTGTTAAGCTAGTCTAGTGGTAATTAATTCCCTCAGCATTTGCTTGTATGGAAAAGATTTTATTTTTCATTTGTTTATGAATCTTAATTTGATGGGGTATGAAATTCTTGGTTAGAACTTATTTTCTCTAAAGATGCTGAAAATAGGCCCCCAATATTTTCTGGCTTGTAAGCTTACTTCTGAGAAGTCTGCTGCTAGCCTGATGGGGTTCCTTTTGTAAGTGATCTGACTCTTTTCTGCAGGTGGCTTTAAAATTTTTTTCTTTCATGTTGACCTTTGAAAATCTAATGACTATGTGTCTTAAGGATGGTTGTTTTGTATAAAGTCTTGCTGGAGTTCTCTGAATTTCTTTAATTTGCATGTTGAACTGTCTAGTAAGATGATGGAAATTTTCGTGACCTATATTCTCAGTTATATGTTCCAAGTTACTCTCCTTCTCTCTCAAGAATGTCATTGGGTTGCAGGTTTGGTCTATTTACATAATCCCATGTTTCTTGTAGGTTTTGTTTGTTTTAAAAAATTTCTTTCTTTCTTAATTTTTCACTGATTGAGTTGATTTTAGTTCTGAAATTCTTTCCTCAGCTTATACTAGTCTGTTGTTAAGGCTTCTAACTGTAGTTTGAAATTCCTGTAGTAAATTTTTCAATTCCAGAAGTTCAATTTGGTTCTTTCTTAAAATGGCTATATCATCTTTCTACTGTTGGATTGTTTTACTGGCTTCCTTGGATTGGGTTTCAACTTTCTTTCTTTCTTTTTTTTTTGGAGACAGAGTCTCACTCTGTCTCCCAGGCTGGAGTGTAGTGGTGCGATCTTGGCTCACTGAAACCTCCGCCTCCAGGGTTCAAGAGGTTCTCCTGCCTCAGCCTCCTGAGTAGGTGGGACTACAGGCACGCGCCTCCACGTCCAGCTAATTTTTTGTATTTTTAGTATAGACAGGGTTTTGCCATGTTGGCCAGGCTGGTCTTGAACTCCTGACCTCAGGTGATCCGCCCATCTCAGCCTCCCGAAGTGTCAACTTTCTCTTGAATCTAATTGAGCTTCCTTGTCATCCATATTCTGAATTCTATGTCTGCCATTTCCACCATTTCAGTCTGGTTAGGATCCATTGCTGGGGAGCTAGTGAGATCCTTTGGAGGTTAGGCCACACTCTGTTTGAATTGGCAGAGTTATTGCACTGATTTTCATCTGAAAGGAGTGGTTTTTAAAAATCTTTTTAAAGTTGCTGTTGTTTGGATGGGGCTTTTTGTTTTTATATTCCTTTTTTCCCCTTGCGTGTTTGACTGTAGTTTATGATGCATATGGACTACACAGTACAAATGTGCATCATTTCTGGGTGCTTTCGGAGGGCCAAGGCTCTGTACTAGTTCCTTAGTTGTGGCTAGATTCCTATACTGGGTTTCATAGGCAAGGTGTGCTGAAGGAATTTATTTTTGTTTGGTGGTGTAATTCAGGCTTCAATGCAGCAGATGGCACTTAAGAGTAAGGGCTGGCAGATGGGTTGTTGGACACATGCCTCTTTTGTATTTTCATGTGTTTGCAGCAGCAGTCTGGGGAGGGGGAAATAAGTGGTAAGAGATGACCCCCTTCACCAGGTCCATTCCTGAGCCTTGGGGAAGCCCCCTCCAATCACTGACATTGTTTCTGTGTTTCCTTACCCCAAGGATGGCCCTGGCGGGTTGCATTCTCCACCCCTTTTAGGAGCAGCCCAAGAGGAAGATTATGTTGCCAGGAGACCCATAACCACCCAGGCACCCACTGGTCCTCTGAGCTTGGCAGAGTCAGGGCAAGTTGTATTGTATGTCTGCAGGTGCTCTGGTGATGAAGTGGTTCAAGGGCAGAGGATCCTTGGTCCAGCCAATGGTGCTGTGGGTGTGCATCACATATGGTTCCCCTAGCCCAGGGATTTTTGCCCAGCAGACCTCTGTAGGGACCACCCAACTCATGCTCCCCATGACCAGGTCTCCCTCCAGTGTCTGCCCCAGACACCAGCCCAAGAAGCTAGATTTGTCCCAATCCTTCTGCACCCAGATTGCTGGGCTGTTGGATGTTCCAGGCCATGGGACTCTCATGGGTAGAGGCTGTGGCTGGCAAACAGGCTACGCCCTTCTTGGACTGGTCTTATGGAGAGAAGAATGCCTAGCTCCTGCACGGGTACACCAACCACCTCTCACTCTTCTTGGTGTTCTGAGAGTGGGGCTCCTCCCTGGCTTGAGCCAGGCCCCAGATCTCAGCTCAATGCACCTGAGCCTGTGTGGTTGAGACTGAGCCTGTGGCTTTTCCTCTGGCCCCTCAAGGTGGAGTAATGTCTGCGCGGGGTTGCTGAACTGCTCTTTGGCCGACAACAAAACACTCAGGTGGGGCAATAGAGGCTATGCTGTGTGAATCCTCTTGTGGAGTGACCAGGCAGGGTCCTTGGGAAGGACCAGCAGACAAGAAGACACGCAGATCAGATGTGCCTAGTCCTGTGGCAAAGACAGCCCTGCTCTCTCTTGGCTCAGCAGGAACTAGAGCCACTCATAGCAAGCTAGAGAGCCTGGGGGCATGAGCACCTATGGTTGCATTTTGTTCCAGCTGTCCCAGGTGCAAAACCTTCTGGACTCTGCACAGGTTTGAGCTCTGCCTCTGCCTACTCTCTGAACCATTTCCCCCTGACAGTATAAATATCTGGGAGTCCTGGGATCTCTTGCAATTAGGATCCCAGGGGTCCACGGCAGGAGAGTAGTGCTCTGCAGTTCCTTCACTCTAGGACCTGTTCAGAACCAGGAGGTGATCCTGGCACGCAGTAACTCTGTGCAGGCTTCCCAGCCTCTTCCCTCTTCAACTTTGGTGTTTTTGTCACCTTTCTATTGACTTTCAGTGTTTTCTCTCAAAAAATCTGTTCTGGCCAGGAGCCGTGGCTCATGCCTGTAATCCCAGCACTTTGGGAGGCTGAGGTGGGTGGATTACTTGAGGTCAGGAGTTTGAGACAAGCCTGGGCAACATGGCGAAACCTCGTCTTTACAGAAAATACAAAAATTAGCCAGGCATGGTGGTGCACGCCTGTAATCCCAGTTACTTGGGAGGCTGAGGCAGGAGAATCACTTGAACCTGGGAGGCAGAAGTTGCAGTGAGCCAAGATCACGCCACTGCACACTCCAGCCTGGGTGACAGAGCAAGATTCTGTCTAGAAAAAAAAAAAAATCTGTTCAAAGTGTGATGGTTTACTTGAGATTTTGGTTTCTCTCTGTGGAGAAGCATTTCCTGGTTGCATCCAGTTGGCCATCTGGCTCTTTCCAGTATTATTATTAATAATTTTATACCATTCCTGTTCAACCATTCTATGGTCTATTGCAGCATCTTAGTTTTCCTAAAATGCTGTTCTGAGAATAGAAATCTTCCCCTTTTGTTCATTTTCTTAAAGTCAAGCTTTTCTGCAAAGAGACCAAGGGTACCCAAAGGAAAGCCCTTCCCTTCATAAGCTTTGTCTTAGGTGAAAAGAGGAAAAGAGAGCATGACTGTTTTTCTCTTTCCCACCTGTCATTCTATTTCATCTTCAGCTTTTGCTTTTAGAAGAGCAACATACATTTTCCTTTTTTGAAAATGATATTTCATTACCCATAGGCTTTTAATTAATTCTCATAATTGAAATTATGTCAACAGAGGGTTAAATTAGTATTAGGTAGAACTTAAATTGTTTTTTCCCTAAATGTAATAAACTTTCACCTTCTGCTAATTAAAAAGGAAAGTAAGCCATTAAAATATAATCACAGTTCCTATTTTCAATAACATACACTTCAGTTAGCCTTATCATAAACTACATTTTTATAAAAATATCAAATTTTTCTCTTTAGAATGCTCCTAAAATCAGAAGTCGTCTTTCTGATATAGAATTAACACCGAATTCATAAATGATTCTCAAATTTTTAATCTGACAATTCTTGTGAAAAATGCTGCACCAAATATATGTAATACCATCGTGTGATCAAAGTACAATTGTCTTAACATAAAATATTACTCTATTATGTATATGTTGGTCTTTCAAAATAATATTATATCTTAACTGTTTTTAGAAATAGCATTTGTTTTTCCTTTTATATTCTTTCATGTATTGATCAGTTTAGTCACCTGCTAAAATGCACAAGCAGACAAATAGGCATTTGACAAAAGTTTAAGGAAAACATATGGAGGAATCTATTATTGAGGGTTTGTTAATCACACACACACACATACATACATGAGCAGACACACATTGTTGTATATGTTTTGAACGGGAATAGATTACCAACATCAGACTTTAGCAGAGAAACACGTCAGCCCAATTCAGAACATATTAATGTACTAAGAAAGTGATGTGTGAAATTCAGTGACAGTAGTCTTCTATGATCTGCAAGGGCTATGTTCCAGGATCCCAGTGAATGCCTAAAATTGTGGATACTACTGAACTCTATATACACCATGCTTTTTCATATATATATGTATATAAATAATAACTAATAATAAAATATAACAATTATGACAAATACTGTAAGAAAATTGCATGAAGTGGCCTCTTTTTCTCTCTCTAAATATCTTATTATATTGTACTTACCCATCCTCTTTTGATGGTGTGATATGATAAAATGCTTTGCATATCCCAATTAACCTGATTTGATCTTTATACATTATATTATTGTATCAAAGTATCACATGTACCCTAAAATATGTACATCTCTTATGTATCAATAAAAAATGGCTTCCTATGGGCTCAGTGTTTTCCGGGGCAACACAGATGTTGTCAATTGAAACACATTTCTGTTCATATCGCCTGCTAAAAAATTCAATGCTTTTTCCACCTTAACTTTGCACTTATCATGTACTGTGGCCATAATTTTTGCAGTCTGAGGTGTGATCGCAAAACTATCACAAATTTCTTTTTCCTTCTTCACAATTTCATGGATAAAAAAGATTCATTCTTACTGTAGATCTTAGCAACCTCAGCATAAAATTTTTATGTCTTCTTATTAAATAGAGAAATTTTACCTTTCCACTTAAGCTCTTTATGGCTTCTCTTTGGCTATCCAAATTGCCAGCATGAATACTCTTGTACTTTGGGAATCAAGTAAGGGTATTTGGATCCAAGCACTGACAGTTGATCTGATAACTGAGAAGGCTATTGAGTGACTTATAGGCTGGTAGAACAGGCAGCGTGGATACACCGGACAGAGGGAGGAGTCACATCCTCTGCAGAATGATGCAAGATTTCATCATGCTACTCAGAAAAGTGTGCAATTTAAAATATATAAATAGTTTATTTCTAAAATTTTCCATTTAATATTTCTCAGACTACAGTTGACCATGGGTAACTGAAACACAGGAAGTAAAACAGTGAATAAAGGGATACTACTATATGTATATTGTAAATATTATTTAAACTGTTAATATAAAGCACTAAATTGAAGTCTAATTTCTAAAAAGTAGACATACTTCAAAGATTGATTATTAAAAATGTACTTACAAAATTTAAATGTAAAATTATTGTAGTATAATAATGAACATTGATAATTTTTTATATTGATATATTTAAATAACACTAAGCTAATTGTTTTATTAGAATTTACAATTTTCTTTTTGTTTTTGATGGATCAATCTTTTTTAAACCTTTTCCAAAGGTTTTTTCCAAAAGATTTTCAGACTCTCAGAGTAACATGGGGCAGGTTCTTCCTGCTACTATAAACAACTAGAAAACTAGAGAAAGCATATATAACAATTTTTTGTGCATTAAACAACAGGCAGCACAGAATTCTGATCTTTGGGAAGAATACAAATGAAATGAGCCCTAGAATTGCTCTGGCTTTTTCTTGGGGGCTCATTTCAGTTTTTGGTTCAGGGAGAGGGATCTTAAGTAGAGAAGAGAGAAATTGGACTTTAAGAAAACTGAGGAGTCTAGAGGTTATGGGGCAGAGAGGGGGATACTACATAGAAAAATAAGCTTTAGGAAACAATTTGAGAGTCACCTAGAGTATTTTCTTAATTCTTAATTGGTCCACATAGAGTGATAATACATGAAACTAGTGAAGAAATATCAGGGAGCTGTAAATGAAATAATTTCCACAGATCACACAGGATAGAGAGATAGTCAAGCTTTCATCAGCTACAGTAAAGTTATTTTAGGTCACTCAGGGAATTTGGTAGAAATGTCAAAATGTTCTTAATTTAATATTATGGTTAAATAATACTTAGGATAAAGGCTACTCTAGACTCACCCTAACAAAGGTTAAACAATAGCCTCATGAGGATCAAGCTTATTATGAGAAACAAAGCCTGCTAGAACAAGTACAACAAAATCCAGAACTCAAGTATGTAACAACACAATATCTAGCATCTGGTCAGGAATTTTAGGATATGACAAAAGCTAGAAAATGCCTCCATGACTAAAAGAAAAAACAGCCATGAGAAACAGGCCGGGAAATAATAAAGGTGATGGAATTGGCAGAAAAGGACTTCAAAAGAACTATTTTATTCTGTATATCAGCAGGGATTTAAAGGAAAACATGAACATCATGAGATGAAAAATGAAAGATTTTTTTAAAAAACCAAATAGAACTGGAGATGAGAAATACTAAAATGAGAAAAACACTAGATGAGATTTATAGCAGAGTAGACACAAGCAAAAAAAATAAAAAGATAAATGAACTTAAAGCCATAATGATTGAAATGAAGCAGAAAAGAAAAAACAAAACTTAGTAAAAGGAATAGATCCTCAGGGAACTATGGGACAACATCAAGTGGTCTATCAAGTGTGCTATTTGAGTTCCAAAAGGATGAGAAAGACTCAAAGAAAAAAATTAAAGAAATAAACAATTTCCAAATTTCTAACACCAAGCACATTGCAACAAATTATTTCGCAAAATGGGTAAAGACTAAGACTTAAAGGCAGCTGAAAAAAAAAATAAATGTTATATAAAAAGAATGACAACAGACTACTTGTCAGAGATTATGAAAACCAGAAGACATTCAATGAACATCTTGAAAGTGCTATCAGGATAAAAACCAACTTGTCAATCAAGAATTCTTTATCCAGTGAACATTTGATTTTAAATATAAAAGCAAGGTAAAGACCTTTTGTAGACAAGCAAATGTGAGAGAATTCATGACCATTAGACCTGAACTATAAGAGATGTTAAATGTAGCTCATGAGGCTGAAATTGGCAGATGAACATGTAGATCTACACAAAGGAATCAAAAGAATCAGAAAACATAATTACATGAGTAAAAATAAAATAAGTTTTTCTTAGTTTTTAGGATTTTTAAAAAAATTGATCCAAAAATAATATCCAGAAATAGCGACAATGCATTGTGAAGTTTATAGAATATGTAGAAGTGAAATGTATGACAAAAATAACAAAGTAATTGGAGGAGGAAATGGAAATATACTGTTTTAATTTTATTACATTTTATGTGAAATATAATATTAGTTGAAGGTAGACTAAATTAAGTGTAAGGTGCATCCTGTAGATCCTAGAACCATCACACAAAAAATAAATAAAGCAACACACAGATAATAAACCAACAGTGGAGATAAAATGCAATACAAACTAATAATACAAAAGAAGGAAGAAAAAGAGAAAAGGAAAAAAGAAGAATAAATGTGATAAAGAGAAGACAAAGAGCAAGAAGGTAAATTTAAACCCAAATACATGAATAATTACATTAAATTAAATTCTAATTAAAAGACTGAGAGGTGGGATAGAAAATCAAGACAAATATATGCTTTTTAAAGCAAAACCATTTTAAATTTAAAAAAACTGTAGATTAAAGGTGAAAGATGAAATAAGCTTTATTATGACAAACTTATAAGAAAACTAGAGAAGGTATAACATAGCTAAAATCCACTTCAGAACAAAGAATATTACTAGGGATAGAGAGATATTTCACTGCTAAAAAGGGTCAATTTATCAATAAAATATAATAATCCTTAATATATATATATATACCTAATAATAGAGCTTCTAAATACCTGAAGCAAAAACTGACAGTTGTTAAAGAGACATGGTTAAGTCTACATTTATAGTTGAAGATTTTAATAATTCTTTCAGTAAGTAATAGGACATATAGAATATCAAAAAGGATATAGAAGACCTGAACAACACTATCAAGGAACTTAACATAATTGATATTTATAGAATGCTCCCAGCCACAACAGAGAACAAGCATGAAAAACATTCAGATAGACCATGTTCCAGGCCATACCATAAAACTAGCCTAAATACATTTTTAAATGTTTAAATAATAAAGGTATGTATTGTGACCACAGTAAAATTAAGATAGAAATCAATAACACATCGATCTGCAACATTTCTTAGTATTTACAAATTAAACAGCACATTTCTAAATGACCCATGGGTCAAAGAAAAAATTCAACTCACTAAAACTAAAAATTCAAAAGATTTCAATTTGTGGAACATGCTGCTAAAGCAAAATTTAGTGTAAAATTTATCACTTCAAATGTTTATATTAGAAAAGGAAGATGTATGGAAATCAATTATATCAGCTTTCAACTTGAGTCTAGAAAAAGATCACATCGAACCCAAATAATTAAAAGGAAGGGCATATTAATGATGAGAGCAGGAATCAATGAAATAGAAAATAGACAAACATGGAGAAAATCAGTGAGTCCAAAGATTGTTTTTCTGCATATATCAAGAAAGCAGTCCCAAATCATAACTCTAGTGAAATGTTAGGCGGTTTGGCATAAGCTAAATCAAGACAAGAGAAGGAAAGGAGGGAAATGTCACCCTGCTTTGGGAGGATGTTTTCCACTTTTCCAGTGCATTTTACTACCTTTGGGCTCCTTGACAGTTTGTTGGAATGCTGTTAGGAATAATCTGAAGCTCACTAGAATAGATAATATCGCCTCCGGATAATTTCCACGGATCTTTTTAGAAAGAGGTTTCGGCCAGGCATGGTGACTCACACCTGTAATCCCAGCTCTTTGGGAGGCTGAGGCGGGCAGATCACCTGAGGTCAGGAGTTTGAGACAGCCTGGCCAACATGGTGAAAACCCTGTCTCTACTAAAAATACAAAAATTACCCAGGTGTGGTGGCAGCTGTCAATAATCCCTGCTACTTGGGAGGCTGAGGCAGGAGAATTGCTGAACCTGGGAGGTGGAGGTTGCAGTGAGCCAAGATCACGCTACTGTACTCTAGCCTGGGTGACAGAGCAAGATTCTGTGTCAAAAAAACAAACAAAAAAGGAGCTTTCAAAATATCACTCGTAGGACTGCAAATAATGGCATAAAACATTGGTGTAATTGAAACAGGGTATTTGATCTAGATAACAACAGAGGTTTAGTATCCTAATCTGTAATACTTGAAAGACTGACTAGATGGTGTACATATTTCTAACTCTATAATTTGGTGACTTTATATATCTGTAAGCTGACAAATGGATTGATAGATGAAGTAGGAATTTGAATATTTAGAGCCTTTATATAAATTAAGTTTTATTAATAAGTTGAGTAGTAAACTGCAAAGTGATTGTAACCTCAGCCTGACTATTTCAACCTCTTCACTTTCAACTGAAGTTAAGATTTGTATTGGGAAGGCAGACACGGTGGTGTGTGTCTATAGTCCCAACTACTCGGGAGGTTGAGGCAGGAGGAGTTTGAGGCTGTATTGTGCCATGATTGAGCCTGTGAATAGCCACTGTATTGGGTAACACAGTCAGATCCTGTTTCAAAAAAAAAAAAAAAAGATTTGTGTTGAGCTCCTAGAGAATTCAAGCGACATGTTTTCTAGATAAAGTAAAACCTCCATTCATGCTCTCATTCTTCTTAAATTATCTATTTTCCCTCATTCATGAAATATTCAACAGTTTATATTTTCTTCTTCTCTCTTGTTTTTCATCATATCACTTTCATCTGGTCCCCTTTCTTTTGCTGGGACTATAGTATTGATATTTCTCTGGTTTACTTTCCATTCCTCCCTCCACACCTCCTTCCCTTTTTCCTCCCTTTCTGAAGATGTTTTTCTTTGTCATATCATCTATGGTTATACAACTTAGAAAGATAGCTTTTGGATATTTGGAAAATGGTCAGTATTATCCTTGTCCATTGGGAGACATTCTCAAGTTGTGTGAATAAGGTCTTCAACATTTTCTCAGCATTTTTGAGCAATGTACAGTGTTGACTCTAGCAAAATATTTACAAGAAGAATAAGCACTTATTGGCCGGGTGCAGTGGCTCATGCCTGTAATCCTAGCACTTTGGGAGGCCAAGGAGGGCAGATCACCTGAGGTCAGGAGTTCGAGACCAGCCAGGCCAACATGGCGAAACCTTGTCTCTACTAAAAATACAAAAATTAGCCAGGCGTGGCAGCGTGTGCCTGTAGTCCCAGCTACTTGGGAGGCTGAGGCAGGAGAATTGCTTGAACCCGGGAGGTAGAGGTTTCAGTGAGCCAAGATCGTGCCACTGCACTCCAGTCTGGCCAGGTGACAGAGTGAGACTCCATCTCCAAAAAAAAAAAAAAAAAAAGAGAAAAAGAAAAGAAAAGAAAAAAGAGTAAGCACTCATTGATAGATGTTATTAATACATGTGGAGAATATATAAAAACTGGAGGTATCATTGAAAACTATACTCCTTGGGATAAAAATTAGTATAAGTCACAGAGTTAACAATCTTAGGAAACTAGCTACAGATAAAAATTTTTGTGTATTTTAATTATTTAAAAAAGCATACCATTAATGATTCTATTTCCCATTTGGCAAAAATTATTTATCTTAAATATATTGTGGGTTACTTTCCTATTGCACATGAATTACTGAAATTGATTTCTAAAATATTTTTTCTATTTTTCTATTACCATGAGTTGGGTCTTTTTGTTTCCAGTATATATTTCAGCCAAGTGTATAGAAATTGAAGAATATATTGACTTTTGTGTACTTATTTTTAACATAGCTATATTATAGCTATATATTCCCAACCCACAAGGACTAACTAGGAGTCCACATGCTGCTATAATACATTGTTTTGTTTTGAAAATAATTCCTATGGTACTCTTGATATACATTTATGTCATCTATTAATGAATCTGTTTCTTATTTTCCAGAATTTGATATTCTATTTTTTTCCAGATTTGTGAGATTTTAAAGAGTGTGCCCTTTTTTTGTTGTTGTTTTTGAATTTGTTGGAAATGACTTTAGAGGGAAGTGGCCAAGATGGCTAACTATAAACAGTGTGCATGACTCACAGAGAAGAAAGAAGGGGCGAGTAAATACAACACCTTCAACTGAAACATCCAGGTACTCATATTGGGACTAATCAAGGAAACAACTTGACCCATGAAGAATGAAGAAAAGCAAGGCAGGGCAATGGTCCACCTGGGACAACATGGAGCCAAGGGAACCTCTGCTGCCCAGGAAATGGTGAGTGAATGAGCAACCCAGGAAACCACGCTTCTCCTACAGATCTTTGCAACCCTTGGGTCAGGAGATCTCCTTGTGAACCCACTCCACCATGGGCCTTCAGTCTGACAGAACTATGCGGAGTCTTGGCAGAACAGCTGTCCAGGCATGCATAGAGACCCTGGAACCTTAGATACTTGGGCTTTCTGGCAAAAGTAGCTGCAGCTCTGGCAAGGTGGGAGGCTAGACACCCATACATACCTCTAGGAAAGATGCTGAATCCAGTAACAGCCTGCAGGCCCCACTTCCAGGGCACCTCAAAATGATAAGACCCACTGGCTTGGCATTCCAGCCACCCACGGTAGTGGCATTGCACTTCCCTAAGAAAAAGTTCCTAGAGGGAGGGGTGTGCTGCCATCTTTGCTGTTCAGGCACCTTAGCTGTTTCAGCCATCAGGCTTTGGAGAGTCTGAGCCAGTCGGGGGTGGAAGGGATCACCCAGCACAGCACAGCACAGCTACCAAAGCCTGGCCAGACTGCTGATTTAAGCAGGTGCCTGCTCTTGTTCCTCCTCACTGGGTGTGACCTCCCAACTGGGGCCTCCAGCCCCCCAACCTGTGTTCTCCAGTTGATAGAGATCTGAATTCCCCTGGGGATGGTGCTCCAAGAGGGAGGGGCAGGCCACCATCTTTGCTGTTTGGCTGACTTAGCTGATCCAGCCTTCAGGCTTTGGAGAGTCTGAGCCAATCAGGGGCAGAAGGGATCCCTCAGCATAGCACAGCTGCTGTACCAAAATGTGGCCAGACTGCTTCTTCAAGCAAGCAGGTCCTGGTCCCACTCCTCCTCACTGGCAGGACCTCCCAAATGGGGCCTCCAAAAAACCCTGTGGGTGTTCCCTGGTCGACAGAGATTTTTAACCTCCCTGGGACAAAGCTCCCAGAGGGAGGGGTAGGCTGCCATCTTTGTTACTTGAATGACTTAGCCATTCTGGCCTTTGAGCTTCAGAGTATCTGAGCCAACTGGGGCCTGAAGTGGACCCCCAGCATAGCACAGCTGCTCTATCAAAATGTGACCAGACTGCTTTTTAAAGTGGATCCCTGATCCCATTTCTCCTCACTTGGTGGGCATCTCCAGCCACTTCCTACAGGTGCCTTTGGGTTGGCAACAGGCCCTTATCTCCCTGGGAAAAAGCTCTAAGAGGGAGGGACAGGCTGCCATCTTTGTTGTTTCACAGCCTTCACTGGTGATACCTCTAGGTACTGGAAAATCTGAGGCAACTAAAGACTGCAGTGGACCCCAAGTATACTGCAGCAGCCCTACAGAAAAGTGGCCAGAGTGTTACTGGGATGCCCATTCCCATATCTCCTCACCAGGCAGGTCCTGCAGGCCTGGGCCTCCAGCCACTCCCTGCCAGAGCTATTGAGCCAGTAGCAACTCAGCAACTCTCTAGATAGAGCCTCTGGGACAATTGAAAGCCTCTCTCCCACTCTTCTGCAGTGGAACAGCCTTTGCCACCCTCGGACTAACAAGGAGCAAAGACCCTAAGTGCCTTATCCACACCTTCAACAAGCTGACCCAAGGAGAGGAGGCCAGTCTGTCTCCCACGGGTCCCACACACCCTCCACTGCTCATCACCAGAAAGCGAACCCCTGGCTTAGACTCACAGCACAGGCCCTCCATCCTGGGCTGATTACACTGAGCGAGCTGATTACTCCAGGAGACAAACAAATGACCCTTGACCACACCCACTACTGAGATCCTCTCCTCTGCTGTCTCTAAGCTGGGGAAGGAACATAAACACTGAGATTGCCCCAGAGCTGCTGGGCAGCCAAGGAATGCCAAGTTGTGATCTATAGCCAGCACTCAAGGGGGAAAGAAACCCACACTTTCAGAGCGTTGAGAGAGAACATGGCTTCAATTATGAGGAAATATAGGAGAACCACACAACCAAGCAAGAGTCTACCAACTGACCAGTAAGCCTGAGTGCCACCTGCTTGATCACACCCCAAAGCTTCAACACCAAGAATACCTAACTAACATACCTCCCTCTGAAACCAGAGACAAGAGGTCAGCTTCAAATAAAGACACTACACAAAGCATTGGCCTGGTTATAACATCCAGAGAATAAGTCTATTGACTACAGTGTATTCAATCTACACAGTAGTTAAAGGAACACTCACATACAGAGATTAAGAAAGAACAAACGCAAGAACTCCAGTAACACAAATGACCAGAGGGTCATATGGCCTACAAATGACTGCACCAGTTCTCCAACGAGAGTTCTTAATCAGGTCATACTGGCTAGAATGACAAATAGAATTCGGAATATGGAGAGGAACAGAGATCATTGAGACTCAGGAGGATGGCAAAACTCAATCCAAGGGAAATAAGAATCACAATAAAGTGATACAGGAGGTGAAGGACAAAATAGCCTATATGAAAAAGAACCTAACAACCTAACATGTCTGGCAAAGGTGAATAACACAAGAATTTCACAATGCAATCACAAGTATCAACAGTTGAGTAAGCCAAACTGAGGAAAGAATCTCAGCACTTGAAGACTAGTTCTCTAAAATAAGATTGTCAGACAAAAATAAAGAAAAAAGAATAAGAAGTAGTGAACAAAACCTCCAGGAAATATGGGATTATGTAAAAAGACCAAATCTGTGAGTCATTGGCATCCCTGAAAGGGAAGGGGAGGAAACACACAACTTGGAAAACATATTTCAGGATATTGTCCATGAAACCTTCCTCAATCTTGTTAGAGGCCAACAGTCAAATTCAGGAAATACAGAGAACTCCTGCAAGATTCTATACAAGAAGATCATTCCAAAGACATTTAATCATCAGATTTTCCAAGGTCAAATGAAAGAATGTTAAAAGCAGCTAGAGAAAAAGGGCAGGTCACCTACAAAGGGAACTCCATTAGGCTAACAGCAGATCTCTTAGCTGAAACCCTACAATCCAGAAGAGGTTGGGGGGCCTATATTCAACATTCTTAAAGAAAGAAAACTTCAGTGAAACATTTTATATCCAGCCAAACTAAGCTTCCTAAGTGAAGGAAAAATAAACAAATGTGGGAATTTATTGCCACCGGACCTGCCTTATAAGAGATCTTGAAAGGAAAGTCCACTACCAGCTAATACAAAAGTGCACTTAAATACACAGACCAGTGTCACTGTAAAGCAACCACACGAACAAACCAACAAAATAACCAGCTAACAGCACAATGACGGGATCAAATCCACACATATTAATACTAATCTTGAATGTAAACAGGCTAAATGTCCCATTTAAAAGGCACAGCATTGCAAGCTAGATAAAAAAGCAAGACCCAATAGTGTGCTGTCTTCAAGAGATCCATCTCACATGTAATGACATTTATGGGCTTAAAATAAAGGTATGGAGGAAAATCTACCAAGTAAATGGAAAACAGAAAAAGCAGGGGTTGCAATCCTGATTTCAGAAAAAACAGATGTCAAACTTATAAGGTCCAAAAAACACAAAGAAGGGTGTTACATAATAGTAAAGGGTATAATTCAACAAGACCTAACTATTCTAAGTATATATGCACCCAATACAGGAGCACCTGGATTCACAAAGCAAGTTCTTAGGCACCTACAAAGAGACATAGGCTTACATACAGTAATAGCAGGAGACTTAAACACTCCACTGACAGTATTAGACAGATCACTGAAGCATAAAATTAACAAAGGTATTCAGGACGTAAAGTCAGCATTGGGCCAAATGGATCTGATCGAACTTTACAGAACTCTCCACCCCAAAACAATGTAATATATATTCTTATCAATGACACATGGCACATATTCTAAAACTGATCACATAATTGGACACAAAACAATCCTCAACAAATGTAAAATAACTGAAATCATACTAAATATGTTCTGGGACCACAGTACAATAAAAATAGAAGTCAAGACAATGAAAGTTGCTCAAAACCATGCAATTACATAGAAATTAAACAACATGCTCCTGAATAACTTTTGGGTAAATAATGAAATTAAGACAGAAATCAAGAAGTTATTTGAAAATAATGAAAACAAAGATACAATATACCAGAATCTCTGGGATATAACTAAGGCAATGTTAAGAAGGAAATTCATAGCACTAAATGCCTACATCAAAAAGTTAGAAAGATTTCAAATTAACAATCTAACTTCACAACTGAAAGAATTAGAGAACCAAGAACAAATCAACCCCAAAGCTAGCAGAAGACAATAAATAACAAAAATCTGAGCTGAACTGAAGGAAATCAACATGAAAAACCATTCAAAAGATCAACAAATCCAGGAGTTGGTTTTTGGAAAAAATTAATAAAATAGGCAACTAGCTAGAGTAATAAAGAAGAAAGGAGAGAAGATGTAAATAAATACAATTAGAAATGATGAAGGGAATGCTACTACTGACCCCAAAGAACCATCAGAAACTACTGTGAACACCTCTATACACACAAACTAGAAAACCTAGAAGAGATGGATAAATTCCTGGACACATACACCCTCCCAAAACTAAGACAAGAAGAAACTGATTCCCTGAACAGACCAATGATAAGCTCCAAAGTTGAATCGGTAATAAATATCCTATAAACCAAAGGTCCTGGATTTAGGAATGGGCAAAGATTTCACAACAAAGGCACCAAAAGCAAGTACAACAAAAGCAAAAATTGACAAGTGGGAGCTCATTAAATTTAAGACCTTCTGCATATCAAAAGAAACTATCAATAAACAGACAACCTACAGAATGGGAGAAAACATTTGCAAACTTTGCATCTGACAAGGTATAATATCCAGAATCTATAGGAACTTAAAGAAATTTACAAGAAAAAAAACAAATAAATGCATTAACAAATGGGCAAAGGACATGAGTAGACAATTTTCAAAAGAAGATACACATGTGGCCAACGAGCATATGAAAAAAAGCTCAGTATCACTGATCATTAGAGAAATGCAAATCAAAACACAATAAGATACCATCTCACACCAGTCAGAATGGCTATTATTAAAACAAATAACAGATGCTCACAAGGTTGTGGAGAAAAGGAAACATTTATCCACTGTTGCTGGCGGTGTAAATTAGTCCAACCATTGTGGAAAGCAGTATGGCAATTCCTAAAAGAGCTAAAAGCAGAACTACGATTCGACCCAGAAATCCCATTACGAGATATAAACCCAGAGGAATATAAAGTGTTCTACCATAAAGACAAATGCACACAAATGTTCATTACAGCACTATTCACAATAGCAAAGACATGGAATCAACCTAAATGTCCATCAATGACAGATTGGATAAAGAAAATGTGGTACATATACACCATGCAATATTATGCAGCCATAAAAAAGAATGAGATTATGTCTTTTGCAGAAACATGAATGGAGCTGGAGGCTATCATCCTTAGCACACTAATGCAGGAACAGAAAACCAAATATCACATGTTCTCACTTATAAGTGGGAGCTTAATGATATGAACTTATGAGCACAAAGAAAGGAACAACAGACACTGGGGTCTAATTGAGGTGGGAGGGTGGGAGGTGAGAGAGGAGCAGAAAAGAGAACTATTGGGTACTGGGATTAATACCTGGGTGATGAAATAATATGTACAACAAACCCCCATGACACACATTTACCCTTGAACAAACCTTCACATGTATCTCCAAACCTAAATAAATTTTTTTTAAAAAGAAAATGACTTGAGTTCTTAATGCTGAATTTTTTATTTAAAATAGATTTTCCTTATTTAAAAATCCTTCTATTCTCATTAAAATTTTAACAATTTACAGTATGTACTAAAGTTATTATCAAGATATAGAATGTTAATTTTTAGTTTATCATGCATTTGTGGTAACTATTTTAATAGCTTGCTAAATACTGCAGCATCCTTACATTCCCAGATTGAACTTTCTTGATCACGGCATGGTGTAGCACTGAGTTTAAAACAACTTCATGAGAAACAAATTGTTCATAATAAAATTTTCTTTTAAAAAATTGGCCCCCAAATAAACACTATCTATTACTCTTGTTTTAAGCAGGATTTCTTACTAGTGTCAGTGGTCAACTCTGGATCAATATCAGTCAATTATTTTTAAAAAATGGCACTGGTTTGACATGAAGTGATAAAATATTTAGTATATTTTTAGTGGAGAGTGATTAAAAGAAGAAATTGTTGATAAATTAATGGAAACATTTCTAAAAGGGAAGAGGTATAATTCATTACAAATTAATTGAATTTTAAAATACTTAAGAAGTCTTAAAGCTTGGAATGACAGTTTTCTTTTCATAGCTTTTAATCTCCTTTTCTCAATGTAGAAAGGAAGAAGTAATCAAAACTCACACACAAAAGAATACCCATGACATAACCCACTCTGAGCCTATCATTATTAATATATTCTTGCACATTTCTCCAGATCTTTTTTCCCAACACATATACTAAATTTTAAATAATTACAAAGATAGAATAAATATCATACATATAATCTGGTTTATTTTCATGAATATCTTTCCAAGGCAATGGGTAATTTCTCCAAGGTCATAGGTAATTTCTCCAAGGTCATAATTAATGATTATATACAATTTCACTCATATACTCTATTTTATTGGACTATCATTTACTTAGTTGCCTATTATTGGGCAGTGTTATTTTTTCTAACATTTCATTATTATTAACAGCACAAAGCAAAAATGAATTGTAAAAATTGGTTGTAAATAAAAAGGAAATGCATTTTCAACTGTAAAAACAAACAAAACCTTCCAACATTTAAACACAGACAAAATAGACTCAGAACAATTTTGAAAAAATTCCCCCAGGTGCACCAGTTACCAGCACCACCTGCTATACATATTCATTTTCAAACAATTAATTGTCATAACCAAATAGATTTTGAACAATTGCCTTTGACTTTTAAAAATTTAACATATTTGTATCTAGATTTATCTATTTATTATATTATCAATTTTAATTGATATTTCATACATATATGCCAGTTGGACATTTTTATCAAGCTTAAGATTTTCATATTTTATTCATTGAATAAATCAAGTAGCTTCCCACAATTTTTCTGTTTTCTGAAATAAAATATCTAACATGAAAACAATCTATTCTGTGGTATTTGAAGTACTTAATTAGTAAATCTCTCAGCATTTGACATATTTTAGAGAGTGGCTTTTAATACATGTTTTTCAATATCATATATATATATATATATATATATATATATATATATATAGCCTGTATAGCTTTTTCAACTTGTGCCAACTTTTATATTTAAAAATTTTTTGTTGACATTCTGTCATTTGCTCGAGCAATTAAAATCAATTATGAGTAGTAAATCATAATACTTAAAAAATTTGGCCAGGTGCCGTGGCTCATGCCTGTAATCTCAGCACTTTGGGAGGCCAAGGCGGGCGGATCACGAGGTCAGGAGATCGAGACCATCCTGGCTGACACGGTGAAACCCCGTCTCTACTAAAAAAAATACAAAAAATTAGCCGGGCATGGTGGCGGGCGCCTGTAGTCCCAGCTACTCGGGAGGCTGAGGCAGGAGAATGGCGTGAACCCAGGAGGCGGAGCTTGCAGTGAGCCAAGATCACGCCACTGCACTCCAGCCTTGGTGACAGAGCGAGACTCCGTCTCAAAATAAATAAATAAATAAATAAAAATTTCTTTCTCCATTCTCATTTCAATTTTTGTTTGTCTTTTATCATCTTTGGCTTGCCTGGAATTTTAAATCTTATATTATTGGTTTACCAGCAAAATTAGCTTTTAGATTTGTCATTGATCTATTATTTTTCTACTGTCTAAAACATCTCCTTGTGTAAACATCAGCATTTCTAGAAATAATGGTGTCCAGATATTATACAGATTGCTGGAACTTTTTATTATGTTTCAATAGTCAGCCCAAATTTCCAAATTTTAAGGAGCAACTTCACAAACACATTGACATGTTAAAGAATAGGTATCATTATTTCACAGGTAACATACTTAAGAAACCTTTTTGTGTGAAAAAGTGACTGGACTCATACCGCAATATGTAGAAATATATTTCCAAATTTTTTTATCTGCATCTAATATGACAAAATCTGTAGTGTTTTTATCTATATGAATTTCTAAATGTTCTATAATAGTGATCTTGCATTTTTCTCTGACATAATTACTATTGTGGGAAGTGTGTCTATAACTTTTCATATTTTCTGACATGTAAAGTATCTGATTTTATTGTGTTGGATCTTGAGAAAAGAATCTATACAATTTTTGGTGTTTTAAATCTACCGCTTTTTTGTTCTTGGCATAGTATAATATCAGTGTTTGTGAATTTTCTGTGGACACTTGTGAGTTGGAAAGGAGTGGGAGGAGAAGAGAGTTAATGATTTTTAAGTACACACCGTATAAAAAGGCTTTCAGTATTTATCTCATTTAACCCCCACAACAACACAGTGAGGTAAGAGTTATTATCTACACTTTTTTTTTCATTTGAAAAATAGATATACAGTTAAGTGACTTGCCCAATTACATCTTGAGTACCTGGTCATGCTGGAACTCAGAGTAGGGTGTGTGTGATGCCAAAGGTTCCTGCCCTTTTTACTAAATTACAGTGCCTTTCAAGGAGATGTAATTCCTAATAGGGGTGTACAGAGTTTGATGTATATCTAATTGTGGTGCATTTACTGTATTATTCATTTCTTTGCTGTCTTTATTCAATTTTTAATGGGGATTTACCCAGGATAATTGGATGCTGTAATTTAATAGTGGATTTTTAGAAATGTGCATTCCCCAGGCAATCGGTCTCATCCAGCACAGTTAGTGGTTTCAACCACTAACTCCTCCTGGCTGTCAGCTTCCAAACATGTAGTTTAGCTCCAGACTTGAGCTCGGCAAATATGTTTTTAAAAGCACAGATGAAATGCTTTATCATATTGGATGATTAGTAAGGAAGATTAATAAGCTTTTACTACAAAGTATTTGGAAAACATGAAAAATATAATAAAAATCATCTCTAATTCCACAAGGTGAGAGAACCATTAATATTTTAATGAATTTTCTTACTGTCCAATTTCTCTGTCTTTATATGGGCACACACACATACATATTTTATTTATCAGTTTGATTCAAACCAAATATTCAAACCATTGTAACCTCCTCTTTTTTACTTAACTATATAATGTGAACATTTTAATATTATTAAATATTATTCTAAAATGTGATTTTTTATTAGCCTCACTGTATTGTGTTGTGTGTATGTATTATGGGATAACAATTACATATTGTTGAGCATTCAGGACTACAATCATGTAATTTTTACACAAGTTACGGGGTGGTTGTTGGTGTAAATTTGAATTGCACCTAGTTACATAACAAATGAAATTACTATTAATAAAATTTTATTAGGCAGCGTGGCCTTGGAATTGAGCAGCCAAGAACCAATAGTGTTGAAATATGCATTATATCTTTGACAATATCACCTTCAACAATTTATCTTAATGGTACACTGCATTGCAGCTGGATTTCATCATGAACTGTCTCTCCAGCAATATCCCAAACCTTTCTCTCTGCAAAATTTGCACTCTTTAGTCTTTTTCTCAGGTGGTCTAATGCTGCCAACCTTTTCCCGTGCTGATGACAACAGATATGAGAACTAAGGTGACCCTTCTAGATAATAATCTTCTACAGACAGGTGAACTGGGAAAGCACATTTTAAATGGAATTAAATACTGTTGTATAAATCTTGATGAGACTATTCATTACTAATGGTTCTTCTATTCTTGGCATGCTTAGAATTTCATTCTACACTTTCTTGAATCTGTTATCTGTACATTTTTGCTTTCCTGTAAGTGGTTTGTGAAATAAGGAGAGCATTTACTTTCCATTTGACTATGCTATAATAGCTTCTAAATAGGAAAGTTGTGAGAAAATGTTCACATATAATGTGAAGCTATTGAATTTTTTCATAAAAGATGAGAAAAAGCAAAAAAAAAAAATCTCATTTCACCTAATGCATTTCACAGATTGCCATAAACTAAGACTCTTTATCATTGGAAAGAAAATGCTGCTTTTCTTCAATAGGAAACATACATATTTGCATTATAACAGAATGGGAAAGTTGTAAACAGAAGGGTAAATTTTGGTTGTTGCTATGCAGACTGAGCTGTCATAACCCTCAGAGATATTTGGAGAATATTTTTACACAAAAGGTGAGGATCTAATAATTTGTTCATTAAAATCTATGATTTACTTTCCATACATAAATAACCCCATAAAATTACCAACATCTCAATGACTTCAGGCCTTCTAGGGCAACTTTGTCACCTATCTTGATGACCCTTTTAAAACTCTAGTTTCATAACATCACATTTGCAGAACTTCCATATTCATGTAGTTTTAGTCAATACTGGACATTCCATTGATCTCTTTGACTTACTCTACCTCTAACATCAGAGATACAAAAATTTCTCTCCTATTATTTAATAGTTTCCATTCTCTTCGAGACAAGCCATTGTGTTCATTGTGCCATCTTTTCCTGACCTAGCTTGGCATTTTTCATGTCCACTGTCACTTTCCTGGGTATTAGGGCCTCTCTTTCCAACCTGAACTTGTTGAATGCTTTATTTCTTTGACTTCCTACCATTCCTGTCTTCTATTATCTTAATTAATTTAATCTAAATTAATCCCCAGATTCTAATTTCCACTGCTACTCTTTCTACTCCTGAGCTGTCAAGAGTTGATAAAGGTATGTTGCTGAGCAAATCTATTACACATCCATGCTACTTAGCCCCATTGGGGCTGTCATTGCTGCTCAGTATCCCTATTCCCCGTATCTGCAATGAATGCAGCAATTATTTTGAGCTCTTTTCAGGTTACTAACTTGACTCCAATCCCCCAGTTCTGAACAGATACCTTCTAAACTAATCAGGAGACAGGAGGCATCTAACGTCAGTTCTGTCACTCTGTCCTTTTGCACTATGATTCCTCCCGCCTGCTTCTTTATTTTATATATTTGAGAAAAGCGTCCTTACTGCAATGGTTCTCAGACTCTAGTAAATCACAGAACCATTTGAAGACCTTAACAATGGAGGTTTCCTGCATTTACCTTACAGACAACGCTTAAGCAGGTTTGTAGTGGGGCCCAAGAATCTGAAATTGCATGACTACTCCAAGGAGTTCTGTTGCAGAAGGGCCATAGGCTCACTCTGAGAAAAACTGCTTCAGGGCCAAGGCTCACTTTTGCTCGTCCTCTGAATCTTGTCTCTTCTACTAGAATTGAGATAAGCTGGAACATTAAGTTAAATTTCAATTTCAGGTAAACAACAAATAATTTTTAACCTATGTCCCAAACATTGCAAGAGATATGATTATGCTAAAAATTATGTAAAGGAGAGTTTATTAAGTATTAACTTACATGAACACCTGGCCCCACAATAGGCTGTCTGAAAGCTGAGAGCAAGGAGAACCAGTCCGAATCCCCAAACTGAAGAACCTGGAGTCCCATATTCGATGGCAGGAAGCGTCCAGCATGGGAGAAAGATGCAGGCTGGGAAGCTAGACCCATCTCTCCCTTTCACGCTTTTTTGCCTGCTTTATATTCGCTGGAAGCTGATTAGATTGTGCCTACCAGATTAAGGGTGGATCTGGCTTCTCCAGCCCATGGATTCAAATTTTAATCTCTTTTGGCAAAACCCACACAGACACACCCAGCGTTAATACTTAAGTCCCTCAATTCAATCAAGTTGACACTCAAGTATTATTCATCACAACATCCTATAGTTTTACTTGCTAAACATGAGACCCTACTTCTGACTCTATCCAAGGCTCTGTTTCACTTCTTTTTTTTTTTGTCTCTGATGGCTGTTAGAAAACAACTGCTTGCTGTTAGCCTATAAATGTGCTTGGACCTCAGCTTTCCTCTATACGCAGGACGAACTGAGCTTGGACTTTGCTTCCCACTGTTATTTCTCTTCATATTTCTCCAGGAGTTATCTGTCCATGATGACTCATCATTCTCTTTATTTCTGCTATGCCTTTCATGTAGATTAATCTTATTTCTCATAGCCTAGATTTCTGCTTGTTAAAATTCAGCTTCTTTAATGCTCAACTTGGTTGTGCTTCCCCACAACCCCATGTATACCTCCATCACTGCAACTACTTTCCTCTCATATAAAAATGTATCTTTGGTGTGGTTTTCCCATTGGTCTGTATGTTAGTTCCTTGGGGACTGAAACTGTTTCCCCAGTGTCTCACACAGTGCTAGGTGTACGGTAGATAGCAATTGGCATTTCTCAATGACTCTGTAAATGTAATCCTACCTTTTGCATGAAACTTTCTCTGTTCTTTCACCTGTTCATTGCCTATTCTCTGGCCTTGGGTTACAGGTATTTGTGTATTTATTTTACTCACCATTTCCCAGTCCCTACTTTCCAATGGCAAGGATCAAGGCTTATTGACTCTTGTATCCGTCTTCGTATGAAAGTTACTGTCTTACAGCATATAAATCCTTTAAAGCAGAACTACTCTGTTACCATGCTATACTGGTATTCTATGAATAGCTCATGGTTATACTTGCTGAGAAATGGATTTCATCAGCCTGGGACAGTCATCTTCACCCACCAACAGCCCATTTTACCCAGTGTGTCTCCCAAACATATTTTCTATGTGTGCTGTGATGTGGTAAAGATTAAGAATCACTGCTTTGTTGGTAGCAATTGAATAAATGAGTAGATAATTGTTATGTACTAATATTTAATATTGAGTGAGTTGCATAACTTCTCTGCCAGTTTCCTTGAAAGATTGTTCCAAGTTTGTGTTGATATTCTTCATAAAAACTCTTAGCTTTGTTTCGTTTCATTACTATAATGGCAATGATGAGGGTACAATGCCTAGTGAATGAATTGTGATAAGGGTTCTTTGTGATAAGGATTACAGACTATACAGAGGAAGTTAGGTACTCTCTCCTTAAAGAGATGTCAGTATAGCTGGGGAGACAAACACTCAACACATAGAAGAAGTACCAGAGTAGTCTATGGTGAGTGTCAAATGCATGTGACAGAGATAGAGTGCTGGAGAGCTCAGGAGTCAAGTGGTTAAGGGAGGGCTGCCCAAGAAGGTGGGTAGAAGATAGGTCTTAGAGATGGTTGGGAGTCCTACCGGTAACATGGGACATGGCTGACATGAACTATTCTAGGAAACTATTTAACTGTAAGAAGGAAACCAAGATAAAAACTGCTATGTACTTTCTAGCTGAAATTATCAGCAAGTGACAAATTTCAAATTTGATTTACTTGAAGTTTTTGACACATCATTTGAAAATACTTTTAGTGACAATTATTCCCGTTTTTGGTAATTAAAAAATAAGACAGTCATCCATAAATGTAATTTCCTCTCCCTTTCTCTGCTCTGGGTGGGGCTATGCTGTTTTGATGCCTTTATTTGCTGTAAGCATTCTTTTTTCTCCTTCTTTGTGCTCCTTTCTCTCCTTTGTTTATAATCAGAATGACTTTAGATAAGAAGGAAGGTAACTAGAAATCCAGATTCTCAGTGCAGGGGCAGGTGACCCTTCTGAGATCTCGGCCACTTGTAGTTTTTGATCAGCCATAACAAAGAAAATGATGAAAAGGGAGAAGTGAGAACTGGGAGAGCAGTCTGTAAAACCATTCTCCAGACTGTGGCTCCACAACCTCCAGCAGGTGGACTCCATTCCTCTGAGTATTTAATCAGGATTTAAAACTAAGAAAAGTGAACTGAAAACCTGGAAAGTGGTACCTGCTTTAAAAATTTCCTAAATTGGTCTTATTAGTAATAGCTTTAATGTGATGCTGGGAATACACTTCCTATTAAAAACCATTTGCTATATTGGCTGTTTTGACTTGTGGCTTATCTTAAAATGAGTTGACCTCACTGATATCTTACAAAACACTTCAGTGTTACAGAATTAGCTCTCAACTCTAACCTGAGTACACAACTTTAGTTTCCTGTAAATTACTATACAAGCTCAAAACCATTTAGAACACAGAGCACTTGATTCTTTCCAGGCACAATCAATGGAATGTCGTTTTTCCTCCATGTGATAGATACCATTGAGATTTTGTTCTCCTTGCATGATGCATTAGTATATTATTGTAACAACACAAGTATTACAATAATGAAAGTAATATGTTAGTGGTAATGACAGTCTTTACCACTTATTAGAAAGGCCAATATCATTATTAGACAATAGATTTAGATGGAAAATTTTCACTGGGATCCTTAACAGACCAAAGAGTGCTGAGGTTCTGGGAGAGTTGATCAGAGGTTTTCATGAAATCGTCTAAAAGGAAAGTAAGTTGCCTTCATTTCTCTCCAACCCTTCCCTTAGTGACCTCCCAATTATTTTCAGTAGTCTCATGAGGTCAGAATCTAGTCTATTTTTTTTAGAAACCATTCCATTTGCCCAAGAGTATTTGGTCCAAAGAAGGTCAGGATGTGTGTTGACTGACTGTCAGCTGCACTCAGGAGCCCAGTGTGTTTCTTTGGTCTTTCTTCTTGTGTCTCCACCAAAACTTATTCATCCTTTACTTGAATTCTAATTGTCACAGGCAGTGCTAATTAATAATGAATTAATAAAATAGATAAACCCATTGAGATAATGTGTTAATACTACTTTTCTCTTTTAAACAACGTTATGTCCAGTTGAAATAATTATGTATCAAATTTGTCCTTATAAAATGATATTAATGGGAGGAATTTTAGGCTATATGCAATTCTGTGGGAAAATATTTTCATTGATAATAACTGTTTACATGAAGTGATTAGATAATTCTTTTGGCATTTCATAAATGACACAGTGTAGGCAGCACAATCCATGGAGGCTGAGACTTGGAGGAGTTGTGAACATGACTCAGAGCAGTTCTAGAAGGATCAGCATGACCAGAAACAGGTTAGCCTGGCTGACATCAAAGAGTGAATGCAAATTCACAGATTATTAAACATTAATGGCTATACTAAACATGACAATCCAATGTCATAAGGATAACTAGATAGCTTAACCTAATAGACAGGGTTATAAATTCTTGAGATCAAATGGAAAAAGAAAAAAATATAGATTATCTTAGTTTCATTATTACTGGTCAAACACTAGGAAAGTTTATAGCTTTCAGTAATCTTTGGAGGAAGAGAACAAAAAAATGAAAAATAGAGAAAAATAAGATTGGGAGTAATTCAACAATTTACTGAAGAATGAGACATCTGTAGTCTACCCACTCTAAGTATAATTATAAGTAGTATGCATTGCTTTTGTTTCTTTTCCTTTCTTTCTCTCGAGCCATTCAATGTTGGTGATATTTCATATGAACACTGTATTTATCAAAAGTCTCCATTTGGAGGGAGGTATAACTCTGCCTGAAAATTGGATCATCTGTTGATAGTGTGTCGTGGCGAAGGCAGTCTCCTGGTCTGTACCTTTCTCTACACCAGCCTACTCTCACCCTGCTCACCTTTATCGCTTTGTCTTTGCCCTTGGAGTGTGCCCCAAGGCTACAATTTGCCACATCAAAGCAGAACATGGGTGCCCTGGGTTATAGGGGTGTAGGCTGGGACCAACGTGTATACCTTTTTGCCTTTGCTTATCACATTCTGAAACAAATATGTACAATGCACATTTGTTTATTTTACATGTATGGATTCATTCATACACATATACCAACAAAGACACTCATTCATAAGGATGACCTGTCATAACAGAATTTGTGAAGCTATTGCTTCTCTCATCATTGAAAATTTCCTGCTCTAGCTGCACAGATACATCACATATTAAATGCAACAAAACAACAGAGATATAAAGTCTACACACACCTATTCCTCAATTAATAATAATTTATCAGAATTCAGAATCTAGAATATTTGAAAATCATAGTAAATTCACTTTAAGGAATAGTAGATTGCTCATGGACACAAGGAACCTGGGCATTCCATATCACCATTTTGTATTTTTTAGTTAATTCCAAAGCAGCCACTAAATAAAGTAAGTGCCTCTCCCTTCTTTCTGTGTATAAACAAAGTCTTCCAACTTGTCAGGTTTCATGTTTCCAGAATTTTTCAGCCACAGAAACTGATGTCCTCAACTCTCAGGGCTAACTCTACTCATTTTACTGGCAGTTCTTGCCAAAGAAGGCTGTATGTATCTCAGGATCTTTTTACTGGGCAACTAGAACTTTTGCTGCCATGAACTTGGTGATCCTTGTGCAGAGTGCAAGGGCCCTCCCTACTGCACAGAATCCTAACACCTCTTCATCTAATCATTGTTGGTGCAGAGCACAGAGGACAGTTCTTCTGAGCTGGTGTTCATATTGGTTCTCCAATTCCTAGAGGCTCCTAAGCATGCAATCCAATTCTATTTGTCTTGGTCCTTGTCAACACCCTCCCTGTGAGGGATCAAATCTTTCTCCATACCCACCATGCTACATGTTAGGGCCTTGCTTCAAACTAGTTCTGTCACCCAGATCAATGAGCCTATCTGTTGGCTGACATTGACAAATTCTGCATGACCCATCAGATTGAACCCCGGGTTCAGTGCTAACCTGGACAGTACCAGAGATGGTCACGCCATGATGGATGTCATAGGTTAATTATGTGTCATCCCTGTTTTGAAAGTTAGCCCTAGAATCTGGTTCACTTTTTCCTTCCCTACTCCCATGCCTCTACGGATAATAGATAGAAAATATTAATTTTTTTATGGGGGCAACTAAAATTTATCTTAAGAGGAATGTGTCTATTTATAAAAATCTTCATGTGCAATTTTAGATGTGGAAAGATAAAGTTTAGAGCCTGAAAGTGTGAGCTAGGAATGACAAAGAACTGTACTCTTTTTCATAAGAAATGGGTATTAAGGGTAGATAAGTTCTGGAGAAAGTTGAAGAAGAGAGAGTTTAGAAACATTGCTACAGACTGGAGTCTAAGGAAAATGGATAATTAAGCACATTTCTTGATGGCAAGAAATGGGAAAATGGATTTTAAGAACAGGAATGTTTGACATTTTATTTTTAATTACTTCCTATAATATTCAAAATATAGAAAATAAAATTTGGAGTAATTAAATAACTTTCTGGGAGGAAGTTTAGTTACTTATTTTAAGTGTTATTAGAAAATCTATAAATGAACATTAGAATTGCTTTGTTTCTTTTCTTGCTTTCTTGTTTCCATCCTTTTTTTTTTTTTGGTACTATTTTACAGAATGCAATACTTAACCAAAAATACCTGCTGGGAGGAAGACATATCACCATTCTCAAAATGACTTGTCATGGGGATGCGCCTCCAGTTGTACATGCCACTGCTGTGGACATTTGAGAGCCCTTGGGGCTAGCCCTGTGGAGCTCTCTTTGAAAACCACAGAGCTGAGTTTACTCTGAGTTTTTTTCTAAATTTAAAATTCCCTGACTGTATGACAGATTAATGCTGCTCTTTTATGACTCATCTTAATCCAAAAGAATTATAATAAGCTGTAAATGATTAGGCAAAAACATTTGACTCACCAATTTGCATACATTTGATATAAAAATGTTGGCATGTCCAACAACATTACCTTCAAACCTACCCAGATTCTACTGCTTTTCCTCATATTCACTAGTACATCTCTAACCCAAGACTGTTATGTTGCAAACCAAAACATGCGTAGAGCAATTGTGATGTGCCAGCATCCTAAGAACCTCCTAGCAACTCTGTAAAGTGAGCATTATTATTACTGCTGTCTTACAAATGAGGAAAGAGGGGTTTAGGGAGCTTAACCCACTTGCTGCAGGCCGCATAGCTGATATATGAAAAAGCCAAGATTCGAAGAGGCTCTGAGTCTATTAACTCATCCCCCATATCACATAGCCTTGCCATTGTCTCTTACCTGGCCTCTCTGTTTCTATTCTTGCCTGCCAACATTCCATTCTCCACACCATGGCCAGAGTGGTTTTCTAAAAATATAAACAAGATTGTGTCGCTTCCCTGCTTAAAACAGCTAGTGACTTGTCATTGCACATAGAATCAAATTGTATGCATTCCCTACTGTGGCTTATGAAACCTCACAGGGTACTCTCCTGCCTCCTTCTTTATCAGTGTCTTCATACCATAGCATAAACTGCATGGGTGCAGGGATTTTGTTGGTTTTATTCATTGCCGTATCTGCAGCATGTTAACAGTACCTGTCACATAACATTAAATGAATGAAGGAATTGTTAAGTAGACCATTTAGATTGAAGGTAGGCAGATGGGGAGAGGAAACTCATTTATTATATGGATCATCCTTTTGCATTGATTCTTCTCCTGAAAATCCTGAGCTCCAAAACACCAAGACAAGCCTCTTGTTGTTTTCAGGTTTGCCAAGCCCTAGGTATTTACTCATATCTTAGAACTGCATTTATATTTGACCAGAAAATATGTTCTGCCAAAGTCTATGTTCATACTTAACACTATTCAATAAATGCTAAGGAATCTTGTTGAGGTGGGGAGGAATTGACCACTTGGCCTTTCATCTTTTAAATCAAATAATTTACAAATTTAAGCACCAATATTTGTTTAGGGAAAAAAGCTTTTTAATTGTCAATATTTATTTTTCTTTTGTACCTCAACGAAACTATCAGAATATTCTGAAGAGAAGAATTTGATCTTTTTACTCTACTGAATGATTCACATAGTAAGTACATTTTTCTTCTTAATGACCCTCTTCTACATCTCTTGAATAATCTTCTTATATGCTACACATATTTAAAGTAAATGTGTTCTGTTTGCCAACATAAAAAATGATCCCTGTTGTTAAAATGTCCATACTACTTGAAACAATGTACACATTGAATACAATCCCTATTAAAATTCTAACGGCATTCTTCACAGAAACAGAAAAAACAATTCTAAAATTTATATGGGACCACAAAAGACTGAATTGTCAAAGCAATTTTGAGGAAAAAAAATTATTACTGTAGCTTTGTAATATAATTTGTAATTGGAAAGTATGATCACACTTCATAGATTTCACCTTCTGATTTCAAATTAATTACAAAGATACAGTAATTCAAACAATATGATACTGGCTTAAAAACAGACACATAGACCAAAGGAACAGAATAGAGAGCCCAGAAATAAACCCAAATATATATGGTCAACTAATTTCTGATAAGGGCACAAAGAAGACACAGTGGGGAAAGGATAATCTCTACAATAAATGATGTTGAGAAAGCTGGATTTCCACATGCAAAAGAATGAAACTGTACCCTTAATTTGACACTATACACAGAAATCAACTCAAAATTGGTAGAACTGTAAATGTGAGACCTGAAACCATAAAATTCCTAGAAGAAAATATAGGGGAAAAGATCCTTGACATTAGCCTTGCCAAGGATTTTTTTGGCTATCACACCAAAAGCTTAGGCTATAAAAGCAAAAATAAATAAATGGGACTATATCAAACTAGTAAAATGAACAATTAAAAAAATTAAAAGCCAGCCTACAGACTGAGAGATAGTATTTGCAAATCATATATCCTATAAGAGGTTAATACCAAGAATATACAAATAATTCACACTACTTAATAGAAGAAAAATAAATAACCCAATTTAAAAATAGGCAAAAGATCTGATAGACATTTCTTTAAAGAAGACATAAAAAAGGCCAAGAGGCATAAGAAAAGGTGCTCAACATCATTAGTTATGAAGGAAATGCAAATCAAAACCACAATGACCTCATACCTATCAGAATGACTGTTATCAAAAAGACAAGATATAACAAGTGTTGCCAAGAGAAAAGGGAATCCTTGTACATGGTTTGTAGAAATATAGACCGGTGCAGACATAGTGGTAAACAGTATGGAAATTCTTAAAGAAATTAAAAATACAGCTACCATATGACCCAAGAATCCCTCTTCTGGATATATCCCCAAAGGAAATATCATCACCATCTTATAAAAATGTGTGCACTCTCATGTTCACTGCAATACTATACACAGTATCCAACATAAGGAAACAAAGTGTCCATCAACAGATGAATGGATAAAGAAAATGTGAGATATGTATGTGATGAGTGCTTATGTGTGTGTGTGTGTGTGTGTGTGTGTGTGTGTGTGTGTGTATTTATATAATGGAATATTATTAAGCCTTAAAAAACAAAGAGGAGGAGATACTGCCATTTGCCACACTGTAGATGAACATAGAGGACATTATGATAAGGGAAATAAACCAGATACAAGACGAAAAAAATGAAAAATAAAATACTGCACAATCTCACTTATATGTGGAATTAAAATGAAGCCTAATGCATAAAAATAAAACAGTAAAATGGCTGTTATGGAGAGGCTGAGGGAAAGAAATGGGGAGATGTAGCTCAAAGGATACAAACTGGAGACATTTGGATGAACAAGTCTAGGGATCTAATGTACAAGATAAGGACTGTAGTTAATGATATTGTATAGTATAATATTTGGGAATTTTGCTGATGGAATAGATTTTAGGTGTTCTTGCCACAAAAAAGGGGTACCTATGTGAGATGAGGAATATGTTAATTGGCTTGACTATAATAACCATTTCACAATGTGTGTGCATATCAAAAAATCATGTTGTACATCTTAAATATATACAATAAAGCATAAAGCAAAAAAAAAAAAAAAACCCAGAAAGAGATGTGACTGTCACTTCAGTCAGATTTTCACATATTCTGTCTTATTTTTGAAAATGTATGCACAGGTTCTTGAATAAATAATGCAAGATTCTGTATTCATTTCATGCCAAGTCTGCTCTCTATTTTTTTTTCTTTTTTTTGACATGGTCTTTCCTGCTCTGAGCCCAAATTTTTAAATTTTCCCCCTCAAATGGGAGAGTTCTCAGCCTATAGAATATTTTAGGAGTTATGATATATTTTGGAGAATTCTTTGAGTCTTTATTTATGTATTTTTTTAAACTTCATTGGATCAGTCAGATTTTGCTGGTGATTAAATCACTCTCACAATTTAGTGGACTAAACAGATGATGTATGATTCTCTGGGTTGCCTGAACACATTCTTTTCTGGCTTTCCTTGGCTCACTCTTGTGGCTGCATTTAGCTGAATGATTGTGTAAGCAGGCAAAGCTGAAATGGCTTCATCCACACCTATGGCAGTAGGTGCTGATCCTCAGCTAGGGCCCCCGGTTCTCCTTCACAACGCCTCTTCTCCGGTGGGCTAAACATTTTCCTTGTGTGGTGATCTTAAGGAAAAAGCAGAAGCTGTAAAGTCTCGTAAGGCCTAATCTCAGAAGTTGCATGACATCACTTCTTTTGCATTCTATTGGTCAAAACAAGTCACAATATTGGTCTGAATTCAAGGGTGGGAGGTAAGTGGTCATCAGCTCCTGGGGAGAGCAGCAGAGTCACATTGCAAAAGGGTGAGCATACTGGGATGGGAGGAACTTGTGGCTGTCTTTGACAATTTATTACATTCATTAACTTTGTGCAACTTTTGAGTCAGTTTCTTTCCATTGAATTCCCAGAAATCAACTCCCAAATCTACTGAATTTTGTAGATTGGGAAAAACTGTAGTATTTTGGCTAATTTGCTCTAAATAATAAATTTCAGCTCAATCTTGATCAGATAGCCTATAATCACTTAATTTTGTGCAGTATTTATAGTCAATGTTGTTATAATTGCCCACTACTTGGACAAGAATCTGGTAATGACAGAAGGCCTCTTTAGAATTATTTCTGTTCAAGTAACAGAAAATCCTATTCAAACTGGTTATTCTATAAAAGAGAGTTATTATTAACATGAAAAATCTAAAATTAGTGCAAGTGTCAGGTATAGCTTGATCAAGACATTTAATAATTTCATCAAGAAACCCACTTCCTTTTTTTTTTCTGCTTTTTCTCTTATGTTGTTGACTCTTCATTCTCGGGTTGGCTGCATTTATGGTTCCTAGATTAATGTCTGATTATCCTAGGGACATCTACTTATATATATTTATATCTAGCCAGAGACATGTTTGCCTCAGATTTCTCTTTAAAATCATGTTTATTGGATGTGTTTGTTACATGTCTACCACTGAACTAATATCTGAAGCCAGAGGAGCAGGATTTGCTGATTGGGTTAGCTTAGTCCACATGCTGAGCCCTATGGGTAAATACTGCTTTTTTGGAAATGCATGTCTTCCAAGCGGAAATTAACAACTGTTGAAGAGGGGGAATAGAGACTGAGGAGGCCACCAATACACCAGTCGGTTTTAGGAACAACGAGTTTATTTTAGGATTATTTTGGCATGCAGTGAGGTTTCTGTGGCAGTCCTGAGGCCAACCCAGGTATAACAGTTCATATTTTGAGAAGGCCAGCTGTAAAATGGGAGGTGAACTGGTGGGCCAGAGGCCAGCTGATCATCAGGGAACCACAGGGCCAGATAAGCTGAAGCAAAAGAAAGGCCTTGGCGGGCCTAAGGAAACTGCAGTGACCTTCCAAACAGAGCTGAGTGCTGTGGACAACGTGGAGGAGTGGCATGAGAACAAAACAGGCCTTGGTTGTGTTGGGGCAGGTGCAAAACAGGTTGAAGGACATTAAACAGCAGTCCTGTATTGGCATTTCCAAAATGGCTTTACACAGCATCCCCCTCTGCCGGGAAAGAGGAGGTCATGCTGCCCTGCACCCGGCTGCAGTGCCCACAGTGCCCTAACGACTGTCATTGTTTCCCACAGTGGTGGGAAACTCCTTCACACAGTGAGGGAGTTCTGAAAAAGAAGGGCTTGCATGTGTGTATCAGAGGACCTGCGGTATTACTGGCATCATGTTTCATTTGGCCCTGTCTCTATTTTAAAATAAACGCTGATCCCACTCTTAAAAATGGTTTTACCAATGAAAAATAATGTTACCTGTTTGTTTGTTTGTTTGACTAGAAAAGATAAGAACACAGTACCTGTATTTCTACAGGACAACTGCCTGGATCCAGTGGTTGCTACTTATTTTTAAAGAGTCTGTGGTGTGGCCTCTCCAGAGTTCATCATCTAGATAGTGCATGCAGTGGTTACACTTGCCTACACCCTTGATTGACTTGAGTTTGGAGCCTTTGTAAAAACTAAGCAGAATTAATCAGAGAAGTAGTTAAAGGACCTAAGCCCATGGTTTTTTAATGCCTAGAATCAGAAGCAAAATTATTGGTATCAAAGGCACTTTCCATTCCACAATAATTGTAAGCAACTTGAATCATCATAACAGATGGATAATAAAATGAAAAGCTTCCAAGACTTTGAAAGTGCTTTCTGGGTGGCAGACGCACCTTCCGTGATAGCCTAAGGCATGGTGAGGCTGAGCCAAGGCACTTGAATTTCCACTCACCTTGTGGAGCCTGTATAGCTTGTCTCTTGATACTGTGGCTTGGCTTATAAAATAAATAAATATAATTAAAAACTTGCTTTTCAATAATCCTTTATCTTACTAACATATTTAATCCTTCTGCAGTGGGAACACTGAGGAGAAATTGCTCATATATTTTTCTTTTTCTAATACGTCATTTATTTTCCAGTTAAAAAAGCAACGTATACTCATTATAGGAATTTGAAAAATATAGACTGATTACTTATCCACTAAAAATAAAAGGAAAGAAAACCACCCTCCTACAGTTTCATCATCCATAGGCAAATTTTGATTTATTTACAATTCTCCTTTCATCTCACACATTTCTCAATTCCCCTTTATCTCAATCTCCTCTCCAGCTGTTGACCTCTTTCTCTGCCACTATTTGCAGAAAATGTCCTCAAAATAGTTGTCCCCTCTGTCTGTAAATCCTCTACTCCCCTTCTCTCAGGAGCCCAATCCAATTCTGTTAATACCACACCTAGAACTTTTGGTGTTCAGGTCACAAGTGAACTCTGATCCTAAGTCCAGTGGTCAGTCTTCAGACAGGATTGACACATTTGTTAATTACTTCCTTCTTGAAACATTGTGTATACTGGCTTTAAGGATGCCATTTTCCCTGGTCTCCTTATATCCACCTAGCTGCTCTTCCCATTCTTCTTCTTTGTTGTTTTCTTGGTCTTTCCCATCTCTAAACATTGACAGCTCAGGGCTGACTCTCACTCCCCTGTATAAACTCATCCAGGTTCAAGTCTCTAATGTTATGTAGATGGCTTCTGCCAGAACTGCTTCTCTCAGACCCACATTTCCAATTGGACATCCCGATAGGCATATTAACTTGAACTATGCCAAGGTTATTTTTGATTCACAATTTGTACATAGTTATGGGGTACATGTGATATTTTGTTACATGCATAGAATGTGTAATGATCAACTCAGAGTATTCAGGGTACTCATCACGTTGAGTATTTACCATTTCTATGTGTTGGAAACATTTCAAATCCTCTCTTCTAGCTACTGTGAAATATACAATACATTGTTGTTGACTATAGTCACTCTATTCTGCTATCAAGCATTAGAATGTATTCCTTCTATCTAACTATATGTTTGTACCCATTAATCTTCATCCCAACTCCACCTACATACATACCTTTCCCAGGCTCTATGACCTATTCTTCTATTCTCTAATTCCATCAGATCAACTTTTTTAGCCCCCACATATGAGTGAGAACATGTGATATTTGTCTTTCTGTGCCTGTCTTATTTAACTTAACATAATGATCTCCAGCTCAATCCAGGTTGCTGCAAATGAATAACATTCCATTGTGCATATATACCCCATTTTCTTTCTCCATTTGTCCACTAATGGACATTGAAGTTGATTCTGTACCTTGGCTATTGTGAATATTGCTGCAATAAACATGGGGTGCCAGTATTCCTTTGATATACTGAATTCCTTTCCTTTGGCTAAATACCCAGTATGTGGATTACAGGATTTTATGATAGTTCTATTTTTACTTTTTTGAGAAATCTCCTTACTGTTTCCATAATGGCTGTACTAATTTACATTCTCCCAAACTCTGTATAAAAGTTTCCCTTTCTCCACATCCTCACCAGCATCTGTTACTTTTTTTCTCTTTTCTTTTTAATAATAGCCATTCTAACTGGGCAAGATGATACCTCATCGTGGTTTTGATTTGCATTTTCCTGATGATTAGTGATGTTGAACCTTTTTCCATATACTTAATGGCCATTTATAGGTCTTCTTTTGAGGCATGTCAATTCACATACTTTGCCCACTCTTTAATGGGATTATTATTATTATTATTATTATTATTATTTTTACTGTTGAGTTGTTTGAGTTTCTTATATATTCTAGGTATTAGTCACTTGTTGGATAAATAGTTTGCAAATATTTTCTCCTATTCAACAGGTTGTTCTTTCACTCTGCTGATTATTTCCTTTGCTGTGCTGAAGCTTTTTCATTTAATATTTGTTGATTTTTTTGTTGCCTATACTTTTGAGAACTAAACCATAAAATCTTCGCTTATATCAATGCCCTGAAATGTTTCTCCTATATTTTCTTCCAATGGTTGTATAGTTTCAGGGCTTATATTTAAGTTTTTAATCATCCTGAGTTCATTTTTGTACATGGTGAGAGATAGAAGTCTATTTTCATGCCTCTGCGTATGAATATCCAATATTCCCAGCACCATTTATTGAAGAGAGTATCCTTTTCTTAAAGTATGTTCTTGGTGCCTATGTTGAAAATCAGTGGGCTGTAAATATCTGGTTTTATTTCTGGGTTCTCTATTCTCTTCCATTGGTCTATGTGTCTATTTTTATAGCAATACTATGCTGCTTTGTTTACTATAGCCTTGTAATATATTTTGAAGTCAGGTAGAGTGATGTTCCAGCTTTTTTTTTGTTTTTTGGTTTTTTTTTGCTCAGGATTTGGATTTGTTTTTCTTTGGCTATTTGGGCTCTTTTCCAGTTCCATATGAATTTTAGTTCTTTTTTTTTTCTAATTCTGTGAAAAATGACATTGGTGTTTTGATAGAGATCACATTGAACCTGTAGCTTGCTTTGGACACTATGATCATTTTAACAATATTAATTCTTCTGGTCCAAGAGCATGGGATATCTTTCCATTTGTTTATGTTCTCTTAAGTTTCTTTCATCAGTGTTTTATAGTTTTCCTTGTAGAGATATTTTACCTCCTTGGTTAAATTGATCCCTAGGTATTTTATTTTATTTTTTTGTAGCTATTATAAATAGGATTGCCTTTTTAATTTCTTTCTCAGCTATTTCATTATTGGTGTATAGAAACACTACTGATTTTTGTACACTGATTTTATATCCTGCAACTTTACTGAATTTATTTATCAGATATAAAAGTTTTCTGGTGAAATCTTTAGGTTTTTCTCTATATAAAATAATGTCATCTGCAAAAGCAGATAATTTGAATTACTTTTTTCTAATTTGGATGCATTTTATTTCTTTCTCTTGATTAGTTGCTGTAGCTAGGAGATTCAGTACTGTGTTGAATCAAGTGGTAAAAGTGAGCATCATTGTCTTGTTCCAGTTATTAGAGGAAAGGCTTTCAGCTTTTCCCCATTCGGTATGATGATAGCTGTGGGTTTGTCATATACGGTCTTTATGTTTAGGCAGGTTTCTTCTATGTCCAGTTCGTTGAGAGTTTTTATTGTTAAAGGATGTCGAATTTTATCAAATGGTTTTTCGGCATCTATGGAGATAAACGTGATTTTTGTCCTTTATTCTGTTGATGTGATGTATCACATGTGTTGATTTGTGTATATTGATCCATGCTTGCATCCCTGGTATAAATCCCATTTGATCATGATATATTTTATCTTTTTGATGTGCTGCTGCTGCTGGATTCAATTTGTTAGTATTTTGTTAAGGATTTTTGTGTCTATGTTCATTAGAGATATTGGCCTGTGGGGTTTTTTAAATTGTATTCTTGTCTGGTTTGGGTATCAGGGTATACTGATCTTGTAGAATGAGTTAGACAGAATTCTCTCCTCTTCGATTTTGAAGACATTGGTGTTAGGTCTTCTTTGCAAGTTTGGTAGAATTTTGTGGTTTCATTCCTAATCCAACCATTTCTCATGACTTCCACCTTTACCAGTCTGGTTTCAACCACCACCCTACTACTGGGTTATTGTAATAACTTTCTCAGTGATGTCTGTGCTTCTGTCTTGCCTCCCTGTAATACCTAAATCAGATTACAATACTCTTTTGTTTATAACTTTTCAATGGGTTCCAAACTTCATGTTTTTAGCCTTGCATGATCTGGCAATTGGTTAATTCTCTAATCTCATCCCCATTCTCTCTTTGCCTGCTTTCTGCACTCCAACCATATGGTCACATTTTTGTTCCTTAAACAGCTATCATGCTCCTGTTTCATGGTATTTGCTCTTGCAGTTCCTTCTGCCTGGAACCTTCCTTTTCTGGAAAGCCTCTCAGCTCATTTGCTGCCTTGCTTCATTTATATCTCTCTTTGAAGGATTTTTAATCTGTGAAATATTGAGTTTTCTGTCACATAGCCACAGTATATCTTTGTTTATTTAGGTCTTCTTACTTTTCTCACCAATGTTTGGTAGTTTTTATTACACAGAACTTAGATATCTTTTGTCAGGCTTATCACTAAGTATTTAATATTTTTTGATGTGATATTCAATGGTAGTTTTTTGTGTCTATTGATGTGGTCAAATCAGTTAATGCAGAAAAAGCATTTGAGAAAATTAAGCATCCATTTCTTATTAAAGTTCTCAACCTAGTAAGGATAGAAGGGAAATTTCTTAACCTAATAAATGGCATCTACAAAACCCTAAAACTAACAGTGTACTTAATGGCAGAAGGCTGTCAGGAATAAGAGTATTCATCTTTATAGGGGAGGTTCTACCAGTATAGTAAGGCAAGACAAAGAAATAAAATGCATCCAGTTTGGAAAGGAAAAAGTAAAACTATCTTTATTCACAGATGGCATGATTGTTTTATATAGAAAATCCTATATTATCTACTAAGTACTAAAACTAGCAAGTGAGGTTAGCAAGGTTGCAGGATATAAGTTAGTATACAAATATTAATTGTATTCCTAACAAAAGATGTGGAAAACTTGTACCCTAAAAACTGTAAAACATAGTGAGAAACTATTTAAATATGCTGAAAGCCCAATCAATAAAAAATTAAACATATCTTTTAATATCACATCAAAATACAAAATACCTGGCAATAAACCCTTACTTTGGTGGGATTAATTATATTTGATCTTTATATGTATATGTACATATAATAGATATGTAATATATATATAATATACATGTAATATAATCCTTTGCTGGGATTTATTATAGTTGAACATTATATTTTTTTATATATTTTGGAGCCCTTGTGCTAAAATTTTGCTTAGAATATTTACCTCTATATTCATGAGACATATTGGCCTGTAGTCTTCTTTTCTTAAGCATTTTTGTCTTGTTTGGGTAATGCTGGCATCATAGAATGAACAGGGAATTATTCTCTCCTCTTCACTTTTCTGGAAGAATTTGTTTAAAACCAGTATTATTTCTTCCTTAAGGCTGTGGTAGAATTCACCAGTGAACCCATTTAGACCTAGAGTTATCTTTGTGGGATAGTTTTTAAGTGAAAATTAAATTTCTTCAATAGAAATAGGCTTATTCAGGCTATGTATTTCTTTCTGAGTGAGGTTTGGTAGTTTTTATCTTACAAGGAATTTTTTCATTTTATCTAAGTTATCAAATTACTTGGCATAAAGTTGTCCATGATATGTCCTTATTATCTTACTATTAGCTATAGAATCTGTACGGATGATGCTTCTTTCATTGTTATTATTAGTAGTTTTTTTATTCTCTCTTTTTTTTCCTGATTAGTCTGGTTAAAATACATCACTTTTATAAATCTTCTCAATAAAAGAGGTTTTGGTTTCATTGGTTTTCTCTAGTATTTTTCTATTTTTTATTGCATTGATTTCTTTGTCTTTGTTTTTGTGGAGAGGTCTCACTATGTTGTCTAGGCTGGCCTCAAACTCCAGAGCTTGAATAATCCTCCTGCCTCAGCCTCCTGAGTAGCTTGGACTAAAGGCATGTACTACAATGCCCAGCTGACTTTTGTTTTCATTTTTACCATTTTCTTTCTTTTGCTTACTTTGCTTTTTTTTTTCCAAATTTCTTAATGTAGAAATTGAAGTAATTGATTTAAACCTTTATTATTTTGTAACATATGCATTTAATATTACAAATTTTCTATAAGTACTGCTTTAGCAGTATTCTACTTATTTTAATATATGTGCTTTCATTTTCATTCAATTCACTCTACGTTGTCTTTCCCTTTTGATTTTTTTCTTTGATGTAAGTGTTATTTAACAGTGTTAGTTTCCAAATATGGAGGATTTTTTCAGAGATCTTTCTGTTATTGATTTCTAATTGAATTCTATTGTGGGCAAAGAAAATACTTTGTATTTAAAATATATGAAAACTTTTTAATTACCAAATATTGTTTATGTTGGTAAGTATTTTGTGTGTATTTTAAATAAATGCATATTCTGCTATTTTTGCTTAGAGTGTTCTATAAATATCAACCAGATCAAATTGATGGATAGTATTGTTCAAGTCTTTTGTAAAAGCCTTACAGATTTTCCATCTACATGTATTATCAGATATTGAAAATAGGGTTTTGAAATCTCTGACTGTTATAGTGGACATTTCTATTCCACCTTGCAGTTCTTTTTTTTTTTCATCATATACTTTGAAATTCTGTCTTAAGTACATACACATTTAGAGTTGTTATGCAATCTTGATGAATGTACTTTATTATTATTATGAAATGACCTTTATCTATGACAATATTCTTCATTTTGAAGTCTTCTTTGATGTTAATATGGCCACTTCAGCTTTCTTTTGATTAGTGTTTCCCTTTCCATCAGTTTCCCTTTCCATCTTTTATTTCTTTAATTTTAAACCTATTGGCATCTTTATGTTTGAATTGTGTTCCTTTGATGTGGCATATAGTCAAATCTTTGTTTTCTATCCAATCTGACATTTGCCTTTGAATTGGCATGTTTAGTTTGAATTTATGGTTAGACTTAAGTATATTATCATGCCATTCACTTTCCAGTTGTTTCATCTATTCTTTGCTACCCTTTCCTTTATTTTCTTCTTTCTTTTGGGTATCTTTTATGATTTTTTAATTGTTATTGTTGGCTTATTGGCCACAATTTGTTGTTTTGTTATTTTAGTATGTTTTTCTAAAATATACAGGTGGAGCATACCTTATCTGAAATGCTTGGAAATAGAAGTGTTTTGGATTTCAAATTTTTTCAAATTTTGGAATATTTGCATTAGTTATACTTACTGGTTGTGCATTCCAAGTCTGAAAATCTGAAATCCAGAGTGTTTTAATGAGCATTTTATTTGAGCATCATGTTGGCACTTAAAAATTCTGAATTTTGGAGGATTTCAAGTTCTGGACTTTTGGATATGAAATGCTCAACGTGTCTATCTTTAACTTTGCACACTGTACCTCCAAATTATATTGAACACATCATGTATAGTGCAGGAGCCACTCATTTGTTCCCTCCAGGCACTTCTACTATTGTTGTCATACCTTCTACTTTCTCAAATATTTAAGCCCCACACTATACTCATATTATTTTTGTTTTAGCAGTCAGTTATTTTTAAAAATGTATTTTTGAAAATCTTACATATTTATCCAAATAATTAGCATTTCTGTTGTTTTCATTTTTTCTGTAGATCCATACCCTCTCCATCTGATACAATTTTCCTTCTTCTTGGAAGACTTTGATATTTCTTGTAGTATAGCTTTGTTCTAAACACTTTTACATTTTGTTTGTTTTGGAAAGATCTTTTGCTGGGTATAAAACTGTACATTGGGATTTTTTTTTTCACTACTCTAAATAAGTTGTGTAACTTTTTCTTGTTTTCCTTGTTTGCATGAGAAACCTACTGTCATCCTCATCCTCTTTCTTGGTGTGTAACCTGTCTTTTATTCTGGCCCCCTTAAAAGATTTTCCTCTTTATCACTAGTTTTGAGCAGTTTATGAGTTGCCCTGGTGTCATTTTCTTCATGTTTCTTGTGTTTGAATACATTGATTTTCTTGGATCTGCACGTTTATAGCTATCACCATATTTAAAAAATCCCTGACCATTCCAACTTCTTTTGTATAATGCTCTCTCTCCCTTATCGAGACTGCAAATACTTGTATATTAGGCCACTTTGTTGTGACCTAAAGCTCATATATTTATTCAGCTTTAAAAATTCTTTCTCTATATATTTAATTTTGAATTGTTTATATTGCTAGGTTATTAAGGTCAATAATAATTTCTGCAATGTCTACTCTGCCATTAATCTTATCCGATATAGTTTTCATCCAGGACACTCAAGTTTTCATCTCTTGAAATTTAATTTAGTTCTTTTTCGGATCTTTCATGTCTCTGCTTAATGTTTGGAACATTTGGAGTGCAGTTACGTTAATTGTTTTAATGTACTTGGTTGCTAATCCTAACATTTATGTCATTTTTAAAAAATAGTTAATTTTCTCCTCATTAGAGGATATATTTTCCTGCTTGTTTGCATGTCTGGTAACTTAATTGGATAACAGACATTATGAATTTTATCATTCTGGGTAGAAGAACAATTTATAAATATGCTTTTGCTTGATTCTCAGTCAATGTTAAGTTACTTAAAAATAGCTTGACCCTTCAGGCCTTGCTTTTAAGATTAGGAGAGTCCTAGACTAGTGTTAATTACTTTCCTCTACTGAAGCTTTTCTACCACTTCCTGTGTACTTTACCCAGTTCCACAAGAATTATGAGTATTTGGTCAGACAGGTTCCATTCCCTGTGTCATGTGAGTGCGGCTGGGTACTGTTTTCTCTAATTCTTTCAGGTGGTTATTTCCGCAGCCTCAGAGCTTGGCTACTTTTTTTATAAAATAAAAGTTAGACAACCATGTTTACAAAAATAAAACAGAAAAGACAATAATAAAATGAGAAGTAAAATTTCTCTTTCATTGTTTTTGTATATAACAAAACCCTCTTCTAAAGTTAATTATTTATGACTTTTTTGGTATAACTTTTATGCATTTATTAGAAAGATTCCATATATATATCTTTTTATCCAACTGTATTATACTTGTTTATCTAGTTTCTTTGATTAGAATAGCATGTACATGGTTATCATTTAAGAATAAATGTAAGTGCACAGCATATTCTGTATTCAATGTTAATCATTTATTAAATTATTTTAGGAATATATCAATTATCAAATGAGATTTTTTTCCCATTCCCTTCATGATACCAAATAGATCCAGGTCCTAGGTATGTGTTTTAAAATTAGATATAATAAAAATATTTTGGTAATTTGCTCAAGGAACCTAGTTCTTGGTCTTAATGAGGATTTTATAAACTGTGTGCTATGTGCAAGTCATTTAGTCTTCCTGAGTCTCAGTTTTCTCATCTGTCATTAAATCGTATGGAATTAGGTTATATCTAATATTAATTCCAATTGTGAATTTAGATGACATCCTTAAGTTTCTTCTTTAGGACATTATCAATAAATGGAAGAGTTTTGTTGGCAACCTGGCTTGTCATTGGTGGGTGATGATGAGGACATGTTTGCCTGATCGTCATACTCACAATGGTCTTACATTTGGTTTTATATTTTTTTTCTTTTCAACTTTTATTTTACAATCAGAGGGTACATGTGCAACTTTGTTACCTGGGTATATGGTGTGATGCTCAGGTTTGGGGTATGAATGATGTCATCACTGAGGTACTGAGCATAGTAGCCAACAGTTATTTTATTTATTTACTTATTTATTTTTTAATGATAATTTAAGTTCCGGGGTACATGTGCACAGCATGCAAGTTTGTTACATAGGTATACATGTGCCATGTTGGTTTGCTGCACCTGTCAACTCATCATTTACATTAGGTGTTTCTCCTAATGCTATCCCTCCCCCAGACCCCCACTCCCCAACAGGCCCCAGTGTGTGATGTTCCCCTCTCTGTGTCCATGTGTTCTCATTGTTTAGCTCCCACTTATGAGTGAGAACATGCCATGTTTGGTTTTCTGTCCTTGTGACAGTTTGCCGAGAATGATGGTTTCCAGCTTCATCCATGTCCCTGCAAAGGACATTAACTCATCCTTTTACATGGCTGCACAGTATTCCATGGTCTATATGTGCCATATTTTCTTTATCCGTTCTATTACTGATGGACATTTGGGTTGGTTCCAAGTCTTTGCTATTGTGAATAGTGCCACAATAAACACACATGTGCATGTATCTTTATAGTAGAATGATTTATAATCCTTTGGGTATATACCCAATAATGGAATTGCTGGGTCAAATGGTATTTCTAGTTCTAGATCCTTGAGGAATCGCCACACTGTCTTCCACAATGGTTGAACTAATTTACACTCCCACCAACAATGTAAAAGCTTTCCTATTTCTCCACATCCTCTCCAGCATCTGTTGTTTCCTGACTTTTTAATGATCGCCATTCTAACTGGCGTGAGATGAAATCTCATTGTGGTTTTGATTTGCATTTCTCTAATGACAAGCGATGATGAGTATTTTTGCATATGTCCCCAACAGTTATTTTTTAAACCCTTGCTTCTCTCCATCCATACACCCCCCCATAGTCCTTAGTGTTTATTGCTCTCATTTTTATGTCCATGAGTATCTAACATGCAGTATTTGGTTTTCCGTTCCTGCATTAATTTGCTTAGGATAATGGCTGCCAGCTGCATCCATGTTGCTGCAGAAGACAGGATTTTGTTTTTTTTAATGGCTGCATAGTATTCATTGGTGTATATGTACCATATTTTCTTTATCCAATCCACTGTTGATGGGCACCTAGATTTTCTTTGCTATTGTGAGTAGTGTTACAATGAACATACTAGTGAATGTGTCTTTTTGGTAGAGTTATTTGTTTTCTTTTGGACATATACCCAGTAATGGGATTGCTGGGTCAAATGATAGTTCTGTTTTAAGTTCTGTGAGAAATCTCCAAAATGCTTTCTACAGTGGCTGAACTAACTTACATTTCCACTAACAGTGTATAAGTGTTTCTTTTTCTCCACAACCTCACTGACATCTATTGTTTTTTCACTTTTTAATAACAGCCATCCTGACTGGTGTGAGGTGGTATCTCATGATGGTTTTTATTGCATTTCTCTGATAATTAATGATGAGAATTTTTTCATGTTTGTTGGCTGCTTGAATGTCTTCTTTTGAGAAGTGTCTGTTCATGTCTTTTGCCCATTTTTTAATGGGGTCGTTTTTTTTTTGCTTGTTCAAATGCGTTACATTTGGATATTTGATGTTATTACCAAGTGATGGTGTACACATTATTACAGAGAAACTCTGACATAAATGAAAGAAAATGTTAATCATAGAGCTTTATTCTCTTTTCCTATTACTAGACACCCCATTTGCAGTAATTTTTTTTATAATTATCGCATGAAAAGCACATTTATATGGCATTGGATTTTTAAGTTAAAATGTTAATTTGTTAAGTGGAAACGTTTAAATTATACTACAACTTTTGTAATATTGTTTTGAGATTTCTTTAATTTTTAATAAATTGTGAGTGTAAAAAATGCCAGTGCCCTTATCCTCTCTTGACCTGAAGGTTGCTGGAGTATGTGTGTCAGAAAGATTAAATCTAATATGCAACATTTCATTTAGAGTGCTTGGACTGGTTCTCACAATCCTACCAGCTGAGGCTATATTTTGAGTTTGTTTTCCTTCTACTTATATGCACATATACATATGGTAGGCCTGAGATAATGAGATTCTTTTCAATTTAAGCTGCCTGTAGTTAGACATATGAACAAAACACCTCCGTATAATTTGCCTTCCTTCATGACATTTACATGGGTAGATGTGTTTTGATTTGCTTTTGTGTAGCAAATACTGTGTTATCTGGGCCAAAAACATTTCACCGTCAAAATTAAAGATGGTAAGCACAGCTGATTTTTAAGAGTATTTTGGGCAGCTGCAGAATTCTGGTGACTATCCACCAGGCATTTTATTTCTTCCTTGCCCAAACTGAGTCACTTTCTATCTTAAGGCTAAGTTGATATAAAAAAAAATCATCCTTTGCCTACTGATGAAATAAATATACAAGTAAAACAAAACTAATTAGGAGGTACGTCTAATGGAAAAGCCTTATGTTTAAGAAATGCATACATAATTTTGAAATTAACATAAGCCAGTACCCACCCATGTATCATTGGACCAGAAGTTCATCATTTTTAGTTCCATCAGTAATTGTTATTTATTTCTCTAAAATTATGCATCATTAGATATTTTCCTATCATAATGAAAATAAGGTATATGAGCTAAACATATATTTAGGTTAGAATATAATTGAAGAAAATTAATACTTGATTTAAATTTGCACGAGGGAAGATTTGAATCTGAGATGAAAAGTGATAATTGTGACTAAATTTAAGTATAGTCCTTGAAACCACTTTCTAAAGTTCTCTCAGATATTCCATTTATATAGTCTTTCCTATTCATCATAATATATTAGTTACTTTGAGAAAATTAACTTTATGCTTTCACCAATCCTACATTAATATCATTAACCCCATTTTACAGCTGAAGAATCCAGAACTTACTGGGCAACCCACACAGCTGGAAAAAGAAAAAAAAAGGCCTGGATTTTAATTCAACCCTGTCTGAGGCAAAGAGCCTGTTCTTTGACGCTGAGACACCCATTCTGCCATGAGTTGTGTCTTGCTCTGCAGCCCATTCACTTTCCAACAATGCCTAGTGGTGAGGGATTGGGCTTTATATGGGCATGGCCATGAGCTGACTCTCGAATGGCTCTGCCAACCCTTCCCAGGAAATGGCCCAAGGCTGGGCACGCTGTTCTGCTTCCCCCATCCCCAATCCCGAGTTACCTTCTTTGTGCAAGGAGCTAATTTGACATGGGGTTGAGTGTTAATGAGTCACACCACTCAAGAAATGGCTGCTTTCTCCCCACAACTCTCTATGCTAGACCTGCTGGGGGAAGCACCTGAAGTTAGCATTGCCCAAAGTGTTTTGAGGAACTAGTCTGTGTTAGAAGAAAAATAGACTCTGTGGTCAAAGAACTGCAAACAGTTGGTCTGTGTCAACTTTAAGAGGGTCAGAGTCTTTAACGTGTTAATCTGCTTCACTGGTTTCCAAGAGACAAAGTTAACATATAAGATACCCCAAATATATTTGACCACATCTAGCTGGTTTTATTTTTTTAAATAGAGCCTTTTAGGAGAATAGTATTCTGTGTAAGATACTTTAAAAATTGTTGGCTTGACCTAAAGAAGTGGTGGGAATTTCTGAAGCCCTTAATAGGTGATTAGGGGACACATTTTGGGAAGTTTTCCCTTTGTGATATTTGAGTTATATCACATTGGTAGTGTTTGTTTTTATGTGGCTGACCCTACTTCTGATACTCTCCTTAGTATCACCTTGGGCAACCCTTTTCGGGAAAACTTCATTAAGTAGACGTTGTCCTGGAATGTGTGAGTGCTCCTGGCTGAGAATGGGGTTTGAAGAACAGAAACAAGTACCCGGAGCCAAGAAGAAAGTCTGAATCCAGGAGGTCCCGAGCACATATGCGCACATATGCAATCACCAGATAAAGCAGGCAAGGGTTTCTTTTTTCCTGTGGAAGCATCGCAAAAAAGGTGAGTCCTGAGGGCAATTTTATAGGAGGGGGGACTTTGGCAGGAGCGTGCTAAGTCTCCGGACGAGGCAGGGAATGTGTGAGACTAGAAAAGGTGAATCACATCCTGGAGAAAGTAAACAATTGATTTCCGTGCCCTCTATGTCCAAGCACATCGAATTAAGTTTACTCCCCTTTCTAGAAGAGGGGAAAACATGGGGAAAAGGAGGACACCTATGATCTCATAACTCTTTCCTGCCGACCCTTTTATACTACAGCCTTTCTCCTTGGCTCCAGGTACTTGTTTTTGTTCTTCCATCCCCATTTTCAGCCAGAAAATCCCTGAAGAGTTTCCTCTAAGTAGACGCATTCATACTTTAAAAAATATTGTTGATTGAACAACCACATTAGAGAAAATGAATATTTTTTAAGCTCAAAATTGGGTTCTTGGAAATTAAAAGAATACAAAATAATGTCCAGGAGCAATAACCCTACTAGAAGAGCCTTAGAAGCAGCCAGATGGAAGATACCTTTAGCCTGCATGCAGGGAGGAGGCACGACAGAGCCTCGCGAAGGAAGGAACAGGCGCTCATCCATCTCCTGTTCTCAGCCCGCACCACTCCATCCTGCCTGCTCGCCCTCTCCTGATTTCCCTCTCACCAGTGGCACCTTCTGGGCGTCACTCTCTATATAAAACTCATGCTAATTTTGTACACAGGAGGGAAACTGGCCTTTTAACAACATAAATTGGATTAAATTATTTCCCTTGCTCAAAACTATTCAGTGGCTCTCTGCCTTTAGAATGATGTTTATATCCCTCACTGGCACCAGTGAAGCCCAGCACACGCACCTCCCCAGCACCCAGCCTCGGCTCCCTCCCTCTCTCCTCCTTTCCGAGGTGAACACATCACCTGGACTGGCTTTGATTTTGCACCTTGGAGCTTTTGTGCATAATTGTTCTCCGGTTCTTATCTTCCTCTTTTGTCATTAGGGGTTGGCAAACTATGGCCCACAAACTGGTTTTGGCCTTTGCCTTGTTTTTGTAAGACCCTTGAACTAAGTAAAAATCATTTCTATGCTTCTAAAGAGTTGTAGAAAAAATATGCAGTAGACATGAAATGTGGTCTCCAAACTCCCAAATATTCACTGTCTTGCCTATTATAGCAAGTTTGTCAACTCCTATCTAAATTCATTTGTCTCTACCAATGCATTCTAGTTATGTTCTTTATATCGCATACCTCACCTTGCAATTATATTCTTCTTAGGGTCCTTAGTTATTGAAGGTCTGATTCCTTTCTACCTCTGCAAGGACAGAGGTCATCCTTGCAGAATTCTTGAGTGTACGGCTCAGTGTCTCCCACGTGTCTTGCTGCCATGAGTGCTAAATATATATTTCTGTTTCACTTCCCAGTTCAACTTCTCAGGTGTCCTTTAATGGTTGGTGCTCCTGCTCATATCACACCAGGTTAGTTACCATTTCTGTGCTTACCTTTGTGTAATTGGTCACATGTAATTTCTGCATTAGGAAACCCAGTTCAGTTGTGGGAATAAAACTTGTACACATTCCTTTCCAGCACATGTGAATTCAGCAGTGTGACCCTGCATTTCTAGGGTTGTGCATAAGGGCTACCTATTGTGAGTTTCACAGACTTACCAGTATTCCTGTGAAGAGTCGGGAGGCTGGGCCCCGTGACGTTGCAGTTACAGCATCGCATAGGCAGGCTGGAGACCGTTCTTGTGTTTGTCTGAGCACTGATGATCTGTCTGGTTGAATCCTCTGTCACTGAAACTTAAGAGCAACAATTCTGAAATGTTAGAAATTGGATTACTGTTGATAATTGTCTTTCTATAACCATGGAAGGTCCATGTTAATAATTCTCTGCCATACTATTCAAAGATGATATCTGTTTAAGCATACATTATAAAAGTCAGATTTGTTCAACAGAGAATTTATTAATTTGTTACTTTCTCTGAGCAAATGTGACTGCACATTGGTTTAAATATTTACAAATGTAGGTGAATGAGCAGCAGAAGAAGGCAAAATTAAAGCCAAATAGGACACATGCTTTTGAAGAAAGATAGGGTTTCATGGACTTTGTTGTCGTATGAGTAATAATGCAGTACAGAAAATGTGATATGTTCACACTGTGCTTCTCATATTCACTGATTGAAAAGGGACAGTTCCATTTTCTGCAGTGCAAAACCAAGTCATTCTTATTAAAAGGTCACAGGAAACTGAGGAGAAATGTCAGGCACACAGACTGACCTATTCAGAATATAATCAAGCTTGCTTTAAAAAGACAACATCTACATTATGAAGGGGAGAGATGTGATTGTATTCTGTGTGCCTTCGTAATGCAGTTAGTGCCGATAAGACCTGAGACAATCTTGCCCTTCAGAAAATGAGTGTTTGTGGTGGGTGTGGGTGGGTCAGAGGGAACCTCATGCTGTAATGTGGCTGAGCTCATTTCTTCAGCCACTGTTTCCTTTCAAATTATTGAACCTACCATTTCGTTACAAGATGAATTTCTTTTTTTACTTCCAAGATAACTTTGCTTCACTTTCATTTTCCCTTAGATTAATTACTTTCATAAAGGGTTGATGAAAGTGGTCCCATGGATCCAGTGGCAGATTGACAACCACGCATTCCGGTCCTCTGTTTGCCCAGAGACTAAATGCGGTGCAGAGGTACCATTTCTGCAGCGCATCCTGCCATATTCTCCCATTCCGTTTGAAGAGACCAGCTGTAGAGGCAAGATGGTAATTCCATTTTCATGCCAGTTCATCCTTGGCCTCTATCCAGATTTCTAGTATTTAGGGCTTGATTTTGCTGGCTGCCTCATTCCTTGTGTGCACAGAGCTCCCATTTACTTCATTATAATAAACAGAATGATGATAAACTTCAATGGTAAACAGAAGGGTTCTTTACTTCAGTGGGAATTCTGCATGTATGAAGAGATATGGTCCAGTAAAATCAACTCATCTCATATCAAATAAATAAGCAGAACAGTGTCTGCAATGCCAAGTTGGTGTCATGTGACATATGTCTAAGAGAATGTGAACACTAGAGACTCCACTCCTGTGGTTACCAAATTACCATCTGATGGTTCATACTTGATTTCTTCAGTCTCCTGGTTGGAAATCTTCAGCTGGTTATATTTTCTTCTGACTGGTATGGCTCTTTCAGCTGATGTATAGTAGCAGATATTATTATTATTTTTTTCCTTGTGAAGATGGATAACAAATGGGGCCACCTGAAGCAAGTAGTTTATGGAATTTTAAATATTTGTTATTTCTTCATTGGTTCAAATGTGCATGGCCAACAATCTGGTATATATTTCCTCCTAAGGTGGCAATGTAGCAAACTGACATCATGTGGATGGTGCTGCCTGGTTAAGTATTCAGGGTTCTAACCAAGAGGCTTATTTAGGCATGCATAATTAGTTGAGTCAAAAACTTTAGCATGTACTTTTGATTGTTAACTCTCTATAAAGTAGTATTTTATTCAAATAACAAAATGACCTTTGCTAAAATTATTCATTTATGGTATTTAAAATGAGAATATCCAAACTGGAGTATAATATAAAGAAAAAAAAGAACCCAGGTACAGTTAGATATCCATTTTACTAATGACGAACTTTGTTTTTTTTTTTTTTAAATACAGAGTCTTGCTCTGTTGCCCAGGCTAGAGTGCAGTGGCACGATCTTGGCTCATTGCAACCTCCGCCTCCTGGGTTCAAGCGATTCTCCTGCCTCAGCCTCCCAACTAGCTGGGACTACAGGAGCACACCACCACACCCAGCTAATTTTTTGTAGTCTTTGTAGAGACAGGGTTTCACCATGTTGGCCAGGCTGGTCTCAAACTCCTGACCTCAGATGATCCGCCCGCCTCTACCTCCCAAAGCGCTGGGATTACAGGCATGAGCCACCGCACCTGGCCACTAATGGTGGAATCTTGTTAGTTAAATTGGATTTGTTTAGATTTATTTTCCCACAAAGATTGAATAAACTTGGCTTACTGTATATTTTTCTCAGCTTAGATAAATCTTCAATAGCTTCTATTAGCATCTATGGGTAATAAACTATTCCATGGATTTTTTTTTTTCTGTTAAGAAGTTTTCCTTTTAAAATTTACTTCCTTTTTCCCTCTAATAAGAGAAACCTGACAACTTTCTATGTACAACCATTAAGGGAAAACTTTTTGCCTTTAGGTTTCTTTACTTTCTGCTTTCTCTCTTTTCTTAAACATTTTAATACTTTTTTCCCTTATGTTTCTTAGTAGCTAGCTTCTTTGTCTTCTTTTAAAAATACTTTAAAAAATTTCCCGTAAGTATTGTTGCTATCTTCCCCTTTCTGGTAGACTGATTAATCTAAATGTCACTGGATTATTTATTAGCAGACTAAAATTTTATGGATGGTTTGCAGCTGGGCCTCTGGCACAGATTACATTTTTAGAAAAAAAAACCCTATTTTTATTTTCTTAGTATTTAGTTTCTAAACACACATCTGAATAGGTTTTAACAAAGCATTTTTTCCAAGAAATACAAAGGGATTTCTCTGCAAAACTATTGTGTGGCCTAGATTCAAAGGCTCCATTAAAAGTAGCAAGACTATAAATAAATGAGTCATAAACAGATATTTCCATTTTTTATTATATACTTTGTAAGCTACAACTAGGTGGGAGAAGTAAAATACTGCTGAGTAAACCTTAAGAGAAATAACTTGGAAATTGGAGTTTTAAGAAAATTGGTATACTTTTCAAGACAAACTTTTTTGCCCATTTATTGGCCTATTTTTCAAGAAAAATTTCACTTAAGAAGGCAAAAAAAAAAACATTGAGAGACATATGGTCCTTTCCCGGTAGCTAAAAATGAAACAAACTGAAAGAAAAAATGGAAGAAGAGTGAAAATATTTTGTCACCTCAGATGATTAACATCATAATTTTTGGTATAATTCTTTATGCCATTTCAAAGCACTATCACAATTGTTTTATTATGTTCCACATTGCCACTATAAAGTCAAACATGAAAAAAAGTCATAAATACAACAATTTGCCGTGTCTGTGTGTGAGTGTTGTTTTGGCAAAATAAGTTCGTCAAATGACCACCTGGAAAGGTGAGACACAAACAGGGATGATGACTCACTGCAAAAACAACAACGAACTCACGTACATTAATGTTTTAAAGTCTCCAATTTCCAAAAATTGTTTGGACAATTCATGGTATTGTTTGGACATTCATTATGTTGTTTATAATAGTGAAACGAAAAATGGAAAACTAGATGTTCAACATCAGAGAAGTGATCGAGGAAATTAGGGTATATCCTCTGGATGTAACAGCACGTAGCCATTAGCCCAGGACTCGTGGAGAGTTTGTCATCACAGGGCAGATGCTTGTTCTGATCAGAGAAAAGGCGGATGCAAAATATCTGCAGGGAGATGCACAGTGAAGTGTTACTGTAAGCAAAGCATGTGGAAATGAAAAAGAAGCATTTGAATCTGAATGGGATTTGGGGGAAAGGTTCTCCATAAGCCAGTGTTTCAACCAACCTTTAAGTGAATCGTGAAGTTCTGCTAAATACACTGGTGGTGGTAAGGAACCAGGGTGGAAATAGAAGCAGAGGAGTTCAGAGCTATGTGAAATTAATCGATCATCTCTTTTGTCATTTTAAATAAATCATATGTCCCTGGATGCCTTGATTTTTCCTCATTTTGAGTTTCATTTTTTTAAATCTTTTTTTTATTATACTTTAAGTTCTAGGGTGCATGTGCACAACGTTCAGGTTTGTTACATATGTATACATGTGCCATGTTGGTGTGCTGCACCCATTAACTTGTCACTTACATTAAGTATATCTCCTAATGCTATCCCTCCCCCTTCCCCCCACCCCACGACAGGCCCCGGTGTGTGATGTTCCCCTTCCTGTGTCCAAGTGTTCTCATTGTTCAATTCCCACCTATGAGGGAGAACATGCGGAGTTTGCTTTCTGTCCTTGCAATAGTTTGAGCTTCATTTTTAAAAACTCATTTTTAAGAGAAATAGTACAATTTGATAGAAAAGTAGCACCTGAAGGAAAGGTACTATAAAATACATATTGCTGTATATTTTGTTTTCCATGTTTGTATTTCTATTACTTAATGAGAAAAAAAAAGGTCTGTGAACTCTGGCTCTAAGTGTCAACTCTGTGAGTTTTTCGAAGTCCCTTCCCCTAAGGAAGCCTCAGTTTCCAAATCTGTAAATAATCATTATTATTATTTAGTAATAATGCAAACACTAAATAGAGTTCATTGTATGCCAGGCACTGTTTCAAGTGCTTTTTTTTTTGACAGTTTAAACTAGATTAATCCTCATATAACCCTGTAGCAGTATTAATATTATCTCTCTATGCATGATGGGGAAACTGAGGCAGAGGACAGTTAAGTAATTTACTGGTACTGGGAGACATGGGATTATAATTCAGGCAATATGGCTTCGGAATCTCTTCTCTCAAACTCTTCAGTCTTCTGCTACTCACTAATTATAATAATGCTATAATGATAATAATATTACAGAAATATGAAAATAATGATAGCACAATGATATAATAATGTTGCCTGAGAACACTAATTGGTGTGACCACGTGCTATGCTCTGTAAATTTTCTCCCATAATCCTAATCCTAATTCTTTTTCCGGGAACGGTGAGCAGTGACTGTTGTGCATACCTGCTGTTTTCTGTATCAGGGAGCTGAGAAACCCATGGTCACACAGAGACTGGATTCAAACCAGGGTGAGTTTCTCTGCAAGTGGGGGTGCACCCCACTTAACAAATGCATCCCAGTAGGAAGAGGGAATTTTCCAGGTGCTCTCTAGACTCATTGCCAGCTCTCCTTGCTGCGATTTTCTGCTAGGAACGTCTTGCAAAGACAAACTGAGAGCACCTCTGGCTCTGGCTGAGCAGAGAGCTTGTTTGTTGACTGCAGTTAAGGGTGGATCTTCATAACAAGATGGAGGAAATCTGCTGCAGTAATGACAAATTAAACATTACAAAGCACAGTTTCAATATTATTTCATTCTAATTAATGTGGGGGAATCAAACTTATAAAAGTTATGGTGTGTTTCCGGTGCCTAAGCAAAGTGTGTGGCCGAGTAGGCACTCAAGGAATGTTTGAAGAGTGAATAAATATTAAGATAGAAAAGTACTTCCTTCTACTCACTGGCTCTTTCCATGTACTCCTCTCAGTTGGTAGACATTTGTTAAGTCATTAGTACTGTGACTCACTTCTAGTAGGATTGTACGTCCTATTGAAATCCAGCCACATCAAGGGACTAATGTATTCTAAGGAGATGGAATCCAAGGAGGAAAGAGCTGTTTCTCAGCATTTAGCTTCTCCACTAAAGCCATGGGATCTACCCCTTTCCTTCTTGCCATGAATACTCATTAGCAAAGCTAGAGCCTTCAAATGCTCAGTGTTTGAGAAATATACCTTAAGATAATCTATCTCTAAGAACAGAATTTTGTAATAGTGTTGCACAAGCCCCTTGAAAGGAAGACTCTTTCTTCAGTGATATTGTGAGGCTGATCTCATCAGCTCTGAAAGCAGGCATTTCTTTGCCTTCTGTAGAGAGTGTAGGAGTGAAATAATACTGAAAAATAAAATTCATCCCCAAAGTATTCTATATGTACCATAAGGGTGAGGTAGTGATGTTAACTCTCTGGAGATGAAGCTATTTTTGTGCAACTTATTATGTGTACTTATGCCTGCAAAAAAAAAGATAGAGAAATGTCTGTATTTCTTACGTGGTGTTCCTTTTAATATTTTATAGTATTTAGTTACAATGAAAATAAATATTCAACATTAATGGAAGTCAGTAGAAATTCTGTTTATAAGAGTCTATTAATATACCACTTGGGAGGTTAGGGAATAGAGATGTGTTGAGTGGAAACACAGTAATTAAGTGGCTTCAATGTGACCATGTAGTTAAATTAGGATTAAGAAGCATAGCAACAACAACAAAAAAATCCATAAAGACTTTTTTTCGTGTACCTGAAAATAACTGGATACAAAGAGCATAATGTATCTGTTATTAATGAATGTATTTATGCTCTATTATTTGAACCTCTAATGGCATTTCACTGTAGCAACAGTCCCTGGAATCTATCCTCCGAGAATATCTGAGATGAATGCTTAAAAAATGAAACTATTTTGACTTCAGTAATCTAATGTGTCTGGCCTAAAATCTCGGTTTTTCACTTGAACATTTGAATTCCTATTTTTCACACATTTTCCAGCTCCATTTTACTGTTCTTGAATTGTGGCCACTAGAACTATGTGAAATTTCACAGGCACAAATGCACCAGGATTTGTTTTATTTCAATACCCTCTAAGATGACACTGACCATTTGTTTGCCTTTTGAGTTGCAAAGGTACCAAAAATACTGGCATCCTTCCCAGGAAGGTATCATTTTATTGTCAGTATAGCCTCTCTATAGAGGAATTGAGATGCTTAGTGTTGGCTGATGGTACCCTGTCCCAGAATGAGAGTAGCTCCACACTGGTGGGAAATTGCAAAGACCTTTGATCAAGTACAATGGCTCATTGAATTGCCTGGGGAGCTTTAAAATCTGCTACCCAGCAAAAGGCATGGAGGAATTATATAATGCTTACCAAAACCCAGCTTTCGGTACACCAACGAGGCTTGTATTTTGTGATGGGACCTGGGAGGAATTAGAGTTGAAGTATGCCAGTGGATAGAGCCTCCAGAGAATCTCATGAAGAGTAATAATGTTAGCAACCTTTTACTTGAGTATTTCCAATGTCCTAGTTACATTGTATCTATCTACCTACCTACCTACCTGTTTATCTATATGTATATGTATGTGTGCTTTGTGTGTTTCTATATATGGTCTGATTTCCCACCTGTAAAGGGTAGCATGATAACATATCAGGCAAATCAGATAAGCCTGCCTGACGTATTATCATAGTACCCTTTACAGGTGGGAAAACGTAGTTTGGAAAGTTTCAATAATTTGCACTATTAAGCTGCCAGACAAAAGTTTGAAGATTTGAATTCAGGTCTGCCAATTGCACAGAGCATGTGCTTTTTCACTGTATCTAAGTGAGCCACACATGTTAGACACTGCAGCACCAAACTTGAGTCTTAGGTATTAAAACCATCAATTACTAATCAATAGACAGCAGGCAATCACTATAGTTCTTCATACACATGATTACATATATATATATAACCTATCTACAGGTCAATCACAATCACAAATTGTTATTTGGGAGATGAAAGCCAATTGCTCTCAGTGGAGATGGAACAGAAGCCTCTAAAGTGATTGGCCTTCTCTTCATTGGTGTGTGCCTAAGGGCTGAGTGCACAGAGGTCCTTGAACCAAATTCCAGAAACTAGAATCTATCAGGGGATCATAGAAGGTTTCTGTGGTGATCTGAGAGTCCCGAATGAAAGTTTTAAATATGCTGTGCTTCTATCTCAGTGAATATCTAAACACTGAACTATTCTGGGTCATCTATAATATGGGTATTATAGAGCACAACTGTGATTTCAACACACATGAGTTTATGATTAAATTGGTGTCAAGCACTCAACCTAAAGTAACCATATTACATTTTTTGAAAAACATTGCTTTAGAACAGATTTAGATCTTCATAAAATTGAAAAGAGAGTACAGAACTGCCATATACCCTTCACCCAGTTTCCCCAATGAATAATAACAGCTTGCGGTAGTATGGTACATTTGTTAACAACTAATGGACAATATTGATACATTGTTATGTTTATATTTTATTCAAATTTCCTTAGTTTTTACCTAAGGTTCTTTTTCTCTTCCAACATCCCCTCCAGGTTACCACAATCACATTAGTTATTGCATCTCCTAGGTCCTTCTTGGCTATGACAAGTGATCAAACTTTTCTTAATTTTTGATGAGCTGACAGTTTTGAGGAGTTTTTGGTCAGGTATTCTGTAGAATGTGCTTTAACTGGTATTTGTCTGGTCCTATTCCTATGATTAGTCTGGGTTTATGTGTTTTCAGAAGGAAGATCAGAGAAATAAAATGCCATTTTTAAGTCTTTTTTTATTGTATGTGTTGAAGGTATTCAATATGAGGTTCTGATATATATATATATATATATATATATATATATATACACACACACACACACACACACACACACACACACACATATGCATACACAGAGTGATATGATTACTGTGGTCAGGCAAATTAATATATCCATCACCTTTATAGTTTTGTGTGTGTGTGTGTGTGTGTGTGTGTTTGTGTGTGGTGTGGTAAGAGCACCTAAAATCTACTCTTTACACATTTTTAGTATCCAATACAGTATTATTACCCACAGTCCTCATGCAGCACATGAGATCACTAAACTTACTCATCTTACATAATAGCAAGTTGACCTACTTCTCCCCATTTTTTTCCTCCTCCCCATCCCTGGTATCTACCATTCTACTCTCTATTTTTTGAATTCATCTTTTTTCTTGGAGTCCGTATATAGGTGAGTCATGCAGTATTCTTCTTTCTGTGTCTGGCTTATTTCAATTTATCACATCGTATCAAGGGTACATATTGTCAACATGACCAATCACTGTTGCTGTTGACTTTGATCTCCTGGCTCATATAGTGTTTGTCAGGTTTCTCTGCTATAAAGTTATTCTATTTTTTTCCCTTTCCAGGCTGTACTTTTTGGAAGGAAGTCGATATATTGAGCCCACATTTAAGGAGTGGGGAGTTATGCTCCATCTCCTTGAGGCCAGAGTATTCACATAAATTATCTGGAAATCTGTCTCTTCTCCCCTATTTACTTACTTATTTAATTACTGTGATTATATTAATATGCATATACAAATATTTATTTCATAGCTTATAATTCTATATTGTTCGATTTTGTTGCTTAAATTGTTCCAGATTTGGCCATTGGGAACTCTTTCAGTTGATTCCCAGGATGCTTTGACATACTTCTATGTTCATTTATTCGAGAATGGTATTAGAAAGCAAGATCTGGACTCTTCCAGATCTGCTGGTGTGCTCCTTCCTTCTGGGGTATCATTGATTCTGAGCCCTCTTAGCTTACAGGGCAAGAAAATAATGTGTGTACATATTAACTTGTGTATATACCGGTATCTATAAATATATCCATGTGTACCCATCTGTATCTATATTAACCTAAGCATGAGTTCATGCTGATGTCCTCAACTTTAATCCATTGCCACTTGGGTAATTGTAGCCTCCTACCTTGCTTATCTGTTAACTCCCACTTCAACAGTGAGAACCTGGCTCCCACCAGCTGCCATCCATTTACTTAATTATTCAATTAAACATACTTAATTTCTAATCCAGCATGTCTCCAAGTTGTTCTCGCAGTTGTATTCTCTGTAAGTTCTCACTTTAGCAAAAAATGCTTACTGGTAAGTTGTTTGGTATTGACACATTTGAATGTATTTGCATGAAGATATTTTTGCATTGTGAATATTTTTTGGCATATGTAAAAATTCTGAAACCAAAGCCCTTTATGTGTTCAGTGATTAGGTCAAGATCTCTAAATGCAGATTTCCACTATCTTCAGCAGAACAAGCTGGCTTAAAAATGGTGTTGCCATCTATCCAGATGAAGTCATTCTCAGTGACAAACACTGGTGGCTTTGGTGTTCTCTTAGCTACTTTTTCAAGATTCTTACTGTTCCTCATGATCCCCTCAACCAGTTACCTATGTGCAACTCGTTTCTATAGGCTGTCCTTCTGCCATCTGTCAGTTAACTTCCATATGCTGTAGTTGAAACCATTAGGAACTGCCCTTTCCAATATATTTAAGATTTAATGAGACATTAAAGACCCTAAAGCATTCTGTGCTTATAGAAACACAGAATATAAATGATTTAATTTCTAATGGTGAAATTCCAGGTACAGATATTTCCAAAGTGAACACTCCCTGTCTAGTGCTCCTCAAGTGATGCCTACATACATACCTACTTATGTATCTGTCCAAATGAGGACAACTCTCTGTGTATACATGCCTTTTATTTTCTTGCTTTTAAATAGAAACTTGAGAGCCATTTTTGGAACTGGAATCTCACTTTAAACAGATGTGTGATTTGAGTATTTTATTCATGTTAGAATTTAGTCTGAAAAAACAACCACTTGACATTGTTCAATAAGCATTTCAACAACCAAAGGGATATGTTGTCAGAATCTTAATTAGAGTGATGTGATGGGGCACGCTCGCAACACAACATGAGTAATTGCATAAAACAATCGCCCACACCCACAAGTACCAACTGTCTGAGATATAGCATGTGAGGAATATGATGGCAATCTTTCTAGATTAATTGAGATCTTTTTTATAAAACCAATTAGTTAAAAATAATTGATATAATTGATGTAATAAGACAGCCTATAGTCTTTTTGCTTTTTAGAACCTAGCCATTGTGGAATGACATGCCAGATAAAAGAATTCTTTTTGTTGTGCATATTACAGAATACTCACCATTCCAGGAAAAAGAAAAAAAGGATAATGAAGGACATGAAAATTAATTAAAGTGGAGAAATTATAGTGGAACATTTAAGAAAATTGATACAGAAAAGCTGTGTTTTTGAAAATGTAAAATATCCCTATACCTAAAAATATTGACGTAAGTGACTTGAAAGAATTGGACTGGCCCCAAGTAAACTGCTACCAAAGTCAGTGGCAAATAAGAAGGCTAAAGACAAATTTAAAAAAATTAAAGTTCCTACTGACAAAACAGAGAAATAATCTTGGGAAAGTATTTTGTATTAGTATTCATGTAATCGCTGATACTTGTTTTAAAATTATGCCAATTGGTAACATATCTCTGGGTCTTAAGTGAGGAACACCATCCTGGAACCCGTGGCTTTCTTAGTCAAAGAGAGAAACTTCTGAAGTTTCACATTAGCCAACTTTCCATCCTTCCCAGGTGAAAGCTCATTTTACAAGTTTAGTTTTAATATGTTGACATTCTACTTTTACTGTGAAGTTTTCTTTCAATGTTTAACTATGGTTAGTATTTATTTTGAGGTACTCTAGATAGCCCAGCCTTACAGAGAGATGAAGGAGTGGGGATGAGGTGGATCATGGATAGTAGCTTTAAAAGTAAAAGTGAATGGCAAACGTTATCAGAGAAGAGCAGCACTCTTCCTGAAGGAAGGGTGCAGAAGTGCTGGGTAGAACGCTTTTTCATTTTTTTGAGCAACTTCTTCTTGTTCTGACTCATGGTAACCTAACTATGAAAGCCTCAGGCCCTCAATCTTTTGCATTTAAAAAAATCATCAGCTTTCAGATCTCCCCTGTTCTCTAGCTGCCTTGCCCTGGATATCTTGTTGCTGTAGAATAATAACACCCAGTATGCAGGGCCCATAGCAGAATTTTTGATTTGATGGAACGTAATCATTCATTTGCCTTGAATGAGGTGAATGAGCAATGCAGAGATCCAACACTCAAAGCAAAACAGACAGCCGTGCTTCGTACAGTCATGATGATGACAGACGCTACTCACCACACAAACGCTGTATTCTGGGCTCTCTGCTTTCCACCTTCCAAGCAACATCACATCTAACCTTCCGCTTAACCCTATGAGATTTACTCACGCACTCATTCACTCACTCATTCATTCATCTGATACTTCAGTGTCTCTCACCAGAGGCTTGTGAAGCAAAGGTGGCTAATAGGTAGCCCCTGCTTCCGACCACTCACAATGTCATGGTAGGTTAGCATGTTGGTGGAAGGTTGTATAAGTCAAGAGGGGAACAAAAGAGGGGATAGGCCTGGGAAATTCTGGGGCTTGAGTGGAGAATAGGAGCTTGCCAGATAACAAGGAGAGAAAGCACACTCCAGGCAAAAGTAACAATACGCAAAAGCCTTCGAACAGGAAAGATCAGGCATGTTGGGGAAAGAATGACTCTCGCATAAGGAGCATGATGGGAAAGGGAAGTCTGTGAGGTGGTCAGGAATGGGTCCTGGAGAATCTCTGTGGGAGCTAAGAAGTTTGAAACTTTATCCTCTAGATAAAGGAGAGTCAATTCACAATTGACTATTAGAAAAATTTTACACATGACAAATGTTTATTGGGGTGAAAAATAGAAAAGCAAAAATAAGACAATATAAATGGACAGTAACCCCACCACATGAATTAACCACCTAGCATAAATATGCAAATATAAACATCTGTATATGTAAATATAAAATACCTATATATGTATTTATATGAATATATGTAGTCCCACATTTTTTCCATGTGTGTATGTATGTATGTTTGTGTTAACATAATTTTTCTACAGATTTAAATTGTAGTGTACATGCTTTGGAATCTTCCTAATCATATATCGTGAACATATTTTTAGGTCAATAAATATTCTATTGCAAATTTAATTTTAATTGCTGTGTGCGAGAGAGAGGGAGGACAGTGGGATCGCTGTCAGACCTAGCCAGTGTGAATGGCAGGACTGGGCAACGCTGAAGGAAGTAGAGAGATGTTCACTTTTGAAGTGCCTCCTTTAAGAGGTCTGGGTTTGGTTGTGTGTCTGATTTCTCTCTTGGGAAGAGAAGTATTCCCTTGCAATGACTCTTAACTTTCCTCCTCACTTCCATTTTTATCAGATTAATTTTAGTTGCAAGGCTGTGCCCATGTCTGGCTTGCTTTGAACAGTGCTGGCTTACAAGACATATTCCATGTCCTGTCCTGGTCATGATAACCCTGGTATGATGATGGCCCAGCAGCCCTTTATTTTACAAATCCTGTGGTTCCACTTTGAGTAAAAGTGGCATTTAAATGTTGGTGAAAAAAATAACCAAAATGGTAGCAATTTTTAACTTGACTGCAAACTTAAATGTCTGAGAATTAAGAATTAAAAGTACAATCCTTGAATCAGGCTAATTGTATACCATCGAAAGGGATTAGTTTGATAGACTATGTTTGGTGTATGATGTCAGAGAGAGACAAACTTTCCCTAAATCTACCTATAGGCAGTTGTAGGGCTCTTGTTGGCTTCTTTAAAATAGAAAATAAAACTTTTAACACATGTCTCAAAAGATATGTATATATATAGTTACTGAAGACAATTTAGAAAATTCAGAGGAGGAAAAAAAAGAGAAAAGAAATATTCCAGAATTATTAGATTTTAGTTCCAATTGAAAAGTAATTTCATATTAATATAGTTTGATGAAATTTGACAATATTAGTGTCCTAAAAGGAGAATCAGCCTGAAACTGAGTTTCTTCTCTGAAGGAGATCCTACGTAGTAAGTTAAATGGTCATAAAATAACAGGCCTTCTACATTGATTCTACTGGCTCTGGAAATTTTGTTTAGGAACCCATGGTTGGCTGTTATTTCAAAAGCATACTCATTTCTATATCTGGGAATATCAATCCAATTAAAATATAAAGAATTTATTAACTGTTGCCTGCTATAAGAGTGTGGAGATTTCTGTGGGAGGAAACTCAGCATAATTTTTACTGCTTTATTTTGACAACTTAATATATTCAGAAATATATGCAACCTATAGTTTGATTGTGTTATTTTCATCATGGAAAATGCTGCTGCTTAAGTAGAGACAAAATGATTTTGGTAACATATAGTACTAAAATTCTAGGATTCTGACTTTCTGTAATTCTGTCCCAATCTAAGTAAGAATAATGTTCAAAGCAGGTGGTAATTGTGAAGAGACATAAAATCAAGTTTATAGTTGGTAGACCACGATTAGTTAAAATTATTGAGAAAATGACTGTTTCAATGGATATGTACTCTGCCTCTTAGGAAACTGAGAAATTAACTTATTTCAAATACGCTACTCTTATTTCTAAACATGAATAGGGATTTTAGAGAATAAAAACACAAGACTTTTCAAAAAGGAAAAGCTATGGTAGAAATTGAAAGGTTGTTGAAAAGCTTTAAAAAGCTTTAAAATAGCTAATTTTTTAAAAATGTATAACTTCCTAAAAATCTTGAGATACTAAATATTAACTGATACTTTTGCCCAGTATAATTTCTTTCCTTGTCAAGGGATATACCTGTTAATTAAGGAAAAACAATTTTCACTAATAAATGTTTTCACTAATGAATATTTTAAAAGTATACTTCTTATCAAAACAGAGGTAAGAAAAGGGCACAAAATATTATAGAATCTTCGGCCATGGAGTATGGGAAGCAGGCAGGGAAAAGAGAAAGAAATACCATCAAAAGAAACTTGATTCTAGCATTGTCTGTCCTAAAGGGAGCTTCCACCTCAAATTGAAAACGTTTGGGTTTTAATAAAAGGATGATTTTTTATGTAACTGTGGTTTCATTTTTGCTTGGATAGTTGGAAGGTAAAAAGATACTGCATGCATTCCATATGTAACTCATTAGGCTGCAACAAAGATTCCAAGCACAATTATTTTGTGAGTCAAGATTTCAACTAAGGGTAAGTTATGATCTCGAAGTGTACAGTCACAAAGCTCACCTGTGTTGCCAGGTTCAGTACGGGGTGCAATAATAAATCTCAAGGAAGGCCAATTATCTTTAGACATAAAGTTTCTACTTGTTTGTATATGTTTGGCATAGGAATTCTATGATTCACCAATCAACTGTTCCTGGCAGTGCTTTCTGTGGTCTCCATATAAACTTGCAGGAAATGATACAGTCATAAGTTACATGTTCAAATTTAGAGCTTTAACTTCACAGTATTTGTCAGATATAATAACCTCTGACAAACCCTAATCTATGGGTTACTTAAACATGAAAAATTCTAGCACTCAAACCACAGATAGCATAGTAATTAGACAGTTGAAATTAACCTTGAGTTAGATTATAAATTAATATCCCACAGAGTATTGTTATTATTATCTATGATTGTGGCTTAGGAATTTTCTTTTGGCAGGCAAAATTCTTTAGTTTTGGATACCATAGTAGGTAGATTTATAAGATAAGTAATAAATATATGCACACAAAAATTTAACAATATAGACAATCTCATAAATACCAGGTAATTTTTTTGTTAAATGAAATAACATGCTATTAAGTCACTTCTTTCTCCAAATTCTGAATAGAATCAAGATGACACTTTGTAAGTTTGTGATTGGCATACAATGACTCATCCAGGGAAACAGTAATTCTCCCTAAAGCCTGGGTTTTGTTTTTTCCTGTTGAGTATTCCTTACTTCCTATAGGTGTTTCTTACATGAATTCATTGTTCTCTTGTCTGATTTTGGCCTTTAAATTATTGGTTCATCACTTAAACACTGTTTGTCGAGTGTAAATTAGTTCAACCATTGTGCAAAGCACTACGGCAATTCCTCAAAGACCTAAAAACAGAACTGCCATTCAACTCAGCAATCCCATTACTGGGTATATACCCAAAGGAATATAAATCATTCTACCATAAAGACACATGCATGCATATGCTCATTGCAGCACTATTCACAATAGTAAAGACATGGAATCAACCTCAATGCCCATCAATGTAGACTGGATAAAGAAAATGTGGCACATATAACACCATGGAATATTATGCAGCCATAAAAAATGAGATAATGTCCTTTGCAGAAATACAAATGGAGCTCAAGGACATTATCCTTAGCAAACTAACATAGGAATAGAAAACCAAATACCAGATGTTGTTACTTATAAATGGGAGCTAAATGATGAGAACTTAGGGACACATAGAGGGGAAAACAGACATTGGAGCCTACTTGAGGGAGAAGGGTAGAAGGAGGGAGAGGATAAGAAAAAATAATTAGTGGATGCTAGGCTTAGTACCTGGGTGATGAAATAATTTGTACAACAAACCCCTGTGACACGAATTTACTTATATAACAAACCTTCATATGTATCCCTGAACCTAAAAACAAGTTTAAAAAATAAAAATAAAAGAGAAATGTGAAGTAATAAGTTGATTCCCTCCAGTAAAAATACAAAACTTAAAAAATAAAATATTTGCGTATGACTCTCAATCTTCTCCAGCCTACCCTGCCATAAATTGACAACACTCCAATAGTTATATCTCATCTTATTTCAGAAAATTTCCCTGATCCCACAGACATAATCCTTTTCCCAATACTTGTCCAAAATATAACCTGAAATGATTCCCCTAGTAGTGTGAAAACATCTATTGATTAGCCAGTTGTGTGTATATATCAAATTATAGTTGGTAAAGCATTGAACATATGTAGGAATAGTCACACTTTTAAACTTACTTTATACTTCTTTATTTTACAGATCTTTAACATTGAACCAGACACCAGACTCTCAACAATCAGATTGCTAACCTCTATGCCAGGTGTAATACCCATTAAATTTTCATAAGAATACCATGAGGTGGAAATTTGTATCCCTTTTTACATCTGAGGAAGTGGAGTTCAGAAAAATTACATAAATTCCCCAAGGGGGCAGAGCTTTATCTGAACAGTGAGAAGTCCTGCCATACGTGGTTTTTTTTTTGAGACAGAACCTTGCTCTGTTGCCCTGGCGGGAGTGCAGTGGCATGATCTCGGCTCACTGCAACCTCTGTCCACCTCCTGGGTTCAAGCGATTCTCTTGCCTTAGCCTCCTGAGTAGCTGGAATTACAAGCATGCACCACCACGCTCAGCTAATTTGTGTGTTTTTACTAGAGACAGGGTTTCACCATGTTGGCCAGGGTGGTCTCGAACTCCTGACCTCAAGTGATCCACCCGCCTTGGCCTCCCAAAATATTGGGATTACAGGCGTGAGCCACTGCACCTGGCTTCACATATGGTTTTGCAATTTGGCATCCCCTAGAGTTGTGCAGGGCACATGAAAGCCCCACCAGGGTACAACTCAGCTGTTTTCTTTACAACCAGACCCCTTTCTAGTATGTTGCTCTACAGAAAAAATATGGAATGGATTCCCCTTCGTGGAAGAAGAACCTAAACTGTTACTTTGTATAGATGTGATTAGTTTGTGGCAGGAGAAAGGTGAGGTAAGAGAGGTTTATCTACAGCACCTCGGTGCCATCCCTCTTCACCCTCCACTTGGGTCTTTACTTCGTCTTCCCACTGGCCTGTGACCTCTTGCTGACTTTGTAAATGAAACTTCCAACCACCCTCTCCAGGTGTGGTCTCTCCCCTGGGAAACAATACCTCTCTTGAGTCTCAGTTTGCAGACTCTGGCTAAGGACTATTATGGCCCTTGCAAGTTCAGACTTTATCATTGCTATTTATTGGCTCTCTGACATTGAGTTAGTGATATATCTGCTCTCAGCCTCAGTTTCTCATGAGTAAAATGAGAATACAAATAATAGTAACATTATTTTTTACAAAAATATTTAAAGAGGCAAAACATAATGTTATTATCACAAAACTTGGAATGTAGTAAGCGCAACAAATGTCTCTTCTTTCTTCTTTGTCTTGATCTTCGTCTTCATCTTCTCCCCTCATTTTAACATATATGCATTTTAAATTTGGCGTTTCTCTCTTTGCACCCTACTTTTGTAGTCTGTTAAGGTAACTAAGCAGTGGGATTTCAGGCTGGTTTCCAGGGGCAAGGAGGGAACCCAGGCAGACTAACAGAAGAGTCATGAGGCATTTTTGTTTTCTGGCAACCATCAAATCACACAGGTCCTGGCCGCTAATATCATCAGGTTTGCACTTAAATGTTGAGATGCTCACACAGGTTTTGTATTTTTCATAGAGGATGTAATTGAGAATACTTTGCTCCATCTCAGTAAGTTTAGGCAAAGAGGAAGATGGAGACTCAATTATAACACTGTTCTTACCTACCGCTTCTCTCAACCCCTTTCCTCAGAGCATTCTACTGCCGCTAGAGCTTGTCTTTATTCCCTTACTATCTCTTTCCTTCTCTAACCATTCCTCTCTTCCCTTTCCTCCCTTGCCCTTCCCTCCCCTTCTTTTCTGCCTTCTTTCCCTCCCTTTCTTTTTTCTGACATGGAGTCTCACTCTGTTACCCAGGCAGGAGTGCAATGGCGCAATCTTGGCTCATTGCAACCTCCACTTCCCGGATTCAGGCGATTCTCCTGCCTCAGCCTCCCGAGTAGCTAGGATTACAGGCACCCGCCATCACGCCCGGCTAATTTTGTATTTTTAGCAGAGACAGGGTTTCTCCAGTTTGGTCAGGCTGGTCTTGAACTCGTGACCTCAGGTGATCCGCCTGCCTTGGCCTCCCAAAGTGTTGGGATTACAGGCGTGAGCCACTGTGCTCAGCCTCCCTCCCTATCTTCTTTTCTCCCTTCCTCCTTTCTTCCTCCCCCTTTCCCTCTCTCCCTTCCTCCTTTCCTTCCTTTTTTAAAAAATTTCTTTTTCTTTCTTTCTTTGTAATAAATCTGATGCTAAGATGATATTCTCACTACCTATGCTTCCTAACTTAAGCCGTGCATATATTTCTGAGTAATGGTAGTTGTATGTCTAGGCTTGAATTCTATGAATATTATATAGGCTAATAAATCTAGCAAAGAACATATTTAAAAAATAATTTTTTCTCATGGAGCCGTTGCATACACTAAGAATGCCAGAGCATTTTTCCCCTTCATCAAACACCTGGTAATGAAATTTATTGACATATAAACTTAATAAGCTGCTGATTGAGTAATTATCGATTGACGGAAATGTGTTCTTAAAAGTCACATTAACAATTGGCAGAAAGGCAAAAATAGAACAGACTCAGTTTTCAACTTACTTTATAGCATTACCTTAAAATTGTAAAGAGTTAATCTTATCACACTACACATGGCTGAATTTATAAAAGATAAAATCACAAACGAGTAATGCACAGTTACTTGTTACATATTCTTTCCATTACAACTGACAGGTTCATTAATCATACAGTGTATTTTACTATTAGAAGCTATAAAAAAGATCAAATCTCTTGTAATTTTTCTTCTTCTCTTTCATTTGATAAGTGTGTTGTTTCAGTGTGTAGATAAAATATAGTGTCAGTCACCAACAGTCTCAGGAGATTTTCATTTTTCCAGTAAGAATATCCTTGCTTATTTGCAATGTAAAAAGTCCCTAGATCATGCATCATTTCCCTATAACTTGACCATCAGATTGAGTAAAATGTCTGTAACCACAGAAGTGGCCATCCAAAAGGAAGTGCTGTGGGAGAGGAACACTGTTTTTGGCGATAGCGGTGTTGCTTACTGAGCGGTGAAGGCATTAACGACGAACACCTCTATTCATAACGAAACACTGATTCATAATTAAGGTTCATGTAAATTACACAGAGAGCTGACAGATTTCATAAGCTGTTCTGGGGAGAGGTGGCAAATTTTACAGTTTGTCACAGATTGCCAATGAAACACTTGAAAGCATAAATGAAATATAGGACTATTTGCCAATAAATAAGGGAGGCTATGATATCCCCTTTCATGGAGTGTGATGAAAAAATATGTCTTAAAGGGCTACATTCCTACTTAGCAAACAAAGGGTTTTTTTTATTTTTATTTTTTCAGTCTAGGAAGAAATCCTGAAAAGAAAAGCAATCAACCCATACAGCAAAAACAGATGGACACATTTTAATTTTTTTAATTAGTTAAAAAAATGAGATGCCTTTTTATCTCTTGTCAATTTAAAGAGGGGAGAAGTCAACCATGAAAATTCTTCTGTGTTTCTCAGTGTTTTCATTTTCTTTATTTTTAAAAGTATAACTTATAAATAAAATTCTTAGGATTTCTTAGTTTTGGTGATTTGTGTGACACTGATGTACTGTAATTTATACAAGAACTACTTCAGTGTATGTTTTTCAGTGCTTCTTGCCAACCTAAGTATTCTAAATATAAACTGAAGAAATTCAGTCTGGCACAAAACAGCTGATGAAATATTCTGGGCTTGCATTCCGCTATTTTCCCATAAGACCTTCTATGAGAAGCAGGGAATGTAAAGAGATCTTGATTAAAGTGCAAAACCGTATGCAGTCCAGTTGGTTGTAAACTCAATTTAAAGTCTACCATGAGTGGCCTTTCAACTCCATCATACAGCGCTTCATTCCTGACCAGGACACAGCCTCATAATTGTCTATTCTTAAGCAACAGCTAGTCCCACATTGTAACTCTTCCCCAGATAGTTTCAATTTTGTCATGTCTGCATATTAGGATTTCTGCAGAGGCTAGATTGGTAAAGCTATTTACTCAGCCCATAACTAATTTCAAACTGCATTTTCACAGCACACTGGAGAACTGAGTAATCATTGGGTGAAACTGAGGGGTGTAAATAGTCAATCTCCCCTTGTTCCTCCCATAGCGCTTTCTTCCCTTCTATTTACACAGATAATTGCCCCAGTTCTACATGTTTTTATTTATGTATAAGTACCATGCTTTATATTAGAGATATGAGTCTCACATTCACTTTGCTTTACTAAGGGTTACATATAGTAGATTAGCTCAACAAGTCGGCTAAGTGTTCCTATTCAACGAGATCTGAGGCTCTAGCTTGCCTGAGAAGTTCAGCCTGCATAACTCCACCCTGGAATTTTACGTAGGTTCTTACACCTGGATGCTTTTTTTCTTTTTCTTTTTTCCCTTTACAGATGTGGAGATTACTTCTCGGCTTTTTGGCTAAGATCAAGCGTACAAGTGTAGAACATTGTTTAGGGGTCTGTGTGTGTGTGTGTGTGTTTCATTAAAGCGTACAATTATTCAGTGGAAGCATCACTGGAAGTTGCCATTAGAAAGACAAAGAGGGAATTTCTAAATGAAAAGATTGAATGGATTTTCCCACAGTTATGCTTATTGTGCTGAAACTTCAATTTGAAGATGTGATTTGATTTTGCTGGAACACCCAAACCAGTGTGTTTGTTTCTCAAAGGGTCATTAGGATGAATGGGTGCATAGAAGTTTAGGAAAAACAGTCACTTTAAGTGCCCTCATTTCTATGTCTAGAAGAGTTTATTGTGAGTTTAGTTCTAGACTTATTCTTTACCTGCTTCAGACCCGCCCACAGTTAGACCTGGGCAAGCAGGGTCCTGCCCCAGGCCTGAGTTTGGAATGTCTTCCTGGAACTTCTTGTCCCAAAGGGGAGGGCAGGGGCAGGTCCCACAGCACCGTCTCTGCAGAATAACAGGGTGGCCCCAGAGTGGACCAGACCCTCTGGGTTCCTGGCTGAATTTCTCCTCTGCCAGGAGATCTTCAACCCTCTACACCACAGGCCAGTGGTGGGTGCCTTGGCTGGCCCTGTTTCTAGATGGGTGGCCTGGCAATCCGCTCGGCTCCCTGGATCACAGGAGATTGGGCCACCAGATTGGGACTAATAGGCTGATTTTAAGTAACTCTCATTTAAATAAGACACAGGGCTCTTACTTGGGCTTGAGCCATGTGTAGGGGAGAGGGAGGTTCCTGGGTTGGCCACAGCCCCCATGGTGGTACAGAACGCATGCAGGGCGGTTGCCCTGTCCTTTGAAGACTGCACACTGTGTGTCAGGCAGCCCTCTGTTTTCTCTGAGGGCCTTCCAGACCCAACTCCCTAGGGCCCTTCAGTTCGCTGGCTGCTCTTGTCTGCAGTGGCTATGGTGACATTGCCCTTCCAGGTGCATCTTACTTAGGCCGTGTGGGGGTGGATTGATTGCTTTTCTCACTCTGTGCATGTTCCTCCTGCTGGTGGCCTGGTGGGGTAAACACTGAAAGACATCTCATTTTAGGAATGCAGTGAGTGTAGCCTAAAGCTCATACTTTGGAGGATGTGTTGCTCGAAGCTGATCTTAGAAAATTCTGAAAGGTAAATGTAATAGGAATAGAAAATGAATCAGCATTGCCATTTTCCTACGTGTTCTGGATAAGACTTGCATTTGGGGTCAGTATCAAAGAAGCAGGGTAACAACCACTGAGAGTGTCATTGGCAACTAGAGTGCTGGACACAGTGGATGATGCAGTTCATTAGCAGTGATGTAACCAGCACTGCATTAATGGTGCTTGGGAACTGCAAAGGTAAGAACAAGATTGTTTCAATACAAGTGTATTCTAGAAAGTCCTGGCATTGCTACCTTTTCCTGCAATAAAGAGATTTGAAATTCCCCATCCAGGGGTGACTGTGCCTCATATGGGCCCATGAATTTTGCAGTGCATTTTAAAAATCAAGTTATCTATATAGACAGGGTCCCCACTGACAAATATTACACAAAGCCCCACACAATCTAGGAGTGGCTCTGCTTCAGGCAACATATATCAAGGGTCTAGAGATGTTGGAAGTAAAGAGATAACATGTGGTGTTATTTTGTTGTTGTTTTGATTTCATTTGCTATTGATGTGCAAGATTACCACATTTGGCTTCCATTACTATAATCTCCAACTTCAGGGTTATTGAGTCTTTTCTCAGATAATCTTCTTTAAAATTATAAATATTTATTACTCTATTACATCTGATTCTGCCAAGTTTAATAATAACTTAATATGGAGCAACACCAAATACACAGTGGGCAGTCAATACATTTATTTGGAAGTGAGGAAATAGTGTGCTATGTGTATCCACACGAGAAGTCCGAATCTGTCAATTTTAACCTCTTTTTTTCCAAGTCATGGATGGTTATGAGAAGGAGCTTCCTCTCCCTAAATGATGTAAATGTATCTCAATATATCTCTATAGTAGATAATATATTTGGTTTCCTTTGGATACAAAAAGGAAAAAAGAGGGCTGGTTTAAATTCAGAGACACCCAGGCTTTGATATTTAAAATGCATTATTAGAAGGATAAGTATTTTCTGTACTTTGAGTGTCGACGCTTGTTACTATGGATCCCGTAAGTAGAAGGGGAATGGTTTAGAAACAACTAGCTAAGATGATCATCTGACTTTTTGGATCTTCAGGGACAGAACCATTTTCTTCTTGACTCTGCTAAATATACTGGGTCCTTCCCTTTGTCTCGTTCCCTCTTCATAGGTTCTGCTCCAAACAATGTATTTGCTCATTGTATATCGTTCAGTTTTCTCTGTCATAGCTGTCTTCACACCATTTTCACACTTCGAATCATGCCTGAACGGGATATTTTCCTTTTCCCCCTCCAGTTCTACTTCTTCTCCCTGCTTGGTGCCTCGCTAGGCTGAACCTTATGAACTGGCGTTACCAGGCTCCCTGCTCTTTGCTTCTGGTTGGATTTGCCAATGGGAGTCCCCAGCAGGAGACAAGTGAGCATAAGGAGATCTCGGGGTACTCATTGCCTTGCCTCCCTCCCCAACAGGACATAGTTGCTGCATATCCCTCCTGAAGGTGAGAGCTTCTGTCGAGTGCCTTTAGGCCTGAGAGTGCCCACAGCTTCCCACTTTGCTAGTTCCAAGGTGCTTCATTAGTGCTGTTGGCTTTGCTTAACCCTGCATTGTTAGATAAATAATATCTTCATTGCATTCTCTTAATCGCCTCTTTTGAGTGTGCCTCTCACTTGGGTGAAGAGCCCTACCACTAGAGATTCTTTCTGTCTCCTCCGGTTTTTCAGAATGTATATTGCTTCTAATTTATAAACAGAGAAGGGCCTGGATTAGGCTCAGATTGCTATGTGAATCTGTTTATTTTATCCATTTGTTTTATCTCATCCCTGGAGCATCCTGAGTATCATTGATTAAATGTTAGGATTAGGTTTGGCCGATAATAGAAATAGCTCAAATAATGCATGCTTAAACAGGATGAAAACTCATTTCTCTCTCACATTAAGGAAGTTGAAATGTATATGCCAGTGATGTTATGGCATCAGGGAGCCAGGCTCCTTCCTTTCACTACTCCACCCACCTGAGGAGCTCCAAGATGACTTTGGAATGTCTAGGCAGTCCATCTGTCTCAGGGTGGAAGAACAGGCAAATGGCATGCTTGGGATTTGCACCCTTTCTATTAAGAAGACATCTTGGAAGTACAACATCACACTGATTACATATCAGTAGCCAGAACTGAGTCCCATGGCTGCAATTAGATGCACAGGAAGCTGGGAAATGTAGCTGTATGTCTGCCTGACAGTATGCTTACTGAAAATCAGAGTTCTAGTATTAAGGAAGGAATGGATTAATAATGGGAGATGATGGACAGTCTCTTAAAATGGCACCATGGTCTAGTCATCCTGTGAGGCTGTCAACACCTTTCCTACTGACTGTGCTTATGAAGTAGGTAGGGAAACTTCAATGGTAGCATCTTGTCTAATTACTTACTATTTCTAATTTATTTAAAGTGGACTGAATTGTCCATCTTCATTAACTCTTCTTTCCTACACTATTCTCTGTTGACCTTCTGCAATATGATTTTTATCCTGACAAATTTATTTAATCTGTTGCTTTAAAGATATCCAGTTACTTTCTTCTTTAAAAATTCAGCATTGTCTTTTTTGTTCTCGTTCTTTTTAATAGTATCACAATAGATACTGCTTCACTGATCAAATCTCCTTCTTCCTTAAATTTTCTTGTCACTGGCTTCCAACATGCAACAGCTTTCTGTTTGTCCACCACCTCTCTGGACAGATCTCTTCTTGTTTGCTTTCATGGCTTTTTTTTCTGTTTCCATTTCCGAATTCTGGCCATTCTTGGAAGGTTTAGGCCTCCATTCCCTTCTAGCTTCCTTTCTTGACTTAATGATTGGATATCCTCTTACAATTCAACCATGGTTTTCAATGGCCCAAACTTTGGCACAAACTACAGTCTCATGTCTTTGAATGATCTTTAAAGAATTTCTCAACGCTTCAAAAAGGATACCTGAAACCACAGAACTCTTCCTTCACAAATCTCTTTCAGAACTGCTCCATTTGTTAACACCACCACATTTTTCCTAGTTTTCTAGGCATAAAACTTTAGATCCATCTTTTATTGCATCATTTTCTTCAATCTATCATTGAGTCAAAAGGATAATTCTTTGAAACTTCTTTTGACTGCATCCTTTCCAATCCTATTGTCATTCCCATAGTAACACTGCCTGCTAAATATCTATCTGAGAGAAGCTGTGTGTGTGTGTGTGGGTGGGTGTGTATGTGTGTGTGTTTGTGTATGTAATCATTGGCATATAATAGCAATAGCCTAACTTTTATTGAGCAGGTACTATATTTCAGGGACTATTCCATGTTATTTTATAAGTGTTAACAATTTAATTCTCATAAGAACCAAAGAAGGATATATTATTGTTATTTATATTTTTGAGGAAACAGAAACACTGAGATGGGAAATAATTTGCCCAAACTCACATCCAGCAAATGAAAAATCTGGGACTTGACCCAGGCAGTATAGTTTCAGAGTCTGAACTCTTAAACTTTTTGCCACATTGCCTCTCCTTCTGCTGCTTGATCACTAGATCATGCCATGCTATCACCTCTGTCTCCTGATTACATCAAATGTAAACCTAGCAGTCTCCTTTTCTTGACCTGCCAGGATCTATCCCCATCAACCCATCCAACCCTATTTGTCATTGCAGCCTACTATATATAGCATCCCAAACTGATTGTTTCATTTTTCTCAGTTCCCCAAATTCCATTTCTTTCTTAAGCTACAATGTACTTGTTTTCTCCTGGAATAATACTTTCTTGTTCTAGTGTCTTGGCAAATATTTTCCATTCTGCTTGGCTTCAGAAATCATGTCTCCAAGGCTGCCACTGAGGAGCCTGTCCCTTTGCCTATCCATCCTCAGAGTGGAGGGCATTCAAAGGGAGAGGGGTCACATAAGCAGAGATGAGGAAGGGCACTCCACTTTGCTGGCTGTCCCTAGCATGCTTTAAACCAAAGCTCAGGTATAAGAATCTACTGCATGAATCAATTATTGATACTCATCATAAAAAATAGAAGTTTTGAGCAAAAGTGGTCAAAGATGTTCCTTTTGAAATTCAGGAAAAGGTAGTGTGTTGTATTTAAATAATTGATGAAGTCTTTACAAATCATAAGGGAACCAGAACAAAAGCCTGGTTTTCTGATCCCTAAACCACTGTATCAGTGTTGCTCCAGAGCTTCTCTGGAAGTGCAGTTACAGCCAAACAGGGTGCTTCATTCTCCCTCCTCATGTTAATTTATTCATTGTCTTCATTGTGCTTCATTGCCAAGTTTCATTTGAACAAAGAAATCTGTCGCTGAAACCATTTTGAAATGCAATGAGTTATACTAGGGGTCAGTAAATCATGGCCTGTGGAGCAAATCTGACCCTACCCTTAATTTGTGTATGGCCGGTGAGCTTAGAATGGTTTTCACATTTTTGAATGGTTAAAATAAATCAAGAGGAGAAGAGTATTTCATGACATGTGACAGTTATGTAAAATTTGAATTTCAATGTCCAAAAATAAAGCCTTATTGGAATACTTGACACTCATTTCCTTATGTATTGTCTGTGGCTGCTTTTAATGGCAGAGTTGAAGAGTTGCAACAAAGACCACATGGCCCAAAGAGCCTAAAATGTTTTTTAAGTGGCCCTTTGCAGAACAAGTTGCCCCCATTTGTGTTAATCCACATTAAGAGACTTGTCTTACTGAGCCCTTCTTTCTCTGAACATGCTAAATTTGTATCACAGAATTTCACTGTCTTGTGAGTCTGTGTGAACAACCATTTTAGAGATTTTAATAATTCCTTCATGTATTTTACTTTTGCTTTTTCTATCAGACTTCAAAACTCTATGGGGCAAGGATGAGACCTTATCCAACCAAGTTATCCTACATGTCACTTACACCAGGAGTTCTTAACATGTGTTGATTGAAAGGACAGGGAAACTTTTGAGTGCACAGCAAATATTCATTGAAGTTAGTAAAGTCAAATATGCTATATTAGGTTCCAGCAGAATCATGAATATTGTACTAGTTTGCTAGGGCTCCCATAACAAAATACCAAGGACTGAATGTGTTAAGCAACAGAAATTTATTTTCCCACAGTTCAGGAGGCTAGAAGTCCAAGATTAAGGTGGCAGCAGGGTTGGTTTCTCCTAAGGCCTGTCTCCTTGGCTTGCAGATGGCTGCCTTCCTGTGTGTGATCACATAACCCTTTTTTTTGTGCACATGTATGTCTCTGGTGTTTCTTTCTCTTTTTATAAGGACACCAGTACTACCGGAACAGAGCTCCATCCCATGACCTCATTTAACCCTAGTTACCTCTTTCAAGCTTCTGTCTCCAAATACAGTCACATTGGGGGTTAAGGTGTCAACATATGAATTTTGGGGGATACAATTCAGTCATAACAGACATCAGGGGATGATCTTTTGGAATGCTTCCTAATCAGAGTATGATATACTGGAGTAGAAATAAAGAGGTATGTAAGCATAATGCTATGGTCTCATTGTCATATTCAGCAATAGCAGTCTGATGTTTAATACTTGACTCTCTCTCTCGTATTATTACTGACTCTAACTATGTTGTCTTAGGTGGCTGACAGCATCTCTTTTTCTCATTTTTCATCTCCAGAATACAAAGGTTTTATGTCTCCCTAGACAAATTACATAAAGGAAAAAGTACATTAGACATTTTGAAGGAAAAAAAGGCTGTGTAAAGTATAAGGGCATTGTCAATACTTTCTAATGTAATTAGAACATTCTTCTGTGACCTCAGGTAGAGATTGGAAGAAGAGAATATGGAAACAAAAATAATCAAGCAGGTATACTGTCATTGCCAAGTGGTTTCTCTCCGTTGTCAAAGCCTCATTCTGAAAGAACAATGATCAATGATTTGAGACTGTTAACAATTACCACTGAACACATTGAGGACTGGTCTCCTGGTGTATCAGACCCAGGAGATGCTTCTTCTAAATAGAAATGTCCTAAGTACAGAGAAAACTTGGTGTCTGACTTTGTCATGGAAAATTTGGAAATTATATAATTTTATAAAGGATAATTACTTAAGCTTGTGAGGTAGGGAAAAAAATAGAATAATTTTTAAACTTAAAAGTGAAAAAATTGGCCTAACCTAAAGAACATATGGAAGAACACATTTCTGAACTGCATACTGCTAAAAAAAAACCCTTCTTCAGTCTCAGTTTTTCTCCCCACCACTGTTATGCCAATTTCAGTTCCAAATATGTAAATCTTGCCACGACCATAGCTGCGAGTGTGGTTGTTCAACCAAAATCACACCAAAGAGTTCTTATTGCCAACTTTGACTTCCTCTGGTTCTAGATCTCTCCTTTTAAGTCATTCATAGACACTGGTTACATGAAGTGGTGGCAGTGAAGGTGGAGATGAAAGTAGGTGTGTGTGTGCCAACACGTGTATGTGCACACGTGTTTGGGAGTGTATATATGTGTGTGTACACATGTGTATTAGAGAGAATGTGTGTGTATGTGTGTGTGTGGTATTGGTATTGGTAAAGGGACATATTCCATTTGACAGAAAACATGAAAAAGGTTAAAGCTTTTGAAAGCGTCCAATGAGTATTTGATTAAATACTTAGAGGACACTCAGCTGATTTAAGGAAGTTGTGTGCTAAAATGGGAAAAGCATGATCTTGGGAGACAGTGAGCAGGTCTGGATTTCAGCCCCTCTTCTGCCCTGTTCCAGCATGATGACCTTGAGGAAACCGGATAACTTCTCTAGTTACCTAATCTGTACACATAGGATAATTGTTTCACCACAAAGGTGTATTTCTAAAAAGTTTTTATTTGGAAAAAATTTTGGATGCATAAGAAGTTGTGAAAATAGCTCAAAAATAGGGAAAATAGTTCAAAAACAATGCAAGAATAGTTATATCAGTAGTGCATTTTGGGGGTAAATAGTTCCATACAATTTTACCTCATGCATAGTTTTTCTAAGCACCGTCTACTTGGAAAACAAAACTGTCCTGTCAAGACTTAGAAACCCCTGAGGATGGTTTTGAATGAGAATAACTGTAACAGCCAGTATACTCACATACCTTTCTTTAAACGGATGCTTTTGTGGTTTTCCCACATATAGGAATCTTAACTATGATAATTAGATGAGGTCTTTCTCATTATAAGACATTTTATCATAACACTAAGGATGTGTTTGAAATCAGGTATTTTTGAAAATGACAAAAGGATTTGTTAAAACTTGCTGAGCCCATTCTCCATAAAGAGGGTAGTATTCAATGTGTTGTACTAGAACAAACGCTAAAAGTTAGAGATAGGTTCTGATAGAACTAGAAAATTCGTACCAACCCTAAATCTTTGCTCAACCAACCTGCATCCTCTTTTGGGTGTTTGGTGTGATCAGATCTTTTGAGTGGGCCATCTTCTTAACTTCAGGGCTAGTATTTTCTATTGCACAGTTCTTAGTCATTGGTAACCAAAGATATTCTGCTTGCATTAGAAGTTCTTTCTCTCCTGAGTTCATTTGTTCTTTCATACATATTTGCTGGGTACATACTCTGTGATGAGCACTGAGTCAGGTGCCCTCCATAGAAAGGTGTGTTCCTGCTCTCATGGAAGAACAAACCTGGTAGGAATGAGAGAAGCAGAGAAGCAATTAATTACAATACAAAGTCCTATGGAATCCCCAGGAAGGGTATCCAGCCTGAAGCTGTGAAGAATCAGGAAAGGGTTCCTCAATAGGGCAACACATAGGCCATGTCCTGCAAACCCCAAAGAAGTTATCCAGGCCAAGAAGAAGGGGGAAGGGCGTCACAGGAATAGAAGGGAAACTGAGGCACAAACAAAAGAATACGCACAGAATGGCAACAACACCTTTGCAACACCATTCACACAAAGCTCTCTCAGTCCAGTGGGACCTGGTCTTTCATCATCTCATCACTAATCTTGTGAGGTTCACCCCATAGATGGTAGGGCCTTTGATTCTAGAATGCTCCTGCTCTTGCTCTGATTATGTAACTTTTACCCTTGCTTTCCTTCTGGTTTGCTTTGATTCCTTTTTACTTGAAGGGAACCTCCAAAATGGAGCCTGTGTTTGTACAAACTGTATTCATTTCTGTTTTAGTAAATGAAGTTGTATATTCTTGTTTCTGCTTTTTTAAAACAGAAATTCAAACTCAGAAAACCAAAGTACTCCAAGCCAGTTTACTTTTTCATTTAATGAAGCAAAGCTATAAGAAGTAAGTCTTCTTATAGTAAAAGTACTAAAATATTCACACGGGATTTTCAAAATATAACACAGGAAGGAGTAGAATGCTTCAAAAAAGAATATATGTTTCAAGAAGAGCAAGAAAAGTGATGGACTGAAACAGCTCCTAGGACACAGATTCTGTAATGTCTGAAGGATATTAACTCTGACACCAGTCAACTACAATAAGTGACTAATTTTATTATAGCCTTTGAAAAAAACCCTATACCCCAAGTGATTACAAAACAGCTGTAAAGATTTCACTTGACCCCTCTCTAGTACAGAAGATTTTTCTTGTTTCTCATCTGTCAGGTTATGGCAATAGCTTTGACCATCTTTATGGCTGTCTTCCATAGAATACTCTTAATTCTGTCCTGAAGTTTTATCTCACAGTATTTTTAAAGCAACAACATGAATTAAGTGTTAAACTTTTATGTTGCCCTTAAATCACTAATTTCAAAAAGGCGTATTTATAAACTTCTACCTTAACAATTGTTCAATTTAACAACTCTCTTTGAGTGCCCACCATGTGGAAACAGAAATTCGGCATTTTATGATCATTAAGGGGCCAAATATTGGCCATCCCCTGAATTTATCAAAGCAAAGATCAGCTTGTTCTAGAGTGTTTTGCCTGCTAGATTCAGCCAGTGATTGCTTGGATTAAATGCTCAGAGTGTGCAATTTATCTTAATCTCCTACTAACAAAGCCATCCCCATTGGGCTGGTAGGATTTCCCTTGTTAGTAGTGTCTTTTCTGAGCTTTCTCATTATTCTCCAGGATTTCCATTAAGAAACCACCTAAAAATTAGACATAACACCAGACATTCAATCCATGGGTAGCTACATAAGACAGAAATTTGAGCTGTCATTTATTGGTTTATTCAACCAAAATTTATTGAACACATACTAGGTGCATGAAACTAATGCAGCCATCTATATGATGCCAAATATATAATACATTCAATGTTTGCTTAAAACTTCAGCTTAATTCTGATTACAAAATATATATAGATAAAATGTTTTTTTGAAATTATTTTGAGAGCTGGGTGTATCGCCTTAAAACATAATGTCTTTAGATGACTTGTTCACTAGCGAGTTGTGTATAAATATTAAAAATAAAGGTAAGAGTTGACAGTATACATGATTGACCAGAAAGGCAGTATGTGTCATCCAGACCTCAACGTCTACCCCACAGCCTTCCCCAGCCATCTAGAGTAATGGCCAGCATTGGCTGTCCACACCAATTAAATTAATCAAAGTGTCAGCTCGCTTCTACCCTTCACAATCTATGTGTAATGCCAAAAAAATTAAACCAACTGGTCAATAATTTTTCCCAAATTGATTCAAACTCAGTTATGTGCTTTATTGTCAAATGTTTTATTCTGAGATTAAAAAAAAAACTACCAAACAAATCTGAAGCATTTTATTGTCAAATGTATTTAGTACTTTACATGGGAATAATTTCTATAGAGAGCAATGTATATAATTATGAGTGATGAATGGAAATATACAAGTGATTACGATCCATCTGTGGTTGATATTTTCGTAAAGTTGAATTCATTTAAATTAACTAATTAATTGAAAAAGGAATTGTTGTAGTTGGCTGAGGAAAACTGCAACTACAGTCACGTAGAGCAACAAGTTTCCAAGTATAAGATTAGAAGAGGAATAGGTTGTTTGTACTAGTTTTCATTCTTGTTACAATTGTTGTTATGAGAATGGATTCATGTTGTGCCATTTTCTGTTTCTTTGCCATTTTTTGTCACAAGAACAAGATATGAGAATCTCAATGGCTAGTGTTATCTATGAAAGGCAATAAACTATTCTGTTTTAACCTTTCATATGGTCTCATTTTGACTGACTAGCTATTCTACCTCTTTCTCCTAAGTTACCAATGCTGTTAAAAGAAAAGAAGAGAAATCGTTGCCCAATCAAATGGGAGAACATTAAAAAGGTCAAAGCAGTAGACTTTGCTGCTGGCTTTCACAGCATGGATGAAACATTTTTTTAAAAAAAGAAAAAAACTTATTCTTGTGACAAAGATTGCAATAAGAATAGAAAATGTCAGATCAAGAATCTATTCATGGGACAATGATTGCAATGGGAATGAAAATAGTGCACGCTTTACCCTTTCTTTTTATAATCATAGTAAAGTAACTTCATGTGGTGCTGCTTGGGAGCTCAAGTTGAGAATTCTGAAACTAGAAGAAAAAATCAAAAGGAATAGTGCGGCATAATGTAAGAAGTATCAACATTTAAGTGACCACCCAAGGTATCGGCATGTCTCAATTACAGAATGTGGGTGGTTTTAACTTAAGGGCTGGTAAAATTGGTCTGCAGATTAACCACATATAGTTAAACAGGAATTGTATTTCAATACTTACATTGCTTTTGAAATATCAAACTGTGGACCTTTCTTTATTATGTAAGCCATAAAACATGTTTCTAAATACCCATAAACTAGTAAGTCATTAACAAACACTATAGACACTTAAACATTTTTTCCTGTGACTACAAATGACAAATCACTCACATGCTTCTTTTTAAGTTCTTTCTAGAACAGAAGCCTAAATTGAGACTTCCAGTGTGCTCAAATAATAATTGTAAGATATAGAATTAAGCAGTAGAAGCCCTTCCCAAATTTAAAGTGAATTTGAATGAATTGCTTCAATATACATGACAGTTAAGATATTATTTCTAGAATAATAATATAATTAGGAAATCAAGTAATATCTCAAAACTATCATATAGGACTCCCACAATACATTTACTGAGAAACACAACCAAGTCACAAAAAGAGAACCTTTCTTTTGGCTTTCTAACTTGATAACTCATCTATTTAAATATTGGGTGTATACCTAATATTTGCAACCAGAGCCATGTTCCTGGGCCCACACAATCCCATCCTGGCTCAGTGGTTTCTCGCCAAGGCACTGTAATGTTTCCAAAACCCCCCCTCCACCCCAAGGAATGACATAGATTTGTACTTGTATTTATGAATTTTCATTAGCCTTATACATATAGGGGGAAAAAAATCAATAGCTGACTGACTTTTAGACGTCCAAAGACAAGGAAAATTTTTGAAATTAAGATTTTCTTTTCTGATTCTAAATGAGTGTTCTGAACAGAGAGCAGCAGACGTATCATCCGTAACTTGAGACCACTAAATTTACTTCTTGAGAATTTGGGGTTTCTCTTCCATTTGTGGGAAGATCCTTAAAACTCAGAGCTGAATCTTAGCTTTAAGCATAAACATTAGTTCCAAAATGGTTGTCCATATGCTATATTGGTATTTACGTTACATGATATTATATAACAAAACTAGCAAACCCTGCAAGTTCTGGAACACACAGATTTGAAAAAAAAAAAAGCAGTAAAGTTCGGTTCAAACTCCTACATGTGTTATACTTTTGAGTTTGCCATCACAGTATGACTAAAGGAAAAAGTTATTTGACTGGAGTTTAGACAGCAGCTTTTTGAGGAAAGGGACCCTGTTTCATTCATTCCCAGCAGTAAAACCTGGTGGTACTCAATAAATATTTTCTGAATTGATGAATTAATGGCCATGTTAATAAGACACTTATGATCATTGAGGCTCCAAAGGCTGTAGCATGTCCCAAACTCAGATACGGTGGGGGAACTCCAGGTGCAGCTTTTCATGGGGAACTCTCACGATGCTAGAAGTCAATGAAGCATATTTATTCATGCCTGTTTCAGGGTGGGCATTGCAAAAACCACATCAGGGAAATGTCAGTAGCTGCTGTTATTTCGAAGCTAGGAATTCATGGAGATTTCTAGGTATGGTTTGAACTTTAGGACTTTTTTGTTTCAATTATATATTGTTTAAAATTCTATCTATCTATCTATCTATCTATCTATCTATCTATCTATCCTCTATGTATCTATGTATCCATGTGTCTATCTATCTATCTATCTATGAATGACCCAAGATATTATTTGACCCAATGTAATTGTACATGTCTACAGGTTACAGGAATTTTAGGATTTTTGGAACGGCCTTTTCTACCTCCCTCAGGATGATTCCAGCATGCTACAGAAGAGCCTGAGAACTAAGGTCCCGAATCTGTTAAAATGTGAGTATCCTGGGGATGGTTGTCAGCCAACACCCTAGCACCCATAGCATCCTGACAACAATTAAAATGTTTTCTAATGACATGAAAGAGATTTTGATAAGATCTGGAATTATTGCTTATGGCCTTGGTGTGAACTCACTTACCACGCCCTGTGCTGTAAATAGGCTTTAAGGGAGAGATAGAAGATACCCAAAGGTGAGAGTCTGAGAATAAAGTGGGAATGTTGAGACAATCTTCCTATTCACTATGTTGGGAGAACACGGACACACTCCATATATCTTGTTAGAGTTATTAGGATTAGTGAAAGTGACTTTCTTTCATAAAGCTTTACTGGGATCCAGTGCCAACACATTTTAAAAAATAGAGTTTTACTTTCTCTTTCCCTGGTTGGTGTTTTTGCCTTGACTAACTTCTACCTGAAGCACCTAAAGCACTCAGTATTAATAGCTCCTTGAAGAAAAACCAGAGAATTTGGTTACAGGATCTTCCTTTCTTCTCCAGCAGGTCTAGTCTCTACTGTCAACCACTGACCCAGAGGTGCTTAAAACCAGAATCCAATATGTGCATTCGCTCATCATTTAAAATCTTTCTGCTCTACAAGGGAGAAACATTTTTCTCTCGTAGCCTTATTAACTGCAGAAAAGAGCATTTTTATTCTTAATTTATGTTCTGAAAGCATGTCAGCTTTTGTGTCTGTCATTTAGAAGCTATGATTCACAAACATGGGTGAGTTCATTAGCTGCCAAGGCTCAGGTGACTGTTGGGGTGGCCCTTGGTTTGATGTAAAAGCACAAGTGCCCATAATATCCTGAGAGCCAGCAGAATGTTTTTAAGCTGCATAAAAGAGATTTTGATATGATCTGGAATTCTTTGGCTAACTGGAGGCCAAATTGCATTCAATGTCTTAAAAGCCAGTATAAATGATTACAGAACATCCATTTCTTTAGCAGATGGTCATTTGTTTTCACTTTCTGCTTAATTTAATGTAAATATTCAGATTGACCTTTGTTTTTCCACAGTCTTACAGATTGTTCTTGAAATATCATGTCAGAGAATCTGGCTTATAGGGTAGCTTTTTAGAACAGTAATTCTTGCTTTTAAAGGATCTCAATTTTATTACAAAAATGTAAGATCACCTTATATTGATTTAACTCTACATCAGTGATCACTGATGAAAAATATAAAATTTGTAAGAGTAAAGGCCACATTACATGTAATCATGGAAAAGAAGCAGTGATTGATGGCGGAAATGCACAATGATCTTCCTTTCATGGATATTGTTTTGCGAAATTTTGAACTAGAAATAAATTAATGGTTTGGCTTTACCTTTTCTGATTGGGGGAATATTCATTACAAACTCGTCAGAATAAAGAGGAAAAATGTTTTTCTACCTACCATGTACTTTCTTCAGTTCAGCTAAAGAATTGACCTAGTTATCCTTTTGGCTTAGCTGTAGCTGGGGAGGTAGTGCACTTTTTCTTTCAGAGAGTCTTGACTTGTTGGGAAATATAGATGTCCATTAATTGAGCTTGGTTCAAATGTAGAAACCCACTTGATAAGACCCATGATAGTTGACATACAACCTCTGCTTGCATACGGTCAGTAATATTGAATTATTTACTTTTCAAGGAAATCCATTTTATTTTTAATAACTCTTACTGTAGAATATTCTTCTTTTTAAAATCAAACTTAAAACTGCTTCTCTGTAACTTCCAACCTTTGCATTTGGTTCTGCTTTCTGGAACATCATTGAATAAACTGAATTTCACATGGAGACTATTCATATATGTGGCATGCTGATTTTTCAATTCAAATATTCCAAGCTTCTTCAGCTATTCCTCATATGTAATGGTTGAGGGATTTGTCTTTTTTGCTGCTCTTTTGATGTCTTCTAGATTGCCAATGTTTTTCCTATGGAATACTTGGCAGAACTGAAAATGCATCTAAATGTGATCTGAATAATAAAAAGTAGAATGGATCTCTCACCTCCTTTAATATACAAGCCATACTTCTTTTATTATGTTTTTGTTTTTTAATTATACTTTAAGTTCTGGGATACATGTGCAGAATGTGCAGGTTTGTAACATAGGTATACACATGCCATGGTGGTTTGCTGCACCCATCAACCCGTCATCTACATTAGATATTTCTCCCAGTACTATCCCTCCCCTAGCCCTCCACCCGCCGACAGGCCCTGGTGTGTGATATTCCCCTCCCTGTGTCCGTGTGTTCTCATTGTTCAACTCCCACTTATGAGTGAGAACATGCGGTGTTTGGTTTTCTGTTACTGTGTTAGTTAGCTGAGAATGATGGTTTCCAGCTTCATCCATGTCCCTGCAAAGGACATGAACTCATCCTTTTTTATGGCTGCATAGTATTCCATGGTGTATGTGTGCCACATTTTCTTTATCCAGTCTATCATTGATGGGCATTTGGGTTGGTTCCAAGTCTTTGCTATTGTGAACAGTGTTGCAATAAACATACGTGTGCATGTGTGTTTATAGTAAGATTATTTATAATCGTTTGGGTATATACTCAGTAATGGGATTGCTGGGTCAAATGGTATTTCTGCTTCTAGATCCTTGAGGAATCACACACTGTTTTCCACAATGGTTGAACTAATTTACATTCCCACCAACAGTGTAGAAGCATTCCTATTTCTCCACATCCTCTCCAGCATCTGTTGTTTCCTGACTTTTTAATGATTGCCATTTATTATAATGTAGCCTAGAATACCTTGTGCTTTTCAGCACTTACTAACTGAATTCATGATAATCTAAAATTCCAGGTATTTTCCATGAAGAATTCTGACAAATGAACACCTCTCCCTTCTATTCTGGTGCAAGCACTTGAAGGGGAAATAATTAAAAACTGTTAATATTTTAATAAGGTGATAAAATCATCACAGTATTTTTGGAAATGAATTGACTTTAGAAGTCATCTAGTATGATCCTTAAATTTTACAGATGATAAATTTGAGAGTCCAGAGAAAATAAGCACATTGGCCAAAGAACATTTGACAGCGTGTGTTGAGGCAGGGCCAGGCCCTCAATCCTTCAATTCACTGAGAGCAGAAATACTGTTTAACAACTTCATAACTAAGACAGAAAAGGCACTGGCTACTGAGCACTGGTAAAGCAAACTGGCTGAACCCACTGGCTAATTTTAGCAACTGTCATCTGCAAATTAATTTCAGGAAGCTATATCCAGCTAGAGATTTGAATTGTGAAAGGCCGCTTGACATTTCTTTAAGGTAAAAGTGTAGAATTATTTTATTGCCTTCCAAGTACTCAGCCCCTGGCTGTAGTAGGGTCTCAATGGGATTATGTTGCTCTATCATTTTCCTCCCAGTTTTACTTCTTTCAAGTGGTGAAAGGACAGAATAGCAGAAAAAGATGCAGTAGAATTAGGAACAGGAAACCGCAGAAAAGAAACTGTTTATTTATCTTGCTCCCTGGCAGTTATTCCTCTTCTAACAGTGAGAGAGGAGTGAGGCTCGTTTCTGTCAGATAAGCAGCAAGAGGTGCTTTGATGATGGGTTAACATGAAGATTGAGTACAAACTCCCTGCAAATTTAGAATTTATTTCAAGGAAAAGACAATTTCAGGATTAGTGAGAAAAGTGCAGAATTTTCCTCTAGGTTGTTATTAGTGGGAGGCCGAAAAGTGCCACACAACTGGTCACAAGCCTCTCTGCATAACCCTGTGGAATGGAAGCTGCTGAGATTCTGATTCTGTAGGCTTGGGGAAGTTCCAGTGCTTTTAGAATTGCTCCTCAAGTTACCATGATGCACAGTTAAGGTTCATCATCACTGATATAATGGTTAAGAGCCTGGGCTGTGTATGTAGTTGATCTGCTGATTTGAATCTGAGCTGATCCCTTATTAACTACATGTCTTTCGTTGTGCCCTCTAAGCTCAATTTTCTCATACGTAAAATGCCAATGATATTGGGAAGATATTATTATGATTCAGCTTCATAAGGTTGTTATGATGATCAAATAAACTTACAGGCAAAGTACTTGGTAAAGATATGCAGTAAACATCCGATGCCTACTGGTATCCTGAGTATTTCTTTAGAAGTTCCTCTAAAATGCAATCTTCATAAATATGATACTGTTCAGATATTATGACAAATACATATCACACATGTATATACATAATACAATTTAAAAATTGGAATGTGAACAGCAAAATGTGAGAATTGGCTGGAAGGGGCTGGATTTTATGGGCTGGCAAACAAGATGTAGTGTATCACAGGACTAGAAAGGGCTGAAGTGTGTCCCTGCTGTTAAAGAATAGGATGAAAAACTATGTAAGATATTGGATTAAGGGAAAAGATAAAGAATTCCAGCTGGTTAATACACATTGAATGTCTTTGTATCCTATTATTTTATTTAATTCTCAGAACCAATTTATGAAGTCAATACTGATATTATTTGATTTCAAACTGAGAAGTCAGGGCTTGCAGTGGTTAAAAAACGTGTAAGATATATTGTTAGTAAGTGATGGAGACTCTCAAACATATGGACTGTATAGTAATTGCCATTTAGACCACAAAGTAATGATTGAAGACCTTCTACCACCTAATGGCAGAATATCCAAATTGCAGGTTTTGTTTATTTGAGGTTTGAAGAAATTTCACATTTAAAATTTTAGCAGAACTCTAAGATTCTGCAGGGTGTGAATGGGACTTGACTCAATATTTGCCACCGCACCAACAAATTTGACTAGGAGGTATCGTACCATATTTTAGAATATATAGCATTGTTTAGTGCTCAGAAAAACATGGGTTGGGACTTCATCACTTTTGGGATCTTGTGCAAACTTTGACCTCTGTGAGTGAGCTTTATGTCTTATTATGTAAAATAGGGACAAAGTTTTATACTTTTCAAGCTTCTTTATGCATAAGAAATAATACACATTGAAATAATTTGGCACAGTTCCTGGCACATAGAAGATGCTTAGTAAATGATAATGCACTTGCTTCAGGTGCACACTTAACTTACCTAAAAGCAACTATTGAGAGGGAAAGAGAGGAAGAAGGGGAGAAGAAATGGGGAAGGGAAGAGGGAGGAAGATGGAGAGGGAGAGATTTTCAACAGAGAAAGAAGCCTCTAGACCAAAAGCAGAGAGATAAAGTTAATAAATGGGCCGGGCACTCCTGGTGGCTCACCCCTGTGATCCCAGCACTTTGGGAGGTCGAGGCAGGTGGATCACTTGAGGTCAGGAGCTCGAGACCAGGCTGGCCAACATGGTGAAAACCCTGTCTCCAGCAAAAATACAAAAATTAGCCAGGCATGGTGGTGCATGTCTGTAGTCCCAGCTACTCAGGAGGTTGAGGCAGGAGAATCACTTGAACCTAGGAAATGGTGGTTGCAGTGAGCTGACATTGCACCACTGCACTCCAGTCTGGGCCACAGAGCAAGACTCTGTCTTAAAAAAAACAAAAAAAAAAACAAAACAACAACAACAACAAAAAAGTTAATAAATGCTTGGTTGGAGCTCCTAAGTGTCCATTTATAGACATTAAAATGTGATTTAAGTGGTTTTATGGGGACAATTTTGGCTTAATTTCCTCTTTAAACATTGACTAAAAAACGAAAAATTGAATGTGTTTTACTCTATGGTCAGTAGCAGTATTAATAACAAAACGATAATATTATAAGTGTGATGCTCTATTTTAAAGGTATCGATGAGGATTCAGTAAGGTAAGATTGAAAACTTAAAATGCCTTGCCAATAATTGGTGCTCTAAAATGCGAGTTCTCTTCCCATTGTTGCAGGCGCGTCCCCTCAAAATTTCAATGAAGTGTGACACCGTGAGAATCTTCACACAGGCCCCTGAATTATAATTTAGAAAAAAGGTTTTTTTCCTCCCATAGAAGGTTGAGAACTTCCTGTGAAATGATTTGATTATTTGTTTTCACAGAGCATTAAAACAGAGTGATTTTCTTAGTGATTATAGACTTAATATGGAGGTACATGGGTTTTGTAATGTTTATTGAAATACAGAAAATTTTAAATTACATTTCTTAATATTCTTCAAATCAAAAACTAGTTGAAATCTTTCCTTGTTTTAGTGTACTTTTTTTGTTGTTGCTGTTGTTGGCAACAGTGTCTTGCTCTGTTGCCCAGGCTGCAGTGCAATGGTGTGATCTCGGCTCACTGCAACCTCCGCCTCCCAGGTTCAAGCGCTTCTTGTGCCTCAGCCTCCCGAGTAGCTGGGACTACAGGTATGTGCCACCATGCCTGGCTAATTTTTGTATTTTTAGTAGAGGCAGGGTTTCACCATGTTGGCCAGGCTTGTCTCGAACTCCTGACCTCAGGTGATCCACCCACCTCTGCCTCCCAAAGTGCTGGGATTATAGGCATGAGCCACCAGGCCCAGCCTGTTTTAGTCTGCCTTTAAGACCTACATCTGTCTTCCACTCCCCAAGTTTTTTTTTGGTCTAAATTTGTTATTGTTTTGATTAATTTGACATTTCACATAAAAATATATCCATATATATGTAACAGATGAGCATTTAAAAGTTGGGTTCAATGATAGCTTAATTATCTACCCTTTTACCTGTTCTCCTAGGTGATTCTTGCATGTCTGAGGTGTCTAAGCCTTGTAGGCTAACCTTGAATGTCAACTGTTAAATTTTCCACCTTCAGCTCTTCTAGAAGGCATGGATGACAGCTGACCAGAGAGTTTTATTGAGCCTGACCATTGATGTCACATGAGTCATAGGGAGGATGTCTTTCCACCTTTACTCAGGCATTACTTAACACAGACACACAATAATGCAAGAAGTAACCCAAACCCTTCTTCATGTGAAAAGTCGAGAGTGTCAGCCGGGCGCTGTGGCTCACACCTGTAATCCCAGCACTTTGGGAGGCTGAGGCAGGTGGATCATGAGGTCAGGAGTTCAAGACCAGCCTGGCCAAGATGGTGAAACCCCATCTCTGCTAAAAATACAAAAAAAAAAAAAAAAAAAAAAAAAAAATTAGCTGAGCGCGGCGGCAGGCGCCTGTAATCCCAGCTACTCGGGAGGCTGAGGCAGGAGAATCGCTTGAACTTGGAGGGCAGAGGTTGCAGTGAGCCAAGATCACACCACCGCACTCTAGCCTGGGTGAGACAGAGTGAGACTCCATCTCAAAAAATAAAATAAAAAAGTTGAGAGTGTCATTGAGGTCATCATTGCTTTGCTCTGTCATCAACATTTAATAAACAGATCACTCTTACATGAGTTGCATTGCAAAATGGTAACTTGGCAGACTCAGATCGTGCCTCCATCCACCTAAAGAAGACATATTCAGATACATCCATCATGTGACAGAATAGAGATGTTAAAATGATTATGACTGTACAGAGGTATTGATATTACTGGAGATGTACACAGCAGGAGGCATTATCTAGTTTCATGGTCTACCTGCAATGCAAAACAAAAAGGCCTTTTTCTGCAGGCACCTGCTGAAATCCTTCTCTTCCCTTACTCTGCAGTTTAAGTGACATTTCTTCCAAGAAGTCTTTATGAGATTCTTCAGGCACAATTAATTGTTCCCTTCTCCAAATTCTCTGGTATTTATTAGAGTCTGTCTGCTATCAAACTTTGCTATGTGTCTGTTTTGTGTATTCACCATGGCAACTAGCATGTTGAACAGAGTAGTTACAGGAATAAAATATCTTTCCAGTTCGAGCCTCTTTCTTGCTGGTGTGCTCAGTGATTTCCTCTGTCTCCTACTCTATGTAGGCTGTTCCATACTGTACCTGGTGTGTTCTTCTATCTAGGAACCAGGACAAAAATCTCTCATCTTTTCTTTTTTGCTGACTACCAAGGAAAACACGTTGGTTGAAAGGGTCATCTGCTAATTATTGTTAAGAAACACACAGAAGATAATAACAGGAAACTATTCAGAAGAATGAAGATGGAACAGAGATTTAAGGTGCTTTTCCAGGTTCTTATGGTCATGTTGCCTGGTTTATAGTTCTTACGGTCATGACTAGGTTTTCTTTTTCTTTTAAATTTCCTTTCCTTTCCCATTTCCCCCCGCTTCATTCCCTCCCTCCCTCTCTTTCTCTCTCTCTTTCACTGGCATGCAGATTCCTGCTGCTCTTTATTTAGAGTGTGTGCAGCACCTCATTATAGTTCCCTTTCCTCGGCCACTGCTTTCTTTCTTTATATCTTTCTCAGAGCCTTTCCCATAGAGGATACTACAATAGAGAAGAAACATCCACTTACATATTTCCTTGTCTCAAGGAGTTAATTTTTATATCCGAAACCTCTAGGTTGACCTCAGACCTATTATTCTCTTCTTGGTCCAACCCTGTTATTTATTTATCTATTTATTAGCACCCAAGCTATTTCAAAGATAAATAAAACACGGTCCTTATTATTATTATCAAATAATAACTTGTCTTCTATTTGGATAAAGTTCTAGGTTCAAAATACTGCAATATTTTGTTATAAGTTCCAAAAGGAAGATGTATTAGGTAGACTTTGTGCAAAGGCAATTCCATGGAGATATGATAGTTAAAAAACAAAAACAAAAACCAATAGCGCTGAAACAATTAGATCCTGACAAACAAAAAATGATTCTGAGCCCTGATTTGTACCACATATAAAGGTTAATTCAAAATACGTCATATATCTATATGTAAGATGTAAAACTAAAAAATTTACAACAGATAAATACACTAACCTCATTAGTTATTAGGGAAATGCAAATTAAAACCATAATGAAACATCACACCCACTAGAATGACTATGATCAAAAAGATAGGAAAAAGTTTTGGCAAACGTGGAGAATTCAGACCTTTCAAACGTTACTGGTTGGAATGTACAATGGCACAGCTGCTTGCAAAACAGTTTGGCTGTTTCTTGAAAAGTTAAGCAAAACATATACTTACCATATGATCCAGCCATTCCACTCTTAGATATTTACCCAAGAGAAATGAAAGCATGTGTCTACACAAAGACTTGCATGTAAAAGTTCAGAGCAGTTTTATTTTAAGAGCTCTGAACTGGAAACAACCCAGAATCCATCAAATCCTAGTCTGCTTGTGAGGAAAGACGCAGTCTCTCCAGCTCACATTTTCCTTCTTGATACTGAAGACAGGCACACTGACCATTTGTGTTTTAAAATTTTTTGTTGTTAATCATTATGTAGAACTTTCAAAGGATAACAAACACAAAAATCACAAGACTGGAAGCAAGGTTACCCACCCTGAAAAATGTTTCTGTGCTGGTTTTATTCTACTCTTGTACTAGCTGGTACAAGAGATCTGGATAGTAACCAATTTTGCTCACCTACGTTTATTCCTGAGGATGAGGCTTAAAAACAAAGCTTGCTTTCCTAAAGATTCAAAGAGATTAAATGAAGGCATGTTGCACCTTTCACCTTGTCTCATGTAGCCTAATTAGACCACTAAGCATCTTTCAGCTGGATGACACCCAGCCTAGGATATTTTTTCAAAACCTCAAACACAAATAAACACTCAGTTTCTACTTTTCTGAACTGCTTATTTGTTTTTCGCATTATTAAGACAGTAGGTACAATAGAAATTAGAAAAACAAGCACAAAGAAGAAAAAGAAACCCGTCTACATATTACAAGGCAGATTAATAGTTTGGTACATTTATATACATAGCTTACAGTTGTAATTGGAATAAAACTGTAAGTATAACTTTATAAGGCTTGTTCCACTTATATCTTAAGTATTCTGCAATATGACTAAATGATTTGGAACATATAACTATAGTGGCTACAGAGTATTCCATTGTGTGGATTTATTATAAATTTAACTACCTCTCATTATTGGAAGTTAAATTTGTTCTAATTATTCAGTCTTACAAAGAACACCTCAGTGAAAATCTTTTTACACTTTTGTCCCCATTTCTGATTATTAATTTTAGTTAAGTACCCAGAAATGGAATTTCTTAATCAAATAGTCAAATAGAATTTGTTGTTTTTTTTTTAAAGAACATGTAATAAAATCACTGACCGGAAAGGTTACATCAATTTAAGAGAGTTTCTGACACAAATCCTGGCTGGCTTCCTTCTGTGGCTTTATCAGGTTTCCAGATCTGAATTTAAAAAACACTCCAGACCAGGATGTAAGCAAGACAATCCATTGGGTAAAGGAAATAACACATTGCCAAGAACTTCTATTTCCACATCTTAAAGGTCTCATTCTTTTTAGTGCTTTTTTAAAAAATAGTTGCAGAAACAGTGTCAAACATTTTTGTATACTTTCTACCCAGCTTCTCCAAATGTTAACACATTACATAACTATTAGTACAGGTAACCAGACCAGGAAATTAACATTGATACAATACTATGAATTCATCTAAATACCATATTCAAATGTTGCACATCGTCCCACTGGTGTCCTTTCTCTGGTCCAAGATCCAATCCAGGATCTCACATTGCATTTAGCCATCATGACTCCCTCTTTGTCTCCACTCTGGGAAAGATTGCGGCTCTGTCTTTATCTTTCATGAACTTGACATTTTTCAATCATACTGGCCAGGTATTTTGCAGACTGTTCCCTACTTTGAGTTTGTGTGATGTTTTCTTTTGATTAAATTTAGGGGATACATTTTTAGCAGGAGCACTACAGAAGTGATATTGCCTCTTTCTTGGTGCATCTTATCAAAAAGCATGTGATATTGATATATATAGCCCATTCATGCTCATGTTAATGTTGAGCATTTGTTTAAGGTGCTGTCTGCCTGGTTTCTCCATCTCCATCACAAACTTTTTGTTTTATACTTTGTAATTGATACATACCTTGTGAGGAGATATGTTGGAATTTCATCCTTTAATATTTTCATTTTTTTGTATCTTTTATAATGTATATACTTTATCAGTGCAATACTGTAGGTATATAACTTATAAACAACTGATCAATGCACATGTGGAGGGTAAATGCTCTAATAATTTTTGTTAAGTTTACCTAGGCAAAAACATTTTGGAAACAACTGTTCTCGACCAATTTATGTTCCTTCCTTACCCTTTAAACATGACACCCCATTCCTTCTTACAAGAAACCTTCTACGGTAGCTGACTCTACCCTGTTATATTTTTTTCCTTATCTACATTTTATACTGTGCCAAATCTGTAGATGTTTGCAACAGTTTGCTAGTTTTTAAAGCACTCTTCATTTTTTTCTCACACTTCAGTGTCATGCAGCCTATCTAGATTCTAAGCTGGTCAAAGACAGGGATCATATATATTATATTTGTTACTAGGCTAAGTCCTCTGAGGGTAGTATCTGTGCTTGGTCTATTTCTGTACCTTCCATAATATGAACATAATGCCTTGCACATAAAAGCCTCTCAATTAGCCTTTGTTTATTGACTGCGTGAGAGGATAAACATCTGGTACAATGTTTGCATAGTGAGGAAACACAATTACTTTGGTTCAATGACTGTGGCAGACACTCTTGGGTGGCTAACCAAGCCACTATTTCCAACTTCTTTCTCGCCAACTTCCAGTTAGTGTTGGGCCCATGACATAGTTTTAGCTAATGAAAGAGAAGAGGAAATCTGATGTGTAGTTCTGGGAACAGCTTTTATTTTCCTCATAAATGTACTGTTGCTTCTTCCTGCTCCTGGCTTAAAATGTAGAGGTAGTGATTGGGCTGCAGCCTCCTTAGGACCGTGAAGGAGAGAGCAAGAGAAAAGCAGAGACTTTGTTCTTTTTGTCTTTACACTGAAGAAGCAAAACCAAGAACAAGCTACTTTTGAACATCTTCTGTGTGAAAAAATAAATCCATACTGGTGTAAGGCATTATATGTGGATTTCTGCCTTCCTGTTTAGCTAAAGTATTTCTGACTTAACCTCAATAGACCAGAAAAGCAAGAATTATTCTTTGATCGATTTGAAAAAGCTTCATTGAGAATGAGGATTTCATGATCATTTGTTATAACAGAAGAAATGGCCTTGGGTGCTTGAATTAAAAGAAATAGAAATACCCATAGATATGGTACTGCTTTGGATGTGATCTGGAGAAGGGGATAGAATGAGCAAAATACAAAGATCTAATTGCTGGGCTATGCCGATGGGTGAAGGGTTGTGGGGTAGCCAGAGATGGGATAGACGCAGACCCCCCAGGAGGGCTTTGAGAGCTGGCAGTGTGAAGGAAAACTCATAATGCTACAAGGAAAGGTAGGAATTAGGTAAAGATAATGCAGCAGGCAGATCAGAAACAGGGCTACACTTATGAAAATGGAAAACTGAAGAGGCCACCAGAGATGTGATGAAATGAGGAGCAGCGGGACGTAGCAGATAGCTCAGGATGTGTGGGCTCAGAGGCAGGAGTTCAAACCTCACTTCTGCTATATCCTAGCTGAGCATGCTGGCTAGTGCACGCACTTTCACAAGTGCATGTCCTGTGTGACAGTAATAGAAGAGGTTTTATTATTTTGTGAGGCGTATACCTCAAGAGAGGTATGAAACAACTGCTCCAATAGGAAATGGTAGAAAGTAGTAAACACATGACATTTGTTGATACCAAACTGTAGTTTGGCTTGAGTGTGATTTTGTGCCACATGTTCTCTATCAATATGGAAGAGAATTCTTTGCTAGGCATTTTGTCCCTTTGACTGAGGCTCAGCCAGTGGAAGGGATGGCTTCCAATATGATGGTGGACCTCAAATCTCAGGGTCTCTGATGTGCTTGGGTTTCAGTGGTCCCAAATACAAACTTCTGGCACTCCGCTCAATTTCAGAGGCAATGGCAGGAAAGTTTGATGCAAACAATCTTAGCAGTTTAAATCCCTAATAGTTTTCAAGCCAATAGTAGTTAATGAATGTTACATTTTTGTCTTTTCACCTATTTTAATTGGGGGACCTTCTGTAAAATGCTATTTTGGGTTCTAGCACATTCACTAGTAGGGGTTACTACTCAAAGCCAAACTCATTCAGCCAACAGCACTAAAAATACTCTTGGTTTCTGCCAGTCAATTTTCTTCTATTTTCACAATTAGTGGTTCTGCCTGGAAACTGCCTGCCAACATGCAAATCTCATCCAAGGGCTGATGGAAATTTGAGAATGTGCTAAGCTGTGTAAGGTTTAAGAGCAACATTATTCATTCACTATTTGAAATATTTAAACAAATGTAAATCAAAAAAGGGGATGAAATCTCATTATAAGAAATGAATGGCTGCTTTCCACTCTTTCTACAATAGTCTTGATACGATTTACATACCATTTGTAATATTAATATTATTGTAGTAAAATAAATCACATCCTTCACTTTTACATTTTTAATTACATTTTACTGCATTTGTTCTTTTGTTTATAGTTAATTAATAAAATATTTATTACATCTTACATATATGGTGGTGTTTCTGTATTTTAATCAGATTTTACACATAATCTTTTCTCTCTCTTTTAGTATCTTTTTTATGACCCTACACACCACAGGATGTTGTTTTGTGGAAAACCTCATTATTTTTTAATGCATGGCTATTTATTAATGTATTGTGTCTATAACACACTATGCATTTCTTTGAATTGATGAATACATTTACATCCACTTGAGAATAAAAATTCCCTTAAGGGCCAATCTCACATTTCTCTCGCTGTGCTGCCAGAAGCCTATACTGATTGTTTTTCTTACTTTGTTGAGAAGTGGAAAGTGAAAAGGAGAGATAAAAATGGAGAAAAAAAGAGAGATACAATAATCAGCATTTTAAAATTTCATTTTCTGGAAAACCTTTCTGCTGAGGTAAAAAATTAATACCTCGTTGCAAAATGGAATTTTTAGAGCATGCAAATTAATTTACCCTTTGAAAAATCTTATATTTGATGTGCGTTTTATGTTGAACAATTGACCTGCTGTTTCTCAAGTTATTTTCCATTGTATTTGTTGAATTATCCCCTCTACTGCTCCACTATGTTGCACTTAGAGGATTAGATATTAATTGAATGACGAGTGAAGAACACAGTTAGCTAGAATAGCAGGTACCACTGAAGATAATTTTAAGCTGTAAAAAACAAAAGACTTTTTCTTATTTAAAACTCTTCTACTAACTGTGAGCCTTACTCCCCACAACTCAGAGAGTCTATGTAAGCTGGCAGACCAGGTTAGAGAGAAACAATGCTTCCCTCCAGGTGTGAGGAGCTGGACACAGCTGCCCAGTTAATTCATCCACTATTTGCACTATTTGTGAATTACCCTGGGGCTTGCTGGGTGTGGGCCCTGGGCATGCATCATGCTAAGCACTCTTCCCCATGATCTTGGAAATCTTGAAGGGACGCTTATCTGGATTCATTTTTGGAAACAGTACAGAAAAGTGGCTAGCATAAATGACTAGGAGGACCAGAGGATTTGACCTCAGCAGAATTCTCCTTTGCTCCAGTGAATGTGAGCCAGGTTTAAAGGGAGGAAAGTGAAAGAATGGGGAGCACGACTGAAGCTCCATTTTCTACAGAAAGCATTGTTTTGAATGCTGCAGAGAGAAAACATGATACAGGCAGAAAAGTGTCCCTCTGTCATTTTCTCCCTCCTGCCCCACTGTACAGCTTTGCTTGACATCATCAATTACCTGCACACTCACAGTGCTCTTGGAGGCATTTCCATGATGACTCTCTATATTTTAAATGCTTCTCTGTTTCCAAGAAATACATTTAATTTTCATATGGTTTGAAGAGGCTGCTGAGCAGGAAATTTATTGTGACCTTTAATTTCAAAAAGTAAATGTGTCCATTGTGACTATGTGTTCAGCAAATAGGAATGTGAAATGCTTTCTAAGAGAATATACTAGAAGGAAGTGTTTCCACCTAGTCACAGAGAGACACCACGCTTCTCCATCTTCTGAATAAATCAGGCACACGTACCTCCATGTGGGCTGTATGCAGGACCTCTTTGGCAATTAGGGGCACTCTTGATACTCTCTTACAAGCTGTGGGAGATAGTCCAGGACCAGTTAGGTATCAACAGCTTTTCAGGCATCACACTGACATATTACTGGCTTAGAGATGCTCTCAGAGGTCTAAATTAACACCCTTGTCACCTCTCTGCTCTCTTAGAGCCTAAGCAATGGGGAGATAGTTTTTTATTTTTTTATTTTATTTTTTAATGAATGACTAAGCACATACTTAAAGGTAATTATTCCTAGTTTTCTCAAAGATCTAGCAGTAAGCTAGATCTGTGGGTCATATGATATTGTTCATTTGCTATTAAGTCATTCAAATTCTCAGAGCCTTGGTTTCCTCATGCTAAAATGGGAACGCAATAATAAAGGCTTCACAAATGTTAACTGCCAGTAACAAACACTTCTGAGACTACCTAAATGCTAAATATCTTCTTTGTCTTTCTCTCTCTCTCTTTTTTTGTTGTTATTGTTTTTGACAGCATCTCGCTCTTTTGTCCAAACTGGAGTGCAGTGGTGTGATCATGGCTCACTGCAGTTGCACATTTTTAAATGTTTAAGAGACAGGGTCTCGCCATGTTGCCCAGGCTGGTCTCAAACTCCTGGCCTCAAGTGATCCTCCTGCCTCAGGCTCCCAAAGTTCTGGGATTACAGGCCTGAACCATTGTGCCTGGCCTTCATTCTGTTTCTTTGTTCCTTCCATTTGTCCTCTGCCCGGCCTTATCCATGTACTCAAGTTTCCTACAAAAATTGTGCCTTGACACTGCTTCTGACATTTCTGCTTCTCCTTTAATGGAATCCCTCGAGTTCTTTGAAGATGAGCCTAAGCTCTCACTCTCACCTACCTTTTGCTTCTGTTCACCTCACGGGGCTTCATGCTTAATATTATTTATTGAAACAAAATGGGCCTTCCTGTAACTTTGATTTGTTCTTTGTGTCTTTGTTCTCTTCTGTATTCAGAAATTAGCTTTTCATTTTCTAATTTGGTGGTGAATTCTGTACAATTAATCTCTGCAGCATTTCCAACACCAGCTGGCCCATCTTCCTTCCACCCTCTCTGTGGGTCCTGAACATGGGGATCCCTCTCTCTTCTCCCTGTGTGCTGGTGGGTGCTACCTGCTCATGGAAGTCTTCCCCATTTTCCAGCCTGGAGTAGAGACTGAGTTATTGTCCCTCAGGGCATGGGATGCTTTTCCTGTGGATGCTTTTAATAATCTGTAATTCCATACCTATTTGTCTTTTTGTTTAATGGCTTTCCACCGGGAAACATTTCCATATTGCTGCTGTTGTTGTTGTTCACTGTTAGAAAGGTAGCCTAACTCATCTTCTCCCCACCTATGGTCCTCATTGTTCTTAAAGCAGATAGTACCATTCTTCACACATAGATACTGGTGCATAAAGGTACACAAGAAATGAATGAACAAATTGAGTGTATATACATACATAGTTATATTGTGTGTGTGTGTGTATACACACACACATATACATATATATATATACATATATATATATATAAAAAACATTATTCACATGCTTTTGGGAATTAATATTTTGTTTCTCTTTATTTTTCACTGGGACTACTGGAAGATTCCCCAAAGCTCTTTAATGTCTCACAGCAGGCCACTATTTACATGGCTGTCTGAATCGTGTGCTTAAATAAAAGTTAGGTGATGCAATTTTCTTGCCTCCAAATTTACTAAACTTCATCTCACTGCTTTCAGATTTAAGTGTTCACTCTTAAACATAAACTTCTAGATCCTCAAAATCGCACTCCTCTTACCTTTCCAGGCTCCTTGCCCTAAGTCAACACCACACAGTGGTCCTCTGGCTGTGAGCACGTGGTTTCAACAGCTCCAGTTCTCTGTGCATGCTGTCCCCTCTTCCCCAGGCTTCCTCTCACTTCTCGTTGCCACTTACTCTTTGACATGCCTTGAGATTTTACTTCCTCTGTGGGTCTTTTCCCATAGCCTCTCTGTGTGATAACACTGTTGTAAACTTCTGTGATTTAGTGTTTATTGAGCATATCTTTTTTTTCTGCACAGTGCTGTACGATTGGTATTCCATCAGACAGTAATAGCCATGAAGGCATGGACTAGCCCCTTAGGCTGGCTCCATTGTCTTTGTCACAAAGTACTATGATTATTCAACTCTGTTGAATTATTAATAAACCTAGTAACAGCTGCCTCAAACTTTCTAATATAATGTATTCTGGTATGAGAGTGCTCTTAATAGAGACATTTGGACCCATTTTAAGTGCCTTTGAACAGGTGGAACAGGTAACAGTTCAGCCAAGTGTATTGACATCATGTAGGCTTTGTACTGTATTCCTTAAATGGAGTTTTACATTTAGAAATTACCTAGAACCTACCCAGTACTCACATAACTACTGCAAATGAGGAGAAAAACATATTTTTATTGGCAAAGAGAATAATGGCATAGGTCTACTATAAGGATCCTGATTCCAAAGTGAAATGTGACTGCGAAGCAATTTGTCTAAAGGCCAATGTGCCATTAATCTGTGACCAATTCTGTTCTTTGTCCCCAGAGGGATCATCAACCATGTTTTACAGGTGGATTTCATAACAATTTTATAAGCATATATGTTTACCATTATGGAGATGATTTTTGCAGGATGGAAGTCTTATTTGGTGATGTCATATTTCCCCCTAACTTTTAAAAATGTGTGAGAGCAGGGTTTATGATAGTTTATGTAAAATTATCCCAAGTATACTAAAAGTAAATAATCAAATAGTTTATTTGCTTTCATAACAAATAGAAGGTTTGATTAATCTGTTCTCTGAGGGATATGCCAAAATGTGAAACCAAAATAACTCATTCCCCTGCACTGTTGGATATTCCCAATTGACTGTTGTGCTTGACTACATCAATTTTACTAATTTTTAAAGATTTGTCTACACACTAAAGTTTGGCATTTACTAAGAGGCATACTTTCCTCCTCTCTTCTTTCCTGCTTAGGTGTGTTTTACAAGACTTTTGCTACTACCATGGGTAAAAGTTCCAGAGTTTCTGGCTCCCTTCTAGTCTGTTTACAGCTCACCCATTTGTCAAAATGTGAGACTTAAGAACATCAAGCTTCAAAACTGTCATTGGTAGTCCAGAAATATTAAAAGTATTAAAAGGCAAAACTGAATTCACTTTATTCCCAGTGATTTTGATTCTTCAGAAATGAATTAACTGAATTTACTATATATAGATGTCATCTTTAAAATATGCTTTGAATGATATATGCAAATGGTAACCAAATTAAGACAAGATTTTATGACACAAATTGAAAATCCAAAGTATGTACTAACCAAAACGATATAATTCATTAATTATTTTTACTCTTCCACTCTAAGTATCTTTTGAATTGGTTTTTCTTCATAGGTATCTAGCAAATAGATAAACGTATCAATCCTGCTTGAGAAGAGATAACACTGTCTCTGTACTTACATCCTGGTTTGTCAGATTTCATGAACAGAGCAAAATATTGCTTCCCTCACTTGTATATTGTATGCTCTGCAGAATGAAAACTCACAAATAGCCAAGCAGAGAGAACTTTCCCCATCTGTTCTGAAGTTTTGAAACTTTAGGGTAAGCCATGTGTAAGTGTATGGGGAATATTGTGTGATGTCAAGTTGTTCTTTCTAGGACCACGGAAGTAAAAGATATAAAATGTAGTCAGAGTGCAAATTCTTAGTGCTTGTTTACTTTGTGCTGTTAACTTGATGCTATTCATTTTATTCTGTACCTGTTTAAATAGCCTTAATATAGTTTATATCTTTTAAAATATTGTAGATTAAGCTTAATAGTTCCTATCATAATATACATTACATGCATTTTAAACTGTCTATATTAAAATTATACATAATTTTAATTAAGTATTACATATAGTTATATTATAGTATATAATAATATATCTATATAATGTGCTATAAATGTGTAATTAAAATTTTAAATACGTAAATTTTATGTAGATGTTAATATTTTTTAAATATGAAGTTTAATTGTGATATAAAGTTTAAAATATAATATAATTTATATTAAGTATTTAAGCAAGTACAGAAAAAATAATATTTTACACACATATGTGTAAACTCTATTTCTGTGGTTGACTCTGTGATTGTGAGGGATAAGTAAAAATAAAAACTTAGGGTTTCAAATAAGTTACTAAAATGTGTGTGTATATGACATAGATATAGATCTATCAATATGCACACACAAGCACGCACACACACACACACACACACACACGCACGCGCAACTTGGACACCCAATCAAATCACACGTCATTTTTCATTCAGCACCTGGCTGACTGCCCTCATCAGCTCTCACTGCCTCCTCTCTCCTTCCCCAATTACAGTGGCCTCCGTGGTTGGTGCTCAGTCATTTCAAGCCTCTCCTACCTCAGGGGCTTTGCACTTGCTTAGGTCATCTTTCCCTAGGTATCCACATGCTCACTTCCTTCAAATCCCTGCTCACGTGTCATCTTATTAGCAAGGTTTTTTTCTACCCACTCTATATAAACGAGTAAGCCTCACCCTCTCTTCTTTAGCATTTCCTCATCCTGTTTTGTTGTTCTCTATAGCATTTTTCATCATCTGCCGTGCTATATATGTATTTTCTCTCCTGCCATATCTATGCTTGAAACGATTACTCCTTCTGATGGAACAGGAAAAAGAAGATCTGTATCATTATGGCATGCTGGTGAATGATGACGAAAATGAGGGGACGTATCTGAGTTGTGTGAAGAGTCTCAACCTCCTCACCCAATTTTCATCATGTACAACCCAATTCCTGGAAGGTGTTAGGTGCTGAATGAGCTCTTATTAACCAGAACAAATGAGGAAACAACAGGTGACAGGGAGCTCATGCCAGCCATGTGGTTCCTGTTTGTCCCCCACCTATTTCATATACCTTAGGTATTTCTTCACATTAAAAGAAAACCATATTAATTTTGCTCTCATGCATTTACACTTCAGAATCTAATCAGGTTAAATTACAAGGGAATTATAATTGTGCTCCATTACTTAAGATTTGCAAAAACTTGCCCTCAGAAACTTTAGTAAAATATTCATGTTCAACTAGAAGATACTTGATATTTTGATAATTTTCTCAAATCATCAAACCTCAAAGGCATTTTTGAAAGTAATTTTTCATTAATTTTAAGATGAATATCAAGAAAGCCATGTTGCAAATTCTCATCCTCTTTGGCAATAGGATATTGAATAAGATATTTTATAAGATATTATTAAATATGTTATCTATATTTAATAAAAAACTTGTTAGCATAATTAGCATAAAAACAAAACAAAATAAAAATTAACAAATATTACCATTGAAAGATGTGTCCATAAGGTACAATTATGACTTTAAAATAAAATAAAGTCTTTCTGATAAAGAAATGAATGTCCAGGAACGCCTTAATTTTCTAGACTATTTTAAAGATCTAGATAGTCAAATACGTTACTAAATTTATATTTCTCTTCCTATAAAACTACAGTTGAGGGAGAAATATCCAATATATAACAAGATAGCTACAAATTCTCCAGCTTATGTAGTGTTGCCAAATATTTATGTCTCACATAATAAAAATGACATCTTGCAGTCCACATTTTATCTTTCTAAGAATTGCCAGAGAAAACATTGGGAAGGCATTATAGAAGCATTTTCTTTGGACCTGGCAATGTAGGAAGAGTGAAAGATGGATGGAGCCCAGTTGCCTGGCAGTAGGAAGGCCCAATGTTAGAGATCATGACATCAAGAGACAGACTTACCTGCATAAAATATGATGAGTTAAGTTTGTACGTGTACTTTATGTGTCAGAGTTAAGTAAAATATCCAGGTGGAAGAATCTAGAATTTAGTTAGAAATAAAATAAGGCTGAACTTAAATAGAGATTTATGATTCGCTTATATAGAATGGTAACTGAAGAAGAGTTTGAAGAATAAAAATAGGGCTAAGGCTAAAGTTTTGTGGAATCTGAAACAGTCCCTTCTGTTTTCTAATTTATTGTGTAAACTGGGTCTTACTATATAATTCAGCTAGAAAATAATTAGTTCAGATAGACATAGAAAATATAGGAATTTTAAAAGGTAACAATTGACTACCTTAAGAATACTGTATGGCATAAGGTAAGACATATATATAATCCATCAATTACCAATTACGTGAATATTTAGGGAAATAGGCAGTAGTTTAAGTAATTCTTTGCTTTGTAAATGTTTCCTCCATTCTGACTCTCAACTGTGTGTATACCAGCCAATTTATTTCTTCCTTGCAGGTTGTGCATTTAATCAATGTTTACAAATAAACCACTAGAGACTTAGTTTGAAATGGGAGATTAAACTTTGAAATTTGTTTCAATGAACTGATGAAGATTTAATCATTTTGTTGACTTTTAATGCTGATTTAATGGGAAGATATTTAGATGTTTAGAGAAATACAAAACATGAGCCTGAGATATATGTTTCTAGGCAAATAAATAAAATATTTACATCTATTTTGTGAGGCCCCTCATATTGACTTCCTTTAACCATATTGTATCTGTAAGAGAAATTCCAATATCATAAAATACAAGGATAATTGTACCTCAGTGATAGTGAGCCCTAAAGTTTAGGAGTAGAGAAAGTAGGTGACTACTGTAGTTCCAACTCACTCAGGTTTGTAAAGCACCGTGTTTGTCTACACTAGATTAATTGGAGGCTTCTTCCAGTAGCTTTAAGGACCCTGGGTCTGTAAGTCCTACTCTCAAATTGTCTAGGGACAATCAGTGATTGGTTCATAGATGAGCAAGTGACTCAGACTCAAAGCAGGAGATTTTGGCTAATTCTTCCGGGTAAGAGACTCTTGCTCTTTTTCATTGGATTTGAAAGGGAAAAAATGTAAGGAGTGAAGGTGCTTTGTGAACTCGTTCCCTTGAAGGGAGAGCTTGCTGAAAATGAAGCTTTATGGATGAGAGATACATGGAGTGGAATGAGTGGAATTGGGGCCTGGTAACAGTATGTCAGCCTTGGCCACATTGCCCTGAAACCAGCTCTGTCTTCGATTGTTTTTTTTTTTTTTTTTTTTTTTTTTCCAGTTTTGGTGCTTAGTTCCTTTTTTAATCCTAAATTCAACTCGCGGGGAGCTTCTTTGTCACTGTAAGTGTTCTCAACGATAAGATAGTTTCCTGTTGGTGATTTTGTTTTTCTCTAAGAAATTCTTAAATATAACCTCAGAGGAAAGTCACATCTTAAAATCTAGTACCCAAGCTATGACTATGCCTTGCTCAATATTCAGGAAGTCTCCTGGGTCAATCTGGTCCTCCCACAGCTCCAAGAAAAATTAGGTGCCTTCTGTATTCAAATAGTTTTATGTCTTGTGCTGCTTCAGTTTGGTACCTGACTTGAGACTGCATATGGTGGAAACTGAAACCCTATTGCCTGATGTGTTCGGAGCAGGAGCGTCATCAGACTACATGGTGCTGCATGGTCCAGTCACTGGACATTTTTGTGATGTATGTTGGGATGTCTGTCAACCACAGGCATGCATGGCCGAACCATTATGATTTCTCAGAATTCATGTACGCTGTATTCTCTCTGTCCCTCTCTGGCTTGTTTTTTATTAAGGATGAAGAGTTAAATGTAGATTCCATGTAAAACTCTATTTCCTTCACATTTGTTTTAAGGCCAGAGCAGGTGCACCCCTGTGCAATGTAGTGTTGCATAAGCACTTTGTGAGTGTGTCCTCCCCTGGTCCCTATACCCAAGACTCAGTTTCTACTTGTGCCTGAGAAGATATGGTAAGGACTCTTCATTGTTGGACAGCACTTTACCAAACATTTGCAAGCCTGAATTTGGTCATAGGAAGTAGATGGTTATGCCCTTGATTTATAAATGGGGGTATTGAACCTCAGCGACATTGAGACCAGAAGGCAGGTCTTTTAATATCAAGTCTAGGCTCCTGCGATCATTCACCAGTATAGCTTTGAGTGACAAGGGACTCACACAACAATCTGTCTTCAGATTCAAGGACGTGCTCTGCCTTCTCCACGTGGGAGTGTTGGAGAAAATGACTGCATCCTGTGCCTATGCTGTCCCCTACACCTTTTCCTTTCCTTTGACTTTGTCCCTCTCACATCACCCCAGTGCAAGAATGTGCGGGCAGTCATGCCCAAAAGCGTGCACGTGCACACACACAAACACACTGACATTATCTCCCTCTCTCACACACACAAACACACATAGCCTCTCCTTACTTAACTGTCTTTGGACTAGCCCTGTTTACATTTTGTCTCTCTAACTGGGACCTGCCAAGAACCTTCAAACCAGTGAAAAGGTTATTATACATTTTTGAAGTTTTTGTCCATGAAAAGAAAGAAATTCCTATGGAAAATTCCATTTCTTCTTTTTTATGTGAAGAAAATGGAAGACTGTAGTTGGCTGCTTAAACATATTAGAGTCTGTCATTAGTTAATAAAATATGTCCATGTTTACTGTTATTTGGGAAAATGTGTTGTGCCATACCAGATATTTTGTAGTAATTCCAAGCTGTCAAGATAGAGAAGTCCCAAGGAATTATTTTTAGTGTGATTTTAAGCCCTGTGAAATTAGCTCCTTTTTGGACTCCAGTTAGTGCACTACAGCATGAGATCTTTTCCAAAACCTCACAACTGGTGCACCTCCTGGAGCTTGCATCCTGTGTCCCTGGCTAGTCAGCATGGCACTTGTGGTCAGGTGATAGTGAGGGGAAGCCTCCAGGAACTATTTCTACTAGCTCTGCTGGACTAAATTAGTAATGCATTGTGCTTGATCCCTTCATGGAGGGAAGGTCTACCCTAGCCTTTCCTATTGTTTGTTTTTAGAACAACTCCCAAACATGACAGCATTTCCCAGGAAATGTTTCATATTGCATTGCACAGAGAAATAGCTAACAACGTTCTCACTTCTCATCTCATAATCTCGAGAACTCTTATTTTAAGAGATTTTAAAGATTTTTAAACTTGTATTTTATTTCATTTTAGATAAATTTTAAGAATATGTCTTGTGCAAAATAGTGCTTGTACTGGAGGAGAAACTTCGCTGGTTGCATTTAAAATTCTAGAAGTTTGATGCTGGCTAAAGTAGGGCAGGGGAGGGTATAGCTGTGATTGCAGGCTTCTTCTTGTAGCTCAAACTATACCTTTGAGTAGATCACACAAATCTATATCTTTATGTGATCGAGGTATTTGTGCTATATTATTAGTTTTTAGAGTATAGCAGAACCATAGTTATATGAACCATTTAATGGGAATTAAGTGTTTAAAGATACTTATAAATATCTTTATGCCTCTGAATAGTGTGCTATTGTTACATGTTTCTGCTGGAGTAGATACTTTAAAACTAAATTTATTAGCTATTCTTACACATTTTCCTATAATGAGTATGCCTTTTCAAGCATGATTTTGATAAATATTTACTCTCTAAGAACGTATCACCCCGAGATTGTAACACACACTAGATTGTTTTGAAGAATTCTTTCAAAACCCTCCTTGGTAAAAAGTTAGAAAAGGAAAAAAGTAGTTTTACTCTTGGTTATCATTCAATAGCATCTAAGTGGAATTGATGTGCTACTTTTGAGGATTAGAAAGAAAAAAAACGATCCACTTTTTTCTTCTCACTTGCTTTTTCTAAGCAAATACGTATGATGGATTTAATTTATTTTCTTTTCTGCAACCATTAGCTAATGACTCACCAATTTATATATTCTTCCCAGATCTTTCTCAAACTCCAGTCCTGAATCCAACTTGCCATCTTCCTGTGAATGCTCTTCAAGCCCCTCAGGCCTATGTTGCTCCCAGACCTGCCCCTCCCATAGCTGACCTTACACAGTTGGTGGGCACCACCATGCACCCAGCTGGCCAAACCAGGCTTCTGTGGATTTCCTATGATTCCTAAATTTTCTCAAGGGCTTTTTCTGACCACTTATTGCCATCTTTTGGGAAAAGACTGTTAGTCTGGGCTGTTCTGTCATTCATTTTAGAAACAATCTTCATCTATTTTTGGACCCAATGATAATGAGTTCTGAAAATTTTCACCCATATATATCAGCCTAGTTACGGTCAGCCAAGTAAAGACATGACATGTGAAAGAACAAGGATGGAACCAAACCACCTTCCCTGTGTTCCTTTCACCTGCATGCACACAGGGGTCTCGCGGTGATAACTCAGCCTGTGTTTGAACTCCTGAGACATACACAAGGTGTTAGAGAGAAGTCACACTGTGTCACTGTCCTCCTGAGTCCTCTTGTTTGAGTGATGTAGGGGGGAGGATAAAGGCTCATTGCTCCAAAGGACTTCAGAAGAAGCATTCCATTAAGTGGGAAAAGTGGGACTTTCTAGTACATTGGGAAAAGAGTGAATATGCGCCTTTCATCTACCCGATTTCTTGTGCTGCCATTAATTTATTATGGCAATAGTCCAGGTGCAAAATGTTACCAAAGGCAAAGTGGTTTGAATCCCAGTTTGTTAACAAATAATATAATATTAAAACTGTGTTTCAAATGTGATTCATAAGGAATCAACATTTAAAATATAATTCCTGGGACTTCTAGATTTCTAGAGTAAGTATGTTAAACACTTATATATTTCTCTGATTACAAGAAATTGTTAACTATCCTCAAAGTTTTAATAAATGTATCTTCTTTTCAAATAACTTAGTTTGTTTTTCTTGAAATTCAGTCATTATTGTTCTTAGGAGTCACTTGATTTCACCCCACTTTCCTTTTTTATTGTCTCTTAAATTATAGATCAGATAAGGCTATATTTAAGCATTTAATCAGTATAAAAGCTCATAAAGAGCCCTTCTCCTTCACCTTCCATTCTGTCCTAAGCTCACTACCTGCAAGGTGAAGATATGGTAGTTAACAGTGTGGGTTCCTCCAGGCCCTCCCAGCCATTGATACATTGCATTTGATAGAACATAATGGGAGCTGCCATAAGTCTTACGAACTTTTTCTCTTCAGAACATGCACCTCGGCCTCCATGCTTCACTGTTACAGAGTATTCTACATATGGGAAGATCAAGTCATTTAACAATTCCTCCACTGCTGGTCATTTTAGTAGGGGAAATAGATGGAGACAGTAGTAACCTACCCTGTGTCAAAACTACCTCTTAAGCATCTTTTCATTTTTTTCTCCTCCTTCACAACCCTCCTGCCAGTACAGTTTAGGGTGCTATCTACTCATTTCTGAATTACTCTGACAACCTCTAACCAGTCTATCTCTTTTTCTACAGCTTTAATTCCTCTCTAATTCATTGTCACCTTGCCACCAGTGTGATTCTTTTCAATTGCAAATTTCGTTATATTGTTCCCAGATTATACTCTTTCAGTGGTGTAGGATGAAGCCCCTCACCTTAGCATGATATGTGTGGATGCCTATGGAAGAATCTTTCTTGTGTCTCCCTTCCCAATGCCCCTCTTTCCTTTCACCATGTGCATCCTGATGTCACATGGAACTCTTTGTTGTTTTCTGTATATACTCTGACCCTACGTCAATGTTGTCAGCTTTGCTGCATTGTACATCTGGAAAAGCTTGCCCCATTTTGCCTGTCTTGTGAACTCCTCTGCACTCAATTCAAATGTCATCGTCACTTGCCTGGTCTTCTTTCACAGTTAGAGACCTCCTCTTCCCTGCTTCTGTAAGCTCTTGCACATATCTCTACTGTATGTATTTAAATGATTATCTCCTACGGGGACCATGTTTTATTAATTTTGATATCCCCTGGATCTGTCAAAATGCCTGAAAACTAGTAGAGATAAACAAAATAAATATTTATTCAAGGAATGAATGCATGAGTGAACCAGGAGGATCTCTGCTTTGGGCAACTTGATCACTGGAAAATGGAAATGAAAGGAAGGAGAGAGAGATATACAAAACATATGCAATTAATCAATTTTTTGGTCAACAGATTGAAAATCCACAGTATTTTTGAAAGACCAATAAAAATGGTTGACAGTTTAGACTCAAAACTGTCAACCTGACCCCACTCCTCCCCATCTTCCCATCACCGTAGCCCCTCCTCTCACAGTCTCACATGGCCTGCTTGACTTCAGGTTTTTCTGGGCCACACTCCTCATTGACGTACATCAGTGAGCATCTGCTTTCTCCTCACCTTTGGCCTGTGCTTAACATTCTCGTGACTCTTGCCACTTTGCTCAGCCTGACAGTCTGACACCTCCATCACAATGCTGATACAGATTGAAGAGGGAAGATGTAACATTTGTGGATATTATACCTCAGTTGAGATCCAGGGGAACTGAGATTCAATTTGGATTTTGGATGCTATTGTATATTTTTTTAATGTACGAGCAGATTTGTGTTCCTTCAAATGTACTGTAATATTTGTTGCTGTTTTTAATTTGAAGGTTAAATTTTCAGAGTCTATTTTATCCAGGGACTTACCTAAAATTCTGGTAATTGATTCCAGATGAAGAGTGAGCATGGAAATGTCTCTGTGGCTTGAACTGTGAGACTTCACATAACTGAGGATAAATAAAATGGAATCTAATACAAGAGTCATTTAGTTATGCCTTTCAATTCAGGAATTGTATTCAAACAATGAGGCACAGAAAATAGTTTCTAATTGCTAACTTTAAAAGAAATGATGTACAATTTAGGGCAATATTTTAAAAATGTAAATGTCTAGGTATTATCTGAAGCTTCATCATATACATGAAGAGTTATGTGATATTGTTTATTCTAATTGTATTTAATCACATTTCTAGCTCTAAGACTAAGAAAAGAAATTCAGCTTGCAAATATTTTAATGATAATAAAACCTGTGACTATTGTATGTAGCGAGTATTTTATTTACATCATTTGATTTAAGCCTTACAACACATTCTGAGGTAGGCATTATTTTCTTTGCTTTGCTAATGAGAGCATGGGCATTCAGAGGTGACAGTGACATACCCAGGGTAAATAGCTCTTGAGTGAAAGGGCAGAGCCTTGACACCAGATCTGTCTGACTCAGAAGCCTGAACCATTGTCACTGGCCCATACTGCTTGTCACCTGCCCATATGTGTTGCCTCCATGCTTAGAGTTGGAAGCATGTCAGAGTATATGAATTTAGCTCTCCTGCTTTGGAACTTTGATATATTTTAGCATCAAACTCCTTTGTAGGTTATCTTGTGTACTGAGTCACTAGATCGGTAGACTTAAAGAGATATAGGCTGTTTTGTTTTATTAATGTTCCATTTCTGCACTCACTCATCATTCTGCTTCCATTGTGATAAACAGAGAGGAAAAGAAATAATATCTGAGGCTTGTTTTTGGAGCCAGTTAAAATGCAGATTCCAGGGCCTCATCCCTCCAGATGTGTTTTAGTAAGGCTGAGATGGGGCCCAGTTGTTTAAATTAGTAACAAGCACCTCTGGTGTTTCTGATGTAGGTGCTACATTGAACAGACTCTGAGAAACACTGTTTAGATTCTTGAACAATGCTGTCCAAGAGAAAAATTATGTGGATCATAAATGGGTTATTTAAAATTTTATAGTACTCACACTTAAAAAGCAAAAAGGAACAGGCAAAGTAAATTTGAATTATCCCATGCGTTCAAAATATTATTTAAAGTGGCATCAATATAAAAGTTATTGAGCTACTTTAAAGTTTCTTCACGCCAAGTCTTTGAAGTATTTTGCAATTAGAGCACTTCTCAATTTGGTCCAGTCACATTTCAAGGGTTCAGTAGCCCCCTGTGGTTGGTGGATGCAATGTAGGAGAGTGCAGGTCTGGAACTAGAGAGAGGGACATTGTTGAGATTTGGTTTCCATGGCAAATCACGACTGAGGGCCAGATGAGTTAGCAAGCGTGTCTTCAAATCAATTGCTGTGTCAAGCATGGCACACAAAGTGGAACTAAGCATGAAAACAAGTCTATTAGACTTGGGAGTGCCCTCCTGGAGGGGACGAAGAGAGGTAATAAAGCAACAGTATGAAGGAGACAGGGACTTTAGGTAAGGTGAGGGGACTCTCCCATCCTGGAGGCCAGGGCCAGGGTCCTGGGCCACATCCTTAGGTGTACTTTTGCTGGAGGGGAAGGCATGTGCGTAGGGAGAAGGCCCGGATAAATTTAGTCATTTGTACAATGAGAGTATCAGAAAAGATTGTCTCTAAATCCTCATTACTCAAATGAGATGATTCAGTGACTACGAACTCTATGCTATGTGTACAACTAATGCTAATGTGTCCATTGTCTACCTTGAGAACATTTCTTTTGTATGATTGAGTTCCGTCAGCTCCTGGCCTTTTGGAATGGAAGTTTGAACTTTAACATGCAGTTTCCTTTGCTACAGTACACAGAAATCAAGTTTTATATCCATACCTAATTCTAATTCTTAAAGGGCCAGACCCCTTTCCCCAAAAGGCAGGTTTTAAATTGCACCAAAACAGAAGGCACCATAGCTTTGATACAAAAATATATGGTTGGTTAGCCACAAATTACATAAAAGCATGGCTTTTGAGTTGCATAAGAGGACTCTTTTGTGTTTTGCATTTGAAGTACATGTAAAGTCCCAAACTGCCAAAATATGAATAGCTGACAGAGGCATTCTGCAGTTTGTGATTAATTAAATCTTTGAGTTCATCATTAGATGATAGCTCAGGTTGTTTAAGGCTGTTGGCATATGCAGTTTCATATATCAACACATTCTAATGGTTCAAATACGTACCATCTTACCTTACACACTGATACAGACACACAGATGCATAACCAATCAATCATGACTAAGCTTGTATTCAATAAGAGTACACAGATACATTGGCCAAAGAGGGGTGAGGTAAAGCTAGCTAGATGATATAGTACTCATAAACTATTAGGAGAAATGAAACACAACTTTTAAAAAGAGGCATATTTGCAAAGTCACAATATAATAAGTACATGAAGTGTTCAGAAAAGGGAGAGGTTATTCTGGGTCAGATTCATAAGAGTAAGATGCCTAAAACCAGCAGAACTTGAATTGGGGTTTGCTGCCGAGCCTAAAATTTCTGATACTATAGCCATGAGTCCACTGTATGATATAGTAGAGTTGATTTCAATAGTTGGGTAGAACTGCTGCAGGCACAGTAGCTGCCATATGCTTTTGGTGTTCCAGTATATTTCCCCCTTTAGCATGTGGTGAATGTCAAGTGGCAGGAGGAGTTTTCTTTTCTAGCTCTGGTGAGCTTGGATGCTAGACTCAAGGCTCAGAATAGCCCATGATTTCTCCACACCCAAAAGGGGATAGAGCGAGTGCTCTCCTCTACACAAAGGAAGGATGTGGGCTAGCGTGTTCTGTACCAGTAAAGATAGTGGAAGGAAGAAGAGGGGAAATTATAGATTAGAAACTCAAGTTCCACTTTTTGACACAACTGCAAATCTGTTTATGGTCGTATTAATCTTCATAAGTAGTCGGCTGTAGCCTTCTTGATCTTAATTGTTCTGATGGTCAATAAAAATATAAATTTTACTAATTTCTCAGCAATAATGATGCTAATTAAGTTCTAAAGCCCTTTTTATGGGAGCTTTGTACAAACAATGGTTCTGAGAAGAATAATTATTAACTATATGTGGAATTGCTTTGAAATAAAGTTCCTAACACCTATCAGTTACCAAATGGATTGCTGGGGTGCCCTCAAATACCACAGATGTTGTTAAGAAGCTTGAGAAATTCTTTTCTTCACTGCATACAGATATTCCAGTTAGGTCCACGTGTTTATGAAGGAGTGGAAGGCTGTGTATTGGCACACTTTGAGATGTTTAGGGATAGTCACAACTGTTCTTTCTTTAAAACGTCTTCCTCACTGTCTATACCACGGTGTTTGGTGCTTCCTAATTCTTTCCCTTCCTCCTCCTTCCCCTCCTTCCCTTCTTCCTCTTTCTCTTCCTCCACCTCCTCTTACCAGAACCTTGAAAATACCTGTTAAATGTAAATGTTTTCTATGTGGGATAAGACGCATCAACATTGACAACAAGCATATATTTCAAATCCATGAATCATTACATTAATTATGAGACTGGGTCTAACATGCATGGAATTTAGGAAAGAAAGATGCATTTTACAGAAGTTACCAATAGGGGCTAAAACATGGAGTGTGTTTGGGGAGGAGGTGCAGTGTGGGGGCTGTGAATAACTGGGTGGAATTGAAAGCATGAGGCGGTGAGTGTGAGAATTAGAGAGGGATGGTGGGTGGGCAGTTGCCCAAAAGAAGAAAAAATATGCAAAAAAGGGCAAGGTGACAGAAAGAACATGTTGCTTAAGGTCAAAATGCCATTTATCACTTACAGTGTTTCTCTTGTTACCAGGAAGCAGGCTAAGGGTCTTATGACTTATTTATTCACTGTGTCTTCTACAAAGGAATTAAAATTGAGAAGTCTCAGAAGAATATGTACATATTATTTAAAAAATGAATGAAGGCAAAGAAAAAAACAAAGGAATAAAGATACGAGAAAGGCTAGAAGTAGAAAGCAGATAGAAAAGAGTGCTGAAAATTCTTACATGATTACTAAATTGATTGGTTGACTCTGTTCTGAGCTTCTTGGTGGCAAACACCAAAAGAGGAGTAGGGTCATTTATAAGGTTTATGTCGAAAGAAGAGACAATTTTCCAATGGAGCTATGTAAATTTTTCTCATAAAATCTTATAAAGTGAACAATGAATTAAGTAGCAGTTAAGTAAAGTCTAAGGGTTTAACATCCAGAATATACAAAGAATTCTTACCGGTCAACAGTATAAAGTCAAACAACCCAATTAAAAATTGGCAAAAGGTTTGAATAGCTATTTCTCCAAATAAGATATACAAATGACCAATAATAAGCATATAAAAGGATCATCATCATTAGTCACTGGAGACATGTAAATCAAAGCTACAGTGATATACTACTTCACACTTATTAGGATGGCTATAATCAAAAAATCAGAAAATGAACGAATGTTGGCCAGGATTTTAAAAAAATTGTAACACTTGTACGTTGCTGGCAGGAGTGTAAAATTGTTTAGCCCCTGTGGAGAATGGGGTGGTCGTCTAGTTCAGAAAGTTAAACACAGAATTACCATATGAGTCAGCAATTCAACTCAGACACCAAAGAACTGAAAATTGGTATTTTAATAAAAATTTGTACTTGAATTTTCACAGCAGCACTATTCATAACAGCCAAAAGGTAGAAACAATCCAAATGTCCATTAACAAATGAATGGATAAGCAAAATGTGGTCTATCCATACAATGCAGAATTATTTGTCATAAAAAATAATGAGGTTCTGACGCTAAAACATGGGTGAACCTTGAAAACATTAGGCTGGGTGAAAAAAAGGTCACATATTGTGTGATTCCATTTATATGAAACATCTAATATAGGTAAATTCATAAATACAGAAAGTAGATTCATGGTTTCTAATCAGTGATTGCTGGAGGGTGAGTAGGGGAAGGGGAATGACTGCTCAATGGACATTTTGAGATGATGAAACTGTTTTGGAAATAGACGGTCCTGGACTTCTTTTTGTTGGTAATTTTTAAATTAGCATTTCAGTCTCGCTGCTTGTTATTGGTATGTTCAGGGTATCTAATTCTTCCTGATTTAAGCTAGGAGGGCTGTATTTTTCCAGGAATTTATCTATCTCTTGTAGGTTTTCTAGTTTATGTGGATAAAGGTGTTCATAGTAGCCTTGAACAATCTTTTGTATTTCAGTGATGTCAGTTGTAATATTTCCTGTTTTGTTTCTTAATGAGGTTATTTGGATTTTCTTTCTTTGTTTCTTGGTTAATCTTGCCAATGGTCTATCAATTTTATATTTCTTTTCAAAGAAACAGGTTTTGTTTCATTTATCTTTTGCATTTTTTGTTTGTTTGTTTAAATTTCATTTAGTTCTGCTCTGATCTTGGTTATTTCCTTTCTACTGCTGGGTTTGGGTTTGGTTTGTTCTTGTTTCTCTAGTTCCTTGAGGTGTGACCTTAGATTGTCTGTTTGTGCTCTTTCAGACTTTTAGATGTAGGCGTTTAGGGCTATGAACTTTCCTCTTAGCACTGCCTTTGCTGTACCCCAGAGGTTTTGATAGGTTGTGTCATTATTGCCGTTCAGTTCAAAGTATTTTTAAATTTCCATCTTGATTTCGTTTTTGACCCAATGCTCATTTGGGAGCAGGTTATTTAATTTCCATGTATTTGCATGGTTTTGAAGGTTCCTTTTGGAGTTGATTCTGTTTCATTCCACTGTGGTCTGAGAGAGTGCTTGATATAATTTCAACTTTCTTAAATTTATTGAGGCTTGTTTTATGGCCTATCATATGGTCTATCTTGGAGAAAATTCCATGTGCTGTTGAATAGAATGTGTACTCTGTGGGTTGTTGGATAAAATGTTCTGTATATATCTGTTAAGTCCATTTGTTCCAAGGTATACTTTAAATCCATTGTTTCTTTGTTGACTTTTTGTCTTGCTGACCTGTCTAGTGCTATCAGTGGAGTCTTGAAATCCCCCACTATTATTGTGCTGCTGTGTATCTCATTTCTTAGGTCTATTAGTAATTGTTTTATAAATTTGGGAGCTTCAGTGTTAGGTGCATATATGTTTAGGACTGTGATATTTTCCTGTTGGACACAGCCTTTTACCATTATATATAATGTCCCTCTTTCTCTCTTTTAACTGTTGTGGCTTTAAAGTTTGTTTTGTCTGATATAAGAATAGCTACCTCTGCTTGCTTTTGGTGTCCATTCGCATGAAATGTCTTTTTCCACCCCTTTACTTTAAGTTTATGTGAGTCCTTATGTGTTAGGTGAGACTCCCGAATGCAGCAGATGGTTGGTGAGTTCTTATCCATTCTGCAGATCTGTATCTTTTAAATGGAGCATTTGGGCCATCTATATTCAATGTTTGTATAAAAATGTGAGGTACTGTTGCATTCATTGTGCTCTTTTTTGCCTGTGTACTTTGTTTTTTGTTTGTTTTTTTTTTTTTGCTTTTTAACTTGTATTTTTGTTTCATAGGTCCTGTGTGATTTATGCTTCAAAGAGGTTCTGTTTTGATGTGTTTCCAGGATTTGTTTCAAGATTTAGAGCTCCTTTTAGCAGTTCTTGTAGTGCTTGGTAATAGTGAATTCTCTCAGTATTTGTTTGGCTCAAAAAGACTTTCCTTCATATATGATGCTTAGTTTAGGTGGATACAAAATTCTTGGCTAATAATTGTTTTGTTTGAGGAGGCTGAAGATAGGGCCCCAGTACCTTCTAGCTTGTAGGGTTTCTGCTGAGAAATCTGCTGTTAATCTGATAGGTTTTCCTTATAGGTTACCTGGTACTTCTGTCTCACCGCTCTTAAGATTCTTTCCTTCATCTTAACTTTGGATAACCTGAAGACAATGTGCCTAGGTGAAGATCTTTTTGCGATGAATTTCCTGGGTGTTCTTTGTGCTTTTTGTATTTAGATGGCTAGATCTCTAGCAATGCCAAGATATTTTTCCTCGATTTTCCCCCCAAATATATTTTCCAAGCTTTTAGAATCTCTTCTTTCTCAGGAACACCAGTTATTCTTAGGTTTGGTCATTTAACATAATCCAACACTTCTTGGAGGCTTTGTTCATATTTTCTTATTCTTTTTTCTTTGTCTTTGTTGGATTGGGTTAATTCAAATACCTTGTCTTTGAGCTCTGAATTTCTTGCTTCTACTTGTTCAATTCTGTTCCTGAGACTTTCCAGAGCATTTCACATTTCTAAAATTGTGTCCAAAGTTTCCTGAATTTTTGATTGTTTTTTCTTTAAGCTATCTATTTCCTTGAATATTTCTCCCTTCACTTCTTGTATCATTTTTTTGATTTCCTTGCATTGGGCTTTGTCTTTCTCTGGTCCCTCCTTGGTTAGCTTAATAACTAACCTCCTGAATTCTTTTTCAGGTAAATCAGGGATTTCTTCTTGGTTTGGATCCATTGCTGGTGAACAAGTGTGCTTTTTTAGGGGTATTTTAGAACCTTGTTTTGTCATATTACCAGGGTTGGTTTTCTGGTTCCTTCTCATTTGGATAGGCTCTGTCAGAGCAGAGGTCTAGGGCTAAAGGCTGTTTTTAGATTCTTTTATCCTACGGGGTGTTCCTTTGATGTAGTACTCCCCCCCTTTTCCTAGGGATGTGGCTTTCTGTGAGCTGAATTGCAGTGATTGTTGTCTGTTTTCTGGGTCTAGCCACCCAGTGAGTCTACCTGGCTCTGTGCTGGTACTGGGAGTTGGCTGCACAGAGTCTTGTGATGTGAACCACCTATGGGTCTCTCAGCCATGGATACCAGTGCCTGTTCTGGTGGAGGTGGCAGGGGAGAGGGGGATGCAATGGACTCCATGAGTGTTCTTAGCTTTGGTGGTTTAATGATCTATTTTTGTGCTGGTTGGCCTCCTGCCAGGAGGTGGCACTTTCCAGAGAGCATCAGCTGTGGTAGTATGGGTAGGAACTGGCAGTGGGTGGGGCCCTAGAGCACCCAAGATTATATGCCCTTTGTCTTCTGCTACCAGAGTGGGTAGGGAAGGACCATCAGGTGGGGGCAGAGCTAGGCTTGTCTGAGCTCAGGCTCTCCTTGGGCGGGTCTTGCTGTAGCTGCTGTGGGGCATGGGGATGAGATTCCCAGGTCACTGGAGTTGTGTACCGAGGAGGATTATGGCTGTCTTGGCTGAGTCATGCAGGTTGTCAGGGAAGTGGGGGAAAGCTGGCAGTCACAGGCCTTACCCAACTCCCACACAAACTGAAGGGTCAGTCTCACTCCCACTGTGCTGCCCCCACCCTCCCTCCCAACAACCCCCAGTCTGTTTCCAGGCAGAGAGCTATACGGGCTTGAAAACCTGCCCCCGGCTACCCACCTCCCAGCTGCAAAAGAAAAGGGCTTGGTTCTTCCCCTGCTGTGGAGTCTGCACACCGGATTTGAGCCCTCCCCCGAGTTCTGGCCAGGAGGCTTCTTAACCCTTCCAAATTATTACAAAGTTCAGCTAGAGATTTCCTTCTCCCTGTGGAGTTTTACCCCCTGCTCCTTACCCGACGGATCCTGTGGTGCCAGGCAGGAATGGGCTGCTAGGGGACCCAGCGAGCTCCCAGGGCCTTTCTGCTGCTTTCTCTACCCCTGTATTTCTCTCGGCTTTCCAAATTGATACAGCTGCAGGTAAAGTCGGAAACGTCTCCTGGAAACAGAACTTCGGCTTCTCCATTGGGGGTGTGTGTTCAGGAAAGGAGGGTCTCCCTTTCCCACTTCCACAGTTGGGGCACTCACAGTATTTGGGGGGTCTCCTGGGTCCTGCAAGAGCAGTCCACTTCCTTCAGAGGGTCTGTGGATCCTCTCAGGATTGCTGGTTTGTTCTTGCAGTCGATCTGGAGCTGAAATTCATAGTGCAAGCCTCCGCATGCTGCTCTGTCCGGAGCTGCAATCTAGTCCTGCCTTTTGTCTGCCATGATGATCCTCCTCACAAGAATCTTCTTTTGTATTGAAATTAGATATATTTAAATTTCATTGTGAAAATTGATAAAAATGAGTATCATTAAAATCAGAGTACGAACCTGGTACCTTGCTATGTGATACCACCCTCACTTCCACAATGTGTCCCCAAGAATCTTTGTGGATTCAGAAACTGGTGAACACGGTCTGAAAACCATTGTTCTAAGTATGCAAAGCTAGTTTTAAATGATTAAGGTACAAGATGAGAGAGAGACACACTCACATTGGGTAGAACAGGCAGACAAAGTTTTGTTTTTCCTGTTTGACATTAACACTTAATCTGCCAGGATACAATTTACTCATTCTGACCCCATGTAAAAAAAATTGTATATTAAAGAAAAAGTTCTAAAGAACTTTCAAAAAGAGGAGATGTCCATTGAACTCACATCTCTACAGTTGTCAAATGTGGCCACCCATCCAAGCATCTTACATGGTCTGTGAAAACTAAAGATCCCAAGGTCCTGTACTAAGAGATTATGCTTTAGAAAGTCTAAATTTTAATGTAGCTAGATCTTCATTAAAAGAGGTTTACCATTGGGACCATCTTTTAGCCCATAACTTTTTGTTGTTCTTAGATTAATAGTGTAAAAAAATGACCATTTCAACCTGCAAATTATGTTATATTATTCTTAACACATTTCTGTGGAAATTGATCAAAAGTATAGTAATCATTACTTGTGGAACAGTTTTTTTGTAAAAAGACCTATTTGGACTTCATGTAGAATATTGATCTAAAAAACCCCAAACTCGTAACTTTTTAAGCTCTCAACCATAATTCTGTATACATGGTAAACATCTTAGTCTTTATGTTGATTTTTCTGTCTCCCTTTGACTATGAGACAGGAGAGCTTTGCTCCCCCACGTACATTTATTGTGGTGCTCAAAGTCCTGGGATGTCAACTCAATCATGGTACAGAAATATAAAAAGGTCATAATGATATGACCAGATAGTGACCTACTTAAGGTCCTTGCTTAAATGGAATCTTTTCAACGAGATCTTCCCTGATCCTCCCATTAAAATTCCAAATTCCTTCTCCCCAAACTGCATATCTGCCCTTCCTGCATTACTTTCCCCCACAGTGTTCATTACCACAAGTACATATTATGCTTATTTACTTTTTAAATGACTTCCTCGGACATCAAAATATAAGCTGTATGGGAGCAGAGATTGTTGCTGGAGCTTCCTGAGAAGATCCGCACAATGATGGTTCTCCCATCCTATGATTCCGAGATGGAGTTCACATTCTCAGGTAGGAGAGTTCAGAAGGGCTTCTTCATAGCACTGGATGGGAGGTACAAACTGGCTAAAATAAAGACAGAACTTTTATTCACCTGGGTCCATCCAAGGAAAACAGACTGCATCTTATGAACAAAGTGACCTAAAATTTGAAGACTTGTCAGTGAGGCCTTAACTCTTGACATAGATCTGATCTCTCTGTTGGACTCTTCTCTCTCCAACAGTAACTTCCCCTTGCCTGTTGTCTTGGCAGATTAAACATCCACAATGTTCAGACACATGTGGTTGTGTCTTCAAAACTTCCCTAGGACCAACAGTTAATTGACCACTTCCTTCTCTTTAGGTGCCAGTATTCTCTGTCACTGATCACCCATGAGGGTGTTCTCTGATCATGGATTCACACTGCAGAAGCACAGCTTCTTTTACTGGAACAATCCTGTTGTAAAATCCCAGGTTGAACCAGTGCCTTCTTGTCAACCTTCCTGGATGAAGGTTTCTGAAGAAACTTTTGAAGGGAGATCTTTCTGTTAACCCATTGACAGGGAAGAAACTTACCAGGATGAGAGGCAGGACTGGCTACATAAATAACAGCCCGGTAAAAAAATAAATATGTGAGACTTCCATTCAAAATGTAGTAAGGATTTCAAGATGACAAGAGCAGAACACTAAAGCACAGGCCACTGCCCTGCTGGGAGGTAAGTGAAGTGTCAAGGAGAGCTTTCTTGAAGAAGTCATGAGGCCTCGCACAGAAGAGAAGTTTCCAAGGAAGAAGAGACAGAAAGTATAAAGACAGAGACATGGAAGAGCAGGTGGTGCAGAGGCTCTGTCAGCCAGTGTATGAGGAGTAGGTCCGAACGTGTGAAACTCTAGCCAGAGGGTAAAGGGTTTGCAGCAAGGGAGGGACATACCCATTTGCATCTCAGGATTGGGAGTGCGAATGGAGAAGGAACTGGAAGAGTAGAGCCTGGTGAGAAGGAGACGTTGGACACGCTGAGGCAGTGTAGGAGGTTGGATAATGGCCCCAAAGATGCCAAATCCCTGAAACCTGTAAATATGACCTTAGACATTAGCGTGCTAGAGTGGCTGGAACAATGTGCCACACACTGGGGGGCTTAAACAGCAGAAATGTATTGTCTCACAGCTTTGGAGGTTGAAGGTTGACATCAAGGTGTCAGCAGGAAGGATCTATTCCTGGTCTCTCTTCTTAGCTTTTAAGTGGCCATCTTCCCCCTATGTCTCTTCACAGCATCTTCCTTCTATGAATGTCTCTATGTGCAAATTTTTATAGGGATATAAGTCCTTATAAAAGGGGGAAATTTGCACATAGAGTGGCCCTTGTATTAGAACCACTCTAACGACCTCATTTGAACTTGCTTACCTTCTTAAAGACCCTGTTTCCAAACAAGGACACATTCTGAGGCATCCAGGGTTAGGACTTCAACATACGAATTTTAGGGGGATGAAATAACAACACACAACACTTTGTATGGCAAAGACATTGCAGATGTGATTAAATTAAGGATCTCAAGATGGGGGTTATGCTGGATTATCTAGGTAGGAACTAAATGTAATCATAAATGTTCTTATAAGAAAGAGGCAGAGGGAGGTGGAAACACACGGAAGGGCAGAAGATAATGTGACTGCAGGAGAAATGAGAGTGATGCAGCCACAGGCCAAAGGATGCCAGAAGCCCTCAGAGGCTGGAAGGAGCACAGTCCTGCTGACACCTGGGTTTTGGCCCAGTGAAGCTAATTTCAGATTTCTGGCCTCCGGGACCCTAACACAGGAAATGCTGTTTGTTGCTTTCATAAAACAGTGGGCAGTTTTAAGCCACCAAGTGTGTGGTAATTTGTTACAGTGGCTATAGAAAACCAATAGAAGCAGGAAAAGCTGATGGATTAAACTAAGCCTATGGCAAACGGAAAGGAATCAAAATCTGTTTAAGGGAGGAAATCACATGGTATGGCTGGCCATGTAACATGGGAGAAGGAGCAGCTCTCTTGGATGGCTACTCAATTTCCATCTTGAGTGCCTGTTTTTCCTAAATTCAGGGCATGACAGGAAGAGACAATGGTTTGGGGAATTCAGTCATGGGTCTAGTTTTAGGGTGATAATGTTTGATTTTCCCATGGTTATTCAAGGTTAGCTGTCTATTTGATCTCATGGCCAAAACACTAAAAATGTAAATGTTAGACTAATTATGGAGCAGCTAATCATGTTATAATATCCTCCTTCCCACATTCTGATCATTATAAAAATTTTGATTTTGGTCAAACTTCTGTGTTTTTATGAATTTAACACAGTCAGCGTGTGTAAAGCACCAGAGTCAAGAGCTTGACTCTTTGCCTTCAGGATAGGCGAGGGGTAAGTTGGCTACGTGTCCTGCTTTGCCCGGGCAGTGCCAGCTTATGCCTGTTGTCTCAAGGACCCATCAGATATAGGCACCCCCTTTCACTCTGAAAGGAATGGTAGGAGAAATATACTATGTGGCCATCTCGACTCCGGGTGGGGGATGGGTTCTTTCTGTCTTGCACTTCTCAGCCTAAGGTACAAATTAAAGTCCTGAACAAGGGACTTGCCCAGTGAGCTTAACTCATTAACTTGCTTACTTTAATGTAACCTTCACGCTGCGGGGAGGGAGAAAAAGTTCATACTTGGCTCTGGAGTATTAGCTCCAGTGCCTGGCAGGGCACAGTAGCTTATGTCTGCAATCCCGGCACTTTGGGAGGTGGGAGGATCCTTTAAACCCAGGAGTTCAAGATCGGTCTGAGCAACATAGTGAGACCACATTTCTACAAAAAGTAGGAAAATTAGCCAAGTGTAGTGGCACATGCCTGTAGTCCCAGCTACTCTGGAGGCTGAGGAGGGAGGATTGCTTGAACCTGGGAAGTTGAGGCTGCAGTGAGCTGAGATCACGCCACTGCACTCCAGCCTGGGTGACAGAGCAAGACCTTGTCTCAAAAAAAAAAAAAAAAATAGCCCTAGTGCCCTTCTTTCCTCTAAAAGAGTAAGGAGTGGCTGCTTCATGGGCAAGGTCAGGGCAATCAGGTGCTTAGTAAGGCTATGGAAAAAAAAGAAAATAGATGTTTTTGGAAGCTAGCCAGAATGAGTGCAGGGAAGAATGACTCTGGGCTTTCCTTCTTTTAGGCTAGCTGAAATGCTTTTTCATTTTCTAAATATTTGCCATTATCTTGTCAACGTTTGCATCTCCATTTGTGGGCACTCAGTATTCACTTGTGAATGAGCAGACACTGCCTTCCATGTGCTGCATGCTGGAGTTTTCATTTCTTGCCACCTGCCACTAGCAGCACACCTGAGTGAACTCAGACTTACTGAGGCTAGAAGATGAAGCACGGACATGGAGGACGTCCCCATGCCATTGCCCTGTCAGTCAGATGTGACACAGTAGATTATTGAGTGCCTGGGATGTTGCCTTGATTGTCTAACTATGTCCTGGTAGTGAACTTAACAGTCATTTTGCCTGGGGAGTACTGGTGTGTTCTGGTGCTGGGAGCTTTGTGTTGCATGGTAGGAGCCTTCTTTTCTGAACATCAAGAGTGTGCATTTCGTGCTCCTAACAAATGGATTTAAAATAGAAACTTCCTTGTATCACATTGGCCTCGTGTGCTAAGTGAACGAAAATGTATTGAATGTCAGACACTACTAGTTATTTCACAGATAATCTAATGAGTGGAACTTGTAAAATATTACCATTCTATTACACAGATGAAGAAACATGGACTGAAGGGGCTAAGTTCCCAATTCGCAAAGGAAGTTCCCAGTTTTACAAAGCAGGGGAAAGGCAGAAGCAGGATGAGAATTCAGGTCTTTTAGTCTCCAGAGCCTGTTCTTGTTTCATTTTATCATACTGCAAGGTGAAATGTAAATACAAACACACCAACTAAATAACAGAACAAATACGCCAACTAAATTACTGGATGATTTTCTACAGCTATCATTTGTACTACCACAGAAGTACGATTCTACCCAAATTTGCAGTACACAAGGTTGGTAATGTCAGGCTTCCACCTTTTTAAATGCTAGTCCAGTGGCTAAAATTTCTGTAGAGTTTAGCTGTTACATCTTCCCTCGGCAAATTCTTGTTCAAGCTTTCATGCTCTCACAGAAGATGAAGATGAAGAAGTTAATCTTTATATTTAAATGGTGCTTTGTATTTAAAGTTAAATTGGGGTTTGAGGCCCAGTACAGAATAACACACCATCCTACGGCAATGAGACTTTACTGCTGTATTACAAGCATTATTTCATGTCCTGCTGTTGAAGTCTGTCCCTTTTCAGAGCTTAAAGCAAGCAATGCAGAGTGCTTTGTCATCCATGATATATGCTAAAATCACAGGTGGGGGCGATGTGAAGAATTTTTATTCTTACAGTCTTTATGATGTTAATGATTCTCTCGACAAAACCACTTCATTTTATGTAAAATTAGAAATTCATAACCTGTGAAACTCACAAAGGCTTTGCACCAGCAACCATGGAATATCACCGAAGTAAGTGTGGTCAGTTTTGTTTGTGCTCTTGTAGATAAACAGAAAAAAAAACTTTAAAAATTCTTTGACCCTGCTTTTTGCTGTTTGAATGGTCATGGTTGAGTGGAAAATCAATGAAGTGCTGTGAGAATTGCACCTCAGTGTTGCCGACAAGCCACACAAAAATCCAACTTTTCACAGGAGATGAAGATTGCCTTTGCTTCATTTACTCTCTTAAGACACATTAAAATCAAAGCTATCACCCCATTTGGCCATCTGTCAATGCTCCCTACACAGTAAGCGGGTAGACTTTGTTCCTGGAACACCAGAATAGGAGGATGTTTTGTTGTTGTAATAAATGGTTTTAGGCTTACGAGACAGAAATAAATCAATGCAATTTATAAAGTTGGGATAAAAATGTTAGATGCAGTTTTCTAAACTACAGAGAATTATATATGGATGAACTGCAATAAATAAAGCACAGCTTTAGCAGTTTACAGAAATAAATGATAAAGATGAAATACTTTAATGTATAGCCTTTCATTTGGAATCATTTCTTGCTTTCACAACATGCATACAGCCATCCTTTGCTTATTAAATTGCAAATTTCACGTTTGAATATAATATAGTTAATAATGGTTCCCAATTTCCTTCCTAAAGTTCAATTTCCAGTTTTGTTTAGAGTAGACCAAAACCCTGAAAACCTAGTTTTCGAAGGCTTTTGGACAATTGTTCTCCTGTTTATTAACAATGCACTGCCTTTTAACAATGGCGTGTAGTTTTAGATTGAACATACTGAATCCAGTTTGCTGACCCTGAACTCAGTTAGATGTGAGTGCTCGCTCTGCAGGTGCTGATTAATAGAACTTGTGTGGCCAACATCTTCAGAGCTGTTCCAGGCGACAGAGATGCCCTGGGCCTTGCTGACAAGCTCACAGAGACTTCTGTTCTCATCACTACCAAACTCCAAGTCTACTTCCATGGTTTACCATTTGCAGCAGATTAAACTCTTGCCTATATTGGTAGATTTCACTAGGCATAATGAGTTTCCAAGGATAAGCCACTGTTTAGTAATCAGTCAGTCACAGATTCTTCTAAACGTGGTTTTATGCAGAAATTTGGAATTTAATCTATTGGAAAAAGACAAAAATCAAGAAATCATAAAATGTGTCATATTAGAAAAAAGTAACTGAATGATATAAAAATCTAATAAAAGTGGCTTCCTCTCAAAAAGGACACTTTTAATTTTCAAGGCTCAATTTGTTTTGATGGAAATCTCATTTGCTCTAACACTATCACTAGGTTCCTGGAACAAGTAAAATAATGATAATAACAATAAAATAATGATCTGTGGAATGCTAGTTACACTGGTTAATAAGGATTTGGGTTTAGGCAATAGTTTATCTCATTACTTTTTATCTTTGAAGAGTCACATGCTCATTTAGATATTAAACGCCCAGAGAAAGGCTATAATAAAAAATGCATTTAACTTTTTCAAATCTCTTGTTCCCACATCTACTTGAATGCAGAAACTCTTGTTTGCCTTAATATTTACTTGTATTTTGCAGAACAAATTTTTGCAGAATTCATTTTGGAAAATGCAGCCACTGACAACTGGGATAATTTTCTAAAGGAAATCATTACTGCTGTCTTATCACTTTCAAGAATGTCCCTACAATTCATAAAAGTTGGCTTTTTACTGCCCTCCCAAGCATTTTCTTTCTTACAACAAAACAAAGTTACAACAAAATAAAGTGTCTGCCAAAAGTGAATGGAAAGGTAAAACGTGGCATGTGCATGGGATAGAATGAGCTTCAGAGCTCAGAAGTGTGAACTAACTTCGTACACTACAGTGTGGAAGTTCTCAAAGATACATTGTTAAGTCAAATAAAGTGTGGGGAAAAAAGATTTATCACACAGTATTATTTAAACAAAGTATAAAACAAAAATTTTCAGTAATATACACATATATAATTGATATCATATATACTATATGTATATTTTTGATGTAACATATACCTAAATAAAGATATGAAAGTTGGGTTAAAAATACATGCATTAAGTATTATAGACCCGAGTGCCCATAATAAGAGGGGAATGAGCTAGTAAGAAAAGAGAATGACGGAAAGTATACAAAAAAAGTAAAGCCAAGTGCAATGCAATGAAATAGAATGAAATAAGAGCCTTCCTTGGGCCAGTCATGACAATCTGCCATGATTCAATTCTGGGCACTTAAGGTCCAAAAGACAGAAAGAAAAAGGGTTCCAGGTCATTGTGATGTATTTTATTTTTGTTCCATAGTACAAGAAATGCAGGTCCACTTACCTGGTCTGGCTATAGGATTCCTTGTGTCCGTGTCTTCTCTGAAAGACAGTGGCACATTTTGGGGCTATTCAACCTCTCCATGTGGGAATCAGAGGTGCCAGATGCTCTTGCAGCTTTAGGAATCTTTCTGATTTCGGGTCCAGTACCTGGAAGCTAACCACAGTTAGTCAGAAATTCAGGCCCTTTCCCTGAACATGAGTGCACTATAACTGGGAAATCACATGGTTAAGACTCAGACCATTTTCCATCAAGGTCGGCTGCATCTACTAGCCTTTCCTCTCTAGGACATGCAGTAGGAGCTACAGTTGCTTATTCCTTCTCTTTGACTTTGTACATCTGTGTCTGAACCTCTCAAACCCTATTCCCATCCATATACATTTCAATATCTTACATCTATATCTATCTATATAACTCTTGGAAAAGTGCCTTATATTTAGCAAGTACTCTAAAGGTTAACAATTATTTGTTTGTTGACTTATTATTTAAATCTGCTGCTACACACTCTTTCCTTTGGCAGCTTTGCATGCCAGGATATTAAATGTAGAAAAAGACTTTCCTGCTTATTGTAGAAACAACCATTTGTACAGGTGTCTAACTGTGATTGTCTGAGAGGAGCAGCCCAAGAAAATAAAAGTCAAAAATACGAGGCAGTCACATATAATAAAATATCCTACATGGTTCCGACAGCATTGTCTCTAATTTTTGACTCCATTGTTGAGATGGCAACTGAGAAACATTGGTCTTTGTTTTCATTATTTCAAGAATGAATCTCATCAAATATTTTCTTCACTCATTTCTTTGCCTAACATTTCCATGCTTGATGAAAAGCACACAGAACTCCTCAGCAATAAAGACCTTGAGCCCCAATACATGCTCACCTTCATTTGCCACAGGAGGAATGGCATGTTTCCCCACTTACTCTGCTGGAGGCTAAGTACAGAGGCTCTATACAACTTTTCTCAACACACTTATTTTTCTTCTCAGTTATACTGATCCCATTGAATCATCCGACACTCCCTTGTGTCTAAGTGTTTGCCTTTAATCCTCTGCTAGTTAATTATTTGCAACCATTGTGAAATGCTGTAACAGAATGGGGGCATATTTCTCTTTCTTATGTAATTTTTTGTTCAGAAGTTAATTTAACAGGCTTTAATATTGCCATATGACAACAAGAAATCAATCAATTTTCCTGGGATTCTTTCACCCAGAAATACTTTTTCTTTCTTAAGTTATTGAAGGCCCCGTAAGGGTCAATATAACTGAAAATAAAAGGTTGTGATGCTAATAGCTTGGTGGCTTTTTTTTTTTTTTAGACAGAGTCTCACTCTGTTGCCCAGGCTGGAGTGCAGTGACACAATCTCGGCTCACTGCAGCCTCTGCCTCCCGGGTTCAAGCGATTCTCCTGCCTCAGCCTCCCGAGTAGCTGGGATTACAGGAGTGCACCACCATGCCCGGTTAATTTTTGTATTTTTAGTAGAGACAGTGTTTCGCCATGTTGGCCAGGATGGTTTCCAGCTCCTGATCTTGTGATCCACCTGCCTTGGCCTCCCAAAGTGCTGGGATTACAGGCATGTGGCCTTTTACTTAATTGACTAAGGGTCTCTCTATTTTGGACTCCTGTTATGTGAACTTCTGGGCAAGCAGGATTTACTATGGGTATTTCTTGACATAAAGTCAGAAATATTCAAAATGCTCAGAGAAGACCCTTGACCCTGTCTGATTACCAGATTGTTTTCCTATTGATTTTTATCAGATGTAATTTGAAGGGAAGTCTTTCTCTTTTTTTTTTTTTTTCACTTAAGACAGAGTGTCTCTCTGTCACCCAGGGTGGAGTACAATGGCATAATTATAGCTCACTTTAGCCTCAAACTCCTGGGCTCAAGTGATCCTCCCATCTCAGCCTCCCAAGTAGTTGCATAGTCCCAACTACTTGGGACTGCAGGTGTGCCCGGTTTGAAGGGAAAAAATGTGTCTGTGTGTGCCGCATCTAAATATTCACCATAATTCTTGACATTTTACTATTTTACTTTCATTTGTTGAGGTCCTACGTGTTTTTTTCTCCTCCAAGATTGCCACAGCCGAGCCTGGCTGCCCCAGCTGTGAGTGATTAAAATCTACTTCCCCAGATGCAATGTGGCCCAGGAATCATCAATATCTGAGTCTGACAGTCTATAGGGCTCCTTCCCCCATAGCAGGTACCTTCTGCAAATTCTTACTGCTCATTGTCAGTGTGATCAGGGACCCCATGAGTGCTTGACTGTCCAGGTCCCTGGTGCTGAATTTGTCCTCTGACTAGCATGTTGAATAGTGTTGAATCTCCTTTCTTTTGGGGATTCCTAATTCCTCAGAGATTTGAACCCTACCTTCCATTTGATGTTTGATCACTTGGATAGGCTTTACTAGTTTATAATTTTAAACCCACTTGAGTCTAAAAACTATTACCCACTTTGTCTTTGGCCACATCCTTTCCATTCACTGATATACTGGTATCAACCCTACTTAGGCTGAAATTAACCCACTCTCTTGGTGTCTTTTGTCCTAGTTAGTTCTCTAGCCCTTTAGTATTAATCTTAGCTTGTTTGCATTACCTATCTTATTTCCAAGGATGTGCTAGTTTGGACACTAAGATTTTATGTCTTTATATACAGTACATATAGAATATGTACTAATATATACATATTCTTTTTTTTTTTTTTTTGAGATAAGGTCTTGCTCTATTACCCAGGCTGCAGCGCAGTGGAGAGATCAGAGCTCATGGCAGCTCCAACCTCCTGGGCTCAAGTGATCCTGCCTCAGCCTACTGAGTAGCTGGGACTACAGATGCACATCAAAATGCTTGGCTGATTTTTTTTTTTTTTTTTTTTTTTTTTAGCAGAGATGGGGTTTCATCATGTTGCCCAGGCTGATCTTGAACTCCTGGGCTCAAGTGATCCACCTGCCTCAGCTTTCCAAAATGCTGGGATTACAGGTGTGAGCCACTGTGCCCAGCCTATATACATATTCTTATATATAATATTATATATGTATATATGAAAGGCATACACATAATTTTGCTAATTTGATAAAAATGAATCCCCCCCATCAAAAATAAAACCATCATTACCTTGTACATGTGTTTTCTCAGTATCCCTTCCCCTTTATTTGCAATTGGAAGAATGGCATGTTAGTCTCTATTCTTTTCTCCTTAGGCAGCCATGAATATATAGCACTGGGAATATATGGGACCCTGCTGGGGCATATGAATAATCAAGATGGTACAAGGTTTTACTTGAACATAGTGACCATATGGATAATCCCCAATCTAATTGACAGACAAGCTGATAATGGTATAAAGTATTTTATATAAATATTGTTCCAGGAAGTCTAACATAATATTGTAACAGTCACTCTGAAATTGGTAGAAAAATCACCTCTCTCATCACTGAGAGAGATAGCATACAAGTACATTTTACAATAAAATGACTTCCTCCCATTTTTCTGGATTGAAAGACTGTATTGTGAATGTGGACAAGATTGTTAATGTAAAGTACAATACTGGATACACTTTTGGTGTTTGAGGTCCTTAGAACATTAAAAAGAAAAAATTCATGAAAAAGAGAATTAGGTTGAGACATATATTTTGAGGCTTTGAGTACATTTTGGAAGTGAATGTATGTATTCCTAGGCTTTGGATCAGAAAGCTAATGGAAGTTCTTCTCCAAGGTGAAAGAGACAATGCAAGGAAAAGATCCAGCTGTTCTTTGCATCTGCTGGAGACACACATCAGAACAAAGCCAAAAGCAGCAGAGGCTGGTAGGTCATTAATGCCTTTCACACAGGCAGCGTGGAAAGAAAGATGGCCACCCTCAAACACTCATGAATTGGAGTTAGCTTTCATTTTATCCATCCTGCTCTCGAGAAGTTGACATTATAATAATGAAAAACATGTCAGGTTGGTGAGATTTGAATTGAGTGTGCACATTTGTTAGCATTCCTGGCTGCATGGGTACTTTTGTTGATAAAGTGAAGTGCTCTATAATATTAAATCATTATTTCATGCCACTTATATTAATGTTCTGAAAGGCATTGCAAATTATATTATACTATTTCTTATAGCTGATTAACTTCATAGAGCTGGCCATGTCCTGTTTGTGGGATAAGATACTGGGAGGTTTTTTTTAGAGGAAAGGAAAGATTATTTACAGCATATTTATTTTTTCTCATACATTTGAAATCCAATGCATCTTTTCCAAACATGCTAGAATGGATGAAAAATAAAGACATAGAAGGAAGCAAAAATAAGAGCGAGTGGGAGAGATCCCATGGGTTTTCTATGCAACATTTTATTTTCCTTTTTTTGTCCCCCTGTTTATACAAGAGGCCTTTCAGAAAGACCTTGCATGGAACAAAGAAGCATAAAAGAAAGACCTGGGAAAAAGAAAAATGAAGGATTGGAGTAATCTTAATAAGCCCCCAAGAAGAGAAAGGGATTTCTTATTGTCTCTCTGACATTATATGGGAGTCCGATGGTGACCTGAGCTCTGCGGAACTCACTTTCTGTACTAGCTCCAGATTAGGCCTACTTCTGAAGAGCTGCACAATATGGAACCCAGAAAACCCTTTCTCCTGTTGATAACCATGCCTCCTGCAATTTTCTTCAGTCTCTTTAAGAAGTATGCAATAAGTTTAGAATACAATAGAGAAAAGTTTATGAGTAGTAATTTAGTCAGAAGACCAAATAAGCCTGTTTGCAAATATCCTGGCAATGTAGTCATATGTTACTGGGGCCAGTAAATGTAGCTGATGTCTGGGAGAGAGCTCTCCAGATGTTTCTGGCATCCTTAGAGGCAGCAGGAACTGAATGTTGGGGATGTCCCCAAGCATATTATACCTTCTTAATGTGAAACTTTCAGAGCCAAGTGAATACTAGCAGGAACCACATTGGGAGCAGGAATTAAATGTTGAAGGTACTTTGAAGGTGCTTTTCTTTATTCACCATTTGCTTCACTGGGCAGTCTGTTAAAATGTTCTTTGACAAAGTAGAAATAGTAATTCTATTATACTGTCCTATATATTATTGCCAGTAGTGTTTTTATGAACAGTTATTGAGAATTAACTAAGAAACTTCTGCACAATAAAAGAAAATATCAATAAAGAGACAACCTACAGAATAGGAGAAAATATTTGCCAACTGTGTATCCAAAAATGGTCTAATATCCAGAACCTATAAAGAACATAAACAAATCAACAGGCAAAAAACAAATAACCCAATTAAGAAATGAACTCAGAACATGAACAGACACTTCTCAAAAAACAAAAAGAATAAAGTATCTAGGAATACAGCTAACCAGGGAAGTGAAAGATTTCCACAATGAGAATTACAAAATGCTGCTCAAGGAAATCAGAGATGACACAAACAAATGGAAAAACATTCCACATTCATGGATAGAAAGAATCAATATTGTTAAAATGGCCATACTGTCCAAAGCAATTTATAGATTCAATGCTATTCCTATCACACTACCAATGACACTCTTCATAGAATTAGAAAAAACTATTTTAAAATTCACATGGATCCAAATAACCAAGGCAATTCTAAGCAAAAAGAACAGAGCTGTAGGCATCACGTTACCTGACTTCAAACTATACTACAAGGCTACAGTAACCAAAACAGCATGGTACTGTACATGAACAGACACATAGACCAATAAAACAAAATAGAGCACTGAAATAATGCCACACACCTATAATCATCTGATCTTCAACAAAGTCGACAAAAACAAGCAATGAGGAAAGGGCTCTGTATTCAATAAATGGTGATGGGATAACTGGCTAGCCATATGCAGAAGATTGAAACTGGACCCCTTCTTTACAACATAGGTCCAAAAATCAACTCAAATGGATTAAAGACTTACATGTAAAACCGAACCCTATAAAAACTCTGGAAGCTAATCTAGGAAATACATTCTGGACGTAGGACTGCACAAAGATTTCATGATGAAAATGCCAAAAGCAATAGCAATAAAAACAAAAATTGACAAATGGGACAAAATTAAACTAAAGAGCTTCTGTTGATAGAAGAAACTATCAACAGAGTAAACAGACAACATACGGAACAGGAGAAAATTTTTGCAAGCTATGCATCTGACAAAGGTCTAATAAATCTATTGTAGTGAATCTACAAGGAACTTAAACAAATTTACATGAGAAGAACAACCCCATTAAAAAGTGGGCAAAGGGCATGAACAGACACTTTTCAAAAGAAGGCATACATGCAGCCAACAATCATATGAAAAAAACTCAATATTACTGATCATTACAGAAATGCAAATCAAAACCACAATGTGACACCATTTCACACCAGTTAGATGGATATTATTAAGAAGTAAAAAAAGTAATAGATGCTGGCAAGATTCTGGAGAAAAGGGAATGCTTATACATTGCTGGTGGGAGTATAAGTTAGTTTAGCCATTGTAGAAAGCAGTGTGACAATTCCTCAAAGAGCTAAACATAGAACTACCATTTGACCCAGCAATCCCATTATTGGGTATATACCAGCAGGAATATAAATTATTCTACCATAAAGACATATACATGTGTATATTCATCACAGCACTATTCACAATAGCAAAGACATGGAACCAATCTAAATGCCCATCAGTGATAAACTGGGTAAAGAAAATGTGGTACATATACACTATATACACTACGTAGCCATAAAAAGGACAAGATCATGTCCTTTGCAGAACATGGATGGAACTGAGGGCCATTATCCTAAGTGAACTAACACAGGAAGAGAAAATCAAGTACTGCATGTTCTCACTTATAGGTGTGAGCTAAACATTGTGTACATATGGAAACAAAGAAGGTTAACAACAGATGTTGGGGCCTACTTAAGGATGGAGGATGGGAGGAGGGAGAGGATCAGAAAAAAATAACCTTTAGGTTCTATGTTTAGTATCTGGGTGGTGAAATAATCTGTACACAAAACCTCTGTGACACACAGTTTACCTATATAACAAACCTGCACATGTACCCCTGAACCTAAAATAAAAGTAAAACAACAACAACAACAACAACAACAACAAAGAAGACAAGCAGCCAACAAACATGAAGAAAATGCTTAACATTACTAAATATGAGATAAATGCAAATCAAATATAACGAGATACTGTCTCATACCAGTCAGAAAGGCTATTATTAAAAAGTCAAAAAAATAACAGATCTTGGTGAGACTATGGAGAAAAGGGAATGCTTATACACTGCTGGTGGGAGTATAAATTAGTTTAGCCATTGCAGAAAGCAGTGTGACAATTCCTCAAAGAGCTAAACACAGAACTACCACTTAACCCAGCAATTCCATTATTGTGTATATACCAACAGGAATATAAATTATTCTACCATAAAGACATATACATATGTATGTTCATCACAGCACTATTCACAATAGCAAAGACATGGAATCAATCTAAATGCCCATCAATGATAAACTCATGGTGGGAATGTAAATTGGTTCAGCCACTGTGGAAAGCAATTTGGAGATATCTCAAAGAACTTAAAACAGAACTACTGTTCAACCCAGTAATACCATTACTGGGTATATACCCAAAGGAAAATAAATAGTTCCACCAAAAAGACACACACACTTGCATGTTCATTGCTGTGCTATTCACAATAGCAAAGACATAGAATCAACCTAGGTGCCCATCGGTAGTAGACTGGATGAAGGAAATGTGGTACATATACACCATGGAATATGACACAGCCATAAAAAGAATATCATGTCCTTTGCAACAAAATGGATGGAACTGGAGGCCAGAATCCTAAGTGAATTAAAGCAAAATCAGAAAACCAAATACCACATGTTCTTACCTTTTTAAAAAAATTTTTGTTTTTTTGAGACAGAGTTTTGCTCTTTTTGCCCAGGCTGGAGTGCAATGGCACAATCTCGGCTCACTTCGACCTCCACCTCCTGGGTTCAAGCGATTCTTCTGCCTCAGCCTCCCAAGTAGCTGGGACTACAGGCATGTGCCACCACGCCTGGCTAAATTTTGTATTTTTAGTAGAGACGGGGTTTCACCACGTTGGCTAGGCTGGTCTTGAACTCCTGACCCCCAGTAATCCACCCACCTCAGCCTCCCAATGTGCTGGGATTATAGGCATGAGCCACCACGCCCAGCCCACATGTTCTCACTTGTAAGTGGAGCTAAACGTTGAGTCCACACTGGGAACTTCTAGAGAGGGGAAGGAGGGAGTGGTGTGGGTTGTAAAGCTAATGATTGGGTACTATGCTCCCAAACCTCAGCATCACAAAATATTACCATGCAACAAATCTGCATGTGTACCTCCTGAATCTAAAAGTTGAAACTGTAAAAAAGAACATTATTTAAAAATCAGTTATAAAATGACATTTTTGATCAAACAATGTGACAGTAAGAACTGAAGCTATCTCAACCTTGCATATTTAATAATTTGATGATTACTAATATTTATTGCATACATACTTTCCCAGACACTATTCTAAGCCCTTTATATGTGTTAAGTCATTTAAACCTCTTAACAACATTACTATGAGGTATTTTTAAGGAAACTCAAGCACATAGAACTTAACTTGCCCAAGGTCATTCAACTGTTAAGTTAATGAGCAGGAATTTGAAGCCAGGCAGGCTTGGATCGTATGTTAGAATTTCTTCTCTACTTTTTTAAAAGACTAGCAAAATAGAAGACAGCAGTGATATCTGACCTCGATTATTACTGTCTTGTCAATGATAGCCTGGTAAGAGAGCTTATCATATGATCATGTCATCAACCTATCCATCACTGAACTCATGATCTTTTTTACTAAAATTTATCTCAGCTTGTGTGGTGGCTTACGCCTGTAATCCCAGCACTTTAGGAGGCCAAGGCGGGCGGATCTTTTGAGGTCAGAAATTCCAGACCAGCCTGGCCAATGTATAGAAACCCTGTCTTTACTAAAAATACAAAAATTAGCCGGGCCTGGTGGCACACACCTGTAGTCCCAGCTTCTCTGGAGGCTGAGGAAGGAAAATCACTTGAACCCGGGAGACTGAGGTTGCAGTGAGTCGAGATTCCACCCCTGCACTCCAGCCTGGGCAACAGAGCGAGACCCTGTCTAAAAACAAAAACAAAAACAAAAACAAAAACAAAAAATTGATCTCAACAATGTAACTCTTCTCTGCATTGAAAACACCATTATCTTTGCAGAACACATATTAAAAATATCTGAGGACCCACACTGTTTGCCTATTTATCAAATTCCTTTTTATCTTCCAAGGTTAATTAAAGAAATACTCCTGCTGAATTCCCCCCAAACTCCCCAGTGAGGTCAGGCATCCTGTGAGCCTCTTTCTCTTGCTTCCCAAATGCTGGCCTCTACATCAGCTACTTCGAATCCCTGGGACCTGAGCTGGAGATCCTTTGCCAGTCCTAAGAGATCTGTATGCTAGACCCTCAAATATATATATGTATATGTCTGTGTGTGTGTGTGTGTGTGTGTGTATATATATGTGTATATATATGTATATATGTATATGTATATATATATTTTAAAGGAAAATTCTCTCAAGTGATTATGATGTTTAGCAGGTTTGGGAGCTACCCAAAACTGACCTCCCTCTTCCCAGCTTTCCTTCCATCCAGCCTCTTGGGCATTCATTCCTGGAACCCAGTGCTACACCTGGCACAAAGCACATGCCCAACAAATACCACTGAAGGAATGAAGAAAAAAAATGATTCAGATCGAGTTGACACCAGGCAGATTTTCAGGAAAATAAATCCTAGAACATATGTCAACATCAGCCTAACTGAATCCTCAATTCTATCACTAATGTCACATTATTAATCATTTATAAGAATGACCTAAATTCAGGAAAAATTAATTTATTTATATTCTGTAAAGCCTAATTATCAGAGGAGATAGTTTATAGTTTCATGGTAATTTCAGATGAGCAACACTTTACATTTGCACCACCAGGTATGTGCCACCATGACCCACTAATTTTTGTATTTTTAGTAGATACAGGGTTTCACCATGTTGGCCAAGGTGGTCTTGAACTCCTGACCTCAAGTGATCTGCCCACCTCAGCCTCCCAAAGTGCTGGGATTACAGGTGTGAGCCACTGTGCCAGGCCTCCCATGTCCCTTTTCAATAAATACTTCCCCAAATATATTGATATTGTCCCACTTCAACACATTGCCATTATCACAGCTAATGATATTAATGGTAATTCAAAAATATCATCTAATATTGAACCTACATTTAAATTGCAGCAGTTGTCATAAAAGTACTTTTGAGAGTCTTTTTATTCTATTTCTTTTTTGAGATAGGGTCTCACTCTGTCACCCAGGCTGGAGTGCAGTGGCACAATCTCAGCTCACTGCAGCCTCGACCTCCTGGGCACAACGGATCCTCCTGCCTCAGCCTCCTGAGTAACTGGGACTACAGGCATGCAACGCCATGCCTGGCTAATTTTTCTACTTTTTGTAGAGATGGGGTTTCACCATGTTGCCCAGGCTGGTGTGGAACTCCTGGGCTCAAGTGATCCATTCGCTTTGGCCTCCCAAAGTGCTTGGTCTACAGGTGTGAGCCACCCCCACGTCGTCCCCTTCAGAATCATTTCTTAAAAAATAAATAAAATCAGAAGTGTTCAAGGATAATGGCTGCTCTAGTTTATTAGCCTATGAATGTATAACGATTCTTTTTTTTTTTTTTTGAGACGGAGTCTCACTCTGTCTCCCAGGCTGGAGTGCAGTGGCGCGATCTTGGCTCACTGCAAGCTCCTCCTCCCGAGTTCACACCATTCTCCTTGCCTCAACCTCCCTAGTAGCTGGGACTACAGGTGCCTGCCACCATGCCCAGCTAATTTTTAGTAGAGAAAGGGTTTCACCGTGTTAGCCAGGGTCTCGATCTCCTGACCTCGTGATCTGTTGGCCTCGGCCTCCCAAAGTGCTGGGACTACAGGCGTGAGCCACCGTGCCTGGCCACAATCCATTTTTTTATGCATAAATAGTTCATTGACTTTTTGAAGGATCAGCCCATTGTCTTTTAGAATATTTTACCTTTGATTTGTCTGACAGTTTCCTCATGGTTTTAACGCAAGCTTGTCCAATCTGCCTTATTTTGTTGTTGTTGCTGTTGTTCTGGTTTTTTGTTTGTTTGTTTTAGACTTTTAGCAGCCCGAAGCCATGGTTTTTAGTTTCTGTCTTTAGTGACAAGTGGAAAAGTGGAATGAGAAGGGGGCTTTACTGGCCCATCGAGAAACAGAAACTAAGAACCTATGACTATTCTCTCCCTTGGACACCCCGGTTCAACTTATTCCTCTTTCTTCCATATTTCTCTTAGTCTAGAAGTTAGATCTAAATATTTGACTAAATTTAGGTTAAATGCTTTTGGTGGGAATACTCACTGGGGAAGCAGTGGAATTTGTGTTGCATTGTTTCAGTAGGTACAGAATGTTTAGTTGTGCTCCAAATAATTCTTGATCAGCAGGCAATGGTGCCAGGCAGTGTTACTTATAAAGGAGGGCTGGTGCTCTGGTAGCTTTTCTCTGGGCAAACCTTAAAAGCTTGTTTGCCAAAGATAACTCTCCCATTGTCTCTGGCATAATTTCTGGAATGCTGACATCATTAACCTTTGTTTATGCTGAGCTATTGGAAGCCCTTGATAGGGTTAACCTATTAAAAACCACTCTCTGCCATTTACACTTTATCTTGAACCATATTATTGGATTATACAGCTATTGATCCATCAGGGTACTTGAGGGAAAACAACAGAGAGCACATGAGTCTTAATGGAAAGGAGAAGTACACAACAGTGGAAATTAGAGAGCCTGGTTGGCGATATTACCAGGGTCTCTTAACAATTGTATTGCAATGAGACTAGCAGTTTGTGTAGACAAAGAAGTTAATTTGGGGGTGGGGGTGGGTAATGAGGGGCAAAAAGAAAAATGTTTTTAAAAATTGGTTTGGAATGATTCTTATCTACCCAAGTATGTTGCAGCCCCAACCTGTTGGTGTGTAACTGTAATGCTGAGACCTCCATAAGAGGGTTGCCTCACCTGCAACAGCACAATTGACTTTACCATATCAAGTTCCCCTTTTATTTTTCTTTCTGAGTTTACTAATTAAAACATGACTTGAGAATAGTTAATAGAAAGACCTAACAATCTTGATTTTTTTTTTCATTTTATAATCCAAAGCTATTGTCCTTTAAATTTATTTGCTTATTTGTCACCATCTTCTGGATGAAGCCAGAGGCTTGATGGCCTTGGTCACTTTTCTGTTTCCAGAGCTAGAACCAGCCTAGCTCATAGGAGAGGTTCAGTAATATTGTTAAGTGAAGTAATGAATTAACAACTTGGAAACAGGCTGGAACCTTTGTTTTCTATTGGAGGTAACTACTTTGCATTACTAATCCTATTAACTGTTTTTGGTGGAGTTTATTGGGTGATGATGTACTGACTAAAAGTTTCCAAAACATGTTTCCCCAAAGTCACGACCTTGCACTTCTAAAGAAAGCACATGCTATTCTCATTTACCTTGAGGGACTGTAGGTATACTCTTGGATTATTGTAGGTATATTTCCTGCAACCATATATTTTGAAAATAAGGAAGGAAATAGAGTTTAAGACTTAAATTTTCTCTCTGTGATGTTTTGTTTTGGTAACAGTATATATTAAATTGAAGGAATTGTTGGCATATACAGAAACTCGGAGCAACAAACTTTTTCATTTGTTAGATGAAATGCAAGTCCACTCTGAAAAGAGTCTTCCTGCATTTCCCTCATGAGAAAATAGTGAATGAGTAAAGAATAAAGAGTTATGGATATTGACCTTTGAAACTCTCCCCAAAGCTTCGTGACTACTGATGGGATGACATGAAAAGTCATTTCACTTATAATGAGATACAAAGCGGGCCTGTCTTCTTTTAAAACCTGGCATTTAAAAATACATTTACTTCTATTATGTCCTGGCCTAACCTGCACAGGCTATTGCATATGACATATTACCCGAGCAGATGTTTTAGACAATATGCTGGCAGCCACGCAAGTAAAGAATAAAGTTTATAGTTTTGTTTCTTCAATCTCAGAGTCACACAATTGAGAAAGCTTTTGTATCTGGCAATTTATTGCAAATGTTATGTAAACTGCCTATTAATTTTATGCCTACTGTGCAGCAGAACTCTTTAATATGAAGAAATGGGAGGAAATAGACATCTAGATGATTTTCTTCCATAAGACATCTTCTCACCTTAGAAAAATCTTTTGTAGCCAATTTGCTTCTGACCTTATGAATGAGGAAGCTGGTTAGAGGGACATGCAGATGTTTGGGGACTTGTATTTCTTGATACTAATGGGGGTGGAGAGGGAAAAATGAGAAGAAAGGTATGATGATAGGAATTTCTATAATTGTATTATTTTGAGCAGCTACCTAGACTATACCTAGGTTATAGAAGAAGTGTGAGGTTTTAAAAGAACTGTTCCAGGGAAATGATTGCATTCATTTTACTGTCATGACCTCTACTGCAATTTATATTATGAACTCAAAATAAGCCTGTTTAATATTTCATTAAAATGTATAAAGTATAAACATACAGTATTATGTTACATGATGCATTTGCAAGTTTATGCTCAGATGTGGAAGATTTCTGTATTCATGAAGGAATGACCTTCATACCCCACTGGAGGATCACCAGTTTATGCAATTCTATGACATTTTTATTTTATTTATGTGCCGAATGAAAATATGACATTCCTATCATCTTCTTTAACAAATGTATTATCTATCAGAGAGGGCACAAAACCATCTCTGTTTTCACTGGGTGGCTGGCACAAATATTTGTCCCAATGACTTAGCAATGCCACCTTCACCTGTGTACGTGCTCAAGCATTTGCATTTGTGTTTCTGAAATTCACTTTTCCTTATCCAAATGTGTAGAATAATAATTTGAAAAATAGGAAAAAACCTATGAGTTTTATGCTATGTAATCAATAGGAAACATTCCTAAATAGCAGATAAGTGGAAATTAGGGAGATGAAAGGAAAATTAATTAATCCCAAATCAATTAATAAAACACTTCCACTACCACAACAAAATCAGAATGTTTGAACAATTTCTGAGCTTCACATGGATAATTCATCAAGATAAACAGATGTTCATTTAACACTATGGCTTCCTGTCTCCCAAGCAGCATTGATTCTGTTCTGATCAATCTTTTAGTTTTGAATTTCTAACCAATAGAAGGCCTTGAAAAAAGCAAACCATCTATGTGAATTGGCTGTTTTTGTAGGTGGCAGGACAAAAGTTGCTGATTTGGATTCAGAAAATACTTACTAATAGATTAAGGGGGAAAAAAATCAATGTTTTAAATTGCTTGGTAGTTTTGACTCTGAGCCTAGTGGGACCTAGAGTCTCATAGAGTGAATGTATTGAAGGAAATAGGGTAGAGAATAAAGTTTTTATTTTGTTTCTTCAACTCAGAGTAACACATGTGAAGAAAATGCAAATGGACCTCATGAGAGGCTGTCAGGCTCTGTCTCTCTGGGACCTCTAGATCTCTTCTGAGCATTTGTTTCAGGTTTTCACTTCCTTTGAAGATTTTCTCATGATTTCTGTGCATTTTTATTTTTCATGATTTCTATGCCAAAATTTGATCACGTGGGCACTGGTACTATAGTCTCTTCCAGTTTGGCACCAAACAAAGCCTAATTGTAGTCTCTCTGTCCCAATTCACAATTCTCACACTCAAGATTCCCAACCCCCACCTCTTCCCTTCCCTTCCTCATCTGGGCCGGGGACACTTTAGCTCCCATCTGGGATGGGCAGGAATTCAGGCTCTTATTACCCTCTAGTAGGTTGTGGGAATTCACTCTTCCAGAAGATGATGCGGGCAGGTTCAGGCATGAAAACCTGTGAGATTTTAAGACACCTCTAGAACATCAAATTATATAACTTTACATCTAGATTGCTCTGTAACTCCCTTCTTAGAGATGCTGCAAGTTATATCTCATCTTAAAAACAGAAGGAGGTTATCAATTTTTTAAATTGGTAGCTGACTTTAGCTTCAGGTAAACAGCTCTCTCTTTTTTATTAAAATGAGAGGAAAACTAAATGCAACAAAATATATTCTTTTGATTTTCATGAAATAACTTTCCTGCTAAATTATTCCTCAGAAAAATTGGCTTAGTGTAGTGAAAGCTCCCCCAGTAAAGCTCAATATAATTGTTTGAGAGAAGTATTGTTTTACCGAATGGTTAGAATGCACTCTGGGGGAATAAGAATGATTTAAGTACAATTAATCTGACTAACAGCATTTTCCGCAAATACTGCAGATGTAGTCTAACCAAATATTAGAGCTCCATTTAAAATATACATATATTATTTCCCCTTTACATTTTTTCCTTTAAACATTTTGAGAAGGAATTTATATAACATAAGATTAACTACTTAATCCCTTTACATTTTCAATAGAGTTTAAATGTCAGGCTTGAAAAATAATAAAATTAAAACATAACAATCAATGAAAAAGAGTTTTAAACAAATGGATTAGCTACAGGAGGCTTAAGGCAGACAGACTGCCTCCAGCAGCAACAGCAGGAGAGAGAAGGGAGCAGTGAACCCTTTTCCCCAAACCCGAAGGAGTTCAAGAGATAGATGGCTTCATCCCTAACTGTGTTAGAAGTTGTCCTGTCTCTGGAAGCTGACTCCATATGGTGATCCGTTAATTTAAATGCCGGAGGGAAGAAATGGCTGAGACCATTTAAGAAATTGAAAGTTTCATTGTTCCCCGTATATATGGCTACAGAGGAAGCTTTTTAAAAAATTCAGATTATTCAGCCATGGATTTGTAATCCCAGCTCACTGACATTAATGTGTTGAAATTAATTTGCTTTATACAAGGTTCTTACAGATCATATATACCATGGTTAAGCTCTCAAACTCAACTATTCATAATACCTTAGCTGAAGTTAACCTTAAAAACATAAATAGATTGCCATTGTTTTCATATCACACTTTAAACAATAAGAACAACAGCAGACAACAATCCAAGGTCTTAACATAACTCCCAGCCCAATAAGGCCAATCTCAATTTCCACCACTTTTCTCCTAACTCTTTTTTCTCCAGCCACATGGGCCTTTTTCCTAGTCCTAGAAAATACTAAAGATACTCATTTCTACCATCTTCATTTGGATTGTTTGCTCACTTCATTTAGTCTCCTTCCAATGCCACTTGATGAGAGAATTCTTTTGATTAGTCGATTTAAAGCAGCACCCACCCATTATTCTTTTTCTTTTTTCTTTTTTTTGAGACGGAGTCTCGCTCTGTCTCCCAGGCTGGAGGGCTGTGGCGCGATCTCGGCTCACTGCAAACTCCGCCTCCAGGGTTCACACCATTCTCCTGCCTCAGCCTCCCGAGTAGCTGGGACTACAGGCGCCCGCCATCATGCCCAGCTAATTTTTTTGTATTTTTAGTAGAGACGGGGTTTCACCGTGTTAGCCAGGATGGTCTCAATCTCCTGACCTCGTGATCCGCTCATCTCGGCATCCCAAAGTGCTGGGATTACAGGCGTGAGCCACTGTGCCCAGCCGATTCTTTATATTGTGATAGTGCCTTACTTTTTCTTTATAATACTTATTGCCACCTGATATTACATTATTTATATTTCTATTTTTTTCTCCTCTATTGGAACATAAACACCTTGAGAACAGGGACCTTGTTTGTTTTGTTCTCTTAATCCACAGTGTCTAGAATAGAATCTGGCACATAGTAGGTACTCCAAGTATTAGCCTGTAAACTTTGTGTTATCAGTTCATGGCAAGATAAGTACATTATGTGAGAAAAGTATTTGCAAACTTTTGTAGCAATTTGACATTGATAGAACATTCAAGCATGGGATTTTGTAGATTACAAAAGTATCAGCCCACGGTGAATTGGGGAAAATAAAAAAAAAACAAACTGGTTCTTCAGCTAGAAAGTTTGAGAAGTACAACCCTCGCTCTACCTACTTCATAAGACACCTCTTAACTTAGATGGTGGAAGGTAAACCCCATAAAAATACAGATTCCACCGGTTTGTGCTATGTAGGAATATGTACTCCAAAGTGCAAAATCTGGTGCTGGATCTTGCCCTATATGTCACTAAAAAAGAACCCCAAGGCATGGTAGTCCTCTTTGTATTTTGGAGACAACATATACCACATGTGGGTGTGCAGCTCTGATCAATATAACAAGTAACCTGCCAGAGAAGGCTCTGCAGTAGATCCATACTGCAGAGAAAATCCAGCTGAACTTTTGTGGCAACTCGGAATTCTTTTTGGAGCATCTAACAATTACCCATTGGAGAATAACAGCACAGAGCTCTAGGGCTTTAAAATAAAATCATGCTGTATTTTTTAGAAACTCAGTTTCTGTTTGAGAAACAACTACTAACTTGCTAAAAGATCCAAATAGAAACAGAACACATGACTTTGGGCCATCAGTGACCAAGTAGGCCAAGCCATCCCGGATGAAGTGGGTGTTATGTAGTTTACCAAGCCATGATATTGGGAGCAGACAGCAGTAATATATTAATATTGTGATTGGAAAACATACACATATACATTTTCTCAGCAACATATATAGTACAATATTTTAGCAATAATGTGTAATAGACACATAACATATAACAATTACCTCTAAGTATTATAAAAGAATCTGAAAAGCAATTGAGTGAAAAGAATAACCTCCAAACAGTAACCTAGAGTATACATTCACTGAAAGCACCCTACAGAAATTAGGGGAAAATATACATTTTCAGACATATAAAAACTGAGAACATTTATCAGTAGCAAACCCAAATTAAAATAAATAATTTTCTTTAGGTAGAAGGGATTTTTTTTTTTTTTTTTTTTGAGACAGTGTCTCACTCTGTCACCCAGGCTGGAGTGCAGTGGTGAGATCTCGGCTCACTGCAACCTCCGCCTCCTGGGTTCAAGCGATTCTCCTGCCTCAGCCCCCTGAGTAGCTGGGGTTACAGGTGCATGCCACCACGCCCGGCTAATTTTTGTATTTTTAGTAGAGACGTGGTTTCACCATGTTGGTCAGGCTGGTCTCGAACTCCTGACCTCGTGATCCACCCACCTTGGACTCCCAAAGTGCTTGGATTACAGGGGTGAGCCACTGTGCCTGGCCTGAGGGATGATTTTTTATGGCAATTTAGAGACATAGGAAAAAATGATGGCAGAATAAGTTGTAGATATATAGATAAATGTGAATTATCATTGGCATATATGTAATAACAACAATAATATATTGACTATTAAAATATATAATACACAACATATGACAAAGACGGAGTAAATAATGCTAAGAGTTCTAATATAGTTTAATTATCTAAGAAACGATAAGAGTATTAATCTACGATAGACATTTGTAAGTTAAAAATGTATGTGATTTTTAGAATAACTATTAGTAAAATAGTAAATTGATGTATAACTAACAAGTTGTAATGAGCAAATGAAATAATAAAATTACTTATGTAAAATAATACAAGAAAAAAGGAAAAGAAGGAATGAATGACTGTTGGAACATATAGAAAGTGAAGGCAAATAGTAACATGGTAAATTTAAACATTCAAATTTCAGCAATCACATTAAATATGTTACTAAATATATTAATTAAATGGCAAAGATTTTCAGATCTAAAAAATAGCCTACCATTTGCTGCTTATAAGTGACCCATTTGAATATAGGATGTCAGAAGTATTGAAATTAAATTGACAGGTACATTATGTTATGTAAATAGTATCTAAAATATATTAAACTAAAGATTAATGTGTCTTTTTATAATAACAAAAAGGTTTACTAGAAAGATTTAATAATCATAAATGTACACCTAATTTAGAAAATATGCAAAGTAAAAATTGGCAGAGCTAAAATAAGAAGTAAATAAATTCACAATAATAGCAGAAGATTATAACACATCTTTCAGTAACTGGGAGAACAGCCTGACAAAAAAATCAATAATGATGTAGAAGATTTAAATAACAGAACTAACATCATTGATATAAATGATATATGTGTTAATAGAACATTGTATGTAACAACTGTGAGATATATATGCTTTTCAATTACATATGGAACATTTACAAAAATTGACCATATACTAGGCAATAAAGTAGGTTTCAACAAATTTTGAAAGATTTCAATCATATGTAGTAAGACATATCAAAACTTGTTGGATACAGTTGAAGCCATGATTAGAGCAAAGTACACAGTCATATATCAGAAGGGAAGATATGTTAGAATCAATTTTTATTAGCTATCTAAAGAAGTTAGAACAGCAAGTTAAATCTCAATAGAATTAAAGAAAGGAAATATAGAAAACTATAGAGCCAAATGGCTTCCCCAGGAGTTCAATCAAAGACTTGAGATTGATCTACAGATTCAGCCCAATACCAATAAATGTTCCAGAAAATATATTAATGAAAATTGATAAATGTTTCCTGAAATTCATATGGTAATTGAAAAGCCAAAAATGGATGAGAAAATCTTGAAGAAGGATAACTAAATAGAAGTACTTCTTTAGATTTCAATACTTACTTTGAAGCTACCTTAATGAAGACAATGTGGTATTGGCGCAAAGAAAGACAAAGCAACCAATGGAACAGAATAGAGGGTTCAGATATATACAAACATATGTGAAGTCACTTGACTTATATTGATGGTAGCTCTACAGAAAAGCGAGCAATGGACAGTCTTTCAATAAATGTGTTGGGTCAATTGGGTATATACATACAGAAAAACAAAACTTGGCTTGAAATTACATCATAGATAAAAATCAATTTCTGGTATATTGTTGCCCTAAATATTGAGAGTATAGCAATAAAGTTTCTAGAAGATAATATAGTGGAATATTTCAAAGTTATGGAAATATGGAATATTTCAAAGTATGCCCTGAATAAGAAAAAGAAATTACTGGCCATCGATGAAAACATTGATAAAAGAAGATGATTTTTTTTCTACTAAGACCTTTGCAACAAATAAACCCTCAGAAGGCTTGTTCCCAGAATGCATGTAAAGCTTCTACAATGCAAATAGAAAAAAACCCAATCAATGCAATTTAAAAATAAGCCCGAAACTTCTAGAAGCACTTATGAAAAGAAGATCTCCAAAGAGATAATAAAGATATCAAAAGGTGCCCAACCTTAGCGGTCATCAGGAAAACTTGAATTAAAATTTGAGACACCACTGCACGTCCATCAGTATGACTAAAATTAAAAAGACTGGCAATATCAAGTGCTAGTGAGGATGTGAAGATAACTGTGATGCTCTTCTACTGCTGGTGGAACAAAAATTGTATAATGCATTTGAAAAATTGTTAGGCAGTAGTTACTAAATTTGAAGGCACACATGTTCTACAACCTAGCAGTTTTATTCTTAGTTATATTCCCATAAGAAATACATATATATGTGTACAAAAAGGCATAAATAAAAATAATCATAGTAGTCTCAAACTGCAAACATCTCATATGCCCATAAACAGAAAAATGGGAAAATAAATTGCAGTTTATTCATACAAAAGGATACCATACATCAATGAAAATGAACAAACGTATATAAAGTAATATTGATGAATCTCGTGAATATGATGTTGGATGACAAAAATACATAAAATTACTCAAACTGTAGGATTCCCCTTGTAAAACATTTGAGAACAGGTAAAACCAATATCTGGTATTAGACATCAAGATAGGGGTTCCCTTTAGTGAGGAAAGAGTGGTCACAAGAGAACTTCTGGAGTGCTGGAGATGTTCTATTTCTTGTCTTTGGGGGTAGTTACATGGATGGGTTCATTTTGTGATAATTCATTGAACTATCCACGTATTATTTGTGCTATTTTCTGTATGTATACTTTAATAGGTATTTTATGTGTCATACTTAATATATTTTAATAAAAAGCAGAGAATACAGATTATTGCTGGATGTACTTATCTATTGACAATGAAACGAGTGTATTAGAGAATAGTCAAAATTCTTCCCAGGAAATAGGACGTAACCAAAGATTTGCCCCTTACTTAGCCGAGGCTAGAACACGGACACTTCTGTATCACTATATCCATTTGTAAATCTATTTCAATACTTGACAATATGTTTTTCAGTTATTTTAAAAAGTACTAACAATCCCTTATTACTTATGTCCATCATGGATTCTGGGTATTTTTTTAGTTTTGCCTCATGATCATATGCTCCTATAGGTAATATATAGTTTTCATACAATACACTTGGTGTAATACACAGATCTTCATCATTTTGTGATTTCACAGAAAATAATCATTAACAATGCCCTGCTCAGTTTAAGCTATGGCATCATATTTGATTTACTCCAGAGTCAGTCTATACTTAAATTTAATAAAATGGCATTATAATTTTTTAAAAAATATGCTTTAAATATGCAAAATGAGGTAAAATATTAACAATAACACAAAGCAGTCTATGTTAAGTATTTATATTACTTACAATGCTTTAATAAAAAAAGTTTCAATTAGCTCTTCCAATTTTTTCCACTTTACAAAATCTACTAGTTGGGTGGTTAATTGAGTTGGTAGAATGAAGACTGAATTAATTTTGTTTATGTCTTGTAAAGATATTTTCTGTTAATAGAAAGACAGTGATCTAGCCAAACTTGTTGTTGGATTTATTACTCTTTGTTAAACTTTTCTAAGTGTCACCTTTAAAGCATTTGGGATTTCCATCCTAATTCTATGCTTCAGATTAGGAGCATAAAAATGTTCTATGAATTTTTCTATCTTCAATTTAATAGATTATGTAGAGTATTCTATTAGCAGAGAAAAAATTTCATGATAACTTTAAGACAAGATTTTCAAAATTTGGAGAGGTTCTAAGCTTGATTTTGGGCTCAGTCAGGACAAACTGGAAAATGCTTTCATTGTGCATAACAACTTTTAAAACACAGAAAAGATAAACAAATATTTAACAAAACAGTTCCTTAGTTCTATAAAAACTTCTCTTGGCTAAACTCATTGTACGTTATGAAGTTAGAATACTTCCTATGTTGGGAAACCCTGACCTCAGGAAGCTATCTCTTCCACATTTGGATAGATCCAAATTGTTAGTTTTTTCATTTTAAATTCTAAATGCAAAAAGCTATTGTTCACCAATCCTAGGTCCACCTCTAAGACTGCTCCCATTCTTCTTGGCATATTTGACGTATTACAAATATACCTATGTGCTCCCTCTCTTATATTCAGGCCACACAACCATAGTTCTTTCTACTCTCCTTATGTGTTGATTGCTATTCTTCATGATCTTGGTTACCATCATTTAAAAATAGAGGTGGCCCTCATTTGGTGCTATAGGTGGCTGTTCTTGTAGCTTAATTGGAAATTCTTATGGAATCTTTCATATAATAAATAAATCCCTTACATTATACATGTAAACTCTTATTTACAACTGTGACTGATAACTGAGTCTATTGGCTCTGGGCCTGTGCATTCAACAACAACAAGAATATGCGATCTTCTGATTCATGAGGTTGAAAGAATTTTAATAACATAGAACAACGAATCCACACTCTTCTGAAATGAGCAATGGTTTTGGCAAAAGCATAATTTTTTCTCATAACAGTGAAAGAGTTCTGGAGGCGAAGTATGGAGGACCCCAAAGAGATTTTCAATATAGAAAAAGGATGTTGCGATCCCTTCAAGAAGGACACTGGTTGATGTAAATGATATCAACGATTGAGAGAAGCTGCAAGAATTGATAACCCATACATGTATTCCTGCCCCCAGCCCTCAATTTAGTATAGTCTGACCTGTGTCCAGAGACAAAACAGGTAATAAATAGGAGATCCAGACTGACAATGTTTACCTTAAAATATGGCATGTTGGCTGGGCACAGTGGTTCATGCCTGTAATCTCAGCACTTTGGGAGGCAGAGGCAAGTGGATCACGAGGTCAGGAGATTGATACCATCCTGGCCAACATGGTGAAACCCCATCTCTACTAAAATATAAAAAATTAGCTGGGCATGGTGGTGCGCACCTGTAGTCCCAACTACTCAGGAGGCTGAGGCAGGGGAATCACTTGAGACTAGAGGTGGAGATTGCAGTGAGATGAGATCGGGCCACTGTACTTCAGCCTGGGGACAGAGTGAGACTCCATCTCAAAAAAGTGGCTCACGCCTGTAATCTCAGCACTTTGGGAGGCTGAGGTGGGCGGATCACGAGGTCAGGAGATCGAGACCATCCTGGCTAACATGGTGAAACCCTGTCTCTACTGAAAATACAAAAAAATTAGCCAGGGGTGGTGGCGGGCACCTGTAGTCACAGCTACTCAGGAGGCTGAGGCAGGAGAATGGCGTGAACCTAGGAGGTGGAGCTTGCAGTGAGCCAAGATTGTGCCACTGCACTCCAGCATGGGCGACAGAGCAAAACTCTGTCTCAAAAAAAAAAAAAAAAAAAGGCATGTGAAATGAAATACAGTACTAAATGCAATCTGAATAGTGTAGAATGACATTGGAATATTATCATTCCTCAAATGAACAATGCACTTGTATTTAATGAGACCTAAGTTTCCATTCAATACAGTATTTGGTAGTGATTTGTATTCTCATATTGAGTTTGTAATCGCTTAAAACTTATATCATTGTCACTCAAACTTTTGCTAAGCTAGATCTCTACATGTTACTTGTACAATCAATTGAATCAAATTAGAATATAAGATGTTTTCATTCATTACTTAAAAATTCATCTCTTTAATTTCCTGTTGTTTCCAAACTAGAGATAATTTTGAACCTTGATTCCATCATCCCACATCATGGCTACCCCTTCTCATTTTGTAATTTTTTTTTGCAAATGTGATAAGCCACATTTCCTCAGCAATGTTTAATAGACTGGCACAGAAATAGTATTGGTGTTATGCAATGGGGAACCACTTTTCAGCGCTAATTCCAAACATAAAGTAATTTCTTCTGCCAGAAAGATTTTAAAACCACCTCCTCCATTGAAACTACAGATAGTGGCAAGCATAATAGAGACAATGGCAAGGACAGAAATCCTGCACTCAGGTTAGGCAGAGAGATAACTTGCCACACTCTGATAGGAATTCCCATCACCTAGTTAAGTCAGCAGCCAGAGTTTTGCCGAACATATTATAGATAAGAAAGCCTTTGATGGAAATCTACTGATAAACATGCAGTCCTAAGGGATGAGAAGCATGTTTGTAAATTCTAAGGGATGAGAGGCATGTTTGTAAGGTCTCAAAACCGAGTAGTTATGCTTTTCAAGCTAAGAAGTGACATCCTAGTGAAATCAGCTTGAGACAGGTCTTCAGAAACACAGATGTGGCTGGCCAGCAGGTCAGCTGCTCAGGGGGCACTTGGCCAGGTCAGGAAGACATGGAGACAGCAGGTGGCTCTAGAATCCACTCTGTAAACTTTTAATTTAATGGTATAATGTCTGGAAAAATATACATGGTTCTTATTAAGAGCATGATTTTCAAAAATATATATATTTTTGTTAATAACATTAACTAGGTATTACAACCAAGACTCTGGTTCTCAGATGAGAAAGAAACAGACAAGCAGCCCCTTCACAGAATATTGTTTTTCCTAAGACGTATTTCTGGCTTAGAGTTTTCTATGTTTCATACTCACTGAGGTCTTAATACTTCTTAAATAAATAGGCCTGTGCTGGCTTTAGTAAGCACCTCTCTGTGCTAAGTAATCACAAACCATCTGACTAACAGTTTGTTCTAATGTTTAAGATATCTTTAATCTTGGTAACTAATATCTGGATGCCATTTTCCTCCTTTTTTTTCAATTCAAGGAATATTATCTTTACTACCCTGGTACCTCTTCTCCACATATTCTCAAAATTTTTGGTAGTTATCTTTAATGTCATCTGAGTTTTTGTAGTACATTGGGATATACTTTTTCTAGACACTTAAGTTTATTTAAAACAAATAGTTAATTTCTTGCAGCCTCCTTATGTAATCTCCTTGGTGTTAGTCCATTCCTAAACATTCTTTACATGTTTTTCCATGTTCTTCCTTTCTTTTTCTCTTTTACATTGTCCAGTGTTTACCACTGTGCATCATAAGGAAAAGCTTCTCAATAAATACTTAATAGCTTGTCTTGTCACTCACATTACAAAAGCCGCTGTCTTGGAGATGTTGGAGAAATGTCAGATATCTTTGGCTTGTCATTTCACCATCTGTTCTTCACTTTAGATTCTTTTTGGAAACTTTGCCTAAGCACATAGATGATTCATTTTCTTTTCCATAGTGTTGATGACATTTCCCCAAGTGTTAAACCTCGTGCTTGTGGTTAATCAATTCTTGGATCCTATCATCATTCCAGCCTGATGATTCTTGCTATAGAATCCATGTGTCTTTGATTGAGGCTATAGATTGTGGTCCTCAGATCATTTCCAAGACTTCTGACATTGGCTCACTCACAACTGGGAATTAAAATTTGCCAGTTTTTCTGCTGAAGTGAGAGGGTCTTCTTAATCAGAGAATGTGCCTTTTATCTTTCATTGAGCTAACCAACTGTTTTCAGGACCTCTTTAATAGTTAACTCCTTTTCAGGGATTTATGAGACTTTTGAGCAAAGTAGGCTAATGTTATGCTGAACACTCATAAGGCCAAAATTCCCAACAAGCTTTCATCAACAAGTCATTCATTCCGAAAATTCTGATGAATGGAAAACTCCAGAGAACATTCAACACTGTCTCTATGAAATCATTTAATGCTGAAGTTGGAAAGGAATTTAGTAATAATTTAGCACATCCTCTTCATTTTACTTATGGGAGAAAGTGAGACCCAGAAGAATAAGTGATATGCCCAAAGTAGTTCTATAAGTTGTCAAATGACAACTAGAAGTCAACATTTCTGACAACAATCCTAGGGCAGGGCCCCTTTGGTGGAGCCCTACCATCCATTTTGGCTTTTCTCAAAAACATAGCTTTCAAGAGTTGAAGAAATGGCAGAATAAAGTAGCGTAGAGCTAATGAATGGGTTCTGGCTGCAATGTGAACTTTCGTAAGTGAAAAACCTTATGGGCTCAGCAAAGGAAATGTTGCATATTTAACAAAAGTGGTCAGAGGTTTGGTGGGGTTTGCTGGAAATGATGATTGATGTGGTGACTATGATGGGAACGAAAGGTGAGGAAAATGGTGATGCTAATAGAGGCAGAATGTGACAGAGTTCTGAGTGATTAGGGTAGAAGTTAGCAAATTTACTCTCTCATCAATAACAGAGTGTACCTTCATCTTCCAAATGTGATGAGTTTATAGCCAAAGGGTAGCAAAGAATTTGTTGTTTCTAAAAACATCTTCTGTGAAAATATCTGCATTTCTTAAAGGAAGACTAATTGTAGATAGCATCTCTTGGTCACAGATTTAATCAAATACAGTTTCCTGAATTGGTGCTGTCCATATTTGTATGTTTCTACTTGGCAGGTGTATGTGAGGACAATGGTACTTTTTGCGGCAATGTAATTACCAGTAGAATAAATTTTTTTGGACTTGCTGCATTGGCTGTGTTCCTCAAAGCTCATCTTGTGAAGTAGTGACGGGACTGATATTGAATTGTGTGATATTGAATCATTTCAGATTGGCTTTGTTTTCATACATATTTGCTGGATTGTACACCCGTTTCAATCTATGTCAGTTGTCACACCTGCTACTATTTTATTATTTCTCCAACAACTAAGAAATTTGTCCTCCTGTTTCGTACACCTTCCACTGCACGAACACACAGCCTCTGGTAGAGCAGCATGCAGCAACTTTCAGAAGTTTAATTCTTCCTTGAACATGCATAACAAGTCAGCAGCTTTCAAAGACAGTGCTTTGAAAAAAAAAGAGATTACTTTTAATGAAAAGAACTCCACGTTTACCATCTATTACAAAATTCAGGCACATAGAGCTTGGAGCAAAAAGACAGGACAGAATAAACCAGCATTGTGTGGAATCATAAAAATGTTAGGAGTACAAAAGACACAAAAGATGCTATATTGAAGAAGGATATAAGGTCACAGAGGAGAAAAAAAGTGAACTACAGTGATAAGAGGAGGTGAAACATAATTGTCTGTGTACCTGAGGGTAGGCACCACAGAGGCCTACAACTCAGAATTGCTAACAATCGTCTCTTGAAGAGGACCACTAACACTTCAGAGTTTCTAGCACTGGAAGTCAGAAAATCAGAGAAATGTAAAGGAAGTAAATTTGTACTGCTGAATATCTTCTGAATAATTATACGTGCTGTGTTACAAAAAGAACCATATCTTAACTTGGAAAATATATGGTTTGGGAATGAAATGAACAATTCAGGTAGAGAATATATTTTAAAAAATTGTTGCAAAAGGATAACAAAAATATTATTATCTCTTTATTCTGGTGGTTACGTCTGGCTTTTCCTTGTCCCATTTATATAGCAAAGACTACTTTCCTCCTTTTTGGAATTAATCAATCCATGATAAGTACTTTATTTGTTGAATTTTGTGTGTATTCTGTGGGAGCCATTTTACAACTGTGGTGCTACATAGTTAGATGAACTCAGCCTCCTAATACTGGGAGTAGGTTTTCATCTTGTTTGTTGGTTTGTTTGTTTGCCCCAGTGATTTGAACTAATCCTTCTATAGACAGTTGAGGGTTGATACAATGTAAAGCCATACATGTAAGTTGGGGTACAACTGTAACCAAACCCTTAACCCTCATGGAGGTTGCAGTTTATGAGAAATATGGGGGGGAAAGGGCAAACAAAGAAAAAGTATGATATTTGGGGTAGGTTCTTTTTTTTTTTTTTTTTTTTTTTTTTTGCCAGAGTCTTGCGGTGTCACCCAGGCTGGAGTGCAGTGGTGTGATCTCGGCTCACTGCAACCTCTACCTCCCAGGTTCAAGCAATTCTCCTGCCTCAGCCTCCCACATAGCTGGGATTACAGGCGCCTGTCACTATGCCCGGCTCATTTTTGTATTTTTAGTAGAGATGGGGTTTCACCATATTGACCAGGCTGGTCTCAAACTCCTGGCCTCGTATAATCTGCCCACCTCAGCCTCCCAAGTGCTGGGATTACAGGAGTGAGCCACCACGCCTGGCCTAGGGTAGGCTTTCTTGTGGGTAATATTTGACAGAACTTCATACTCTAGTAGTGTTTGCATCTTTCTCCCTACTTGTACCTGCCTATCATTCTGTGACAGTATATTTTTAAAACTCCTCTCCCAGCCAAATTTTAACTATGCATTCATCTCAGATCTTCACAGAATCTCTTGTGCTGGGCTATGCATCCATGCTTTCTCTCTGCCTTCCTAGGTGGCTGAAAGGAGAAATTCATAGCTCTTTTACAAAACAAAACTGCAGTTGCAGAACCTACTTAGGGGCTGCTCAACACATGGTAAATTCCCACATGAATTTAATGTGAAGAAAAACTGTGGCTGCGTAGATTAACTTGCCTGCTCCCTGTTGTGGAAAAAGAAGTGTGTAACCAGACACATTTTATTTTCTACTTCTCTTGACAAAAATCATAGTGATTAATGTCTTACCGGAATGTTACAATCTGCTCAATTCATTTGCCTGAAAAACACCTATTCCTCTGCTTTCTTCAGATGGTATCTCTTCTAGTTTATCTTTAAATATATGTTCATGAGGTAGTGGGGGTAATTATGTAATTATGTGCTGTCAAGTTCAAGTTCGATTCCATTTTGCTACCATGAGTAGAGGATTCCTGGACAAACTCTTCTCTTGTGTGGGGATTGTGTGCACCTCTTGCATTGATCAGGGTTTGCTAACTATTCCTCTTTTCTTGCAGTATCATTTTTTTTTTCTTTCAGATGAACTTTTGCATCAGCAAACACTTATGCTCTAACATTTCCTTTATTTAAAAAGAATAAAACACTTTTATTTCACCCATTCCCTTCCACCTCATCTTTCTATCTCTTCATAGAAAACTCCTTTACTTCACATTCTTTTCTGGGTCTGCTCCGACAGGGCGTCTTTCCTCACCACCCTACTCAGACTGCTTTGGTCAAGGGCCTGCTCACCCCTCCTTCCCTCTTTCCTTCCCTTCCCTCCTCCCGTCCTTTCTTTTTTCCTCCCTCCTTTCCTTTTTCCTTCCTTCCTTCTTTCCTTCCTTTCTTTCTTTCATCATGACAATCCTGCATATATTTTGTTAGATTTATTTCTACATATCAATTTATATCCAAAGTATGTTCTTTATATTCCCCTCATCTCATGCACAGTTAGAACAGAGGTAGCTTAATGCTGTTATGTAATTAAAAGCAGAGATACTGAAATCGGCCCAAGGTAAACATACTGGTTTTAACTCTTTAACCTTGGGCAGTTACTCATCCCCTTCAAACCTCAATAATTTCAGATGTCAAATTGGAATAATAGCACATATCTCAGAGGGTCATTATAAGTACTAAATGAGATAAAGTATATGAAGAGCTCAGTACAGTAACTGTTATATAATAAATATTCAACAAATAATTTTTGTTAGTATCATTGTTATTATTACAAATATATCCTCTGGTTGTGCCTTTTAGATTCTAGTGGTTTGAGAGCTGTTATTATATCCATTTTATAAGTAAGGAAATTGAAAGTTCATGAGATATTAAATAACCTGCCCATTATTACCCAAGTAGGAAGTGCAAATTGAACCCTATTTATTTCCATATCCGAGACTTTGGCTGTGATATGTGAATTTTAAATTTTTCTCTTAAGAAAAATGAATGGCCTATATTTTGCTAGTAAAAGTAAGGTGCAATCAATTATGGAACTTGTATTATCAGAGTGGAGAAAACATGCATGCTCCTTCAGTGACACATAGCTCTTCCTTATACTGAATAATGTAAAGAAAGAAATTTCTCATGATGGGCTTTAGTGAATACAAAGTTTTTCAGTAGGCACTGTTGTCAACAACATCCTTTCAGGAAGTATAATAATGGATTTCATACGACCATTCCTATATTATACTTAATACATACATATTATACATAATACATAATACAATATTCAAATACACTTCAGTTAAGTAAAATCTGAAAAGGAATACACTAATATAGTTTAGCTTGAACCCCTAATGGCCAACAAAGTTATACAATATGTGGAATAATCGTGTGATTTAATAGTTTGGCAGAAGCAAGGAAAGTGAGTGCATTTTGTGTACAGACAACTCATCTACTTTTGCTCTCATGGAAGTATTTTCCTTCCTAATTCATCTTCCATTGTTTCTTACATTAGATTCCCTTTCTCTTTCAGCTCTCCTTAGTTCTAGTAATAGAGTCATTTCCTTATAATTATCTGGAATTATGGAATTCCTTTAAACGGGCAAAATGGAGGTTTTCTTTGGAGGATGAACTCAGTCTGTTTTAGGCTCTTTAATTTTGTGCCCTTTTGCTCCACTTAGTTTATCCCTTTCTCTTTTAGTTGCTACAATGTAATCCCAGCTACTGGGGAGGTTGAGGCAGGAGAATCGCTTGAACCTGGGAGGCAGAGGTTGCAGTGAGCCGAGATCGCGTCATTGCACTCCAGCCTGGGCGACAAGAGCAAAACTCCATCTAAAAAAAAAAAAGAAAAAAAAAGAACAAACAAAAAAACAAAAAAACAATCAACCAACCAAACAAAAAAGCACATTGTGCTATTTGATTTGTTTTCACCTAGCTCCAATGAACTGATCCAAATTTTGGCCTCTTATGGGTCTGATTTTTCTTAAATGATAGGATTTAAGGTTTCTTGACTAGGAGATCAGGTACACATTCTTCAAATAATTTTTTCTAAATTGTAATTCTGTTAGGCTTTGAAGGAAGTTGGACTGAACTGATCGAATAGTCAGAATGAAGAAACCCTTTAAGAACAGAGTTCATCATGATGGAGCAATCAAAGCGGGAACAGAAATTTAGGAGCTATGTTTAAAGTTATGAGTTATGGAAAAGATATTAGGTTATAAATTGTTAATATGTAAACCTTCCAAATATCCCTCAATCTGCTTTTGGACTTTGTTTCTGCATATTAAGATGAGGCTCCTTGAAGTAAAAATAAAGATATCTCGTTAATTTAACTATTGTTTATAAAGTAGTCTTAGACTAGATCGAATTTTTTCCCTAATAAACATTTTCATAAGGGCTCACTGTTTTCTGATATGGTCTTGCTGTGAAATTGTTTCATGAATCGTTTTTTTGAGCCAGATTATAAACAGAATCTATTTCCTGTGAAAAAAGTGGCTAGGAGAACTCTTCTCAAGCCAGTATTCCAGTTAAATGCTCCAAATTACCATTTAATTGCTCTGCCCTGATGTAACTAGCTTATGCATCCTCCAGGTTCCAAGACAGAAGGAAATAGTGCAGATAACTATAAATTATCCAGTGGGTTTTGAGCCATTTATATAGCTAATCAAATATTGGACATGTTTAGCATTTACCCAGATATGCCTGAATTGACAAAACCCACATCCTCAGAATAGCATATTTTTTCTCATTAAGCAGCATATGTAGTGATTAATAAATCTAAATTATGAAGTCAAAATATTAATTGCTACTGTACTTGGATGCTTCTAATATAATTTTGTTTTATTCCATTTATTTTGCATACCTTAATGTATTTCATAAAGAAAACACACTGGTGTAATCAATTTATTAAAGAAATAATGTATACAGAACAAAGTGGAGACAATTGGTTGTGGATTACTGGTAGCCAAATTATTATTTGAATATTGAAAGGACTATACCTTAAAAATAATAGCTTTAATAATTTAGGACATATTCAAAATTACTTTAGGTGCCTTATCCAGATTTGGAAAAGTGACTTATTAAATAACAATATAACTATATAGCTTGAATGAAATAAAAAAAGACTTTTGAATTATAATACGCCACTCATGCAGAATAATTCATGCATAATACAGAATTCCAGTTGGGGACTGATTTAATAGTGATGTTAATGAAGTGCCAAGAAGAGAGTGAGTAACAGGGTGAAATTCCTTTATAGCAATTTCCAGGAGAGGGATTTTTTTTTTTTTTTTTTTGGTAATAGAACTTCTTAGAAATTTCAATTGGAGCAATTTCATTTGGGTTGGGAGGGATTGATTGAGAAGACAGAGAGGAAAAGATGAGGAGAAAAAAGGGCAAATAAGGGGGAAAACTGATTATCTTTCTTCTATGTAAGATTAAAATTTGCTCAAGTAGTATAAAATGAAATTGACTAAATGTAAGTATGAAATGTACCTGCCTCATACATTTTCCAAGCTGAACAAATTCTAACAATAGAAACAATAAAGAGTAAAGATATTTTGTAAATTTATCCAGTTTTAAATATCTTGTGCTCCTTTGATATATTCTTTAAAAAAGATTACTATCTCCAATGCAACAACTTTGACATGTCATACAATTTAAACCATAAGTAAAATAAAAATGCATTTTGTCACTGTAGTTGAAAATACCATTTTCCAGAAGAATTATAACAAGAAAACATCATTGTAATGGATTGAACTCATTCAGTGGAAGGAGATGTTTTAATTTTGTTACCATCTTTATTTCAGAAAGCAGTCTGTAAAGTTAAACATATGTGATGTCTCACCTCTTCTGGAGACAACACTGACTTATTTGATAAAGTTGCCTGCTTGTTCCAACTGTGCACTACTTCCCAAATTTGCTAACTATAGAGCATTTAAAGAACAGAAAAACTCCCAAAGCAGAAGGCCGGATAGTTTAATAAGGCATAATTTTTATATATTTCAGAAAATGTGAAGCTTACTACTAAAATTATGGCCTCTGAAAGATTTGAAACATTTGAAAATGGTATAGGGATTACCTTTCACCCTCTTATTCCAGCTTAATCCAATCGGGAACACATTTTTTATCTTCTGTCATTTGTTTGGGATTTTCCTTGTTGTGCCCATCTGAGGATATTAGGTAGTCAACTTTCCCCAAAACTATAAAGAACATTTTGAATTCATTTTCTGGAAATAAAAATGCTGCTTCTGTGGTGGGTGTGATGCCTCATGCCTGTAACTTCTGAACTTTGGGAGGCTGAGGAGAGTGGATCCCTTGAGCCCGGGAATTTGAGATCATCCTGGGCAACATGGCAAAACCCTGTCTCTACAAAAAATACAAAAATTTGCCAGGCATAGTGACATGAGCCTGTAGTTCCAGCTACTCTGGAGGTTGAGGCAGGAGGATGGCTTGAGCCCAGGAGGTCGAGGCTGCAGTGAGCCGTGATCATCCCACTGTACGTCAGCCTGGGTAACAGCGCAAGACCCTGTCTCAAAAAATAAAAATAAAAATGCTGCTTCTGTTTCTACAAAATTTTGTCTTGGTTGCTCCATTCACATACCCTTTTATTTCTGCCATATTAATATGTATAAGTTATCACTAATAAGGCTTCTCTGGTATGAAGTTTCAACAGCTCTATCCTGCCTATTGAATGAAGTTTAGACACATTGGGCAAACTATGTCCTTCAAAATCTGTTTCTTTACTCCTGTTTGATACTAATTTTCTACCTAGAAGTGCTACTTTGGCCAGGCTGATATGTTCCTCATGTTTAAGAAACACAAAGCAAAGCTAGAACCAAAACCCAACCCCTTTTCATTTCTTGCCTTACTCATGTTGGCTGTACAAACTCTTCTGTGGAATTTGTCGTCTATGGAACATCTACTTGGTTCTCCAGATCTACAGAAAATGCTGTTGTTTCTGTTAAGCTTTTCCTAACTTCCCACAATCACTTTGTTTTCTGAACTCTTACAGCAATATTTTACTCTCTCAAATTGGAGAAATCAATAAGATACATTTCTGTCTAAACTTGTAATAATCATGCGTGGGCCTGAAATCTTGTGTGGATCTGAGCTTTTAGTTGTGGTCAGGAAAAGGGTAGACTCAGTTAAGCTAAGCTGCCTGGGATCAAATATCGAATCTGGAAATTTTTAGCTGTATGACTTTGAGCAAGTTACCTAAACACTCTGAGGTCCAGTTTCCCCATTTCCCAAAATGAGATATTAATTGTTCCAACTTGAAAGAGTTGGTATGTCCAAAGCATATACGTACCTCGCATGTAGTTTATCTTACAGCATTTTAAACTATTAGTGTTGAGCTCCCAGTGGCAAGGGCAATACATTATTTATTCTTGTGTGTAAACAATATTGTCTCCAATAATATTTACTGACTAAATGTATAAGTCCTAAATTCCGAAAAAAATTGTTTGGGGTTGAATTTTCTATGATGAGTCTTCTTTCCTGTAAAGCTGCCAATACTTAAAATTACTTGATTGGTTTATGCTTATTTAGTCATCCATGAAATATTGATTGAGCACTTGTTTTATGCAAAATACAGAGATAGAACTAGTGAGGGACAAAAATACATACGCTTTGGCCTCATAATATAAAATCTTGGTTGATACTGAGTCATGCCATGAAAGCAGAATGTGTAGCATTATGCAAAGAATATGTGATTTTAACTCTGAAAGACCTGAATTTCAGTCTTAATTCTGCAACGTCCAAGCTATGATCTAGAACATTATTTAAGCACTATGATTTCTCCAAATAAAAAACAGTAACCCCAATAATATCATATCATGGTTTGTAATGCTGACAAAAATGAGGTCATATGCTTTAAGAAAAAGTGTAGCATATTAGTTGGGACATAGTAGCCACTCAAAAAAATACTAGTTTTCTTCTGCTAATTAAACAAAAATATATATTTTTAAATAGTAATTTTAGATAAATATTAAAAGGTTAACTGGATATTAAGACAAATTATCAAGGCATAAAGCATATACAGAGCATTTACCTACATGTTCATTAAAAAAAAATGATTGATTTCTATTAAGTACAAGATAATACAGTGTACACTATGAAAAAGTATAAAAATAAATAAGATTTAGCTCCTACCTCTAAATAGCATATAACATAATGGGTAAGCTGAATATGCTGAGAAATAATCATGGTGAATACTATAATTGTGTATTTAAAGAAATTCAAATGACAAGTTTTGAGGTTTCTAAAGAGTGAGAGCACATTTCTGCCTTGAAAATTTTGAAGGCTTTATGGAGTATGGTGCCAGCTGAGCTTAAAAGCCAGAAAGGATTTTGACAGGTCAGGATTTAAGTTGTATATTCCAGTTAAAAAAATAGAGAATAATGAATAGTGCCACAATAAACATACGTGTGCATGTGTCTTTATAGCAGCATGATTTATAATCCTTTGGGTATATACCCAGTAATGGGATGGCTGGGTCAAATGGTATTTCTAGTTCTAGATCCTTGAGGAATTGCCACAATGTCTTCCACAATGGTTGAACTAGTTTACAGTCCCACCAACAGTGTGAAAGTGTTCCTATTTCTCCACATCCTCTCCAGCACCATTCACAATAGCAAAGACTTGGAACCAATCCAAATGTCCATCAATGATAGACTGGATTAAGAAAATGTGGCACATATACACCATGGAATACTATGCAGCCATAAAAAAAGATAAGTTCATGTCCTTTTTAGGGACATGGATGAAGCTGGAAACCATCATTCTCAGCAAACTATCGCAAGGACAAAAAACCAAACACCACATGTTCTCACTCATAGGTGGGAACTGAACAATGAGAACACTTGGACACAGGAAGGGGAACATCACACACTGGGGCCTGTCATTGGGTTGGGAGAGGGGGGAGGGATAGCAATAGGAGATACACCTAATGTAAATGACGAGTTAATGGGTGCAGGACACGAACATGGTGCATGTATACATATGTAACAAACCTGCACGTTGTGCACATGTACCCTAGAACTTAAAGCATAATAAAAAAATAAAAAAAATAAAGAAAATGAAATATCAAGTTTTATTGGAATAGAGGGTACATTTTTAAGAAACATATGACCCACATCTAGAATGGAGGTTAGGGTTATTTTACAGGTTGCCAGAGAGGTGGTCGTCAAAAGATTTGCATTGAATTTAGTAGATAAAATGTGAAGATATTTGGGCAGATGACCGTAACACAAGGACATAATGAGAGCTGTACTTTCAGAAGTTTAAACTGATGGTTTAGAGTTTAAAATGAAAGTGTCTAGTGATGTGAACATCAGGTTGTTTAGACAGAAATAACAAGTTCTGAATTAGGGTTAGGATCATGGGAATAAGAAAAGAAAAATCTACTGGAAAATATTGGCTATTATCAGTATTGTCTGCAGAATAATTAAAGGTGTAGAAAAATAAAATAAATTTGACAATAGAACTAACCTTTTCTTCAGCACGTATATATCGGGCATAGATAGTGCTGGGCACTTAACATATTAATCTCCTTTAATCCTTCCAAGATAGGTCAAGATAAACTATATTTTCAGATGGATAAGCAACAATCCCAAAGCTACATGGCTCATCAGTAGAGGAACTAGAATTTGAGCCCAAGCATATCTGACTTGAGAGTCCAAACTGTTTTCACCATGCCAATTTAGTTAAACTGTGAAAAGGCTATTAATGGCTAGTTCTAAAGTAAGAATGACAGCATGCCTGCTTATATTTTCTTCCAGCATTGAATAAATGTTGAGTCCTAGCAAAAAATTAGACTCTAGCTATTTCAATAATAAATGAAATAAATACAATAAATAAAAGTCAATATTTGGATAATATTCTACATTAAAATGAGTTTTTGTTTCAAAATAAAATATCTTTGAAAATCATAGTAAAAAACAAATATACATAAACAGCTGGGCACAGTGGCTCATGCCTGTAATCCCAGCACTTTGGGAGGCTGAGGCAGGCAGGTCACTTGGGGTCAGGAGTTCAAGACCAGCCTGGCCAACATGGTGGAACCTCATCTCTACTAAAAATAAAAAAAATAGTTAGGCATGGTGACACGTGCCTATAATCCCAGCTACTCAGGAGGCTGAGGCAGGAGAATTGCTTGAACCCAGGAGGCAGAGGTTGCAGTGAGCCGAGATCGTTCCACTGCACTCCAGCCTGGGTGACAGAAAAAAAAACTTTGTCTAAAATAAACAAACAAAAACCCACAAAAAACAAATATGCATAAACACAACAGAAAAGAAAATGACAAAGAAGTTTCCAATAAACTATTGGATGGGAAGCTGATGGAGAGGTCAGACTGATGAAATAGAGAAAAGAAGTCACAACCTGCTTTAAGGGCATACAACTGAAGATTGAGCCTATATTCCCTATAAAACCTAATAACCTGGCCTTGGAACTTAGAAATGCTACTTATAAAAGAATGTAGAATGTGGTATGGGACTTAAAACTGGATTTTATTGTGAATTTGTAAGCAGTTCTTCCACATGCTTCTTGAATTATGTACTGAACTAAATTATTGACAACAGTATGAGGGTAGACCTTTTCATACTGGCAAGATTCAGAAAGTTTACCTTCCACAAATATTTTCCTAAGACAATAGAAACAAAAAAAGCCATAAGATTCAGGAAACTGACCCAGAAGAGCTATGGGAAAAAGTCTGGTGGTCAAAAAGACTGGAGAAAGACTAAGCAGCCTCTAGTCCAAGTTACAACAGAAAGATGGAGAACTCTGGCAGGGAGGTGTCTAAGACTTACAGGGATTTCAATATTGTAACAGATAGGAGGAGAGTCTTTTATTTTTTTAAGGTTCTAATAATGACAGGTAGTGTTCAATGGCATTTTTTTACAGAAAAATGAAAAAGAAGACCACGTAACCCACAGTAAAATAATATGATTAACATAGATGAAGACAAGTGATTATTGTAGAAAGCTGAGCTGTTGGGTGAAGTTGGGCAGATTAAGTCTAGACAGATATGGATGAGAAACAAGAAAACTTCTGAATAAAATTTAAAGTGTTTGATTTAGAAATTATACAATCATGGCAGAGCAAAGTCAAGATGTTTATGTCAAGACATCTTTTTAGATAGTGACCATTTTGGAAAGAGGGAAGTTGGGTTTGTGTGTGCAACTACTGGGTACATTTAGACAAACAGAAATATTTTATTAGAGTGTGTAATTGCCATGTTTTATCAAATATAACTTAAAGATGCGTAATGGTGACTTCTGCCATACATCTGTACCAATCTAAATAGAATAGAGACTTTAATAGTTAAGAAGATTAAAATCTCATTAGAAGCTGGGCATGGTGGCTCACACCTGTAATCCTAGCACTTTGGGAGGCTGAGGCGGGTGGATCACTTGAGGTCAGGAGGTCAAGGCCGCCCGGCCAACATGGTAAAACCCCATCTATACTAAAAATACACACCCACACACAAATTAGCCGGGGGTGGTGGCAGGCACCTGTAATCCCAGCTACTCGGGAGGCTGAGGCAGGAGAATTGCTTGAACCTGGGAAGCAGAGGTTGCAGTGAGCCGAGATCATGCCACTGCACTCCAGCCTGGGCAGCAGAGCGAGACTCCATCTCAAAAAAAAAAAAAAAGTCATTAGGAGAAGGCTGCATGTATTGCCCCATACTTTCCATGATTCTTAAGAAAACATCAGAAAACAGTACAGTATTTGAATTAAGGGATTAACTTGAACAAAAATTCCTACACAAATCCTAGTACACCCAGGAAAAGCTGTAAAATACAACAGCCAGACTGACTTGTTCTTCTTTAGAGTTTAGTTAGTGCAACCCAACTCATATGTTGAAAAAAAATTGTAGGGGAGGTATAATTTTTTCTCTATAGCCAGACTGACTTGTTCTTCTTGAGAATTTAGTTAGTGCAACCCAATTCATATGTTGAAAAGAAATTGTAGGGGAGGTATAATTTTTTCTCTACCCTCTTAGGGTCTCTGGCTGGGTCTAAGTATGAAACTGACATAAGGCAGATTAATAGGAGAAAAACATACATATTTTATTTTGTAAGTTTTACTTGTATATGGGAGCTTTCACAAGAACAATGACCCATAGGAGCAGTTAGGACCAAAAGGTTGTATACCAGGCTGGACAAGGGGTAGTGAATTTATGAAAAAATGACAAGACAAAGGGGTTTGGGCTAAATCAGTTAACTGTGGAAAAGTGACTAGAAAGATAAGGGCTATGTGGTAGGCCATTTGTTCTTGCATTGCGAGACAGAACCGTTCACCCCCCTGGAAAGGGGTGCTGAAGCCAAGGAGCCAAATGGTTTGGCTTGGCAGGTCCCACCTCAATGGAGCCTAGAAAATTAACATCCACTGGCTTGAAATTCTCGCTGCCAGCACAGTAGCAGTCTGAGATTGACCTGAGACACTCGAGCTTGGTGGGGAGAGGGGCGTCCACTATTGCTGAGGCTTGAGTAGGTGGTTTTACGCTCACAGTGTAAACAAATCATCCAGGAAGTTCGAACTGGGTGTAGCCCACTGCAACTTAGCAAGGCTGCTGTGGTCAGACTGCCAGATTTCCCTTCTGTGGGCAGGGCATCTCTGAAAAAAAGGCAGCAGCCCCAGTCAGGGACTTATAGATAAAACCACCATCTCCCTGAGAGAGAGCACCTGGGGAAAGGAGCAGCTGTGGGCACAGCTTCAGAAGACTTAACTGTCCCTGCCTGACAGCTCTGAAGAAAGCAGTGGACCTCTCAGCACAGCTTTCGAGCTCTGTTAAGGGTCAGACTGCCTCCTCAAGTGGCTCATACAGAAGACCCCTGGCTGGCATCTGGCAGGTGCCCCTCTGAGGCAAAGTTTCCAGAGGACAGATCAGACAGCAATCTTTGCTGTTCTGCAGCCTCTGCTGGTGATATCCAGGCAAACAGGGTTGGGAGACCTCCAGCAAACTCCAGCACATCTGGAGCAGAGGGGCTTGACTGTCAGAAGGAAAACTAACAGACAGAAAGGAATAGCATGTCCACTCAAAGACACCATCTGAAGGTCACCAACATCAAAGACCAAAGGTAGATAAATTCACAAAGATGGGAAGAAACCAGTGCAAAAAGGCTGAAAATTCCAAAAACCAGAATGCCTCTTCTCCTCCAAAGGATCACAACTCCTTGCCAGCAAAGGAACAAAAATGGACAGAGAATGAGTTTGACGAATTGACAGAAGTAGTCTTCAGAAGGTGGATAATAACAAACTCCTCTGAGCTAAAGGAGCGTGTTCTAACCCAGTGCAAGGAAGCTAAGAACGGTGAACAAAGGTTAGACAAATTGCTAACTAGAACAACCAGTTTAGAGAAGAACATAAACGATCTCATGGAGCTGAAAAACAGCACGAGAACTTCATGAAGCATATGCAAGTTTCAATAGCCAAATCAATCAACTGGAAGAAAGGATATCAGTGATTGAAGGTCAACTTAATAAAATAGAGAGAGAAGACAAGATTAGAGAAAAAAGAATAAAAAGCAACCAACAAAGCCTCCAAGAAATATGGGGCCATGCGTAAAGACCAAATCTACGTTTGATTGGTGTACCTGAAAGTGATGAGGAGAATGGAACCAAGCTGGAAAACACTCTTCAGGATATTATCCAGGAGAACTTCCGCAACATAGCAAGACAGGCCAAACTTCAAATTCAGGAAATAAAGAGAACACCACAAAGATACTCCTCGACAAGAGCAATCATCAGATTCACCAAGGTTGAAATGAAGGAAAAAATATTAAGGGCAGACAGAGAGAAAGGTCAGGTTACCCACAAAGGGAAGCCCATCAGACTAATAGCAGATCTTTCTGCAGAAGCCCTACAGGCCAGAAGAGAATGGGGGCCAACATTCTCTCAATATTCAACATTCTTAAAGAAAAGAATTTTCAACCCAGAGTTTCATATTCAGCCAAACTAAGCTTCATAAGTGAAGGAGAAATAAAATCCTTTACAGACAAGCAAATGCTGAGAGATTTTGTCACCACCAGGCCTGCCTTACAAGAGCTCCTGAAGGAAGCACTAAACGTGAAAAGGAAAACCGGTATGAGCCACTGCAAAAACATGCCAAACTGTAAAGAAAAGACCATTGACACTGTGAAGAAACTGCATCGACTAATGGGCAAAATAACCAGCTAATGTCATAATGACAGGATCAAATTCACACATAACAATATTAACCTTAAATGTAAGTGGGCTAAATGCCCCAATTAAAAGACACAGACTGGCAAATTGGATAAAGAGTCAAGACCCATCAGTGTGCTGTATTCAGGAGACCCATCTCATGTGCAAAGACATACAAAGGCTCAAAATAAAGGGATGGAGGAATCTTTACCAAGCAAATGGAAAGCAAAAAAAAAAAACAGTAGTTGCAATCCTAGTCTCTGATAAAACAGACTTTGAACCAACAAAGATCAAAAGAGACAAAGAAGGATATTACATAATGGTAAAGGGATCAATGTATCAAGAAGAGTTAACTACCCTAAATATATATGTACCCGATACAGGAGGACCCAGATTATTAAAGCAAGTTCTTAGAGACCCACAGAGATTCAGACTCCCACACAATAATAGTGGGAGACTTTAACACCCCACTGTCAATATTACACAGATCAACAAGACAGAAAATTAACAAGTATATTCAGGAGTTGAACTCAGCTCTGAACCAAGCAAACCTAATAGACATCTACAGAGCTCTCCAACCCAAATCAACAGAATATACATTCTTCTCAGCACCTCATCGCACTTATTCTAAAACTGACAACATAATTGGAAGTAAAACACTCCTCAGCAAATGCAAAAGAATGGAAATCATAACAGTCTCTCAGACTACAGTGCAATCAAACAGGATTTCAGGATTAAGACACTCACTCAAAGCTGCACAACTACATGGAAACTGAACAACCTGCTCCTAGATGGCTACTGGGTAAATAATGAAATGAAGACAGAAATAAAGATGTTCTTTGAAACCCATGAGAATGAAGACACAGCATACCAGAAACTCTGGGACACATTTAAAGCAGTGTGTAGAGGGAAATTTATAGCACTAAATGCCCACAAGAGAAAGCAGGAAAGATCAAAAATTGACACCCTAACATCACAATTAAAAGAACTAGAGAAGCAAGAGCAAATTCAGAAGCTAGCAGAAGACAATAAATAAGATCAGAGCAGAGCTGAAGAAGATAGAGACATGAAAAACCCTTCAAAAACTCAACGAATACAGGAGCTGGTTTTTTGGAAAGATCAACAAAATAGATAGACCACTAGCCAGACTTATAAAGAAGAAAAGAGAAAAGAATCAAATGGATGCAATAAAAAATGACATAGGGAATATCACCACTGATCCCATAGAAATACAAACTACCATCAGAAAATACTATAAACACCTCTATGCAAATAAACTAGAAAATCTAGAAGAAATGGGTAAATTCCTGGACACATACACCCTCCTAAGTCTAAACCATGAAGAAGTTAAATCACTGAATAAAATAATAACAAGTTCTGAAATTGAAGCAGTAATTAATAGTCTACCAACCAAAAAATGTCTAGGACCAGACAGATTCACAGCCGAATTCTGCCAGAGGTACAAAGAGGAGGTGGTACCATTCCTTCTGAAACTATTCCAAACAATAGAAAAAGAGGGAATCCTCCCTAACTCATTTTATGAGGCCAGCATCATCCTGATACCAAAACCTGGCAGAGATACAACAACAACAACAACAACAACAACAACAACAAAATTTCAGGCCAATATCCCTAACGAACACTGATGCAAAAATCCTCAATAAAATACTGGCAAACCGAATCCAGCAGCACATTACAAAGCTTATCCACCATGATCAAGTTGGCTTCATCCCTGGGATACAAGGCTGGTTCGATATATGCAAATCAATAAATGTAATCTGTCACATGAACAGAACCAATCACAAAAACCTCATGATTATCTCAATAGATGCAGAAAAGGCCTTCACCAAAATTCAACAGCCCTTCATGCTAAAAACTCTCGATAAAGTGGGTATCAATGGAACATATCTCAAAATAATAAGAGCTATTTATGACAAACCCACAGCCAATATCATACTGGATGGGCAAAAACTGGAAGCATTCCCTTTGAAAACTGGCATAAGACAAGGATGACCTCTCTCATCACTCCTATTCAACATAGTATTGGAAGTTCTGGCCAGGGCAATCAGGCAAGAGAAAGAAATAAACCATATTTAAATAGGAAAAGAAGAATTCAAATTGTCTCTGTTTGCAGATGACATGATTGTATATTTAGAAAAACCCCATCGTCTCAGCCCAGAAACTCGTTAATCTGATAAGCAACTTCAGCAAAGTCTCAGGATACAATATCAATGTGCAAAAATCACAAGCATTCCTATACATCAATAATAGACAAACAGAGAGCAAAATCATGAGTGAACTCTCATTCACAATTGCTGCTAAGAGAATAAAATACCTAGGAGTCCAATTTACAAGGGAAGTGAAGGACCTCTTCAAGGAGAACTACAAACCACTGCTCAAGGAAATAAGAGAGGACACAGACAAATGGAGAAACATTCCATGCTCATGGATAGGAAGAATCAATATTGCGAAAATGGCCATACTGCCCAAAGTAATTTAAGATTCAATGCTATCCCCATCAAGCTACCACTGACTTTCTTTGGAGAGTTGGAAAAAACTACTTTAAATTTCATATGGAACCAAAAAAAAGAACACATAGCCAAGACAATTCTGGGCAAGAAGAACAAAGCTGGAGGCATCATGCTACCTGACTTCAAACTATGCTACAAGGCTACAGTAACCAAAACAGCATGGTACTGGTACCAAAAGAGAGATCTAGACCGATGGAACAGAACAGAGGCCTCAGAAATAACATTACACATGTACAACCATCTGATGTTTGACAAACCTGACAAAAACAAGCAATGGGAAAAGATTCCCTATTTAATAAATGTTGTTGGGTAAAGTGACTAGCCATATGCAGAAAGCTGAAACTGGACCCCTTCCTTAAACCTTATACAAAAATCAACTCAAGATGGATCAGAGCCTTATATGTAAGACCTAGGACCATAAAAATTATAGAAGAAAACCTGGGCAATACCATTCAGGACATAGGCATGCATAAAGACTTTATGATTAAAACACCAAAAGCAATGGCAACAAAAGCCAGAATTGACAAATGGGATCTAATTAAACTAAAGAGCTTCTTCTGCACAGCAAAAGAAACTATCATCAGAGTGAACAGGCAACCTACAGAACGGGTGAAAATTTTTGCAATCTATCCATCTGACAAAGGGCTAATATCCAGAATCTATAAAGAACTTAAACAAATTTACAAGAAAAAACAACCCCATCAAAAAGTGGGCAAAGCATATGAACAGACATTTCTCAAAAGAAGACATTTAGGCAGCCAACAGACATATGAAAAAATGCTCACCTCACTTGTCATTAGAGAAATGCAAATCAAAGCCACGATGAGATACCGTCTCACAGTCAGTTAGAATCATGATAATTAAAAAGTCAGGAAACAACAGATGCTGGAGAGGATGTGGAGAAATAGGAACGCTTTTACACTGTTGGTGGGAGTGTAAATTAGTTCAACCATTGTGGAAGACAGTGTGGCAATTCCTCAAGGATCTAGAACTAGAAATACCATTTGACCCAGCAATCCCTTTACTGGGTATATACCCAAAGGATTATAAATCATGCTGCTATAAAGACACATGCACATGTATGTTTATTATTCACACTATTCACAATAGCAAAGACCTGGAACCAACCCAAATGTCCAACAATGATAGACTGGATTAAGAAAATGTGGCACATTTCTACTATAAAGACACATGTACATGTATGTTTATTGTGGCACTATTCACAATAGCAAAGACTTGGAACCAACCCAAATGCCCATCAATGATAGACTGGATAAAGAAAATGTGGCACATGTAAACCATGGAATATTGTGCAGCCATATAAAAGGATGAGTTCATGTCCTTTGAAGGGACATGGATGAAGTTGGAAACCATCATTCTCAGCAAACTATCACAAGAACAGAAAACCCAACATCGCATGTTCTCACTCATAAGTAGGAGTCGAACAATGAGAACACATGGACATAGGGAGGAGAACATCACACTGGGGTCTGTCAGGGGGTGAGGGGCTAGGGGAGGGATAGCATTAGGAGAAATACCTAATGTAAGTGATGCATTGATGGGTGCAGCAAACCACCATGGCACGTGTATACCTATGTAACAAAACTGCATATTCTGCACATGTACCCCAGAACTTAAAGTATAATTTTTTTAAAAAAGATATGACCTTCTGACCTTTTCTATTGTTTTCTTGGGTTACAATCTTTGATGAAGCAAGCTGTCATGTTAAAAACACCTGTGTGGCAAGAAGCTGATTGTAGCCCCTGGCCAACTGCCAGTGAAGAACAGAGGTCTTCAGTCCAACGGCCCATGAGGGGACTGAATCCTGCCAACATATGTGTGAATGAGCTTGGAAGCCAATCTTTCTCACTTGAGCCTTCAGATGAGACCATGGTTCCAGCGTTGATTGCAGTCAAGGGAAAGACCCTGAGATAGACAACCCATATAAAGCATGCCCATATTTCTGACCCTCAAAAACAATGAGACAATAAACATACGTTGTTTTAAGCTTCTAACTTTGGAAGTGACATGTTATAAGGCAAAATATTACTAATGAAGTATCTATTTAAATCGTACGTTAAAATTGTAGAAAGATTGGTCTGTTTCTGTAATACTGTTTGCAAATACAGTATAAACTTGTAGATTTGATCTTTCTTGGACCTAAAACCCTTTAATATATTCCATTTTTGCCGATTCTTCAAAAAGAGTCTCCATTCATTCTCTCCAAACCTTGAATTTGCCCTTTGTTTAGATATATTCTTGCCAAAGAAATATTTACTCTTTTCAAATTCAGGAAGTAACTCCAAGTTGTTTGGCACTAATTAGTGTATTATTTCCTGAAATAAGGGGCTTTATGTTTAAATATAATTTTATATCAGAGTAACGGTGTGGCGCTGAGAACTATATGATAGATATCACAAAAAAGTTGGTAAAATAAACATCCTATAGGCAAATCAAAGCCATGTTACTATCGTGTGTGTGTGTGTGTGTGTGTGTGTGGTTTAGTTTTTTATTTATTTTTTCTCTTAGTGTTTATGTCTGAAGGTTAGAAAGGAAAAGTTGGAGTGAAAGAGGGTAATCTGCTTCATTTATAATAAGGCTGAGACACATAGATTAAGTTTCACTTACAAAGAAAAAATAATTGGAAAGTAAGGATCTAATTCTAAAATTCTTCCCCTGCTTCTTATTTTCTAAGACAGCATATTGCACTCTGTATATACCAACTGTTTTTTTAAAATCATGTGGAAAATAATAGTCTTTCTCTTCTAGAATTTTGCTGTAGTGAAACTCAGCTTCATGATTTCCCCCTCTACTAAACAAAGGCATCTGTGGCACTATTGGGCCCTTTCCAGTGTCAACCTTACAGTCTTTATGATGTTGACACTTCTTCCTGAAACTTGGAGAACATTCTACCCAGAAATATATTTCGTTAGGAAGCACATTTCTGGCTGTGTTCTTTAAGTCGAGAAAATTGTAGTCTACACAGTCTTCATTCCACAAGACTCTTGGTGTCTAAAAGCAAGAAGAGTTCATGTAGAGGAGCTAAGTGTTTTTCACCCTCACATTAAAATCTCAAAGTTTCTTTTAGAAAGTGCTCTGGATATCAGTTCTTCAAAATCTTATATGCCTGATATATTTAAAATTTTCCCTTTATACATCCCAAGGTTAAAGAGTAAGAGGAATTTTTAATGTGCAATGTGTTACCTGTATGTACTATAGTAAGTATACTTGTTTTTTTCTGAAAAGCATTGCTTTTGAAATTGCCAGTATGAAATGTAAAAGAAACCACAGTTTCTGTGCGTGTGTACTTCTAAAAGCAGAATAAGAATTGGGGAATGTCTCTTTTTCTCACCCCAGTACATTGGGACCATCATAACCAACAGGAGCCTGGTTACAGAAGGGAAAACATACATGCTGTCACTAAGAATGAAGGCCCCTCTGTAATAGAATGAATATGCAAATCTGATTTCTAGAGGAAGGTATTCATGGTTAAGCAATGACACTTAATTATGGAGGGCATAGTTCTAGACAAACAAGTATATATGGTAATAGACATATCTTTGTTGTTCAGCCTCAATAAATATGCTTTAGAAGTCAATTGGCACCTAATTAACAAATAATTAGAGCCTCAAAGAATATAAATTTACATTTAGTTGCATTAGTTAACTCAGTGCCTTTAATGTTTTGCTTTTAGTAGCCTTTTACATAGGAATTTTACTACAGTTATTTCTCTTGCCAAATGAAATGTCAGGAAGCTAAGAATTATTAGAGCATTCTAATTGAAATTTGAAAACTAATTAGAATATGTGTTTCTATTTAGGAGCTGCTGAACTACAAAATCTGAACAAAAATAAATCACTATATTTATACTGTAACTGTCATACATTCTTAAAATTAAATTCGAACGTGAGACTTTTGATTTACAACATAACCAAAAATATATACCAAAGCACTTTAAACTTCTTCAAAAAGTTGTGAAGATATTTTTGAAACTAAATAGAAATAAAATCTGCTTTTCCTAGGATAAACTAACAAGTAAAATAGCAAGTAGTAGAATTTTAACAACATTATATGGAAAATATGGCAACACTGGCCAATATCAGCAGTTTCATTCACATGAATTGCATGGGATTAAACTTTTGCAAAGAAAAACTTGGCAGGCAAAGTTGTCAAACTCTTTCCAGAAATCGACTGACAGAAAACACACACACACACACACACACACACACACACACACACACCCCCACAGTGAAGAAAATTCTGGTATCAGTGATGTATTCCTAAACCTCAAATTACAAACATTCATGAGCCAAAACACACTATTTGAGAATCTGTGACTATTTAACTATAAATTTAAAATGTTTATATTTTTTAAAAACAATGCTTACATTTGACAACATAGAAAATTACCCCTTGGAGCTGGCTTATTTTGAAGATGCTCAACATTTGACTAAAATAGAAAAAGAGAAAAACCAACACAATATGAGACCATCCACCCTTTTACACATAAGGTCAGAAGTCATGCGGGAAAGGACTGAGCCTCTGCCTCCAAGCCACAGCCACACTCCACAGAGAATCCACAATGTACCAGTCATTTCCTCTGCTCAAGTTGTATGAAGCATTCATTCAATCTAGCTAACAAATATTTATTGGATGTCTTCTCCCTTACAGGTACTATAGTGTATAACCACCCTGGAAATTCCTGAGCTTCTGGAGGCTGCATTCTAGCGGGGGTGGAGTCTGAAGTAAAACCTAGTTCACATAAACCCTTGAATTTCCAGATTGGCGTTTCATTTATTTAGTTATTCATTCACCAAGCAAATTCCTGACATTGGAGCTACAGTGGAACTCTAGAGCTAGAGAGATAACAAGAAGTAAAAATGGATATAATTGAATAAAGGAGGTCCTTCCCTTACCCTGAAAATGGTACAATCCTAGAGGCTGTCTATTGTTAGCTACATGGGTCAGTAAGTTTGTGGCCTTCCATATGACGTAGGAAAAGTGATCTAAAGTTATCTCCGGTAGCTCATGATGTTGTATTTTGCCTCTGAGGAGAGTTTTTAGTTTAAAATGAAATGCTGTTTAAAATCAGGATTGCAGAGCTGCTGTTCCATCAATTGCCTGAGATATCAGCTAGTAAGGGGACACCCAGAGACTTGCCGCGTGGTGTAGCCTTTACTCCTAGAGTCTGCTGGGGCCAAGCGTATGATTCATGTGAGCAAGAGAGTGAACAGACCTTAGGAGAGAAGTTAACAGTTGCCACAGGATCCCTAGGGAGTGAGGAAGGCTTAGGGAGGAGGTGAAGGAACCATCTCCGTCCACAGAACAGCAAGTCAGAGGTCCCCAGGGATGAGAAGAATCCAGCAAATGGTCTAGCCCGCCAACAGACAGGCAAAGCCCTGCAACTCTGAAATAAGAACTGGGCTGTGACACTGCTTCCTCTCTCTCCCTACACTCCAAACCCAGGAGGACTATCTGAGAAGAAAAAGGAGAAATTCTGCTCTGGGTAAGGAAGGAGAGAAGTTTTCTCTATTCCCTCCTCTGAGCACTGGTCTCACATCTTCAGGAAGCCCAACAGGTTAGAAGGGTATGTGTGTGTGATCTCTGAGGCTTCAAGATTAACCCAAGTTCAAAGTTTTGCTAATCACAAGGCACTGGACATTTTGATTGCCGACTAAAGAATCTTGATTTTTTTTAAAAAAATGTGTCTTGTCTTCTCTGTTCTCCTGAATATATATCCAGGAGTATCTCTGAGAAATAAAGTAATGCAGCCACTGCATTTAGCAAAATGATGCCCCAGTGGCCTGAAATGATGACTGTGCCTACTGAAATGCCCAGTATCTACACCGGCAGCATCTGGTGGATGATGGCTGAGGATGCGTGCGTGTAGGAACTAAACTGCTGATACATTAACTTAGTGTGTCTTTATGATCAATACTGATCACTTTAGCAAAATCAACCGTGCAGTAAACTACATTGATCTTAAAGACGAGCGTGTGAACTATACTACAAGACTAGTTTCTGTTATTCTGTGTGGGTAGACATAGCCAGGACCTCATTCATAAAGCTCAGAATCAGCCCTGGTGCATTTTCAGATGACAGATATTATCTGCAAACGTATCTTGACTTTAGATTAATATGGTATTTACATAAATTAAAGGGACAGTGTGAAACTAGAACAATAATACAATCTTGTTAAAGCTGTGCTCTTGTCACAGCGACGTCTGTGTGAACACCCCTTTTACTCTCATATAGAACCCCAGAAGAAGAATGTGGAAATATCACTTGGAGAGAACTGCCAAGGAAGTTCACTCACAGATTCCTGCATCCTCTGGCACAGTGCTGCATGACTTTGAGCTGACCTTGAAATTTATGGTCTGGCACAAATAGTCATTAAACTGGGAACAGCTTGTGCAATGCCTTGATAACAAATGGTACCCAGCAATGTGTTAGCCGTGGAAAGAAATAAAAATATCCAATTTAGTTTTAATTCTGGAATGGAGAATGGACTGTGATTTTGAGATGCAGTCGCAAAGTTGAATGCCAATTCTGAGGAACAGGATAATGTTTATGATCTTCTAAGTGTACTTAAATTGGAGACTAGTAATAGGCTGTTCTGATTGAGCTACGAACAGCTGGCAGGCATGAGAGTTGTGCACTAACCTTCATCAGGTCTCTTGTTGTAAATTTATGAATTGGTCCCTTTTTCCTCAGCTCTGTGGAGCAAAGGGAAAGGAACTTATGCTTATCTAATGTATGAATGAGACACCACACCCTCTTAATGGCAGCGTATCTCAGCTTTTGCGTAGTTTACACCTCTGTTACACAAAGAGTCATAAAATTTAAACTGGACCCAAGGTAGCACAAGTTAATTTTTATCTCATGAGTTCCCTGAAAAAGTCTAGGCTATTGTATGATTTAGTATTTGGGTAATAAGGATTTTTCCACAGGATGTCATATTGTATATGAAATTTTGGTAAGTAAATTACTAATATTACATACAAAAATGAAGCTTTAAGTTTGTCTACATGGCATGAATAATATTGACCTATTAAAAGGAAAAAAAAACTGGCTTATTAGCTGTACCTGAGAAGGATATGCCAGGTGAATCTGTCTTACCCACAGGCCCTGGCAAAGGGATAGCACTGGGTCATTACTTACACACGTGTAGCAGCTGATTACCTGCAGTATGTACCCAACTCCAGGTCAGGCCCTCTATGGTTGGTTGTGTGGACTGGAAAGAATAGTTGAGCGGGATCAATTAGATTCCCTCTTTCCAGCATTCTCACTGAAATGTGGGAACAAATTGGCCAGGTGGGATCTGAAAGAGACAGAGTCATGGATGGGCAGAATGTAGTTGAGTCTCTTGGTGATCTAAATCAGGGAGAAGAGCTATGAATTCCTGCTACTCAGGTCTCTAGAGCCACTTTATGTCTAGAAGTGACTTCTACTTCCAAATTCCAGCTTTTGTGCTTGGACTTTGGAGAGGTTTCTAAAAGGTCTTGAAAAATATTCTGGCAGAGACTATCCACCACGAAAGTGAGGACAGAAAAGTGAAAGGAAATACTTTGATGTCTACCATTTTCACTTTTTACAGAACTGCAGTACTCCGTAAAGGAATCTTAGATTTTATCTGACTCAGTGTATCTAAAGTGTAGATCCATTCGTATGGCTTTCCAAGAACCAGTCTATAAATCATAAGATGGATTCCCATAACCTACTTCCCTAGATTCAGCACCTCCTGAGTGGTTCCTAGGACTCTCTTTTTAGAGAGCCTCCAGGCAATTCTAATGTCTTGGACTAGCCAGGTTTGGGTCCTGATATTGCTAACTCTCTCATTTTGTAGATTAGAAAATTGAGGCACAATGTCTTCACATGTCAAACCCTAAATTGCACAATTAATATATGGAAGAACCTGAAAAAGACTAATATCCTCTTGTTTCAAGTGTGTTTTCTAATCCACCAGTTTGTTTTTTTACAGAACTTTGGAATCCTTAATTGCAGAATTGACTTTACTAATTCACAAGGACAAGTATATTGGAGTTTACTGGGCCATCGGTATACTTTTCTATTCTACTATTACCCTAGTCTTTATCAATACTGAAAATAAATAGAAAACACAAGGGGCGATATATTCTCAAAGAAATGCTAGAAAAAAATTACTATTATCCTCAGTAAAGTTTGTCACACAAGGAAAGTATAGAGAAGGACCTAGAAAAGACAGAGTATGTGCTATGAATGTTGAATTATGTGTCAAATTTATAAAGAAATTATAGATTTAAAAATAGTTTTGTAAAGAGAATATTATCAAATGAATATAAAACTATTAAAAAACAATTGAACATAAAACAAAGGTTCTACAATTGAACCTAAAACAAAGTTAAGCTATGAAGTTAATTTTAAAACCATAGTAAAATATTTACGTTGGTAATATTCATTAAGTAAGCATCTTATTAGTTTCTCTTTCATGTTATTTCTGTAATTGTTTTTAACCTAAGGATATTGTTTACTTTTTTTAAGGGCTTATCATCACAGCTATCTGGCCTATACACTAAATCTTTTCTTTAAATGTTTTGATGCGTTTTTTTTTTTTACTGTGCTGTTTTCCTTTGCCAGCTAGGTTTAAGTGATTCTGTAGATGCAGTCTGGTCTCTACTTTGCAGATAACCTTGATGCAGGCTTATTGAAGCATAGAAAAAAAATGCACATTTAAATGTAACTACAAAAGTTTAACATTGACATAAGGAAAAAGCAAGTGTATTAATGTGTCCATTGAAAGTCTCTGTTACTGGGCTCATCAAAGAATTTTTGCATGGTCTTTGAAAGAGTTACAAGTAAAGTACATGGAAATAAAACTAAGCACAATGAAGTAAAAATGTATCAAATATATTCAAGAGTTTATGCTCAGAAATGAAAATTATTAGTCCCACTCCTTCATATCTTCCTGCATTCTTCTACATTTTCAAATAAATGTGGCATATTACAGAGAACACATGGCTGGGTACAGTGGTTCATGCCTGTAAACCAGCACTTTGGGAGGCTGAGGTGGGTGAAACACCTGAGTACAGGAGTTTGAGACCAGCCTGACCAACATGGTGAAACCCCATCTCTACTAAAAATACAAAAAAATTAGCCAGGCATGGTGGCATTCGCCTGTAGTCCCAGCTACTCAGGAGGCTGAGGCAGGAGAATCGCTTGAGCCTGGGAGGCGGAGGTTGCAGTGAGCCAAGATTGTGCCACTGTACTCCAGCCTGGGAGACAGAGTGAGACTCCATCTCAAAAAAAAAAAAAAAAAAAAAAAAGGACAGTTAAGTACAGTCATATGTCACTTAACCATGGGGATTGTTCTGTGGAATGTATTATTAGGCAATTTCGTCACTGTGCAAACATCACAGAATACACTTGCACAAACCTAGATAGTAGAGCCTACCACAAAACTAGGCTAAATGGTACAGCTTATTGCTCCCAGGCTGAAAACCTGCACAGCATGTTACTGTACTGAATACTGTAGGTGATTGTAACACAATGGTAAGTAAATATTTGTATATCTAAACATTAAAAAGGCACAGTAACAGCACAGTATAGAAGGAAAAACATGCTATATCTGTATAGGGCACTTAGCATGAAGTGAGCTTTCAGCACTGGAAGTTGCTCTGGGTGAGTCAATGAGTGAGTGGTGAGTGAATGTGAAGGCCTAGGACATTACCGTACACTACTGTAGACTTTATAAACTCTGTACATTTAGGCAGCATTAAAGTTATAAAAATAAAAGGAATTGTGCTACCGCCCACTGTCTCATATGTGGTCCATCACTGACCAAAACTTTAATATGTGGCATGTGACTGTATTCTCTCCATCTCACTTCCCTTTTGCTCCTCCAGGGCAAAAAAGGGATTACTCTGGCTAGCACTTTGTACTTACTGGACAATATTTTTTAAAATAGAAGGTAGGTTTTTATGTCAAAGGGAAATGAAGATGTGAGTCTCCCTAGTTCCAGAGAACCACTCTTACTGGAGTAACATCTATCTTAGATGTTCACAGTGGCGAGTAAAAACCTTTTGTGTATGTGCGTATCTGTCCTGGCAAGTATCTTCAACTTGCTCCTTAGACCAGGAAAGTAGCCAGTTTCAGAGCAGCAAAAGCTAGGCAATGTACTAGGCAATATTCTAAATGTGTTACAAAATGTATTAAAAATAAATGTATTATAAAAATGAAATTCATGAATCCTCACAACAACCTAGTAAGGTAGATACTATCATTATCTCTATTATACAGTTGAAGAAACAAAAGCACAGATAAAGAAACTGAGTCAAAGCGACTTGTCCAAGGTTTGAGAGTTTAGAGGGCTACAAGACTGATCCTAAAACTCTGAAAGAAGGGACTTCTAGAAAGGTGTAAAGGGGTTAGGTGAAGACCCTCCCTCAAAGAGACAAATATTAAGCTGTTCAAAATTAGTAAAGACAATTATTCAGTCTCTGGAGGTTGATCCAAGGGCTTACAACAAATTAGGAGTCATTTATTCATCAACATTAATTGGACTCTGTGAGAACAGTAAGAAGCCAGCATTTATCTAGGGGTGACAACCCCACACTTCCTCCCAGCTCTGTGTCTTGAAGCGGCCATTTCAGTGGGGATCTAAAGATGCTCTAAGCAATATCTCAATGTCCCCCAACTTCCAGGTCCTGCTTTGTAGGGAGGGCTCAGGCAGGACAGCTGGGGAAGAATGCAGCCCCTCATTTCCCCATAGCTGTGTGCCACTGTTCCTGGGAGACCTGCAGCCTGTGAACATCCCCAGATCCCACCTACTCCAGCTCTGGGGTGCAGCAGATCTATACTAGTCTGCGGCATTCATTCCCAGTTCCCTCCCCACCTTCTGTGTCATAGCACAGAGGTTATGCCCAGAGGACAACTGAGCAGGTCTCCAAGAACAGCAGTACCCTGCCCTGCCAAGTTTGACTATTCAGCTAAAGTAAGTGGCTCAGCTGGTAATTTTGGTATTTAGTTGAAGTCTATCTCAATCACACTTGGATTGAATTGACTTCTTTATAGTAAGCCCAGTGCTCTTTAATCCACTAAGTATAGCTTGAAATTACTCCCTGTGGGCTATCTTACTTGTTAAAATCATAAGGGAAGATCACATTTATTGACTTCTTATTCTAACACTTAGTATATTCCTTATTTTAATGTGAAGTCACCATTAAAGCTTTCAGTCCAAGACAAATGAAATAGCTATATATTCACTCACAAAAGTAGGCAAGAATTCATAAAATGATACAAGAAGGGGAGACACTGGTTAGGCTTAAGGTATCCAATTTTCTCTCAAAATTAATGCATTACTTTGAATGTAAAAGCCTGATTGTGCCACATGGTAGAGAATAAACTGATCTCTCTATGACTAATTCAGATTTTATTTGGTCAATAACATAGTCGTTGTAGTATTGGGAAGAAATTACATGTTTGTTTTTATTTGATGTGTACTTTATTTATGAGCTATAAGTTACCTCAGCCAGTCCAGCAATTTCCCCCAGATCTTTGTAAGTTTAGGTGAACTGTTAGTCATAAACTTTTTCATGGCATAATAATTAGTAGAGATACTTAAGCAGAATTGAAAATGTCATATCATTAAAATAAATATATTTATTAAATGTTTTTTGAGATTCTGAATGCCCACGTTAAGTAACAAACATTCATCTAGAACCTATAGCCCTGCTTTTTTAAGGCTAACATATTTACAATTCTGAAGTCACTAATTTTTTGTTTAGTAGACATTTGTAGTTAGATGTGGACATGTATAAAAAGCAGCATAGTTGAGCAAAGATTCATTTGAATGGTATAAGAAGGGACATATGGCCTTCAGCTTGACTGGACTTCATAGAAACTCCTCTGCAGAAAAATATTGGGTGGTGATATCTGATTAACAGCAATATAGAGAGAAAACGTGGGGATGCAGGGAAGTCATTCATTTATGGAATGGATGTTTGTGATTAGCAGACACCCAAGTAATTCTCAATTAAAAAATAGATTCACAAAAGTAATTGAGATATTGGGAAATGGTTTGGTGGTTCCTAAAGAAGTAAACATAGAGTTATATGGTAATATAAACTATAGGGTAATATGATCCAGAAATTCCATTCCTAGGTATATATTCAAAAGAAGACACACAGGTGGCCAATAAACATGAGAAAAATGCTCAACCTCACTAATCAATAGAGAAATGCAAATAAAAACCACAAGACACCATTTCACACCAGTCAGAATGGCTGTTACTAAAAAGTGAAAAACATCAGATGCTGGAGAGGCTTCAAAGTAAAGGAAATGCTTATACACTGTTGGTGGGAATGTAAAGTAGTTCAGCCACTGTGGAAAGCAGTCTGGAGATTTCTCAAAAAACTTAAAGCAGAGCTAGTATTTGACCCGCAATCCCACTACTGGGTACATACCCAAAAGAAAATAAAATCATTCCACCAAAAAGATACATATATTTGTATGTTCACTGTAGCACTATTCACAATAGCAAAGACATGGAATCAACCCAGGTGCCATCAATGGTGGATTAAAGGAAATGTGGTACACACATACCATAAAACTCTTACATAGTCATAAAAAATAATGAAATCATGTCATTTGTAGCAACATGCATGGAACTGAAGACCATAATCTTAAGCAAATTAATGTAAGAACAGAAAACCAAATACCACATATTCTCAGTTGTAAGTGGGAGTTAAACACTAAGCATACATGGGCATAAATATGAAAACATTAGACACTGTGGAATACCAGAGGGTGGAAGGGATGGGGGTTAAAAAAACTACCTATGGGTACTATGCTCACTACCTAAATGATGGGCTTCATACTCCAAACCTCAGTATCGCACTATATTCCCATGTAACAAGTCTGCACATGTATCTCTGTATCTAAAATAAAAGTTGAAATTTAAAAAACATTGAAAACAAGTTCTCAGTAAGAAACTTGCGTACATGGAGAAGGGTTTCTGGGAAGATGGCAGAGTAGCAAGCACCAAGAATCTGTCTCCCCACCTAGACAACAATTGTACTGGCAAAGTCCGTCTGGCGTAAATATATTGTAACTCTGGAGCCTATTGAAGGTTTGAACCTTCCAGGGAAAGGCTTAGACAGTATATTGCAGTTAATTTCAGTCAATTTCAGCAATTAGCACAGTAGCAGCTATCCATTCTCAATCTCTAGCATCATGGTAGACAGTTTTGCACATGTTCCTGGAGCAAGCTTCACACCACTTGTGGGAGCCAGAGTGGGCAAAACAGACACTATACTACAAATACTGGATATCTTTGCTCTGACCAATGATTGCTGCTTCTAATCACAGAAGTACAAACAAGGTGATAAGTAACCATTGTTGATTCATCTTCCCCTATTGATGTAAGCCCCTTCCTCTCTGACTGATGTAACTTCCAGAAGATTTAAAGTGACAGCACATCTCCCTCACCTCATTTTCCATTTTCCCTTCTTTGGAGAGCCAGATATTAAAAGGCTAAGATATTTAAAAGCAACTGAATATATGGGGAAAATTGGAAAGTGACTGTGCATGCCAAGGGATAGGCGCAGGCTTAGAAAAGATCTAAGAAAACATTAAGTTGATACCTTAGACTGATCCTTGGCACAGAGACTGCCTACAGCAATTTAAAATAAATACATAAACAAAACAGGAAAACCCAGAAAACTCTAGGAAAGGGGAGAACCTGATTTCCAGAGATGCTACTTTATTAGATTCAAAGGTCTAGTTTCCAACAAAAATAAATCACAAGATATATAAAGAGACAGTAAAGGATGGCCCATTCAAAGGGAAAAAAATAGACAAAAATTGTCCCTGAAAATATTTGATGGAAAATCTACAAAACGATGATGTTAAAACAACTATCTTAAAGAAGGTTAAGAAACAAAAGGAAGATGTGGAGAAAGTTAAAAAAAAAACATAAAAGAAATGGGAATATCAATTAAAAATCTAAAAAAAGAAATCTGAAGCTGAAAAATATAATAAGTGAAATAAAAAATTCACTACATGGATTCAAAGGTAGATTTAAGCAGGCCAGTAGAAAGAACCAGTGAACTTACAGATAAAACAATGGAAATTATCAAGTTCAATGAACAGAAAGAAAAAAAGACTGAAGAAAAGTGAACAGAACCTAAGGGATCTGTGGGACACCATCAATTAGACCAATCTATCCATTGTGGGAGTTTCAGATATAGAAGAGAGAGAATCCCTGGCAACATACAGAGACCTCATCTCTACAAAATATTAAAAAATATTAGCTGGGCATGGTGGCATACATCTGTAGTCATAGGTACTTGGACAGCTGAGGTGGGAGGATTGCTTGACCCGGGGAGTTTGAGGCTGCAGTGAGCCCGTAGTTGTGCCACTGCACTCCAACCTGGGTGACAGAGTAGGACTCTGTTTCAAAACAACAACAACAACAACAAACACACACACACACATAAAATTTAAAAAAAAAAACAGAGAGAGGGGAGAGAGAAAGGGGCACAGAGAGTATTTGAAAAAATAATAGCTGAAAATTTCTGAAATTTAATGAAAGACATGAATATAAACACCCAAGAAGCTCAATGAAATCTAAGTAGGATGAATTCAAAGAGGCACACACCAAGACACATTATTATCGGACTTTCGGAAAACAAAGACAAAGAAAAATCTTGAAAGGGGAAAGAGAGGAGCAATTTATCACATAGAAGTGATCTTTAATAAGATTATCAGCACATTTCTCATCAGAAATTTTTGAGGCCAGAAGGGAGTGGTCTGACATGTTCAAAGAGCTAAAAGAAAAAAAAATCAACCAAGAATTCTATATCCAGGTAAACTATCCTTCAAAAGGGAGGGAGAAATGAAGATATTTCAGATTAACAAAAGTTGAAAGCATTTGTTACCACTCGACCTGCTCTGCAAGAAATACTCAAGAGTATACAATTAAGTGCTGAATACTTCATTTCATCCTGCAGGATGAAATGAAGGGGCACTAGACAGTAACTCGAAGCTATATAAAAAATTAAAATCTCAATAAATGTAAAACATGGGCAATTATTAAAACTAGTGTTATTGTAAACAATGACTTGTAGCTGCACATTTTTTTTTTCTTTTTTTTGAGACGGAGTCTCCCTGTATCCCAGGCTGGAGTGCAGTGGCGCCGTCTCAGCTCACTGCAAGCTCCGCCTCCCGGGTTCACGCCATTCTCCTGCCTCAGCCTCCTGAGTAGCTGGGACTACAGGCACCCACCACCACGCCTGGCTAATTTTTTGTATTTTTAGTAGAGACGGGGTTTCACTGTGTTAGCCAGAATGGTCTTGATCTCCTGACCTCGTGATCCGCCTGCCTTGGCCTCCCAAAGTGCTGGTATTACAGGCGTGATTTCTTTTCTATCATAATTTAAGAGACTAATAATTTTTTAAAACAATTATTAATCTAAAAGCTTGTATTACCATAACTTCAGTTTTTAAGTCCACATTTTGTTTTCTACATATTTTAACAAACTCATGCATTTCAAAGAACAATTAGTTTATATTTTTGGTCACACACAGTATAAAGGTGTAATTTTATGATATCAACAACCAAAAGGGGTGGGGCAAACTGTCAAAGGAATAGTTTTTTTTTACGTTACTGAAGTTACGTTTGTATTAAGTTAGAGTATTATAATTTCAGAACATTAATTGTATTCCCATGATAACACCAAGAAACTAACAACAGCATATAAACAAAAGAAAATGAGAAAGGAATTTAAACATTTCACTAGAAAACACCAACTAAACCAAAAAGGAAGCAATAATGAAAAAAATGCCAGGGGAAACCTATAAGGTACATAAAAATAGATATCAAAATGAGAGAAGTAATTCCCTCCTTTTCAGTAATTATTTTAAATAAAATGGATTAAATTCTCCAATCAAAAGACATATATACTGCCTACAAGAAACTCACTTTAGATACAAAGAAGCCAATAGATTGAAAATGAAAGGATTGAGAAATATATTCCACACAAATAGCAACCAAAGGAGAGAAATAATGGCCATATTAATATCAGCTAAATAGACTTAAAAAAGATTACAGGAGACAAAGAATGACACCATATACTAATAAATGGTTCGATACAGCAAGATGATACAATAATTATAATATAAACATTTACACACCTAATGACAGATCCTCAAAATATATGAAGCAAAAACTGACAGAAATGAAGGGAGAAATGGACAGTTCTGCAATAATACTTACAGAATTCAATGCCTCACTCTAAATAATGGATAGAAGAACCACACAGAAGGCAAGTAAGGAAATGCAAGACTTAAACTCAATAAGCCAACAAGATTTAATGGAGGTATACAGGATGCTGTATATAGTTCATATACAGCATACACATTCTTCTCAAGTATACACTGGACATTTTCCAGGAAAGAAGATATGTTAGGCTACAAGTTAAGTCTCTATAGGTAGGTATCAAACAAAGTATCTTCTCTGACCTCAGTGAGATCAAGTTGGAAATCAGTATCAGAAGTAAATCTGAAAAATTTATAGAATTATGGAAATTAAACAACATACACTTAAAGAACCAATAGATCAAAGAGAACTTACAAGATAAATTATAAAATATTTAGAAACAAATGAAAATGAAAATGTAACATACCAAAAACTTATGGGACACAGTGAAAGCAGTGCTAAGGGGGGGGGGATTTATAGCTATAAATGCTTATATTAAAAAAATAAGGAAGAGCAGGGAGCAGTGGTGCACACTTGTAGTCCAGGCTACTCAAAAGGCTGAGGTGGGAGAATCAGTTTAGCCCAGGGGTTCAAAGCTGTAGTGCACTATGAAAGCACCTGTGAGTAGCCACTGCATTCCAGCATGGGCAACATACACAAAACCCCATTTCAATATCAAGCAAACAAAACAAACAAACAAAACACATGCACACAAAAAAACAAGAAAGATCTAAACTCAACAACCTAACGTTATAATTTAATGAACTCGAATAAAAGAAGAAAGTAAACCCAAAGCTAACAGAAATAACGAAATAAAGTTTAGAGCAGAGATAGACAAAAACGAGAATAGAAAAACAATAGAGAAAATAAAAACTTAAATGCTGGTTCTCTAAAAAGATCAGCAAAATTGACGAACTTTAGCTAAATGGACTAAGAAAGAAATGATTTAAATTACTAAAGTTAGAAATGAAAGTGGTGCCATTACTACTAATTCTACAGAAATAATAAAGATTATAAGAGATTACTATGAATAATTGCCAACAAATTGAATAACTTGGATGAACTGGACAAATTCCTAGAAACACAAAACCTGTTGAGACTAAATCACAAAGAAACAGAAAATGTGAATATACCTATGAACAGTACAAATATTGAATTCGTAATTAAAAATCTCCTTAAAAAATAAGCACTGGACCTGATGGCTTCAGTGGAAAATTCATCCAAACATTTAGGCAGAACTAACACCAATCTTTCTCAAACATTTCCAAAAAGTTGAAGAGAAGGGAGTATCTCCTAATTCATTCCATGAAGTCCACATCACCCTGTTACCAAAACTAGGCAGACACTGCAAGAGAAGAAAACTACAGATTAATACCCCTTGATGCAAAATCCTCAGCAAAATACTAGCAAACCAAATTCAACAGTCCTTTAGAAGAATCCTACACCATGACCAAGAGGGATTTATCTCTGGAATGTAAGGATGTTTCAACATATGAAAATCAATCAGTATAATATATATATAACAGAATGAAATAAGAAAAACACATGATTATTTAATTGGTACAGAAAAAGCATTTGACAGAATTCAATACCTTTTCAGCCCTCAAAAAACTTGGAATACAAGAAACTACCACAAGATAATAAAAGCCGTATGTGAAAAACACATAGCAAACATCATAAACAAAGATAAAAAGACTGAAAACTTTTCCTCTAAGATTAAGAACAAAGCAAAGATGCCTGCTCTCTTCATTTCAACATAAGACTAGAATTTCTAGCCTGAGCAATTAGGCAAGAAAAAGAAATAAAAACCATCTAAATTGGAAAGAAAGAAGTGAAATTATCTCTGTTCACAGATGATATAATCATATATGTAGAAAAGTAAAGATCCCCCCAAAAATTGTTAGCATTAACAAATGAATTTATCACAGTAGCAAAATACAAAGCCAATACACAAAATCAGTTGCATTTCTATACTCTTTAACAATGAACAATCTGAAAAGGAAGGTATGAGAATAATTCCATGATAATGGAAGCAAAAAGAATAAAGCACTTAGAAATTAACCAAGGAGGTAAAAGATTGTACAATGAAAAGTAGACAACATTACTGAAAGAAATCAAACAAGATGTAAATTCATGAAAGTACATCTCATGTTCATGTCAAAATGAACAGATTCAATGTAATCACTATCCCAATGACTTTTTTTTTTTGCAAAGATAGAAAACTCATTTAAAATTCATGTGGAATCTGAAAGCACCCTGAATAGATGAAACAATCTTGAAAAAGAAGAGCAAAGCTGAAGGACTCAGATTTTCTGATTTTGAAACTTACTGCAAAACTACAGTAATCAAAACAATGTGGTACTAGCATACAGACAGACATATAGACCAATGGAATAAAATAGAGAGCCCATAATTCCACCTTGTGATATATGGTCAAATAATTTTTGACAAGGATGCTAAAACCGTTCAATAGAGAAAGGACAGTTCTTTCAACAAATGGTACTGGGAAAGCTGGATATCCACATGTAAAAGAATGAAATTTGTGCCTTACCTAACACCATTTAAAAAAAAATCACTCAAAATGGATCAAAGAACTAAATGTGAAGTCTAACCTATAAAACTTGTAGAAGAATCAACATGAGGTAAAAGCTTCATGACCTTGGATTTGGCAGTGATTTCTTGGATATGGCACCAAAGGCACAGGCAGTAAAAGAAAAAAATGACAAATTGTGAGCATCATGAAAATTAAAAAAAAAATGTGCATCAAAGGACCATATCAACAAAAAAAGTAGGCAACCCACCGAATGGGAAAAATGTTTGCAAGTCATATAACTGATAAGGGATTAATATCTAGAATATATAGAGAACTCCTAAAACTCAACAACAACAACAAAAAATCCAATTCAAAATGTGCAAAGGACTTGAATGGACATTTCTCCAAAGAAAATAAATTGGAATTGCTTCCCATTGTTGGTAGGAATGTAAAATGATAACAGCTACTACACAAAGCAGTATTGCAGTTCCTAAAAAAATTAAAAATAGAATTACTATATGATCCAGCAATTCCACTTTTGGGTATACACCCGAAAGAATTGAAAGCAGGGATTCAATGAGATATTTTTTATATCTACGTTCATAGCAACACGATTCACAATAGCTAACATGTGGAAACAACCCAAGTGTCTATAAATGAATGAATGGATAAGACAAATATGGTATATACATGCAATGGAATATTATTCAACCTTAAAAAAAATGGAAATTCTGACATATGCTGTAACATGGAAGAACCTTGAGAACATTATGCTAAGTGAAATTTCATTTCCAAAAAGACAATTACTGTGTGATTTTACTAACATGAGGTACTTACAGTAGTCAAAATTATAGTCAGAAAGTAGAATGGTGGTGACCCAGTCAGGGACTGGGTCAGGGGACTGGGGAAATGGGGAGTTATTGTTTAATAGGTACAGAGTATCAGTATGACAAGATAAAAGAGTCCTGGAAATGGGTGACAGTGATGGTTTCACAGCCTTATACACGTATTTAATACCACTGAACTGTACACTTAAATATGGTTAAGATACTGTCTTTTCAGTTTCTTGGTGTATCCGTTGAAGCACAAAAGCTCTTAATTTTCATGAAGTCCAATTTATTAATCTTCTATTGCTTATGATTTTGGTGCTTTTATACTTTTACACAATATTATGAAGATTTACTCCTATGTCTTCTGGTGAGAGTTTTCTAGTTTTAGGTTTTATAGTAGGTCTGTGAATCACTTTTAGTTTGGGTATAGTAAGAAGTAGGAACCCAGTACTTTGCACATATTCACACAGTTGTTCCAGCACAAGTGGTTGAAAAAAACATTCATTTTCCATTGAATTGTTTTGGCCTCTTTGTTGAAAATTAATTGACCATAAATGTTAGAGTAGAAGGTTAGGTTATGGATTTGAGATAATTATTTTCTTTTTCTAAAAGGTGTATAAAGGTATAAATTTCCCTCCAAATCCTGCTTTAGTTGCATGCCACACATTCTGTGATGTTGAACTTCTTTTTTATCCACATAAAAATATTTTCTAATTTCCCCTGTGATACCTTCTTTGACCTATTGTTTATTTAGGACCTTGATTAATTTCCACATATTCATGACTTTTCCAAATGTCTTTCTGTTGTTGATTTCTAATTTAATTGCCTTATACCTATAGAATATAATTTGTATGATTGTAATACTTTTAAATTTATTGAGGCTTATTTATGACCTAGCATATGGTGTTTCCTGGAGAATGTTCCATGTGCACATGGCTTGCTCATCTGGGAATGGAACTTAACATTTTATGATAAAACTGTGGTGGGGCCCATTAAAGCCCAATATTTTCAGCCTTCCATGTCTATAGTAGAGGATCCACTGTATAGGTGAAGGCTGAATTGTGGAAGGGACCACCAGTCCTCTCTGTCATGTCTGCTTGGAATAGAGCTTCTGCAACACGGAGCTATGAGGGATGAGAGATGCCAGCTCCCTGCTCCTTCTGGCTTGAAACTATAGCCCTAGACAGGGATCTGGAGGTAGTTCAAGACGCCTGCCCCTCCAGCCTCGAAACTATAGCCCCAGACTGGGTGCTGGAGGCAGTTGGAGACCCCTGCCCCTCCTGGTTTGAAACTGTAGCCCAAGACTAGGCACTGGAGCCAGTGGGTGACCCATTTTATTGTTGCTCTTGCTCAGTAAACATCTTAATTTTACTGACCTTGGGGGTGGGGATGGGAGCAAGGTGTGATTCAAATGTAACAGTCCCTGTTTTCTATTTGCTGTATGTACTTCAGGCAATTTCCAGATACTTTAAATGGTTGGATCTTTTTTTTTCATAATTTTCACCGGTTAAATGATTGTTTTGCCACCAAGCTCTTCACACTTCCATTTTGGAAGTCACAATATGCCTCTATTCTTAAATAACAAAAATAAATAGCAAACTGGTACAATCACAAATAGAGGTTTCATGCAGGAAGTTTTTAAGCATTACATGTTTTCATTCTTGCAATAATGTCAAATTTATCTTTTAGAAATGGGCAAATAAATATATCTGTGTTTTTTGCTTGAATGAAAGTTATAAGTGACAAATTGTTATTCCTATTCTTTCCTGAAATAGACAAAAATATTCATTATTATGTTGCAAGTGTCTGAGAATTCCAGACATATAAAGAGAAATTAGACAAAAGTTTTTTTAAACATATAGCATGTTCTGGGATGGAACTGTTTAGTATTGCAAAACATATCTGTTTTCTCAAAATTAGAAAGCAATCTCATTTAAAATACAACATGATTTTGAGGGATCTTGATAAGCTAATTCTAAAATTTATCTAGAAAATAAAATGTGTGAGAATAGCTAACAAACTGAAAAAGGAGAGCAAATAAGAGATGTATTTTTTTTCTATCACATAGAAAAATATATTGAAAACCACAGAAATAAAATAAAGAATAAATAAATAAATTGGTAGGTAGGTCAATGCCTCTGAGCACAGGTGATGAAGATGACATTTCAAATTACTGGGAAAAGACTGGAAATTTTATAAATGATTTTTGGGAAACTGATTATCCATATGAAAATTAAAAATGGGAAACTTATGATGTACTATATGTAAAATAAAGTCTAAATTAAAAAAAGGAATAAATATAAACACCTCACATTATAAACTTATTGGAAAATTCTGAGACAGTAATTCAGTAACCTCAGGGAAAATGAAAACCTCTGATAGCAAAGCATAAATGCAAGATCGTAAATAAAATACTGATACGGTTGGCTGCATATACATTAAAATTTTCTGTGACAAAATGTGCCATAAACCAACTTAAAACCAAAATGAGAGAAAACAACAAAAAAATAGTTTTTACTTAGATAAAATACACACAGAATATATAAATATTGTATACATATCAACAAGAAAAAACATACAACAGGGAAAAGTGCAAAAATATGAGAAGAAAATTAATGAAAGAGGAAATCTAATAACCATTAGGAAAAATTGTCTAGTATATATGGGAGAAGACTCTCCCCTCCATTACTAATCAGGGAAAAACAAGATAAAACAACAAATTATTTCAAAAATTAAAAAGACACATAGTTCCCAACAGTGAAAGATCCAGGAGGCCAGAACCTCTGCTTTGATCTCCACTGATCAGTACCAAACACAGCACCTGGCATAGAGAATATCTGAACACTGGTTGAATGAATAAGTAAATGAAGGAATGAATACTGATAGACACAGGGAAATAACTGCACTTAATATTTGCATCTTTTCTGATTCATGTGCTTTATTCTCAAGTTCTCTGTCAAAGACTTTCAAATCCAATGTCCTCCTCGAAGATTTCCTTGATTAAGATCGGTTTTCTTACAACACATTAAAAAAAGAACCAATAATACATTTTCTTTAGATTGTCTTTATACTTTTATCATAACATAATAATGTATAATCATACTAATACAAAATGTCATTTACTGATCTATAGGGACTGTTTTTGGTGCTGTTTTATTGCATTCTGAAAAAAAAATACCAGTTATTATCTCTGCACAATCCTTAGCTGCTAGATATTTTCTCAATTTTACAGATAAAGTTACCTCTCTACAGTCATATAATTAATAGAGTAAGATTTTTATCCAGATTGCCCGATGTCTCTTCCATCTGTTACAAGGCTTTCCAATATACACATAAATTTGGATTCTATCACTAGGTAGGGTAAGCCCAACCCTGAATGCCAAAATTTATTTTCATTTATAAAACATGTTTTGTTAGTATTTGTAGTTTGCCTACCATGCCTAACAGAGCAGGTGCTAGTGGTTGTTATGTTTTCTTAGAGGGTACGAAGAGGTCTATGTAATGTACCCAAATGTAGATTGATGTTGGTGATGTTTCAAATTTTCCAGTTGCCAGTCTGTAACCATAACAACAGGTGATAGTTAATTAATATGCTTAACTACATGTGCATCAGCCTCTCTCATTCCTATCTCTTACTTAAGTCACTGCTGTGGCAGCCAGTTTTTGCAAGATACTGATCTGCTTTGCACAGATATTATTTTTTACCCTTCTCATCCTCCGCTGAGTTTTCCTGTGACACCAAGGAATGGTACACTTACAGGATCCCTCAGGACACTTGATATTTGCATCTTATTAGATGCATGTTTTACTCTCAAGCCCTCCACCAAATATCTTCAAATCCGAAGTCCTCCTGGGCAATATCGGCCTGGGCAACTCAGGAACATATGTATCTTTGACTGCTGAGGTGGCAGATAAGTGCCACTGATGTTGGTCCTCCAGAAGACACTTTGGTGACTTATTTCACAAGCTTTTCAAACATTTACTGTGGAATTGAACGCCAGTGGCCCCCAGCAATAAACATCAGAATAAGTATCGTTTTATTGCCATTCCCTTCTTCCATGTTTTACTCCCTTGATACTTCACTCTTGCTCCCTGAGATTACTTCTCAATTATACTACCTTCATGGAAGCTTTTGTTTCAGATTCTGACACCAAAATATGGTAGTGGGGACAGGATGGGGAAAGGATCTTTGACTGCTGGGGAAGATGCTTGAATAAGTACATAAATGCTATTACCTTGACCTTGAAACATATTTTTATGATATCTTTCCAGCTCCTAGTCCATCAAAACAAATGCTGTGCTTTGTATTGATCTTTTAATTCCCCCTTTGGCTTTTACCTTTCATTTAGAAATAGGTATTGTTTTCTTACTTGCACAGTTCTCAATTTTTATTTTTTACTTTACATAGATTACTACCTAGTCTCATACACAAAATCCCTGAAGATAAGGCTCTGGAAGATAGATAAGGTATAAAACTGTAGCCATTAAATGACTGAATGGCCTTAAATGCTAGCATTAGGAATGTGAAATTTATCCCTAGGTAATGAGTAACCACCAAATGTTTATTAAGAATAGAGTAACTTGTTAATAGTTACATTTAATTAAATTAACCTGCTGGTGATGTTGAAGGTGAGTTGCTTTCATGAGATTGCCTAGTCCAGAAATCGCCTAATTTGAAGTAAGGGTTGGAATTTCTAATTTCTATTTAATTTTCTGATGTAATTGTACATAATATATAATCTAAAGTAATTGCTTAAAATAGTATAAATATTTAGTTAAATGTCCCATTTTGCTCATATTTGTATATGATTTTTATATCTTTTGTTCTATATAACATGCATTTGTCAGTTATGTTCTTTTTTTATTAAACTAAACTTATGAAGAGATTATCTATATAATATGTAATTGGTTAACTTGTAGAGAGGGCTAACAGTATTTGTAATAATTATAGTTTTGTGATAATAGTAATGTTTCAATGTATACTGGTTACTTTCCACATTTAGGTTTGGTGCCTAAAATTCAAAGACCAAATCATATTAGGAACTTCAATAAGCAAACATTATTATATCATAATTTTTAATAGATCCTTTCATTTTCTGAGACTTAAGAGCTAGGATGCTAAGCCTGGTATGCTAAATATTGTATTCTGTACTCCATTTAGACTTTGATTTGGATTTAAAATTCAAAATCACTTCCATCATTTCTATCCTTGTGAGTGTGTGCCTGTGGGGATATTAAAATAGAGAAAGAGCTACTTGGAGAGATGAAGTGATTGAATTTGATGCCTAAGGCCAGAAACCTCATTTTGCTTATGTTAATATGTAGAACTTTCTGCACTCCTATCCATGGCTAGTAAATGCTTTTTCTTGATTTTGTAAAATTCAGCATTGTACATTCTGGTTAAAAACCTTATTTCTTTTGTTGCAAATAGTGCTAGCAACCAACTTCAATCTAGATACTATTAACATGGCTCAATTATAAAATGATTACATATGATTACAGAAAAGCAAAATCTATGTGTTTCTATGTTTAACGTCACTTTATTTAAGATTGCAGATTAAAGCTTTTGCAATCTTAGGTAAATCAATAATTAACTTAGCACAGAGATAGAATATAGAGATGAAATCATAAGTCCAAGGAGGCTTTTTCAAAGAATTTTAATAAATATGTAGTGGAATATAATCTGTCCCAAAGAAGTGCAGATATCATTGGGGGCCCACCATGGCAGGGTAACATAAGGAAGACAATGTTTGTCACTATTATCTATAAATTAATTAGTTAATTTATCCATTTTCAACAAATACTTAGTGAACACCCACTTGTTGGCATTCCAAGATGAATAATATAGTGTCTCAGGCCTAGGAGAACTCAGAGGATAAGGCGGAAATGGGTGGGGAGAAGAGGAATGCACGAATATACAATTATAATTTAAAATAGTGAATACTGTGATGAGTATGCTTATGAATCATTATGAAAATGCAGAAGACAGGATGAATTCCTGGGTCAATCATAAAAAAGTTTTCCAAAGGCAAAAGGCCCATCTAAAGTGTTTCTTAGACCATGCAGAGGAGTCTACCAGCCGAGAAGTAGAATTAAAGCATCAGAGACAGAAAGAGAATAGCATGTGTGTAGGCTAAAATTCTTGACAGAAATGTGTCTTGTTTTAGTTATGGGGAGCAAGGGAGGATGGTGTCCCAGGCAAAAGGCTGGAGTGTTGAGAGGCAGGGGGATGATGACAGACAGGTTAGGTATATATGTATAATGCAGGACCTTATATATCATGCAAAAGTATTTGGGCTTTTAAGTAAGAGACTGATTTGTTCAGATTTGTGCTTTAGAAAAATAGCTGATGGCCAAAGTGGAGGAGGGACTGGTGACGAGTATAAGGTTGAGGCAGTTGTTCAGTTGAAGCTGAGTTTGTACTAAGACTTTGGGAGTGGGAATGTAGTGGTGTTGGCAGAATCTGGGCTTCCTGACTGATGTGTTGTGGGAAACGAGGAAAAAGGAGCTGACAGAGATGATGCCTAGTATCCTTCTGCTGGTGTTGATGGTGCCACTAGTTAAATCACAGAATGTCAGAGAAAGAAAACCTAACAACAAAGGAGTATGGTTTGAAAATATTACATTTGTTGTTTGTAAATTCCTTTAGTAGACATGAAATTTTGTAAAGTAATAATTATAACAATGTATTGTTGGGTTTGTAACATGAAATGGTTCAATATGTATATAACAATAATATCACTAAAAGGTATATGTGTAGCAATAATATTACTATATTGTCATATAATAGATAGTAATATCACTATATTGTTATATAACAGCTATAAGAATAATTTCACTGAAGAGGGATACAACTGTAGGGGAGTAACATTTAAAGATCTCACTGGAATTCAGTTAGTAAAACTCTGAAGTAGCTTCTGATGAGTTTAGATGTATGTGATAAGCCTTAGAGAAACCACTAAGGAAATCACTTAAAACTATAGTGAAAAATGATTAAAAGTAATAAAATGTTACACTAGACAATATTTACTTGATGCAAAAGAATATAGTGGAGGAAGACTAGCAGCAAAATAGACATGAGACATGTAGAATAAAAACTAAAATGAGAGACATCACTCCAGCAATATTGATAATAACATTAACTGTGAATGGATTAAGCTATCCAATCAAAAGGCAGAAATCATCAGGCTGGATAAAAAACAAGATCCAACTATATGCTGTCTATAGGAGGTAATTTAGATCCAAAGATACAAATAGGATAAAAGTTAAACAAATGGCAAAAGAGATGCGATGCAGAATACAAGGTTAATATAAAAAAGTCAATTGCTTTCCTTTATTTCAGCAATGAAAAATTAAAATTTGGAAATAAAAACAATACCATTTCCATTAACAACAAAATCATAATATACTTAGGTATAAATCTAACAAAATATGTACAGGATCTATATGCAGAAAACTACAAAACTTTGATGAAAGCACTAAAAGATCTAAATAAATGGAGACCTCATTGTGATTTTAATTTTTATTTCCCTAATGATTATTGAAATTGAGCATTTTTTTCATGTTTTTTGGACACTTTTATGTCTTCTTTTGCAAAGTATTTGTTCGTGTCTTTTGCCCACCTTTTAATGGAATTATTATTATTTTTTTCTTGCCAATTTGTTTTAGTTGCTTATAGATTTCGGAGATTAGTTCATTATCAGATGCCTAGTTTGCATCTGATTGAAGTTCTTAGGTTTTCTGTTAACTCTGTTGAATAGTTTCTTTTGCTGTGCAGAAGTTCTTTAGTTTAAATGAGCCCCAATTGCCAATATTTATTTTTGTGGCATTTGTTTTTGATGTCTCAGTTATAAGTTATTTGCCTAAGTAAATACCCAGAGGAGTTTTTCCTAGGTTTTCTTCTAGGGTTTTTATAGTTTTAGGTCTTTCACTTAAGTCTTTAATCTCAAACCAGTCAGAATGGCTTTTATAAAAAGTCATAAAATATTGTGTTTGCCAGGATGCGGAGAAAAGGGAACACTTGCGTTTTTGGCGGGAATGTAAATTAGTTCAGCCCCCGTGGAAAGCAGTATGGAGATTTCTCAAAGAACTAAAAATAGAACTACCATTTGACCCAGCAATCCCACTACTGGGCATCTACCTAAAGGAAAATAATTTTTTTCTACCAAAAAGATACCACATCATTAGTCATAATAGCAAAGTCATGGAGTCAACCTAGGTGCCCATCAATGGAGGACTGGATAAAGAAAATGTGGTACATATATACCATGGAACACCATAAAGTCATAAAAAATGAAATGATGCCCTTTGCAGCAACATGGATGTAACTGGAGGCTATTATCTTAAGTGAATTAACACAGAAACAGAAAACCAAACACTGCCTGTTCTTCCTTATAAGTGAGAGCTAAGTAATAGGTATACGTGGATATAGAGATAGAAACAATAGGCACTAAGAACTTCAAAAGGGTGGAGAGAGGGAGGCAGGTAAGGGTTGAAAAACTATGTATTGGGTATCTCTCAGGTAGTTTTTTACTGTGTGAATGATCGGTTCAAGAGAAAGTCAAACTCCAGCATTATACAATAAATTGTGTAATAATCCTGCACATGTACCACCTTAATCTAATATTGAAAAAAAGAAAAAAGCAATCAGAGAGATAGTCTATGTTCACGCTTTGAAAAACTCAGTATTGCTAAGATACCTATTCTTCCCAGCTTGATCTACAGGTTCATTGCAATACTATTTGAAATCACAGCACTATTTCACTTATGATCCAGCAATCATGCTTTTAATTATTCCTCTACCTAATTTGAAAATTTACGTCTAAACAAGATTGTACAGAGATATTTATAGCGGTTTAATTCATAATTACCAAACACTGAGAATAACCAAAATGTCCCTCAGTAGGTAAAAGGATAGACAAACTGTGGTACATGCATGTAATAGGGTATTAATCAGTCATAAAAGGAAATGAGCTATTAAGCCAGGATAAAACACAGAGAAACCTTAAATACATATTGCTCAGTGAAATAAGCCAGTCTTAAAAGCCAGCATACTGCGGGACTTCAATTATATAACACTCTGGAATAAGTAAAACCATGGAGACAGTGCACAGGTCAGCAGCTGCCAGGGTTAAAGAAAAGGAGACAGGAATGAATAGGTAAGCATAGGCACTTTTAAGGGCAGTTAACCAGGGCTTCTGGGAGAAATGGCTTATCCTAGGACTGGAGCAGAAAATATAAAAGATGAGTCTGGAGCATCTTGTAGTACCGGAAAGTAAGAAAGTACTCAAAAATATATGTGTATAGATAAGTGTTTGTCAAAGGGGCCTAGGAGCCAACTGAAGTTCCCCCCAATGGCCAAAGCTGAAACAATCTGAGTAAAAAAATTAATAAAGTATTATTAGAATGTATCTCAAAGTATAAGTATGCATGATTCCATATTGACATAAAAACATAATTGAGTAAGTTAATACATAGGGGAGGAGAAACACATCTCCCAGCCATATGAATTATGAATTATTTAGATACCTCATCCAAAATGAGGGGAGCATAATGACTTCCTTCCAAAGTTACTCCTTCTCACCTTTCCCCCTTCCACAGCCTGGAAAGGGGAAAGGTGAGAAGAAGTAACTTTACAGCAAAGAAATCTGAAAAACATTATTTCATTCAGACAAGGATGGTGACCATCAACAATCATAATCATGTTGATACTACGTACTGTTGATATGACATGATGAAAATGGCATGCCACTTACCTCTGTGATCTTCCTCTCCCAAACTCATAACCCCAAACTAATTATGACAAAGAAATTCTAATTCCAATAAAGGGGCATCCTACACAAATATACCTGACCAGTACTCTTCAAACTGTGAAGATCATTAAAAACAAGGATAGTCAGAGAAAATGTTACAGCCAAGAAGATCCTAAGGAGACATGACAACTAAATGTAATCTGGTATCCTGAATGGGATCCTGAAATGAAAAGGAAAACTAGGTTAAAAAGTAAGGAAATCTTAATAAACTATGGACTTTAGCTAATAATAATGTGTATATGTGTATTAATATTAATAAATGTATCACACTAAGGTAAAATGCTAATAATAGGGGAAAATGTGGGGGTGGGATGAGGAAAGGGTATACGGAAACTCTATACTATCTGATCAACTTTTTTGTAAATCTAAATCTATAAAAATAAAATATATTAATAAAAATTATAGAACAATATTACTCATTAACCAAAAAGAAAAGAATCCTTAACAAATGTTTCAAGTCAAATTCAGCTGTACCTAAAAAATATAACACATCATGTCCAAGTGGGGATGACAGCAGAAATTCCAGGTTGGTTTTCCATTGACAATTGCTATAATTCACCACATTAAAAAAAAGAAGCATGATCGGCTCACTAGATAAAGAAGAAGCATCTTTCCAAATTTAATATACATGCCTAACAAAACTCTTATTAACCTAGTAATACCTCAACCTGATAAAGGAAATTTATGAAAAATCTACAATTGACCTCATATTTAATGCTTTATCCATAAGAACAGGAACAAGGAAAGCATGCCCACTCTCACTATAACAATTTCACGGATTTTCTAGCTTGTGCAATAATACAAGAAAAAGATACAAAAGCCACAAAAATTTCAAAGGACATCATCTATAGTCATTTTTCAAGAATCTAGCACAAAAATACTAGTACTAGTAAGTTTGTGTAAGATCTCAGGATACAAGACTCATAAGATAACATAATTGTATTTCTATATACTAACAACAAACATTTGAAAACTGAAATTTATACTTACCATTCACAATAGGATCAAATATATAAAATATTACCAGAGGACATTAACAATATATGTGAAAGACCTATATAGTGAAAACTACAAAACACAGATAAGTTTTTAAATGTCTAATAAATGGAGATATATGCTCTATCATGGATTGAAATATTAAATATTGCTAATATGTCAATATTCCCCTGCTTCATTTATATATTCAATGTAATCTCAATCAAAATCCTGGAAGATTATTTTTAAGGAAACTGACAAACTGATTCTAAAATTCATATGAGGATGCAAAGTACCAAGCTGCTTTGCAACTTTTGGAAATTTTCCAAAAGCAACTTTGAAGAAGAACAATTCATAGAGCCAAAACTATCTAACTTCAATATTCATTATAAGGGTACAGTAATTAATACAGTATGGTATTGTCATCCTGTTAGACAAATAGATCAGTATAACAAAATACAGAGTCCATAAACAAACCCACACATATATGGACAACTGATTTTTGACAATGGTGCAAAAGTAGTTATATGTGGAAGGGTAAACTTTTCTACAAATGTGTGGAATAATTGAATATTTACATGCAAAAGAAAAACTAAATTCAACTGCTACCTCACCTCACATACAAAATGTAACTTACGTTGCATAGATGTAAATGTCAGAGTGAAACTATAAAATATTTAAAAGTAAATGTAGAAGAATATCTTAATGACCTTGGGTTAGCCAATGATTTATTAAGTAGGACACAATGAGCAAAAGTCATAAAATAAAACAATTCGTTATTGTAAAAATAACCATACTGCCCAAAGCAAGATAAATGTTCAATGCAATTCCCATCAAGATACCATCGTCATTTTTCACAGAACTAGAAAAAAATCTTAAAATTCATATGGAACCAAAAAAGAGGCTGCATATCCAAAGCAATACTAAGCAAATAGAACAAATCTGGAGGCATCACATCACCTGACTTCAAATTATACTACAAGGCTATAGTCACCAAAACAGCATGGTACTCATATAAAAATAGGCACAGACCAATGAAACAGAATAGAGAAGCCAGAAATAAAGCCAGATTTATACAGCCAACTGATCTTCAACAAAGTATACAAAAACATAAACTGTGGAAAGGACGCTCTTTTCAACAAATGGTGCTGGGAAAATTGGCAAGCTGCAAATAGAAGAATGAGACTGGATCCTCATCTCTTACCTCATACAAAAATCTATTCAAGATGGATCAAAGACTTCAATCTAAGACCTGAAACCATAAAAATTCTAGAAATAACATCAGAAAAACTCATCTAGACATTGGCTTAGGCAAAGAATTCATGACTAAGGCCCCAAAAGCAAATGCAATAAAAATAAAAATAGTGGGACCTAATTAAACTGAAAAGCTTCTGCACAGCAAAATAAATAATCAGCAGAGGAAAGAGACAACCCACAGAGTGGGAGAAAATATTTGCAACCTATGCATCCAACAAAGGACTAATATCCAGAATCTACAAGGAACTCAAACGAATCAGCAAGAAAAAAACAAAAAACAAAAAACAAAAACAAATAATCCCACCAAAAAGTGGGCAAAGGACATGAATAGACGATACTCAAAAGAACATAAACAGCAAACAAACATATGAACAAATGCTTAACATCACTAATTATCAGGTAAATGCAAACTAAAACTACAATGAGATACCACCTTACTCCTGCAAGAATGGCCAAAATTAAAAAGTCAAAAAACAACAGATGTTGGCATGGATAATGTAAACTAGTATAACCACTATGGAAAACAGTATGGAGATTCTTTAAAGAAATAAAAGTAGAACTACCATTCAATCCAGCAATCCCCCTACTGGGTGTCTACCAAAAGAAAAAGAAGTCATTATATGAAAAAGACACATGCACATGCATGTTTATAGCCCACAATTTGCTATTGCAAAGATATGGGACCAGCCTAAGTGCCCATCACCGATGAATGGATAAAGAAAATGTGGTATACATACACCGCAGAGTGTCACTCAGCCATAAAAAGGAACAAAATAATGTCTTTTGCAGCAACTTGGATGGAGCTAGAGGCCATTATTCTAAGTGAAGTAACTCAGGAATGGAAAACCAGATATTGTACGTTCTCATTTATAAGTGGGAGCTAAACTACCAGGCTGCAAAGCCATAAGAATGATATAATGGACTTTGGGGACTTGGAGGGGAAGGGTAGGAGGGGAATGAGTGATAAAATAATATGTATTGTGTACAGTGTACACTGCTCAGGTGATGGATGCACCAAAAATCTCAGAAATCACCGCTAAAGAACTTATCCATGTTACCAAAACCTCCTGCACCCCAAACTATTGAAATAAAAGTATCAGTACCATGCTGTATTGGTTACTGTAGCCTTTGTGGTAGAGTCTGAAGTCAGGTAACATGATGCTCCAGCTTTTTTCTTTTTGTTTAGGATTGCCTTGGCTATTCAGGTTCTTTTTTGGTTCCATGTGAATTTTAAAATCGTTTTTTCTATTGTGTGAAGAATGTTATTGGTAGTTTAATAGGAATAGCATTGAATCTGTAAGTTGCTCTGGGCAGTATGGCCATTTTAAAAATACTGATTCTTCCTATCCATGAACATGGGATCTTTTTCCATTTGTTTGTGTCTTTGATTTCCTTGAGCAGTGTTTTGTAATTCTTATTGTAGAAATGTTTCACCTCCCTGGTTAGTTGTATTCCTAGCTATTTTTTTTTATTTTTGTGGCAATTGTAAACGGGACTGCATTTCTGATTTGACTCACGCTTGGCTGTTGTTGGTGTATAGGAATGCTAGTGATTTTTTTTTTTTGGTTTTCGTTTTTGTTTTTTGAGGTGGAGTCTCACTCTGTCACCTAGGTTGGAGTGCAGTGGTACAATCTCGGCTCACTGCCATATCCGCCTCCTGGGTTCAAGCGTTTCTTGTGCCTCAGCCCCTGAGCAGCTGGGACTAAAGGCATGCACCATCACACTAGGCTAATTTTTGTATTTTTAGTAGAGATGGGGTTTCACCATGTTGGCTAGCCTGGTCTCAAACTTCTGGCCTCAAGCAATCCACCCACCTTGGCCTCCCAAAGTGTTGGAATTTTGTACATTGATTTTTGTCTTCTGAAACCTCACAGAAGTTGTTTATCAGCTGAAGGAGCGTTTGGGCCAAGACTATGGGGTTTTCTAGATACAGAATCATGTCGGCTGCAAACAGGGATAGTCTGACTTCCTCTCTTCCTATCTGGATGCCCTTTGCTTCTTTCTCTTGCCTGATTGCTCTGGCTAGGACTTCCTACACTATGTTGAATAGAAGTGGCGAGAGAGGGCATTTTTGTCTTGTGCTAGTTTTCAAGGGGAATGCTTCCAGCCTTTGCCCATTCAGTATTATGTTGACTGTTGGCTTGTCATAGACAGATCTTATTATTTTGGGGTGTTTATTCAATACCCAGTTTATTGAGAGTTTTTAACATAAAGGGGTGGTGAATTTTATTGGAAGCCTTTTTCTCCATCTATTGAGATAATCATGTGTTTTTTTTGTTCCTTACACCATATACAAAAATCAACTCAAGATGAGTTAAATATTTAAGTGTAAAACCCAAAACTATAAAAATCCTGGGAGACAACCTAGGCAATACCATCCTGGCCATAGGAATGGGCAAAGATTTCATGACAAAGACACCAAAAGCAATTGCAACAAAAGCAAAAATTGACAAATGGGGTCTAATTAAACATAAGAGCTTCTTCACAGCAAAAGGAACTATCAACAGAGTAAACAGACAAGCTACAGAATGGGAGAAAATATTTGAAAACTACGCATCCAACAAATGTCTAACATCCAGCATTTATAAGGAACTTAAACAAATTTACAAGAGAAAAACAAACAACTGCATTAAAAAGTGGGCAAAGAACATGAACACAAACACCTTTCAAAAGAAGACATATATATATAGCCAACAATCATATGAGAAAAAGCTCAGTATCACTGATCACTAGAGAAATCCAAATCAAAACCACAGTAAGATACCACCTCACACCAGTCAGAATGGCCATTAATAAAAAGTCAAAAAATAACAGATGCTGGCAAGGTTATGGAGAAAAAAGAATGCTTATATACTATAGGTGGAAATGTAAATTAGTTCAACCATTGTGGAAATCAGTATGGTGATTCCTCAAAGAGCTGAAAAATAGAAATACCATTCAACACAGCAATCTCATTACTGGGTATAAACACAGAGGAATATAAATAATTCTACCATAAAGACACATGCACACAGATGTTTATTGCAGTGCTATTCCAAATAGTAAAGACATGGAATCAACCTAAATGCCCATCAATGACAGATTGGATAAATTGTGGTATATATATATATACACCATAGAATCCTATGCAGCCATAAAAAAGAATGAGACTATCTCTTTTGCAGGAACATGGATGGAGCTGGAGGCCATTATCCTTAGCAAACTAATGCAGGAACAGAAAACCAAATACATCATGTTCTCATAACTGCGAGCTAAATGATGAGAACTCATGACACAAAGAAGGGAACAACAGACATTCGGGTCTACTTGAGGGTGAAGGGTGGGAAGAAGGAGAGGAGCAGAAAAGATAACTATTGGGTACTGGGCTTAATACTTCAGTGATGAAATAATCTGTACAATAAACCCCCATGGCATGAGTTTACTTATGTAACAAACCTTCACATGTGCCCCTGAACCTAAAGTTAAAAAAAAAAACAAATTAACAAATTAACAAAAACTACAATTAAAATTAAAAAAGAAAACAATTGGTAAGTTTAATTTCATCAGAATTAAAGACTTTTTGCACTTCAAAGCACTGCTGAGAAAATGAAAAAAGACAAGCCACACAAAGTGAGAAAATATTTTCAAAACATATGTCTGATAAAAGGCTTTTTTCATTATGTATATGTGTGATATATATATATGCTTATATATATATGAGTATATGAGTATATATGTGTGTGTGTATATATATATATATATGCTCATATATATATGCGGAGGGAGCATGCTGGCTGGTGCACGGCCGTAGGGGCTCCCCCACTGGAGCTTGCCACCAGTCAGGCATGGTCAACTAGCTCAGAAGCTATGAGGCATACACCAGGGCACCTGAGACTGCTCTACAAGCAGGCACAGCCAGGCTGGGGCCTCAGGAGAGGCCAGACGATCGAGGGATGCTCAGGTCAAACCGGCCTCATCTAATGGGCAAGCCTGCCCTGCAGAGTTCAGGTCTGAAAGTTCCGCTAGGAATAACGTATCCTATGGGAGCCAGTCGAGCCTAGGCAGATAGCTGTCCCTGACGGTCCTCTGCTACAGACGCTCCCACACCAAATCCTCTGGTCTCCACATCAGCTGGCTTGCTGCCCCTACCACTTCTCTAGGCAGATCTCCCTGCCAACTTGAGTGCCTGTGGTGGTCAAGGGGTCTCTGCCTGCTGGGGTTCCAGAGGCCTGTGGCAAGAGTGGGTTGCTCCTTGCCACCCATTTCCCCAGAGCCGTTTGGGGTCAGGAACAAGTCACAGTGCACAGTAGCTCCATGTGGGGTTCCCAGCTTTCTCTCCTTTTGGTCCAGCTTCTGTGTCTTCCCTTTGTCCACTCTCAGTGCCTTCCCCTGAGGATCTATTAGGAGCACGCCAGTCATCTGGGTCAGTGGGAGCTGTTTCACCTGCCTGCATCTAGTTGGCCATCTTGCCCTCCCCAGACAAAAGTGGAACTTTTATATCTTTTTGGTAAAAATGCAAAATGGTACAGTCACTATGACAAGCACTTTGACAGTTTCTCACAAAGTAAAGCATGCACTTACCAATTCCACTCATAGATAGCGACCAAAAAGAAGTGAAAATATATATCCACATAAAAACTGAGAAATATGTAGTCAGTACATATCCACATATATGTACTTAAATGTTCATAGCAGCTTTATTCATAGTAGCCAGAAACAAAAACCAATACAAATGTCATCGGCTGGTTAAGAAAAATAACACATCCATAGATTGGAATATTACTCAGAAATAAGAAGGAAAAACTATTGATATACTCAACAACATCAATACATTTCTAAAGCGTTATGCTATGTTAAAGAAGTCATACACACAAGTGTACCTAAGGTTTAGGTCCATTTATGTAACATTGTGGAAAACGCAGAGCTATAAAGATAACAACTAAGTAGTTGCCAAGGATGGCAAGCCACCTAGGTGCAAAGGGGCCAAGGGAAATTTTCTGAGTGATGGGAATTTTCTATTTCATGGGGTGGTGGGTATAAAATGGTATACATTTTTCGAAACTCATCAAAGTCTACACTTAAATTTTTTTTTTTTTTTTTTTTTTTTTTTTTTTTTTTGAGACGGAGTCTCGGTCTGTCGCCCAGGCCGGACTGTGGACTGCAGTGGCACAATCTCGGCTCACTGCAAGCTCCGCTTCCCGGGTTCACGCCATTCTCCTGCCTCAGCCTCCCGAGTAGCTGGGACTACAGGCGCCCGCCACCGCGCCCGGCTAATTTTTTGTATTTTTAGTAGAGACGGGGTTTCACCTTGTTAGCCAGGATGGTCTCGATCTCCTGACCTCATGATCCACCCTCCTCGGCCTCCCAAAGTGCTGGGATTACAGGCGTGAGCCACCGCTCCCGGCCTTAAAATTTAATTGTATGTAGACTTTAACTCAATAAAGCTGATTTAAACATTAATCCAGGCTGAAATTCTATAAAATTATAAATCTAAACCAAAGCACTATTTATGCATAACAATTTCCATGAGTGTTCACCTTTTATGTATTTGGTGTGGTCCTCTTCAAGTAAAGATTATGTAAATGATTTCAATTAAAAGTGATTGACATTAAACATTTGCTTTATGAGAAAACATAGGCAGTTTCTAGTCCTCCATTATTTTTCACTTCTATAGGTATCCAAATAATGACAATTTTTTTTTCATGTTTTCAAACCAATTGGAACTCCTTTACAGATATGTGAGTAGAATCTAAGTAGAATCTTAGGTTCATTTGGTTTTTGAACTACAAGAAATCTTGGTCACCAACTAGTCCAAAGTTTTCCCTTTGTAGAAACTTAAAATCCAGAGAGGTTAAGGGTCATGTTCAGAGTAATATTGCTAATTACTCAAATAGCTCAGTCTAAAACCCAGTTCTGCGTGCTCCCTAGTTGACAATTTTTCATTGTAATCTTTCATAAAATATGACTATTTTTTGTCAATAACTTTAGTGGACTCCCCCTGCCCTCTGCTCATACATATGTTTTTAATTCAAGTGAAATCACATAACATAAAATTAACCATTTTTAAATGAGTGGACTCTTAAATCATTTTCATTTAGAAAAACTCTACCAGTAGTGAGTTTGTTTTGATCTTTTCTGCTCATGGTGCAGTGGCACAGTGAGTGAAGATTGTCTTATTCTTCCACAGATACCTAGTAAACATTTGCTTTTGTGGATGTGTCCTCCTAGTCTGGGACTTTCAGAACAAAATTACATTGTCCAGAATAGTGCTCTGTGCCTATTGCTCCTTCTGAGTAGTCTTTTGGGGTTAATATTCCATGTGGTGACCTTCCCTCACACCCTAGAATTTGGAATTATCTCATCTCCTTCTTGCAAAATATCTGCTTATTACCTCTGCTTCACATCAGTAAAGTTATAGATAACCAACCTATACCATGGTAAAGATATGGGAATAGCTAGAACACTTGGTTCCTGACTCTGCTCCCCTTAATCCCTCGCTTAATCTAAAGCTGTAAGCACCTTCTACCAGTGGTAAGAGATTTAAGATCTGTAGGTCTAGGCTAACTCTGAAAGATTGTTTAATGCTATGCACTCAGAAGGTCGTGCCTATGTGCAGGCTGAACATGTTACCTGCTCAATCTTTTTTATGTTCCCTGGATTTAGAAATAAGACTGCAATAGTTTACTCCTGGGATCTTCCTTTACAATCTCCAGAATTGAACGTGCTTGTTCTCTTTCATAGGAGTTGAAATGTTGATTTGGAGGTATGGGTGAATGCTTGCCATTTGACTATGCCCTCAAGCTGAATTGGAGGATCTTAGGAGATGAACATGTGACCTGTTGAACTGCTGGCAGTGGAAAACTAAAGTTATTCTTTCTCAGGAATAAAGGTCAGGAAGAGTCCTTACTCATTAATCCAACAAAAATCTGGAATTCACTTTAGGAAATTTAGAAAATTAGCCAAATGAAAAAAAAAGTGTGTATTTCTAATCTTTACATCCATGTAACTCTCATTTGTTCTAACTCACATTGAGCTATCAAATTTTGTGGCAGGCTATAAACTTGTTGAGTCATTAGCCTGTCTGGTTAATGGAGGAAAACTAAATTCCTGTTCCTGCATAATGACACTTATTCACTGTAGACATTTGCATCACTGGCAAACAATAAAACCTCATCCTTCATAATGAAGTTCTGGGCTGACAAAAAGGAAAATATAGTGTTGTGGGACAACTATGAATATAAAACAAGCTTAATAAAGAAATGGTGACAAATTATATTATGCAAAATGTAATGCAATAGAAAACGTTACTAATTCATTGGAAATGTCATAAATAAACGAAATAGTTTTTGACTGTCAAGGACTTGAAAAATATATTCCCTTAAAAATGAGGTGCAGAAGAGATGTCAATTTAATTGCCATCAAATTTTGACACGCTTGGAGATTCCTATATTCAGCTTATTTGCTAAATTTAGATACTTGCTCATGATGAAATGAAGAGAGGAGCACAATTAACCAGTTTGCTATTTTATTGTTGATCTGGCAGGAAAGCTGTTAGCATACTTAGGCTACAGGATTGCTGTTTTTGTTTTAGATCAATATTTGCATTATGTTATAATCAGTTTAGACAATTGTGCCTTTACGAAGTAGGCAAAATTTTAGATTTTGTATGTGAACATTGAAAAAAGACATTTGTCAAATCTATAATATTACTAACCCTAAGTTGTAGCTTCTGGAAAAACTGTAGCCAGCTCTTCTTAATCAGTTTGACTGAGACTCTGGCTTAGAGTTGAAGGGCTCACATGCTAGAAGGCAATTATTTTTCTTCTTCTCATAGTGTATTTGCCACAGAATTGTCTACTGTTGTCACCAGTTGATACCTTACAAGTTTCTTTATTCTGATTTTACTCAGAGAGCATGCTCTCTCTCAGACATGCAGCCATCTTGCATAGATTTTTTTTCCTTTTGCATTTTTGTCTTTGTTCTGAAGACTCTTATCTGGGGCCTGGAGGAGCAGCTCAAAAGTAGAGAGATGACTTCAACATCTATGACATTTTGAAAAGCATTTCTGTTTTACTACTGGATCATCAGGAAAGAAAATATTATTTAGCCCAGCCCTGAGCCTTGCACAGATTCTTGCTCATATCTGCCAAGTATGGGGCCCCTACCCAACCAGAGCAAGAGTAACCATTAAGTCTGTCTTTTTATACTGATCATCATGCAGAACTTAAAGAAGAAAGGACTCACCATTCAGCTTATGGTGCAATGCCTTTCTTCTCCCATGAAATCTCTATTTTAGTATGCTTTGTAATTAAACATGTGACTTATCCAGGATCTGTTCCTTACTGGGCTATGGTTGAGGGTTGAGATTGAATGCTCTGAGCATTCTACAGCAAAGATTCCACTGCTCATCAATCACAGCTTCCTTTCTTTCCTGTGGAGGCTTCTCAACATTGCCATAGATGCAGCTCCACCAATCCATTGGCATTGGCATGTAAGAGGCCACAAATTTGTCACTTGGCCCTAGAGAATAGGTTGTGGTTCTGTCATATATAATTTTTAATTCCCTGTGAAACCCTGGGTTGTCATTGATGTCTCTCATGTATATCATATATAGATAGATAGTATGTATGATATATATGAGATAAATATATGTATATATCATATTCATATATATGAATCATATGATATATGATATAATGATATATATGATCTAATGAAATATATATAATCCCATTTTGACTTTTCAAAAGTTGATACATATTTCCCAAAAAACAATTTAGAGTTTTTTTGTTGAATTTCCCACATTTGTTTTTAGCGCTTCTGAACATGTTTCTAAATTTATTCTTCACATTTCCATGTAATTTTCCTGTACCATTTGTTAGCGGTAGCTCAATCTTTATGCTGTTTTCCTTATAAAATCTCAGAAATGATTCTGGGTGAATTCATTATTAAAAATAATCGGTACATCAAGCTTTCCTGATTCTTTAATTATTATTTCAGCTATATATTTAATGCAAATAGTTAAAATGAAAACTTGTTTGGTAAAAGACACTATTAAGAGAATGAAGAGACAAACTACAGACTAAGAGAAAAATATTTGCAAAACACATAACTAATAAAGGGTTTTTATATCCAAAACATACAAAGTAGTCTTAAAACTTAACAATAAGGAAACAAAAAATTCTATTTAAAAAATGGGCAAAAGAGCTGAACAGACATCTAATTGTAGAAGATAGCAAATACACATCTGAAAATATGCTGAACATAATTATTCATTAGAGAAATGTAAATTAAAAGAACAAGGTACCACAGCACACCTATTAGAATGGCCAAAATCCAAAACACTTATAATATCAAATATGGGCAGGATGTAGAGCAACAGAAACTCTCATTCATTGCTGGTGGGAATGCAAAATGGTACAGCCACTTTGGAAGGCAGTTGGACGGTTTAGCTTCTCTTCCAAAGCTAAACATGATGGGTAGCATATGATTCAGCCGTTGCATTCCCAGGTATTTACCCAAATATGTTGAAAATTTATGTCCTCCCATATATCTGCACACAAATATTTATAGTAGTTTTAGTCACAATTACCAGAATGTGGAAGCAATCAAGATGCCCTTCATAGGTGATCAGAGAAACAAACCATGGTAAATCCATACAGTGGATTCTTATTCAGTGCTTAAAAGAACTAAATTATCAAACCCTAAAAAGGCATAGAGAAACTTTTAATGCGCATTACTGAGTGAAATAAGCCAATCTGAACATTCCATATACCACAAGATTTTAGCAAAATAATATTCTGGAAAAGGCAAAACTGCAGCAACAGTAAAAGAATCAATGGTTGCCAAGGTTTTTGGAAGAGGAAGAGAGGATTAAAGCAATGGAACACAGGGGACTTTTTAATGAAGTTAAAATGTTCCATATAAGAAAATTTGTAGGTAGACATTAAGATGAAGCTGGCAGAAATTTCTTTCATCTATAGGCTCTTATAGGTCCTTAGAAGTAAACAGCCCTGAAAAGTAAAAGAAGCTTTCTAGCTGAATGGTTCATTATGTATTGCGTTCTTTCACTGAATAGAAAATGTTAGCAGAAAAAAGAGTTTGTAAGCAGACAAACAATAATGGTAGTTATTTATAATGGTAGATACATGAAGTTATACATTTGTCAAAACCTATAGAACTGTAAAAAACAGAGAACTTATAAGTGATTAACTTTAGTTAATAATTACGGCTCACCAATTATAACAAGTGTCCCATACTAATACAAGATGTTAATAAAATGGAAACTGTGCATAGGTGAGTGGCGAGAGGTGGTGTACAAGAACTCTGTGTGCTTTCTGCTCAATTTTTCTGTAAACCTAAAACTCCTCTAAAAAAGCCTATTAAAAATGATGATAACCCGAAATAATTATTATATTAATTTCTCTTGATTCTGTGATTATTATTCCAGCTATTTCTCTCCGGTGTTCTCTTTTATTTTTATTTACCTAGTACATTTTGACTTATTTTTAAGCTGTAAATTTGTATTCACAAAACCATATATTTTTAGTGTTCCTAAATATTGTGTGGATATCCTGTATTCTAGGCTCTAAGAACTTTCATCCTAATTACTTGTAGTTTCACATATGCAGTACACAACTGTGACAATATGACTTAGATACATAAAATATTTATAAAGGATATGGAATCAGAACATATCAAGCAACTGTAATTGACTTCACCCTTTAGTTTCATATCAGATTGCGAATTGTCCTAAGAGATTGAAGCAAAGTGATGTGTAATCATGAGTGATTGATTGGAAATCATTAAGTATGGAATGGCATGCTAGGGAGCTGCCATCCCAACAAAACTAGTCTGTGAGTTGAGCTGATGGCAATGGTTAGCTCTGTTTCTAGTGTACAAAGTCTGACCCTCAAAGAGCTCATGAAAATTATGATTCCACATACTGTGAAGTAAGTGGCATAATCATTGCCTGTTGGATAACCATAGCTAACATTTGAGTACTTACACATCAGGCGCTGACAGAGGGCACAGCATGGATCAATCATTTAATCTTCACAATAGTCCTATGAGGCAGATGCTCATATTCCCACTTTACAGAAGACAAATCTGAGTCATGCAGATTAAGTTATTTGCCCAAACTTTCAGAACTAAATAAAGGGTAGAACACCAATTTGAATTTGGGCAGACTGACTCTGATGTGCGTGCTCTTCTCTACTGCTCTTCCAAATAATAGAAAGTATGGCCCCAGAGGGTTAAGCTTTAGATGCCTAAATTACATAGCCTAGTTTGTCTTTTAACTTTGGACTTTTAATCTTCAAAGCACTTCGTTTAATGTTTCTATGTTTCTCCATAAAAGGCCCAATTTAAGAGGAGCACTTACATGACTGTACTCCTGAAAGAAAAGCAAGATCACAAGATACTGCTGAGAAAAGCCAGCAAGATTGTGGGGTAGCTAAACAAACACGTGGGAATCATGACTATAAAAAAAACACCAAAAAAACTACTTATTTATTGGTCAAAGCTACTGTTTTGGTTAATACTTCAAAAATGATTTCTGGTGAATTTTAGTTTTTCAAATGTATTCTTTGCAAACTGCTATATATTCTGAAGTTTTACTAGATTCCTAGTTATATATCAGACAAATATATCTGGCAGAAACCTTTTCATAAGACGGAAGAGATTGAAATTCTTTTTCATGATAAATTGAAAGAACTGAAAAACAACCTGGAACAAATACTGCAACTTTTTTTTTATTGTTTAAAGTTCACAGAATTCTAAATGTAATCAATCTTCTTACCACTCTTGCAGCATACAAAACACACACTGAAATGTGGAGGTGGCCATTCTAAAAAAGGCTGGAAGATCCTATGAAATAAATGAATAGCACAGTCTTTGTGCAGTTATTTTCACTTTCTTGTCTTAAAATGTGTAACGGGGGTAAAGTTATATGTATCAACTCCCTGCAATTTACTTGAGTTGAGTTATAAGTATTTTAAATGGCAAGAGAGATGCAAAACTGTAAAGATACCAAGCCATTTTACAGAAGATGGCCATTACCATAAATTTTAAAACTTATGAACACATACTCTTAAGAATGATTTTGGAACTAAAAATGACAAGAATTTTTCTCCTCTTTTGTGAGTGAATGGATAAGAACATTTTGAATATTAAAGAAAAGAAGTGTTTAGAAGGCTAAATGAGAGGGAAGTGAGATTATAGCAAGTTGGTGATTAGAGAATAGACAGCCTACTCTAAGGCTTTTTCTCCACCTACCACAAAAGATCTATTCTAGACTTATGTTGGCTATAATTTTTTATTAAGTTAATCATCCTTGGTGTTCATAGTACAAGACACTATATTAATGCACCTAATATAATGTGCACTCATAATGAATGCTCTGTAAATTTATCTGGGGAGAAACTGAAAAGTTGCTTTGGGGATGAAAGCATATAGAAGGCTTATTAGAAAGAAGAAGAAGAAGGCTTATTATTTGTCTCCTAATTATATGTTGTTTGGAACAATAAGACAGTATTTTTAAAAACTGCATATTCAGAAAAAAACTAGGCTGCTAAAAAAGTGTAGAGTTTGACCCAGATGACTCATTAGTTATAAAGCTGAATCCATAATGGGTAGCAAGTTTAGACAGATTTAAAGTGGTTTAATCCTGAGGGTAAATTGGAAAAGAAAACCAAGAAAATAGAGGCTGCACAAAATAAGTCAAACTGGGCCGGGCATGGTGGCTCACGCCTGTAATCCCAGCAATTTAGGAGGCCGAGGCAGGCGGATCACCTGAGGTCAGGAGTTTGAGACCAGCTTGGTCAACATGGTGAAACCCCATCTCTACTAAAAATACAAAAAATTAGCTGGACATGGTGGCATGCACCTGTAATCCCAGCTGCTTGGTAGGCTGAGGCAGGAGAATCGCTTGAACCCAGGAGGCAGTGGTTGCAGTGAGCCGAGATCGTGCCATTACACTCCGGCCTGGGAGGCAGAGCGAGATTTGGTCTCAAAAAAAAATAAAATAAAATAAGTAAAACTGCTCCCAAAATATAATATTTTAAAATATCTGTTTGCTGTTACTAAAATTAAATGAGTATGCTGAAAAAACACATTTCGTATTGTTATTACCTATAAAATTATACAGCATTATATATAACATTTATTGTGTATATATGGTTAAATTTTCAGTGGACTCATGAATGAAATTAAAGACAGATGTGTACACAAGTTAAAGTATGGAAAAATGGTACCTGGAAAAATGTTAAACACAATTATAGCTCAGTTATGTTAAGCCTATACTGTATTTGCACAATATCTATATTTCGATTACTCCAAAGTGCTTTTTAACTGAATAGCATGATCCACTTTACTCATGCATAACTGGAAACTGGAACACCTGTGACTTGGCCCAATTTACATGGAAAGTGATTGAAATTTTCCTGGTCGAATGAATTGTTATAGTCAAAATTTACTTCTGGCAGCTGCTTGTTCTCTCTCCCTGGGGGTATAGGAGTCACAAGAAAGATTTCTGAGCCATTGCTAAGCCTCCCACAACTTACTTACTCACTGCAAATCTAAGTTCTCTATAATAGCCCACATTTTGGCTCAACAGATGTCAACTCCTTTTGCCTTTCACAGCCTGAATTTTCTGGCCTTTCACATAACATGTCAAAATACCAGAATTTGCTGTCATTTACTGTTTGAATGCTGACAACGCGTCCATTCAAAGCAGATGGGCAGCATAGCTCCTGCTAATGGAATGACCATCTAAATGGAAGATGCCTGGAAAAAGTAGAGCCCTCACTGCTGGAGGTGGTTGGCTTCTGGTTTCACTATTTCCAGCTTTAAACTACTTTTCGTCTTTCTTCAAGGAGGAGTAGAGGCAGTTTTGTGCTCTACCAAGCAATCGTGTGCACTAAACAGTGAAAAATATTAAATACGTGAACTCAAATGCCTTGCAATGTAAATGTCATCTGAATGGGCTGAAGTGGAAGAAGAAAGCAAGTTGTTTAGTGAGACAAGCAGTAATAAGAAAAACAAACCAGCTCTCTTTTGTCTTCTTTCTCTTTATTGTTTTGTTTTCACTAAATACATTTATTAACTCACGTACAATACTCTGGACTATTTTACTATTACTTTTACCTACTTAAAAAACTGAAAGAATCAAATTGTACAGTTCTACCTGTTTTGACAGGAATGTAAGCTTTCTGCACAGCTCTCTGGGAGATCCTAAAGTACCAATATTATCCTGTATGATATGGTATCTTATAAAATAGTTACTGGAACAACTCTCTGACTGCTAACAATATTCACGGTCTATCCTATGTAAAAAATCCTTATAAAATCAGGAAAAGAAAGCACCAGCAATTTTTGCTGTGGTGTTCAGCCCCTGGGGATTTGGAATGCCTAAGTTGACTGTCACTTTTACTTTTTTCCCTTCCAAAATGTATTCTTGTTGGGGTCTGTTGTGACATGTGCAATATCACCTTAATCTCTACATCACCACTTCTAGCATGAAGACTTTGCTCTTCAAAGAGAAATAACTACATTGCTATTGAAAACAAAATTACATTAGTTCAGAAGACTGAGCCCTGTGAGCCTGCCCTGGTGTATATCAACTTTGAGGAAAAATCAGATATTGGTCATTTGATTTGGAATAAGATGGTTTTGGTAGAAAAAGACAATTTTAGGATATGCCAGGAAAAATATGCTACTTGTTGTTATTTTCTTTAATAATAGAACAAGTTCTACTAAAAAATATAAAACCTTATAGCTTCAGGTATTTTTTTTATTATTTTATTTATTATTTTTATTTTTTTGAGATGGAGTCTTACTCTGTCACCCAGACTGGAGCACAGTGGCACAATCTTGGCTCATTGCAACCTTCACCTCCCGGGTTCAAGCGATTCTCCTGCTTCAGCCTCCCAAGTAACTTGGATAACAAGCAGGCACCGCCATGTTTGGCTAATTTTTATAGTTTTAGTAGAGACAGGGTTTCACCCTGTTGGCCAGGCTGGTCTTGAACTCCTAACCTCAAGTGATCCAACTGCCTTAGCCTCTCAAAGTGCAGCTTTATGTATTTTAAGGAAACATTCTAAATATTCTGATGTGTTGATATGCAGCTATGATCATATCAGAGAATAGATTGGAAGGTACACATTAACTGAATGAGCATCAACATATATGAGGGGTTAGTGTTGTATTTCCCTTTGTTTTCTCATGCCTCCACATAATGTCTGATTTATAATAGATTTTTATTAAATCTATTTAATAATTAATTCATATTGGATCTTTACTCAGTGATTGAAAATATTGAGCTTCTCACCATATCTTTGTGTGTCCTGACTCATCTCTTTGTGGATGCTTTTCCTGATTTTCCCAAGTTTCTGCGTGGAAAATTTCCATTTAGGAATCCATTTATACTCTTTTAGTTATTAAAAAATGTACAATTAAATTATTATTGACTATAGTCACCCTGTTGTGCTATCAAATACCAGATCTTATTCATTCTTTCTATATTTTTGGACCCATTAACCATCTCCATGTCCCCACATCCCCACTCTTGATTAATTCTAGAACCACTAGGATTCATTTAAGACTCCATATTTGACCATGAACCACACCATGTGCTGGGAAATCATTTGGGGTTGTAGCTATTTGTGATATGTATAACATAATAAGAAATAGAAATACTTTTTCAAGCACCAAAGAATAGGAAGTTTCTATCTCCTACGGCCTGTGTCCCTCAGGTAAAAAGGGAAAACGACTCATGGCTTCACATGCAGTAATGAATGCTTTCTGCAAATGGGCTAAGTGCCACCGTTAGTCTACCAAAAAGGCAGGTGCGTCTTCAGCAATCTAGAATGATTGTCTTTATGTTGGGTTCTCTGTGGTATTAATCAATTTTCTCTAAAATTCTAATCTCTCCAAATTTGTCAAAATCAGCTGTTTTGAAGTTAAAAAAGAAACTGAAAATGTTCTCCTTATTCCAATAGTAAATCTATGCTGCAAGACATAATTTATTAATGTATCACATTAACACTTCATAATATATTCATGTTTGCAAGCAGGATGTTTAATCATATAAATTCCTGTCTATTCAAGTTCTGTTTACAGTGAAACAAAAATGAGAACAGCAATCACAATGAGCTTATGCAATGCCATTAATATAATGATTTTGGTTATTATATTATTTATTATTTATTGAGTTCTGGATGTTCTGATAATTAAAGTATGATATACAAAAATAGCAAAACTTCAGCTAATACTCTAAACACTTCATTCTCCAGTGTTGACGCTCCTCAGGATTAAGGTCTATTTTGATAATTTATTGAGGAAAAATAGTGAGTCTGCATCAGATTTGGTGGTGATGGTAGGAAAAAAACCCTGGAAATTATTTTCCTTATTGCCCTAGCCCCCACCCTATTCCCTATTTTAAATTTTTCTCTCAAGGCCAGATCCAGGTTTTGTAGGACCTTAAGTTCATATGATTTTGAGATCCTTCTTGAAGAAGAATACTCTGTCTATCTGCTGAGGCTTCCATAACAAAATATCACAGACTGGGTGGCTTAAACAACATAATTTTTTTCTCACAGTTCTGGAGGCTGGAAGTCCAAGATCAAGGTAGGATTGGTGTCTGGCGAGGCTTGTCTTCCTGGCTTGTAGATGGCCACCTTCTCTCTGTGTCCTCACGTGGTCTTTTCTCTGTGCATGTGCTCTTTGGTATCCCTCCCTTTTCTTTGAAACCAGTCGTGGCAGATCAGAGGGCCATACGTATGATCTTATTTCACCCTAATCACCTTCTTGTGTGATTGGGGCTTAGGGCTTGAGCCTATGGATTTTAGAGGGAAGAGGGGACACAATTCAGTCCATAATAAATACAAACTCCTGAACACAAAAGTGGATTCACGAAAATAAAAGTGAATATTTGTTCAAAATAAGAAAAGAAATTGTAACGAATTGCTGGAGGCTTGGAGTTTTAATGCCATTCTGCTGAGTTCTCTTTAGGAAGTTGCGTTAGTCTGTCTTGTGTTGTTATAAAGAAGTACCTGAGGCTGGGTAATTTATAAAGAAAATAGGTTTATTTTGGCTTATGGCTTTGTAGACTGTCTAAAAAATGCAGCCTCAACATCTGTTTCTGTGGCAAGAAGGGTAGCAAGAGCGAGAAGAGGGAGGTCCCAGATTCTTTTAAAAAACGAGATCTTGCCTGAACTAATTACTAAGGGGAGGGCACCAAGTCATTCAACAAGGATCTGCCTCCATGATCTACATGATCTAAACACTTCTCACTAGGCCCCACCTCTAACACTGGGGATCACATTTCAACATGGCCTATAGAGAGGACAAGCATCTATACCATTTTAGTAGTTTTCCAGAAATACTTATTTAGAAATGCTACCTGAATGTGACCCGTCCTCCTCCTCTCCTGGAAACTCCACAAGCTGCAGCCAGAGGGACTAGTGCTAATGGGAGCCCTGAGGCTGAAGCTGTTTGCTTCTTTGGTATATCCAATTCTGCATGTTAGAGATGAGCTAATCTCTGACTTCAGTTTAGGGGAAATAAAGAGAGGAAAGAAAGAAAACATAAGGGGAAAGGAATTTGGGAAACTGGGACTGGGGGCTTGTATCTGCTCCTTAGTTAGTACCATTTTCTCTAGCTCCTCCTACCTCATCACTGAAGTTCTGACTCTGACCCTAGTGGTGAATCTAAAAAGGGCACAGCTGCCATTTCCATGTTATCACAAATAAAGAGAATGGCGGTTAAGTTAGTTGGTACAGGATTCACGGTTTATTTTTATTTACTTTCATCTGTGACCAAAGATTTCTATTTGGTGCCAGAACTCTTCAAAGCAGCCAGAATTGCGCGTAATGCCAGATACTGTTGTCACTAGAACCAGGTAAAACTTGGACAACCCTGAAGGAATTGGCTAACTGACAGGTTTTTATTAGAGCCACAATAATGAATGATACCACTGTGCTAAATAAGTCACATTCTTCCACTTTTTCTTATAATTATCTTCTGACTTTTATGTATTTCTTACCTCAGCTACATCTGAGGAGCTACTATTTTGCACAAAATTTTTGGTTAATTTACTTTGATTATTTTCTTTCACTAAATTGACCAGTTGTTGCATGGACATTATCAAACTGTTAAGTGGTTTTGCTGTCCAGCCTTAATATATTTGGTTTCATTCAATATGAATTCTTTTTGATGTAAGAGGTCAGAACCCAATTCCAGCTGGCTTATGCAGAAAGTACATTGGCTTCTGGAATCTAAGGAGAGATTGGAGGACACTCAGGCATTTCCCTTATCCTCAAGGGAAAAGGTGGAGCTAAAGTGGGGCACACACATTGCCAACCCAAGAGACTTTTGATGCTTGTTATTTCCACTGATCTCTATACCCATCCTGAGAAACAATTGTTTAAATGACTAGAATATTGGATCTTAAGACTACAACTGAGAGAGAAAAAGAGAAAGAGAGAGAAAGAGGTATATCCTGATGATTTTTATGTTTCAAAGATACTGGTAAAGCATGTGGCCCACTTTAAGTCTTGTGCCTGTCTGTAGACCAATCGATTGTGATACTAGGGGTTGGGACACTAAGATTATTCTATCCTTTATGGGTTGTCAACTCTTGATGAAACAACTGTGTTTAGGGTGGCAGTTTCATGCAAGAATATGATAGAAAGGTGGCCGGGTGTGTGTGGCAGTATCATGGAGAGAGGAAGATAAATCATGAAAATAATAGTGAGGATGCTGGACAGATGATCATATAAATGTCTACCTCACTTTTTTCATTGATATTATAACAATATTTCACCTTTCCTTTTCAGTTTGAACTTAATTTCCTAGTACTTTTTTCCCATATTACTTCAGATAAATGTATGTTAGGTTAAAAGTGTTTTTTCAGACAACTTAAGATTTTAGTAAAAAGATATTTTTAAGGAATAAGAAGTTTCTTTGGCTGGTAAAGAGTAATTAATATTACATTTATTAAAATGATGACCATGTAACTTTCAAGTTATCTTATCCCATTCTACAAGTCTGCTCTCTTAGCTGTGTTGGTTTCAGTTTTTGGAATGGCTTGATGAATAAAAGAGAATGTGAAATAAATGCTTTATTTCCCATTACTAAAAAGAAGAATTTCTGTATGACTTTCTTATTATTACATCCTTGAATTCCAGAGAAAAAAATGGCAACTTATTATAGAATCTTTTACAATTTGAAATTTAATTTTTGTGTTTATGTAGGACACATTTACAAAGCATACTGATAATATCAGGTAAATTTAGACATGTCAGCATTGCCTTTATCTGGTAAAATGCTCACATTTCCCATCAACTTTACTCAGACACTGATTTCTAACATGTATTAAGACTAAACATGCATAAACAATCATGTCAATTTGGGGGTTAATTTTAAGTTGCATAATATATTCAAGAATCTCATAGAAAGAAGCAATAGGTCAGTTGAGAACTGGAATAGCCTAACTTTCCAGGAAAAATGTATGTTTTCCTTTGGTGGATGAATATTCATCAACAATTGGCCACTTCTTTCTTTCTTTCTCTGTTTCATTAAAAAAAAAAAACAATTAAAAAAATAGACTTAAAGGGTACGAGCACAGCTCTGTTACATGGATATATTGCATATTATAGTCTTGGCTTTTAGTGTAGCCAGTACCCAAACAGTGCACAGTATACCCAACAGGTAATTTTCCAACCCTCACCTGCTTTGCCACCCTCCCACCTTTTGGAGTCTCCAGTGTCTGTTATTCCACTCTGTATGTCCATGTGTACCCATTGTTTAGCTCCCACTTATAAGTGAGTACATGCTGTACTTGAATTTGCTTCTGAGTTATTTCACTTAGGATAATGGCCTCCAGTTCCATCTATGTTGCTGGAAAAGACATGATTTCATTCTTCGTTATGACTGAGTGTGTGTCTGTGTGTGTGTGTTTGTGTGTGTGTATAGTTCCAATCATCCATTGACGGACACTTAGGTTGATTCTATGACTTTGCTGTTGTGAATAGTGCTGTAATAAACATGCAAATGCAGATGTCTTTTTATATAATGTTTTATTTTCCTTTGGGTAAATAACCAGTAGTAAGATTGCCAGTTTGAATGGCAGTTCTATTTTTAGCTATTTGAGACATGTCCGTACTATTTTTCATAAAGTTTGTACTAATTTACATTTCTACTAACAATGCATAAGCATTTCCTTTTCTATGCATCTTGCAAATGTCTGTCTTTAGACTTTTTGGTAATAGCCATTTTGACTAGTGTGATATGATATCTCATTGTGATTGTAATTTGCATTTCCCTAATGATTAGTGATGTTGAGCACTTTATCATATGTTGGCCAGTTTACATCTGCTTTTGAGAAATGTCTGTTCATGATTTTGTCTACATTTTGATGGGGTTATTTGTTGCTTTTTTTTTTTTCTTGTTGAGTTGTTTGAGTTCCTTGTAGATTCTGGATATTAGTACTTTGTCAAGTGCATAGTTGCTAATATTTTCTCCCATTCTGCAGGTTGTCTGTTTACTCTTGTTGATTATTTCTTTTGCTGTTCAGAAGCTTTTAAGTCCCATTTGTTTATTTTAGTTTTTGTTGCATTTGCTTTTGAGGTTTTAGTCATAAATTCTTTGCTTAGGCCAATGACCAGTAGAGTTTTTCCTAAGTTTTCTTCCAGGACTTTTATATTTTCAGTTCTTACATTTAAGTTTTTAACCCATCTTGGCTAAATTTTTGTATGGTGAGAGATACGGGTCCACCTTTATTCTTCTTTTACTAGATATGATTTAGATATCATATTCATGCCAGTGAGGTGAGGTGTAAATTAGGGGCTCCAAATGTCAAATGGCACCAAAGGTAATAAGTCAATATAATAGATATAACTCTTGCTAGTGAAAGATTATAGTCTCAAGCCATAGAATGGTGGTAAATTCTCATCCAGAAGACAAGTAATTTTTCAATATTTAGGAAGCTAGTTTCTTGGAAATCGCTGTTCCTGATTTTGCAATATTACCAGGTGTAACTATAGAAAACCTTTAGACAGATATTGTGATAAAGGAAATATTAGACTTTTCAATGCAATGTTTCCCAGATTTATTTTTTCTCATTTTCTCCAATTAATTTAATTGTTCTTTGCCTAACATCTCAGTTTAATAATAAAATTCATTCAAGGCTATGAGTTTTCCTCTAAATGAATCTTTGATGGAATTCCCTAAATTTGATACATAGTTCTCATTATTATTGGCTTCTAAGTATTCTGTAATTACAATTCAGATACTTTTCCTCAAAAGTTAAGATTCTTACCTGTTTGTATTTTGTTTTCCCCCCAGATGATTGGATCTATTGAATCCTAGATTGTGAATTCTTTCTCAGACTTTCTGTGAACTCTGATTTTTCCAGGTTGTAGGTTGTTCTCTTTCTTGAGAATTTTAGTGAGGAGTTTCGAGAAGTTCTAATAAGATTGGGATAAAGAAATTCTACTTAGCAGAGGCTATTCTGAACTGTAAATTCTTATAGACTGGCAAAAGTAATAATGCAGGGAGGATAAAGAACATTAAATCAAATGCTCAAATTTCTTTCTTTTTTCAACCACTATTTTAGATTCAGGGGGTACATGTGTAGGTTTGTTACCTGGGTATTTTGCATGATGCTGAGGTTTGGGGTATGATTGATCCTGTCACCCAGGTACTAAGCACAATACCCAACTGCTAGTTCTTCAACCCTTGCCCCCCTTCCTTCCTCCCCACTCTAGTAGTCCCCAGTGTCTATTGTTGCCATCTTTATGTCCATTAATACCCAATGGGTAGCTTCCACTTGTGAGAATATATGGTATTTGATTTTATGTTCCTGTGTTAATTTGCTTGGAATAATGGTCTTCAACTGCATCCATGCTACTTCAAAGGACATGATTTCGTTCTTTTTATGGCTGCATAGTATTCCTTGGTGTACATCTACCACTAAATGCTAAAATTATGATATCTTCACCTGGTGTAACCACAGTTGCCACTAATCAATTTGTCATCTTAGCTTCCTAATCTGTAAAATAGGAAGAGTAGAGTTCATGATCTCAAAGTTTCACTTATGTTAAAATAAATTATCTGTTTACATATAGTGTATTATAAATTATAGGATCACATTTTTCAGACAAGGGTGACATGCTTTGGCTCTGTGTCCCCACGCAACTATTATGTTAAATTGTGTTTCCAAGTGTTGAAGGTGGGGGCTGGTAGGAGGTGATTAAATCATGGGGTGGTTTCTAATGGTTTAGCACCATTCCCCTAGTGCTGTCTCATGATTGAGTTCTCATGATATCTAGTTGTTTAAAAGTGTGTAGCACCTCCCCCGGCTCTCTCTCTTCCTCCCGTTCCTGCCATGTAAGATATGCTGGCTTCCTCTTTGCCTTCCGCCACGATTGTAAGTTTCCTGAGGCCTCCCCAGCCATGCCTCCTGTACAACCTGCAGAACTGTGAGTCAATTAAACCTCTTTTCTTTATAAATTACCCGGTGTCAGGTAGTTCTTTATAGCAGTGTGAGAATGGACTAATAAAATAGACAACACTGATAGCAAGGCAAAAATATGTAACTTATTTATTCCCAACTCATACTCAGCAAGACGACCTCAGGCAGCCAACTTACTGGCCAGGAAATCTTTCCACTTTTGAGATAAGATTTTTTAAACTTGTTAACTTATTTGTTTTTATGACACAGAGGAGAACAGCATGATTCTTTCAAAATCTTGACATACTGTTATATAAGCAGCCATCCATCCTGATGACCTCTAATAGACAACAGTGTGCGTGGTATCTCTGCTTATCTTGAGAAGGGAAGGGACTAGTTATTAGTGTAATGTTGCAGAAAAGATAGTTTTTTGTCACTTTAAACAGAAAGCATCAACAATGTGATTTTTAAAATTATTGAACATTTGAAGTTTTGTACAGTTTATGTTTAGGGGCAGAAATTCTTCTAAATAAATATATACTAAGAAATAATTTTAACATTTAAATAGAGTCAGGTAAATACTCATTTCCAATCTCACTTACAAAGTATATTTTACTTTGGGTTGGGTCAAGGCTTAGAACAAGTTTTCATCAAAGTGTTCTTGAAGTCTTCTAAAAAGTTGATGTCACTAGCTTTTCCTGTTATAATTATTACAGAGCAACTATCATTTCAAATCTGAAGTTGTTTTTTATTACAAATAACAACCTTCTAACAAATTCAGGTGTTTTTCAAGTTTTTTTTTCAAATGAGTTAGTTAATCCTTTCTCTATATTTTTCAGATTTCAGTCAAGTGTAAACTTTTCATTTTCCTGAGAATTATAAGATACACATTTTTTTAATTTTTAATTTTTGTGGGTACATAGAAGCTGTATGTATTTATGTAGTACAAGAGATATTTTGGTACAGGCATATAATGAGTAATAATCACATCATCGAAAATGCAGTATCCATCCCCTCAAGCATTTATTCTTTGCATTACAAACAATACAATGATACTCTTTTCGTTATTTCAAAATGTACAATTAAATTATTTTAACTATAGTAACCCCTTTGTGCTATCAAATGCTAGGTCTTCCTCATTCTTTATAACTATTTTTTTGGTACCCATTAACCATCCCTACCTCTCTCCCACCCAACCACTACCTTTCCCAGTCTCTGGTAACCATCCTTCTACTCTGTATCTCCATGAGTTCAATTGTTTTGATTTCTAAATCCCACAAATAAATGAGAGTATACAATGTTTGTCTTTCTGAGCTTAGCTTATTTTCTTTAACGTAAAGACCTCCAGTACCATCCATTTTGTTGCAAATGACAGGATCTCATTATTTTTTATGGCTGAATAGTACTCCATTGTATATAAGTACCATGTTTTCTTTATCCACTCATCTGCTGATGGACACTTAGTATGCTTCCAAATCTTGACTACTGTGAATAATGCTGCAACAAAAAGGGGAGTGCAGAAATCTCTTTGACATACTGATTTTCTTTCTTTTGGGTATATACCCAGTAGTGAGATTGCTGGATTATTTAGTTTTTTTGAGGAACCTCCAATATGTTCTCCATGGTGGTTGTACTAATTTACATTCTTACCAACAGCATACAAGGATTCCCTTTTCTCCGCATCCTTGCCAGCATTTTTTATGCCTTTCTTTTGAATGTAAGCCATTTTAACTAAGGTGAGATATCTCATTGTAGTTTTGATTTTCACTTCTCTAATGGTCTATGATCTTTAGCACTTGTTTATATACATGCTTGCCAGTCATATGTCTTCTTTTGAGAAATGTCTGTTCAAATCTTTTGCCCATTTTTTGATCAGATTGTTAAGATTTTTTCCCCTATACAACTGTCTGTGCTTCTTATATATTCTGGTTATTATCCCTTGTCAGATGGGTAGTTGCAAATATTTTCTCCCATTCTATGGCTTGTCTCTTCATTTAGGTGATTGCCACCTTTGCTGTGCCGAAGTTTTTAACTTGATGTGATCCCCTTTGTTCATTTTTGATTTGGTTGTCTGTGCTTATGGAGTATTACTCAAGAAATGTTTGGTGAGACCAATGTCCTGGAGAATTCCTTCAAAGTTTTCTTGTAGTAGTTTCATAGCTTGAGGTCTTAGATTTAAGTCTTTTATCTATCTTGATTGAATTTTGTATATGGCAAGAGATAGAAGTCTAATCTCATTTTTCTGTATATGAGTATCTAATTTTCCCAGCATCATTTGAAGAGACTGTCTTTTCCCCAGTGTTGCCACTTGGCACATTTGTCAAAAATGAGTTCACTATAGGTGTGTGTATTTGTTTCTGCATGTTCTATTTTGTTCCATTGGTTTATGTGTCTGTTTTTTATACCAGTACCATGCTGTTTTGGTTACTACAACTCTGTAGTATAATTCGAAGTCAGGTATTGTGATTACCCCAGGGTTTTTTTTTTTTTTTTTACTCAGGATACCTTCCTGGGTATTTTGTGGTTGTATATAATTTTTTTTTTCTATTTCTGAGAAGAATGTCATTGGTATTTTGATAGGGATGCAATTGAATCTGTAGATTGCTTTGAGCAATAAAGATTCTTTCTATCCATTAACATGTAATATCTTTCTATTTTTTGGTGGTCTCTTCAGTTGCTTTCATCAGTATTTTATAGTTTTCATTAGTGTTTTATAGTTTTCATTGTAACTGTCTTCTACTTCTTTGATTAACTTAATTCCAGGTATGTAATTTCATTTGTGGCTATTGCAAATGGGGCATTATTTTATTTCTTTTACAGATTGTTCAATGTTGGCAAATAGAAATGTAACTGATTTTCACAGGTTGATTTTGCATCCTGCAACTTTACTGAATTTATTAGTTTTAATAGTTTTTCTATGGGGTCTTCAAGTTTCTCCAAATATAAGATCATATCATCTGCAACCAGGATACTTTGACTTCTTCCATTTGAATGTGGATGCCCTTTATTTCTTTCTCTCGTCTACTTGCTCTTGTTAGAACTTCCAGTACTATGTTGAATAACCATGGTAAAAGTGGGCATCCTTATCATGTTTCAGATCCTAGAGAAAAGGATTTCAGATTTTCCCCATTCAGTATACTAGCTGAGGGTCTGTCATACATGCCTTTTATTATGCTAAGGAATGTTTCTTCTATTCCCAGTTTTTTCAGGGCTTTTATTTTGGAAAAATGTTGAACTTTATCAAATGCTTTTTCAGCAGCAAATGAAATGATCATATAGATTTTGTCCTTCATTAGGCTGATATGATGTATCACATTGATTGATGGATTGATGTAGCACCATCCTTGCAACACTGGGGTAAATCTCACTTGTTCGTGATGATTAATGTTTTTAATGTATTGTTGAATTTTGTTTGTCAGTATTTTGTTGAGAATTTTTGTATCAATATTCATTAGAGATATTGACCTGTACTTTTCTATTTTAGATGTGTCTTTATCTGGTCTTGGTATCAGGGTAATATCGGTCTTGTAGAATGAATTTGGAAGTATTCCGGTTTCCTCTGTTTTGGGGAATAGTTTGAGTATCATTGGCATTAGTTCTTTAAATGTTTGGGAGAATTCAGCAGTGAAGCTGTCATTTCCCAGGATTTTCTGTATTGAAAGATTTTTTTATTACAGCTTTGATCTCATTACTTGTTATTGGTCTGTTCAGGTTTTGGATTTCTTTATGGTTCAATCTTGATAGGTTGTATGTGTCTAGGAATGTACGCATTTATTCTAGTTTTTCCAGTTTATTGGCATATAGTTACTCACAGTAGCAACTAAGGATCTTTTGAGTTGGAACTAAGTAAGGAGCTATGGATCTTTCTGCCGTGTCAGTTGTACTGTCTCCTTTTTTATCTCTGATTTTATTTTGTTGGGTCTTCTCTTTTTTTTTCTTAGTCTGGCTAAAAGCTTATCAATTTTGTTTATCTTTTCAAAAAACTAAATTTTTGTTTTATTGATCTTTTGTGTTGTTTTCTTCATTTCAAATTCATTTATTTTTGCCCTGATCTTTATTATTTTTCGTTTACTAATTTTATTAGTAAATTAATAATTTTGTCTTGCTTTTCTAGTTCTTTAAGATGCATCATTAGGTTGTTTGGAGTTTTTCATCTTTTTTGATGTAGGTGCTTATAGCTGTAAATATCCCTCTTTGTACTGCTTCTGCTGTATCCCATAGGTTTTGGTATATTGTGTTTCCATTATCATTTGTTTCAAGAAAATTTTCAATTTCCTTTTTAATTTCTTCATTGACCTATTGGTCTTTCAGGAGCATATTGTTTCCCTTCCATGTGTTTGTATACTTTCCAAAATTCCTCGTTTTTATTTTTATTTTTATTCCATTGTGGTGAGAGAAAGAGCATATTATTTCAATTTCTTTGAATGTTTTAAGACTTGTTTTTTTTGGCCTGACATATGGTCTATCCTTGAGAATGATCCATGTACTGAGGAGAAGAATGTGTATTGTGCAGTCATTGGATGAAATGTTCTGTAAATATCTATCAGGTCCATCTGTTCTACAGTGCTGATAAAGTCTAATGTTTCTTTGTTGATTTTTGGCCTGGAAAGCTCTGTCTAATGCTGAAAGTGGGGCGTTGAAATCTGCAGCTATTATTGTATTGATTTCTATCTTTTTCTTTACCTGTAATATTTACTTTATCTATCTGGGTGCTCCAGTGTTGGGTGCCTCTATATTTATAATCATTATATCCTGTTGCTGGATTGACCCTTTTATGATGGTAGAATGACTTTTTAAGTCTCTTCTTACAGTTTTTGTCTTATAATCTATTTTGTCTGATATCTAGCTACTCCTGCTCTTTATTTTAGATTCCACTGGCATGGAATATCTTTTTCCATCCCTTTATTTTCAGTCTATGTTTATCTTCATAGGTGAAGTGTGTTTCTTGTAGACAACAGGTCATTGCATCATTTTTTAATCCATTCAGCCTTTCTCTATTTTCTGATTGGAGAGTTCAGTCCATTTATTGTCAATATGATTATTAATAAGTAGAGACTTACTCTTGCCATTTTGCTATTTGTTTTTTGGTTGTTTGTGCCCTTCTCTTCCTTTTTTCCTTTCTGTCTTCCTTTTAGTGAATGTGATTTTCTCTGTTGATATAATTTAATTTCTTGGTTTTCATTTTTTGTGTATCTTGTGTGTTTTTCAATTTGAAGGTACCATGAGGCTTGCAAATACTATCTGATAACCAATTATTTTAAGCTGACGTCAACTTAACATTGATTGTATTAACAACCAAACACAGGATAAGACAGCTAATGAAAACTCTATACAGTAATGTTGTTTTTCTTTATAGATTACTGTACTGTCTATGTCTTGAAAAATTGTTGTAGTTATCATATTTGATCAGTTCATTATTTAGTTTTTCTACTTAAAAATAAGTGTAGTAGACACACCACAATTACAGTCATATAATATTCTGTGTTTTTCTGGGTGCTTACTATTACCAGTGGGTTTTGTTCCTTTAGATGATTTCTTCTCTCTCATTAACATCTGTTTCTTTTAGATTGAATAGCTCCTTTTAGGATTTCTTGTAGGAAAGGTCTGGTGTTGATAAAATTCCTCAGCTTTTTTTTGTCTGGGGAGATCTTTTTCTCCTTCATGCTTTAAGGATATTTTCACTGGATGTACTATCTAGGGTGAAAGTTTTTTCTTGCAGTACTTTACCTATATCATGCCACTCTCTCTAAGATTTCTACTGAAAAGTCTACTGCTAGATGTACTGGAGCTCATTGTATGTTATGTGCTTATTTTCTCTTGCTACTGCTAGGATCCTTTCTTTATTCTTGACTTTTAGGAGTTTGGTTATTAGATGCCTTAATGTAGTCTTCTTTGGGTTAAATCTGCTTGGTGTTGTATAACCTTCTTGCACTTGAATGTTAGTATCTATCTTTCTCAACGTTTGGGGAATTCTCTGACATCATTTCTTTGAATAAATTTTCTACCCCTGTCTCTTTCTCTACCTCTACTTTAAGGCCAATAACTCTTAGATTTACCCTTTTGAGGTGATTTTCTATATCTTGTAGATAGGCTTGATTGTTTTTTATTCTTTTTTCTTTGGTCTCCTCTGACTGTGCATTTTCAAATACCTGTCTTCAAGATCCCTATTTTTTTCTTCTGCTATTAAGAGACTCTGATATATTCTTCAGTATGCCAATTGCATTTTTCAACTCTAGAATTTCTATTTTATCCTTTCTGTTATTTCAATTTCTTTGTTAAATTTATCTGATAGAATTCTGAATTCCTTCTTGTGTTATCTTGAGTTTCTTTGAGTTTCCTTAAAATAGTTATGTTGAATTCTCTGAAAGGTCTCATATTGCTGTTTCTCCTGAATTGGTCCCTTATGCCTTATTTAGTTTGTTTGGCGATGTCATGTTTTCCTGAATAATCTTGATGCTAGTAAATATTTGTGAGTGTCTGGGCATTGAAGAATTAGAGGTTTATTGTAGTCATTGTGTCCATCCTTCTTGAGGAGGCATTGCAGGTATTTGAAGGGACTTTGGCCCCAAGCCCAACACCACCGTGATTTTTGCAGACTCATGGAGATACTTTCTTGGTGGTCTTGGATATGATCTGGAAGAATCTCTGGATTACCAGGCAGAATCTCTTGTTATTTTCCCTTACTTTCTCCCAAAGAAACGGAGTCTCTCTCTTTGTGCTGAGCCATCTGGAATTGCGGGTGTGGTGATGCAAGTACCCCTGTGGCCACAACCACTGGGACTGTGCTGGGTCAGACCTAAAGCCAGCACAGCACTGAGTCTCACCCAAAGCCCACTGTAACCACCACCTGCCTCCGACCTATGTTCACTCAAGACCCTTGGGCTCTATGATCAACAGATGGTGAAGCTAGCCAGGTTTCTGCCCTTCACTTCAAGGCAGTGAGTTCCCTCAGGCCCCAGGAGAGTCAAGAGATTCTTTCTGGGAGCCAGGGATTGGAGTCAAAAACATTAGCAATTTGCCTGCTGTTCTATTCTACTGCAGCTAAGCTGGCACTCAAACCACAACAAAAAATTATTTCTGCTCTTCCCTCCCCTTTGCACATGCAGAGAAACCTCTCCCTGTGGCCACCACCACAACTGATCCATGAGGGGGTTGACCAGGCCACCATTGATGTACATGTGAAGCCCATGGGCTCTTTTGTCAGCTTGTGGAGAGTGCTGCCAGGCCTGGGACTCGCCTTTCATCATAGTGGGCTCCCCTCTGGCCCTGGGCAGGTCCAGAAATGCTGTCCAAGAACCTAGGGCTGGTCTTGGGGACCCCAAGAGCCTCCTTCTTGCTCTGCCTTACTGTGGCCAAGCTGGTACCTAAGGTGCAAGGCAAAGACTCTTTACTTTTCCATGTGCTTTTCTCAAACAGAAGGAGTCTTTCACCACAGCCACCACAGTTAGAAATATGCTGAGTCACCCCTGAATTCAACACATCTCACAGCTCAAGGCCCATGGCATATGACCTGGATATCACTACTGGTTGTTCAGAGCCCAAGTGCTTTTTAGTCAGCAGTTGATAAATGCTACCAGGACTGGGAATCCTTCCCTTTAAGGCATTGTGTTGCCTTTTGGCCAAAAGTGTGTGTAGAAATGTTGTCCATGAGCTAGGGCCTGGAGTAGGGGCCTCATGACTCTCCCAGTGCTGTAAACTATTGTGGCTGAACTGATATCCAAGATACAAAACCAAGTCCTCTTTACACTTCGCACTCCTCTTTTTAAGCAGAAGGACATAATTTTTTTCATTGTCCCAAGCTGTGCAGCCTGAGGTGGTGAGAGGAATGGTAATCCCTTGGCTCCTCTCTCCCTAGATCATGTGCCACTCTAGTCCTTTGTTTCTGAGCCCAGTCCAGCACTAGCTGTTGCCTAGGAATTGCAATCTTTGTGTCCTAGACTGCCTTTCAAGTTTACCTAGGACCCCAGAGCATTTTGGCCCATGGTAACAAGGTTTGACAAGAAACTCAAATTCCCACCACAGGGATGGGCTATTTTCCTCTGGCTGGGGCTGGTCCACATGGAGCCCAGTGCTCCATGTGTGAGCACTGGCTGAGCCCAGCATGGCTTTTCTCTCTGCTATGACAGGGCAACATTGAGCTCAATGTAAAGTCCCCCAGTTGCTGTGCTCTCCCTCCCCAAAGTGCACAGATTCTCTCTCTCCTAGTGGCATAGCCTTTGCTGTGGGATTGGAGAGGGGTGACATCCATGATTCAAGACTGTCTCTGACCCTCTTCAATGCATCTTTCAGCAATATGAAAGAAAGGTATTATCTGTGGTTCCTCACCTGAAATTTGGTTCTTGTGACATGCGTTACTGTGTGTAGATGGTTGCAAAAATTCAGTGTTCCTGAGTGGGGGCACTAATGGTATAGTCTTTTATTCTGCCATCTTGCTCCACCCCCTGTATTCATCTTTAAGTCAAGGAAAGTCACAGAAAACACATTTCTAAAGATATTTTGGTAAAATTATGCAAATTTTGAAAGAAAAAAGAGGCAAACCACTGACCTTGTGTTTAATTAGAAAAATCAGACAAGATTATAAGGTGAAAAATCTACATTAGTCGAGTTTAGGAGGTTCTGGGCCCAAAATCAAAATTTAAACTGGACTGTACATTGTTCGCCTAGAACAACATTTTCAAAATTTTTGTGGTAGGAAAGAATCTCACAGTATTTGTCCAGCCTAGTGTGTACAGGTCACCATGAAGGCTTATATATATATATATATGTGTGTGTGTGTATATATATCATATACATATATATAAAACAACTGAATCTCCTGTATTCTTGACTGTAGCAACTGCCTCTATCTGAATAAGAACTAAAGAGAAGAAAAACAGATCACTCAGCATTTTTTAAATAAACCTTATGCATAATTAATGGCCCATGTCATACTCAAAAGGTATACACTCCTCAATTCATGTACAAAAGTCATTAGCAGCCAGGTCAATAGAAAATTGACAAAACAAACAAGTAGCAGGCATCAGGATCATTGTGCAAAGTGATTTGGACTTACCCAAACTGTAGAGTTCATAGAGTGGAACCACTCTTTCCAATATTCAAACATTTTCCTGTGCAGTTAAAAATCCTTGTGTTTAGACAAGGATGCCCTCTCTCACCACTAGTATTCAACATAGTATTAGAAGTTCTGGCCAGGGCAATCAGGCAAGAGAATGAAATAAAGGGTATTCAATTAGGAAAAGAGGTAGTCAAAATTGTCTCTCTTTGCAGATGACATGATTGTGTATTTAGAAAACCCCATCGTCTCAGCCCAAAATATCCTTAAGCTGATAAGCAACTTCAGCAAAGTCTCAGGATACAAAATCAATGCGCAAAAATCACAAGCATTCCTATACTCCAATAACAGGCAAACAGAGAGCCAAATCATGAGTGAACTCCCATTCACAATTGCTACAAAAAGAATAAAATACCTAGGAATACAACTTACAAGGGATGTGAAGGACCTCTTCAAGGAGAACTATGAAACACCGCTCAACGAAATAAAAAAGGACACAAACAAATGGAAGAACATTCCATGCTCATGGATAGGAAGAATCAATATCGTGAAAATGGCCATACTGCCCAAAGTAATTTATAGATTCAATATTCTCCCCATCAAACTATCATTGAATTTATTCACAGAATTGGAAAAAAATACTTTAAATTTCATATGGAAATAAAAAAGAGCCTGTATAGCCAAGACAATCCCAAGCAAAAAGAACAAAGCTGGAGGCATCATGCTACCTGACTTCAAACTATACTACAAAGCTACAGTAAGCAAAACAGCATGGTACTTGTACCAAAACACATATATAGACCAATGGAACAGAGTAGAGAGGTCAGAAATAACACCACACACCTACAATCATCTGATCTTTGACAAACCTGACAAAAACAAGCAATGGGGAAAGGATTCCTTATTTAATAAATGTTGTTGGGAAAACTGGCTAGCCATATGCAGAAAGCTGAAACTGGATCCCTTCCTTCACCTTATACAAAAGTTAACTCAAGATGGATTAAAGACTTAAATGTTAGACCTAAAACCATAAAAACCCTAGAAGAAAACCTAGGCAATACCATTCAGGACATAGGCATGGGCAAAAACTTCATGACTAAAATACCAAAAGCAATGGTAACAAAAGCCAAAGTTGACAAATGGGATCTAATTAAACTAAAGAGCTTCTGCACAGCAAAAGAAACTATCATCAGAATGAACAGGCAACCTGCAGAATGGGAGAAAATTTTTGCAATCTATCCATCTGACAAAGGGCTAATATCCAGAATCTACAAGGAACTTAAACAAATTTACAAGAAAACAAACACAAACAACCCCATCAAAAAGTGGGCAAAGGGTATGAACAGGCACTTTTCAAAAGAAGACATTTATGCAGCCAACAAACATACGAAAAGAAAGCTCATTGTGACTGGTCATTAGAGAAATGCAAATCAAAACCACAGTGAGATACCGTCTCACACCAGTTAGAATGGCGATGATTAAAAAGTCAGGAAACAACAGATGCTGGAGAGGATGTGGAGAAATAGGAACGTTTTTACACTGTTGGTGGTAGTGTAAATTAGTTCAACCATTGTGGAAGACAGAGTGGCTATTCCTCAAGGATCTATAGCTAGAAATACCATTTGACCCAGCAATCCCATTACTGTGTATACATCCAAAGGATTATAAATCATTATACTATAAAGACACACGCACACATATGTTTATTGCGGCACTCTTCACAATAGTAAAGACTTGGAACCAACCCAAATGCCCATAAATGATAGACTGGATAAAGAAAATATGGCACATATGCACCATGGAATACCAAGCAGCCATTGAAAAGGATGAGTTCATGTCCTTTGAAAGGACATGGATGAAGCTGGTAACCATAATTCTCAGCAAACTAACACAAGAACCGAAAACCAAACACCACATGTTCTCACTTATAAGTGGGAGTTGCACGATGAGAACACATGGCCATTGGGGGGTGGGCATCACACACTGGGGCTTGTCAGGGGGTCAGGGGCTGGGGGAGGGATAGCGTTAGGACAAATTCCTAATGTATATGATGGGTTGATGGGTGCAGCAAACCACCATGGCACATGTGTACCTATGTAACAAACCTGCATGTTCTGCACATGTACTGCAGAACTTAAAAGTATAGTAATAATAAGAATACAGAGAACAAAAAGAAAAAGAAAATGAAATCTTTGTGTTTGAACATTGGAGGAAAGCACCTAGCCCTTGGAAATCATAAATGGTAGATGGAACACCTAGAGATCACATTTTCATTAGTTCCCCTCTATGGTTTCACTATCCAACCCTAATATTTGATATATATTTTTTCATTTATTATGTTGTTTGCTTATTTGCTGTGGTTAGGCTATGATAATATGGAGCTCACCAAAGAGGTGAGTTATTAAGTATTGACTGTGTGCAGAGGATGGAACACTATTCCTACTGCAAGCCATCCTTATGATGCTGAAGCAAGGGACTGATCCTTTCCCCACTGTTATATGAGATAACAGAGCATCTGAGAAGTGAAGTGATTTGCCTAGGGTCAAAAGGCTATATCATGGTTAAAATGAAATCAAAACCTTTCTTTTTAAGAAAAAAAATTCTCTTAGAAATATAGATTTTCCAATCTAAGTCCAAAAGTCCTAATCTAAAGTATTAGACAAGTAAGGACAAAGTGCAAGTCATTTTTTTAAGGCACAACTTAAAAGCCACCTCCTTCATATAACCAAGCCTGCTTAGTTTCTCTCCATCTATTGTACTTTGTAACTTTGGTGAAGGTGTTTAGCAGATTACTTTTGTGCCTAGATTTAATCTGTTATATGTAACACATTAACACCTTCATTTAGTCATTCCCCAAAAGCTCAGAGCACAGGGGCCAGGTTATTGAAATGATATCAATAATTATTACAAATAGTAGAGTTCTCTTTGAATTCCAAGTAAGTTTATAGTTTTGTTGACAGTCAAAACAAAACAAGCAAGCAAACAAACAAACAAAAAAACCAGACCCCATGAAGAGTATACTAATCTCTCATTTCTATTTCAGCTTCTGTAATAGGATCAATAATCTAAATTAATGGGAAGTGACGTGAAGCTTCATATTACATGTGTGAATCCACTTGCCTCTAAAAATACACTATTTTGGATCCAAACAGCATGCTCTATTCTTTGAGCAAGTAAATAATCAAGATGACTAATATAGTGCAAAAGATAAATTTGACATCCTTCTCTTTAAACTTTTTGAGGAGTATTTTATTAATGTGAACTATAGTAGATTGAAAAAGCACTTGTAGTATGATTGCTCACTGGCAGACAAACCAAACTTTCATATGAGAGGTCAGGTAGAATAAGAGATTTCTATACACCCTTTCGGTGACTGAGCAATTGGAGTATGAGTTACTTAAAACTATTTTTCTGCATTTTCATCTGTTTGTCACAAATATTTATGGAAATCTGACTACGTGAAGGAACCATTTTGAGAGAGAATACTATCTTGCAAATAAACATTCCACTGTGTGGGCCATCCTCAAATTTTGCATTGACTCTTCTTTCTCCCACTTTTAAAGGTACTGGGGCTCTAGCCATCAGTTTAGTTTTTTTTCTTGTTGTGTGTCTCCTTAGTAGAATCATTATTCTGTATTTTAACATGCTCAAAGTATTCCCATCTTCACACCCATGTACACACACACACAAGCACACATAGACACACATATGCAGGCACACACATAAAATCTCCACTTTGATTCCAAAATCCTCTTCCAGTTCCTCTTGCTGCTTCCTCAAAACTATCTTCCTGAAAAACTTGTTTATGTTCTCCCACCATTAGCAGTTCCTCATCTTCCACTCATTCCTCATTCCATTCCAATCTACCTTCCACCCACAGGATTCCAACCAAACAGATTTTACTATAGCCACCGAAGTTCTCCATTAATCCAAATCCAATGAACATGGTAAATTCTCATTTTGCTTGACTTCTCAGTGGAATTTGACATTGCTGACTACTCTCTCCTTCAAAAACTCTTTCTGTGGTTTCTTTTCTTAACCCTCCCATACCTTTGTCTATGTAACCCTTGCAAATTTGTCTTTTTTTAATCTGATATTTAAATGTCAAGTATTTTAAGCCTTAGTCTTATACCTTGTCTTTTATTTTCTATCTTGACAATCTTATGCCATTTTCAATTGTTTTCTGTATGTTATTATTTATTGACATACATTAAACTGCACATATTTAAAGTGTATGTTTTGATCAGTTTTGATGTATGTACACAACTGTGAAACCATCAACAAAATCAAGATAGTGAACATATCCAACACTACCAACAGTTTCTCATGCCACATGGTAATAATCTCTTCCCATTGCACCTAACTCCACCTCTCCCAGGCAAGCACTGATCTGCTTTCTGTCACTACCGATTAGTCTGTGTTTTAAAGAGTTTTATATAGACAGAAGCATAGAGCAAGTATGATGATTCCTTTAGCCTGGTTTGCTTGAGATTCACCCAGGCTGTAGTGTGACATCACTTTTTATTGCTAAGTAGTATTCTATTAATATTATTTGGATATACTAGAATTGATGTAAGCATTGTCTGATGATAGACATTTGGATTGTTTTCAAAATCCTGGCTATTACAAATGAAGCATCTATGAGTATTTTTAAAATTTTATGTGAACATAAGCTTTCTTTTCTCTTGGGTTAATTTGTATAGATGGAATAGCTGGATCATATAGTAGGTGTAACTTACTTTCCTTCTTACAAAACTGCCAAACTATTTTCTTAAGTGATTGTCTCTTTTACATTACCAGAATATGTTAGAATTCTAGTTCTTTTGTGTCCTCACTAACACTTGGTATGGTCAGCCTTTTAATTTAGCCATTCTAATCAGTGTGTATCTCACATGCTTTTAATTTGCATTTGCCTGATGACTGAAGACAATGAATGCCTTTTCGTGTTTATTTGCTATCTATATATCTCTTATGGTGAATTGTCAGTTCAAATATTTAGAGTATTTATGAGAATTAGATTGTGTGTTTTCTGAAGTTTTGAGAGTTTCTTCTTCAACTATCCTGGATACAAGTCATTTATCAGATATATATATAGTATATATATATGGTTTATATTTATCAGATATATATCATTTATCAGATATATAGTCATTTATCAGATATATAGTCATTTATCAGATATTTATAGTATATATATGGTTTATATTTGTCAGATATATATCATTTATCAGATATATCTGATAAATGACTTGTATCCTGGATAGCTGAAGAAGAAACTCTCAAAACTTAAGAAAACACACAATCTAATTCTCATAAATACTCTAAATATTTGAATTGACAGTTCACCATAAAAGAGATATAGATAGCAAATAAACACAAGAAAAGGTATTCAATGTCTTCGGTCATCAGGGAAATGCAAATTAAAAGCATTTGAGATACACACTGATTGGAATGGCTAAATTAAAAGGCTGACCATACCAAGTGTTAGTGAGGACACAAAGGAACTAGGATAGATAGATAGATAGTTAGGCCTACAGGCATGTCACCACACCCAGCTGATCTTTTAATTTTTTGTAGAGATGGGGACCTTGGTCTATTGCCCAGGCTGTTCTTGAGCTCCTGACTTAAGCGATCTTCCTGCCTTGGCCACCCAAAAATGCTGGAATAACAGGCATGAGGCACTGTGCCCAGCTTTCAGATTTATTCTTTGAAAATATTTTCTCTAAGTGTATGGCTTGCTTTTTCAGTTTCTAAGATTGTCTTTTGAGGAACAGATGTTCTTAATTTTGGGAAAAAAATGTTTTCCTTTAATAGACTGTATTTTTGGTATTGTAAATAATAACTCTTTGCCTAGCTAAAAGTCATAAAGATTTTCTTCTTGTTTTCTTCTAGGAGTTGTGTAGTTTTAGACTGACTGTTAGGTCTGTGATCTATTTTGAACTAATTTTTTATTATTGTATCACGAACAAATTGAATTTTTTTCATATGCATATCCAATTGTTCCAGTACCATTTACTGAAAAGATGCCTTTCTCCCCTATTTGCCTCTGCAATTTTGTGAAAAAAAAAAAAAAAAAAAAAAAAATCAGTTGACTTTATATGTGTGATTTAATTATGAATTTTTGTTTTTTCCTTGATATATTTATCTATTTTGATACTAATACCATATTGTGTGATGGTAGTTGTATAATAAATCTTAAAATAAGGCCAAAGAAGCTTTCCAAATTATTTGTTCTTTTACAAAGTTGTTTTAGCTTTTTTAGGTCCTTGGTGTTTTCAAATGAATGTAAGAATCATTTTGCAAACTTCTACAAAGAAGTCAGCTGGGATTTTTTATTGAGGTTGCTTTGAATCTGTGTTTCAATTTGGGGGTTATTGATTTTAACAACACTGAGTCTTGGTCAAGGAACAAGATATATCTCCCCATTTATACAGATCTCTTTAAATTTCTCTCAAAAATACTTCGTTCTTGTTAGTGTACAAATTTTGCCAATTTTTGTCAGAATTTTCCCTAAATAACTCAAACTTTTATTGCTATTGTAACTGATATTGTTCTTTGTAATTCAATTTCCAACTGTTCATTGCTAGTACATAGAAATATAATTAAATTATGTATATTGACCCTGTATCCTTCAATTCTTAGTTTTAGTACCCTTTTTTTCTCAATCTGTTGGATTTTATACATAGAAAATCGTTTAGTCTGTGAATAAAGTAGCTTTACTTCTACTTTTCCAATATACCTATCTTTTATTTATTTTCCTTACCTTATTGCCCTACGCATGTCTTCCAATACCATGTTGAATAAAAGAAGGGAGGGAAAAAATGTTTGTCTTATTCTTGATTTTGGGGAAAGCATTCAGTCTCTCACGATTAAAATGTAACGTTAGCTGTAGGATCTTTGTAAATGCCTTTTATCAAGTTGCAGACGTCCTTTTATTCCTAGTTTGCTATTCCTTCTTTATCTTTTTCTGTGTCTATTGATATGTCCTTAATTTTTACACTTTTCTTTAGATCATAAATTACACTTACTGATTTTTGAACAAATGTTCAAAACAACCTAGGAACAAAACAAACTAGGAACAACCTACTTTATCCTAGGAACAAAACAACCTTTGTTCCTAGGATAAACTCCACTCAGTTATTATGTATTATCATTTTTATAGATATGTTGTTGGTTTGATTATCTTTTGTTAGCATGTTTGCATCTAAGCTCATGAGTGATATTTGTCTGTGGTTTTCTTCTCTTAGAGTGTGTTTGTCTGGTTTTCTCACGAGAGTAATGGTCACATAGAATGAGATGAAAAATATTCTAGTCTATGGCCATAACACCCTGAACGCGCCCGATCTCGTCTGATCTCAGAAGCTAAGCAGGGTCGGGCCTGGATAATACTTGGATGGAAAAATATTCCCATCTCTTCAATTCTGGAACTTATATTTTCTTATCTTCCTTTCTCTCCCTCCCTTCCTTCCTCCCTCCCTCCCTCCCTTCCTTCCTTCCTTTCTCTCTCTTTCTTTCCCCTTCCTTCCTTCCTTCCTTCCTGCTTGCTTGCCTGCCTGCCTGCCTGCCTGCCTTCCTTCCTGCCTGCCTGCCTGCCTGCCTGCCTGCCTGCCTGCCTGCCTGCCTGCCTTCCTTCCTTCCTTCCTTCCTTCCTTCCTTCCTTCCTTCCTTCCTTCCTTCTCTCTCTCTCTCTCTCTCTCTCTTTCTTTCTTTCTTTCTTTCTTTCTTTCTTTCTTTCTTTCTTTCTTTCTTTCTTTCTTTCTTTCTTTTTTTCTTTCTTTCTTCCAACGGAGTCCCGCTCTGTTGTCAGGCTGGAGTGCAGTGGCACGATCTCGGCTCACTGCAACCTGTTTCTCCTGGGTTCAAGCGATTCTCCTGCCTCAGCCTCCCGAGTAACTGGGACTACAGGCACACACCACCACGCCCAGCTAATTTTTGTATTTTTAGTAGAGACAGGGATTCACCATGTTGGCCAGGATGGTCTCAATCTCTTGACCTCATGATCTGCCCATCTCAGCTTCCCAAATTTCTGGAATTACAGGCATGAACCACCATGCCCGGCCGGAACTTATATTTTCTAGAAGAATTTGTGTGCAATTGATACTACTATTTCTTAAATGATTGGTATAATTCACTAGTAAAGACTTCAGGGCCTGGAATTTATTTCTGAGTAGTGTTTAATGACAAATTCAATTTATTTTATAAATACGGGTCTATTCATGCTCTGTTTTCTTGAGGGAGCTTGGAAGTTTTATTTCATTTTATTTTATTATTATTATACTTTAAGTTTTAGGATACATGTGCACAATGTGCAGGTTTGTTACATATGTATACGTGTGCCATATTGGTGTGCTGCACCCATTAACTCGTCATCTAGCATTAGGTATATCTCCAAATGCTATCCCTCCTCCCTGGCCCCCGCCGACAACAGTCCCCGGAGTGTGATGTTCCCCTTCCCGTGTCCATGTGTTCTCATTGTTCAATTCCCACCTATGAGTGAGAACATGCAGTGTTTGGTTTTTTGTCCTTGTGATAGTTTGCTGAGAATGATGGTTTCCAGTTTCATCCATGTCCCTATAAAGGACATGAATTCATCCTTTTTATGGCTGCATAGTATTCCATGGTGTATATGTGCCACATTTTCTTAATCCAGTCTATTGTTGTTGGACATTTGGGTTGGTTCCAGGTCTTTGCTATTGTGAACAGTGCCGCAATAAACATACGTGTGCATGTGTCTCTGTAGCAGCATGATTTATAATCCTTTGGGCATATACCCAGTAATGGGATGGCTGGGTCAAATGGTATTTCTAGTTCTAGATCCCTGAGGAATCACCACAGCGACTTCCACAATGGTTGAACTAGTTTACAGTCCCACCAACAGTGTAAAAGTGTTCCTATTTCTCCACATCCTCTACAGCACCTGTTGTCTCCTGACTTTTTAATGATTGCCATTCTAACTGGTGTGAGATGGTATCTCATTGTGCTTTTCATTTGCATTTCTCTGATGGCCAGTGATGATGAGCATTTTTTCATGTTTTTTGGCTGCATAAATGTCTTCTTTTGAGAAGTGTCTATTCATATCCTTTGCCCGCTTTTTGATGGGGTTGTTTTTTTCTTGTAAATTTGTTTGTGTTCATTGTAGATTCTGGATATTAGCCCTTTGTCAGATGAGTAGGTTGCGAAAATTTTCTCCCATTTTGTAGGTTGCCTGTTCACTCTGATGGTAGTTTCTTTTGCTGTGCAGAAGCTCTTTAGTTTAATTAGATCCCATTTGTCAATTTTGGCTTTTGTTGCCATTGCTTTTGGTGTTTTAGACATGAAGTCCTTGCCCATGCCTATGTCCTGAATAGTATTGCCTAGGTTTTCTTCTAGGGTTTTTATGGTTTTAGGTCTAACATTTAAGTCTTTAATCCATCTTGAATTAATTTTTGTATAAGGTGTAAGGAAGGGATCCAGTTTCAGCTTTCTACATATGGCTAGCCAGTTTTCCCAGCACCATTTATTAAATAGGGAATCCTTTCCCCATTGCTTGTTTTTGTCAGGTTTGTCAAAGATCAGGTGGTTGTAGATATGCGGCATTATTTCTGAGGGCTCTATTCTGTTCCATTGGTCTATATCTCTGTTTTGGTACCAGTACCATGCTGTTTTGGTTACTGTAGCCTTGTAGTATAGTTTGAAGTCAGGTAGTGTGATGCCTCCAGCTTTGTTCTTTTGGCTTAGGATTGACTTGGCGATGCAGGCTCTTTTTTGGTTCCATATGAAATTTAAAGTAGTTTTTTCCAATTCTGTGAATAAAGTCATTCATAGCTTGATGAAGATATCATTGAATCTATAGATTATCTTGGGCAGTATGGCCATTTTCACGATATTGATTCTTCCTACCCATGAGCATGGAAAATCCTTCCATTTGTTTGTATCCTCTTTTATTTCATTGAGCAGTGGTTTGTAGTTCTCCTTGAAGAGGTCCTTCACATCCCTTCTAAGTTGGATTCCTAAGTATTTTATCCTCTTTGAAGCAATTGTGAATGGGAGTTCACTCATGATTTGGCTCTCTGTTTGTCTGCTATTGGTATATAAGAATGCTTGTGATTTTTGCACATTGATTTTGTATCCTGAGACTTTGCTGAAGTTGCTTATCAGCTTAAGGAGATTTTGGGCTGAGACAATGGGGTTGTCTAGATATACAATCATGTCATCTGCAAAGAGAGACAATTTGACTTCCTCTTTTCCTAATTGAATACCCTTTATTTCCTTCTCCTGCCTAATTGCCCTGGCCAGAACTTCCAACACTATGTTGAATAGGAGTGGTGAGAGAGGGCATCCCTGTCTTGTGCCAGTTTTCAAAGGGAATGCTTCCAGTTTTTGCCCATTCAGTATGATATTGGCTGTGGGTTTGTCATAGATAGCTCTTATTATTTTGAGATACGTCCCATCAATACCTAAATTATTGAGAGTTTTTAGCATGAAGCATTGTTGAATTTTGTCAAAGGCCTTTTCTGCATCTATTGAGATAATCATGTGGTTTTTATCTTTGATTCTGTTTATATGCTGGATTACATTTATTGATTTGTGTCTGTTGAACCAGCCTTGCATCCCAGGGATAAAGCCCACTTGATCATGGTGGATAAGCTTTTTGATGTGCTGCTGGATTTGGTTTGCCAGTATTTTATTGAGGATTATTGCATCAATGTTCATCAAGGATGTTGGTCTAAAATTCTCTTTTTTGGTTGTATCTCTGCCAGGCTTTGGTATCAGGACGATGCTGGCCTCATAAAATGAGTTAGGGAGGATTCCCTCTTTTTCTATTCATTGGAATAGTTTCAGAAGGAATGGTACCAGCTCCTCCGTGTACCTCTGGTGGAATTCAGCTGTGAATCCATCTGGTCCTGAACTTTTTTTGGTGGGCAAGCTATTGATTATTTCAGAGCCTGTTATTGGTCTATTCAGAGATTCAACTTCTTCCTGGTTTAGTCTTGGGAGGGTGTATGTATCAAGGAATTTATCCATTTCTTCTAGATTTTCTAGTTTATTTGTGTATTTGTGTAGGGGTGTTTGTAGTATTCTCTGATGGTAGTTTGTATTTCTGTGGGATCAGTGGTGATATCCCCTTTATCATTTTTTATTGCGTCTTTTCGATTCTTCTCTCTTTTCTTCTTTATTAGTCTTGTTAGTGGTCTATCAATTTTGTGGATCTTTTCAAAAAACCAGCTCCTGGATTCATTAATTTTTTGAAGGGTTTTTATGTCTCTAATTCCTTCAGTTCTGCTCTGATTTTAGTTATTTCTTGCCTTCTGCTAGCTTTTGAATGTGTTTGCTCTTGTTTTTCTAGTTCTTTTACTTGTGATGTTAGGGTGTCAATTTTGGATCTTTCCTGCTTTCTCTTGTGGGCATTTAGTGCTGTAAATTTCCCTCTACACACTGCTTTGAATGTGTCCCAGAGATTCTGGTATGTTGTGTCTTTGTTCTCGTTGGTTTCAAAGAACAGCTTTATTTCTGCCTTAATTTCATTATGTACCCAGTAGTCATTCAGGAGCAGGTTGTTCAGTTTCCATGTAGTTGAGCAGTTTTGAGTGAGTTTCTTAATCCTGAGTTCTAGTTTGATTGCACTGTGGTCTGAGAGACAATTTGTTATAATTTCTGTTCTTTTACATTTGCTGAGGAGTGCTTTACTTCCAGTTATGTGGTCAATTTTGGAATAGGTGTTGTATGGTGCTGAAAAAAATGTATGTTCTGTTGATTTGGGATGGAGAGTTCTGTAGATGTCTATTAGGTCCACTTGTTGCAGAGCTGAGTTCAATTCCTGGGTATCCTTGTTAACTTTCTGTCTCGTTGATCTGTCTAATGTTGACAGTGGGGTGTTAAAGTCTCTCATTATTATTGTGTGGGAGTCTAAGTCACTAAGGACTTGCTTTATGAATCTGGGTGCTCCTCTATTCGGTGCATATATATTTAGGATAGTTAGCTCTTCTTGTTGAATTGATCCCTTTACCATTATGTAATGGCCTTCTTTGTCTCTTTTGATCTTTGTTGGTTTAAAGTCTGTTTTCTCAGAGACTAGGATTGCAACCCCTGCCTTTTTTTGTTTTCCATTTGCTTGGTAGATCTTCTCCATCCCTTTATTTTGAGCCTATGTGTGTCTCCGCATGTGAAATGGGTTTCCTGAATAGAGCACACTGATGGGTCTTGACTCTTTATCCAATTTGCCAGTCTGTGTCTTTTAATTGGAGCATTTAGCCCATTTATATTTAAAGTTCATATTGTTATGTGTGAATTCGGTCCTGTCATTATGATGTTAGCTGGTTATTTTGCTCATTAGTTGATGCAATTTCTTCCTAGCCTTGATGGTCTTTACATTTTGGCATGTTTTTTCAGGGGCTGGTACCAGTTGTTCCTTTCCATGTTTAGTGCTTCCTTCAGGAGCTCTTTTAGGGCAGGCCTGGTGGTGACAAAATCTCTCAGCATTTGCTTGTCTGTAAAGGATTTTATTTCTCCTTCACTGTGAAGCTTAGTTTGGCTGGATATGAACTTCTGGGTTGAAAATTCTTTCCTTTAAGAATGTTGAATATTGGCCCCCACTCTCTTCTGGCTTGTAGAGTTTCTGCTGAGAGATCTGCTGTTAGTCTGATAGGCTTCCCTTTGTGGGTAACCCGACATTTCTCTCTGACTGCCCTTAACATTTTTTCCTTCATTTCAACTTTGGTGAATCTGACACTTATGTGTCTTGGAGTTGCTCTTCTCAAGGAGTATTTCTGTGGCATTCTCTGTATTTCCTGAATCTGAATGTTGGCCTGCCTTGCTAGATTGGGGAAGTTCTCCTGGATAATATCCTGCAGAGTGTTTTCCAACTTGGTTCCATTCTCCCTGTCACTTTCAGGTACACCAATCAGATGTAGATTTGGTCTTTTCACATAGTTCCATATTTCTTGGAGGCTTTGTTCAGTTCTTTTTATTCTTTTTTCTGTAAACTTCCCTTCTCACTTCATTTCATTCATTTCATCTTCCATTACTGATACCCTTTCTTCCAGTTGATTGCATTGGCTCCTGAGGCTTCTGCATTCTTCACATAGTTCTCGAGCCTTGGCTTTCAGGTCCATCAGCTCCTTTAAGGACTTCTCTGCATTGATTATTCTAGGTATCCATTCGTCTAATTTTTTTTCAAAGTTTTTAACTTCTTTGCCATTGGTTTGAATTTCCTTCTGTAGCTTGGAGTAGTTTGATCATCTGAAGCCTTCTTCTCTCAACTCGTCAAAGTCATTCTCCATCCAGCTTTGTTCTGTTGCTGGTGAGGAGCTGCGTTCCTTTGAAGGAGGAGAGGCACTCTGGTTTTTAGAGTTTCCAGTTTTTCTGCTCTGTTTTTTCCCCATCTTTGTGGTTTTATCTACTTTTGGTCTTTGATGATGGTGATGTACAGATGGGTTTTTGGTGTGGATGTCCTTTCTGTTTGTTAGCTTTCCTTCTAACAGACAGGACCCTCAGCTGCAGGTCTGTTGGAGTTTGCTAGAGGTCCACTCCAGACCCTGTTTGCCTGGGTATCAGCAGTGGTGGCTGCAGAACAGCAGTGGCTGTAGAACAGCCTATATTGGTGAACCACAAATGCTGCTGCCTGATGGTTCCTCTGGAAGTTTTGTCTCAGAGGAGTACCTGGCCATGTGTGGTGTCAGTCTGCCCCTACTGGGGGGTGCCTCCCAGTTAGGCTGCTTGGGGGTCAGGGACCCACTTGAGGAGGCAGTCTGCCTTTTCTCAGATCTCCAGCTGTGTGCTGGGAGAACCACTGCTCTCTTCAAAGCTGTCAGACAGGGACATTTAAGTCTGCAGAGGTTACTGCTGTCTTTTTGTTTGTCTGTGCCCTGCCCCCAGAGTTGGAGCCTACAGAGGCAGGAAGGCCTCCTTGAGCCGTGGTGGGCTCCACCCATTTTGAGCTTCCTGGCTGCTTTGTTTACCTAATCAAGCCTGGGCAATGGCAGGCACGCCTCCCCCAGCCTTGCTGCTGCCTTGCAGTTTGATCTCAGACTGCTGTGCTAGCAATCAGCAAGACTGTGGGCGTAGGACCCTCTGAGCCAGGTGTGGGATATAACCTCCTGGTGTGCCATTTTTTGAGCCCGTCGGAAAAGCTCAGTATTAGGGCGGGAGTGACCTGATTTTCCAGGTGCTGTCTGTCACCCCATTCTTTGACTAGGAAAGGGAACTCCCTGACCCCTTGTGCTTCCTGAGTGAGTCAATGCCTCACCCTGCTTTGGCTTGTGCAATGTCCGCTGCACCCACTGTCCTGCGCCCACTGTCTGGTACTCCCTAGTGAGATGAACCCAGTACCTCAGATGGAAATGCAGAAATCACCCGTCTTCTGCGTTGATCACGCTGGGAGCTGTAGACTGGAGCTGTTCCTATTAGGCCATCTTAGCTCCATCTCTGGAAGTTTTTATCTTACAAGGAGTTTTTCATTTTATCTAAGTCATCAAATTGTTCATAATACCCTCTGATCACCCTTTTACTATGTGGAGAATCTGTAGTGATGTCCCCATATTTATTTATAATATTATTACTTTGTGTCTTCACTTTGTCTTTTATGATCAGTCTGGCCAGAAAATTGTCAATATTGTTTATCTTTTAGCAGGAGCAGGTTTTTCTTTCAGTTATTTTCTCATTGTTTTCCTGTTCTGCATTTTATTAATTTGCAATTATATTTTAAACATTTTGCTTATTTTGGGTGAATTTGTCCTTCAGATTTACATTTTTATAGTGGAAATTAAGTGCATTGATTTGAAACCTTTCTTCATTTTGCACATAGGCATTCAGTCCTTTTAATTTCCCCAATTACTAGTTTAGAAGCATTCCAGAATTTTGATGAATTATGCTTTCTGTTTTATTTAGGCTAGGATATTTTCTAATTTCTATTTTGATTTATCCTTTGACCCATGAGTTTTTGAAAGTGTATTATTTAGTTTCCAACTTTTGGAGAGTTTCTAATAACCTTTCTGTTACTGATTTTTACTTCAATTCCATTGCATCAGAAAGCATAGTTCGTATGATTTGAAGTATTTTAAATTTACTGAGACAATTTGATTTGCTGAAAAATATTTCATAGTTGTCAGTGCACAAATCTTGCCAACTTTTGGTAAATGTCTCATAGGCTTTTGAAAATGTTGTGCTTTCTGCTACTTGCAGATTAAATGCTCTATAAATATCAGTTAAATTAGTTTGGTTGGTAGTCATCAACTCTTCTGTGCTTGCTGATTTTTTGTGTAATTGAGTTATCAATTATTAAGAGAGGGGTATTAAAATCTCCAAATTTAATTGTGCAATTGCCCATTTCTCCTTTAAGTTTTACCAGTTTTCATTTCTTGTATTTTGAATCTCTCTTATAAAATACATAAATCCTTAAGGTTATTATGTGTGCTTAATGACTTGGTTCTGTTATTATAAAATGATGTTTATTATCCTGAGTTATATTCTTTACTCTGAAATCTAATTAGCCTGATATTAATATAGCTACTCCACCTTTATTTTAGTTAATTTTAGTGTGATACAATTTGTATGCTTTTTTTTTATCCTATTTGCCTTATTTTTCTTTTTTTCTTTTTTTTATTATACTTTTAAGTTTTAGGGTACATGTGCACAACATGCAGGTTAGTTACATATGCATACTTGTGCCATGTTGGTGTGCTGCACCCATTAACTCGTCATTTAACATTAGGTATCTGGCACAAGACAGGGATGCCCTCTCTCACCACTCCTATTCAACATAGCGTTGGAAGTTCTGGCCAGGGCAATCAGGCAGGAGAAGGAAATAAAGGGTATTCAATTAGGAAAAGAGGAAGTCAGATTGTCCCTGTTTGCAGATGACATGATTGTATATCTAGAAAACCCCATTGTCTCAACCAAAAATCTCCTTAAGCTGATAAGCAACTTCAGCAAAGTCTCAGGATACAAAATCAATGTGCAAAAATCACAAGCATTCTTATACACCAATAACAGACAAACAGAGAGCCAAATCATGACTGTACTCCCATTCACAATTGCTTCAAAGGGAATAAAATACCTATGAATCCAACTTACAAGGGATGTGAAGGACCTCTTCAAGGAGAACTACAAACCACTGCTCAATGAAATAAAAGAGGATACAAACAAATGGAAGAACATTCCATGCTCATGGGTAGGAAGAATCAATATCGTGAAAATGGCCATACTGCCATACTGCCCAAGGCAATTGATAGATTCAGTGCCATCCCCATCAAGCTACCAATGACTTTCTTCACAGAATTGGAAAAAACTACTTTAAAGTTCATATGGAACCAAAAAAGAGCCCACATTGCCAAGACTATCCTAAGCCAAAAGAACAAAGCTGGAGGCATCACACTACCTGACTTCAAACTATACTACAAGGCTACAGTAACCAAAACAGCATGGTACTGGTACCAAAACAGAGATATAGACCAATGGAACAGAACAGAGCCCTCAGAAATAATGCCGCATATCTACAACCACCTGATCTTTGACAAACCTGACAAAAACAAGCAATGGGGAAAGGATTCCCTATTTAATAAATGGTGCTGGGAAAACTGGCTAGCCATATGTAGAAAGCTGAAACTGGATCCCTTCCTTACACCTTATACAAAAATTAATTCAAGATGGATTAAAGACTTAAATGTTAGACCTAAAACCATAAAAACCCTAGAAGAAAACCTAGGCAATACCATTCAGGACATAGGCATGGGCAAGGACTTCATGTCTAAAACACCAAAAGCAATGGCAACAAAAGCCAAAATTGACAAATGGGATCTAGTTAAACTAAAGAGCTTCTGCACAGCAAAAGAAACTACCATCAGAGTGAACAGGCTACCTACAGAATGGGAGACAAAGGGCTAATATCCAGAATCTACAATGAACACAAACAAATTTACAAGAAAAAGAAACAACCCCATTAACAAGTGGGCGAACGATATGAATAGACACTTCTCAAAAGAAGACATTTATGCAGCCAACAGACACATGAAAAAATGCTCATCATCACTGGCCATCAGAGAAATGTAAATCAAAACCACAATGAGATACCATCTCACACCAGTTAGAATGACGATCATTAAAAAGTCAGGAGACAACAGGTGCTGTAGAGGATGTGGAGAAATAGGAACACTTTTACACTGTTGGTGGGACTGTAAACTAGTTCAGCCATTGTGGAAGTCAGTGTGGCGATTCCTCAGGGATCTAGAACTAGAAATACCATTTGACCCAGCCATCCCATTACTGGGTATATGCCCAAAGAATTATAAATCATGCTGCTATAAAGACACATGCACACGTATGTTTATTGCAGCACTATTCACAATAGCAAAGACTTGGAACCAAGCCAAATGTCCAACAATGATAGACTGGATTAAGAAAATGTGGCACATACACACCATGGAATACTATGCAGCATAAAAAATGATGAATTCATGTCCTTTGTAGGGACATGGATGAAGTTGGAAACCATCATTCTCAGCAAACTATTGCAAGGACAAAAAACCAAACACCACATGTGCTCACTCGTAGGTGGGAATTGAACAATGAGAACACATGGACACAGGAAGGGGGACATCACACACCAGGGCCTGTTGTGCGGTGGGGGGAGGGGAGAGGGATAGCATTAGGAGATATACCTAATTTTAAATGATTTATTTTTCAATTGCATTTTTTATAGGCAACATATAGTTGTTTCTTTATGATCAACCAGTCTCTGCCTTTTAAATGGGTGTGTTTAGACCATTTACATTAAATGTGACTATGAGCACAAATTTAATTCTCTCATCTTGTCCTTTGTTATCTATTTTTCTTATCTCTTCTTTATTCCTCTTTATTTCTTTTTCCACTTGATTTAGATAATTTTTGTATTTCATTATTTGTTTTTATCCTTTCTACTGGCTCATTAGCTTTTTTGTTTTAGTAGTTGTTGTAAAGTTTAGAGTATACAACTTAGTGTACCCTCAAGTGCTGGCATACACTACTATACTTCTATTTCCCTCTTGCTGATTTTTTTGTTATTTTTATTCACTTTTTAAAAATTACATTTTGTTTAAAACATCTATTATCCTGTAGAAATACTAAATATGAAAAAAGATCTTACATATATACCAATGTAGTTACCATCTCTGATGTTCTTTATTCCATTGTGTATATTGATTTTTAAATAATTTTTCTGCCTAAAAAAATTTATTAACTTTTTTTTTTGCAATGGAGATCTGCTGGCAATAAATTCTTTTAACTTTTGTGTATCTGCTATCATTTGCCCTCTTTTTTGGAAGTTTTTTTGTGTGTGTGTTTATAAAACTCTATATTAAGAAATTTATTTTCTCTTAGTATTTTAAGGATTTTACTCTACTGTTTTTTGCTTTATTGTTTCCAGTGAGAAATTTCTTGTCATCTTTATCTTTGTTCCATTATATGCAATATTGTTTTTTCTTCTGCTTTCAAGATTTTCTTTCTATCACTGTTTTTGAATTTGTTGATTAAGATGTATCATGGTATAGCATTCTTATTTCTTGTCTGTGAAATTTGTTAGGTTTTTTCATCAGTGACTTATAATGTTTATCCATTTGGAAACATTATGACCATCATTAAAAAAATATTTCTTCCCTGCCCTCTCCTTTAGTATTGCAATTACACATATATTATGATGCTTAAACTTGTTCCATAGATCACTGGTGCTTTCTTCATTTATGTTAACTCTCTTTTCTTTTTGTGTTTTATTTTGGAAAATCCTAAGCTATACCCTCAAGTTCAATAATCGTTTATTTTGCCAAGTCTAATTGGCCCTTAATTCTATCCAGTGTATTTTCCATGTTACACATTATAATTTTCATATCTGAAAGTACAATTAGCACCTTCTTAAAATCTCCCATGTCTCTACTTAACTTTTTGAACATGTGGAATAAAATAATAATAATTGTTTTAATGTTCTTGCCTGCTAATTCTAACATCTGTGCCAATTCTGAATCAGTTTCAATCAAGTGATATTTTTCTTTTCATTATGGATTGTATTTTTTTTTCTTTGCATGCCTGGCAATCTTTAATAAAATGACAGAGTTTGCAAATTTTACCTCGTTGGGTGCTGAACATTGTATCCTTATAAATATTATTGAGCATCATTCTGGGATGCAAACAAATTACATGAGGACACTTGGATAAATTTATGTGTTGATTTTAGGATTTGTTAAGTAGGGCCATAGCAGCGTTTTGTATAAGACTAATTATCCCTCAGTAACTATTGAGGGATAAAAACCCCATGAAGGTTTTTGTGAGTACTCTACCCAATGCTCTGTAAATGATGAGTTTTCTCCAGACTTGCTTGTTGGAAAAGATAGTATTTTCAGCCTCTCTAAAACTCTGCCATGTGAAGCCTATTTACATTAGTTTCTTTAGACTTTTTGGTTCTGTGCACTCAACTCAGAGTTTGTTGGGCTTTATCTCAGTTCCTTCTACATGCATTGTAGCTGTAAACTCCTTCAAGATAATAAACTAGTACAATGTTATGGCTCACATTGTTTCATTTCCTGTCTCTCAGCTCTGTCTTTTGTTACTCGATATCCAGTGTCTTAAAAACCATTGCTTTATCTTGTCTGCTTTGTTTGTTTGTGTATTTGTTTCAAGCTGGAGTGTATTCTAATCTTTGGTATTCCATTTTGTCTGGAAGCACAAATTGCCATTTATATGTTATAATTCCTGAATTTAAGTATTCAGCTAGGAATGTAAGCTCATTCTAATCTTATATATCCAATTGCTTATTTTATATCTCTTTGATTGCTGCTAGTTATCTCAAACTTATTTTGGAAATGAAGCTTTTGATGTACTGATGTTTCTCCAACTCTTCTTTTGCCAGGTTTCCCATCTCAGTAGAAACAATACAAAAAATCAGAATGCCCCAGTTTCTATATTAGTTCCAACATGTGCTCACCATGCAGGCTTCAGCAGATGACTTCACCTTTTCATTATTTAGTTTCATTGTCCACTAAACAGAGGTGAACTAATGAAGCCAGTATCTAAATCATAGATTTGTTGTGTTTCTTGTTGTGGTTGTATTTTTAAATGGATTAGCACATTTTAAGGGAGTGATGTAGCTTAGTTTCTCAGTAACTGTTAGCCACTGACTTTCTTTATGTACCTTGAAACTCTAAATCCTGTCTTAGAGCGCCTAATGTTCTGTATAACTACACAGCTCCTCTCCCAGCACTTTGACTGACTAATTTAATATTGTTGTAAAGGTCTAACTGAAATATCATCTCCTCAGGGAGACTTTAGAAAGAACACTGAAAGAAATTTCCAAAGAAATTCATACAAGCTATTTTCTAGTAAGATGCAATGGTTATGTGGCTCCTAGTAATCACAATTTTTAAACATCTTATGTATCTATTTTTTTGTTTTTTTTTATATGTCTTACTCATCAAAATGTGAGCTCCTTGAGTATACGAACCTTGTTAATTCTATATCTCAATTTTTTCAGGCATATAGTAGGTATTTTATCAATATTTGTTGATTTAAACTATACATTGAATTTTTGTTTCTCTTTTTCATACATTGCCCCAGTATTTATACTGTACTCTCCTCTAATCCTGATGCTTATTTCCCCTTCCACTTCTATTTCCTCAGGCCCACTTTTGTTCTCTCTCTTTGTCTCTCTCTCTCCTTCTTTCTTTTCCTAATGATAAATCATTGTCTTTTATATTTGTAGAGCTTACACCTTTGAAGAAAATTATGAAGCTACTCTGCCAGCACAATATAAATTGTAGGTTCCATGGACAAATATCAGATTTGTTTTATCCACTACCAATACCCCAAATTGTAAGCTGACATGAAACTCATCATCAGAGTGGCCAAGATTGATTTTCAATTTTCATTTGAGTGGTCTTTGGTTCAAATTGGTAAAGAATGATGTGCTATTAGTTAAAAGTAATTTTAGAAAGAAAATAGTTACCAGGGAGTCTAGCAAACTAATGTGGATTAGTCAAACTGATAATAGTGAAGGTTCATAATTATATTTACCACGCTTGCTACAATTATACTTATGTCTATTGACTTTCTTAGTTCATATGGAAAACTAGTTAGATGTAGAGATTCCCTGTCTTTAGCGTTTCATCTCTAATTTATTTTTAGTCAGTTCATAAAATGAAAAAGATGATAATTGAGACAGCAACCTTTATAAGAAGTTTGAATACTGAGAATATTCAATTTATTTTGTAGAAAAAAATAGATGCTTTGGTCAAATATTATATTTCTGTTTATCATAGAAGTTTGAGAAAAAGCTTTCATTATTGGTAACAGATGTTTACCTACTTATTTTATTATTATGATTATACTTTAAGTTCTGGTATACATGTACAGAATGTGCAGGCTTGTTACATAGTTATACATGAGCCATGGTGGTTTGCTGCACCCATCAACACATCATCTAAGTTTTAAGCCCCGCATGCATTAGGTATTTTTCCTAATGCTATCCCTCCCCATGCCCCCTACCTCCCAACAGGCCCTGGTGTGTGATGTTCCCCTCCCTGTGTCCATGTGTTCTCTTTGTTCACATCCCACTTACGAGTAGGAACATGTGGTGTTTGATTTTCTATTCCTGTATTAGTTTACTGGGAATGATGGCTTTCAGTTTTATCCATATCCCTGCAAAGGATATGAACTCATTCTTTTTTATGGCTGCATAGTATTCTATGGTGTATATGTGCCACATTTTCTTTATGCTGCCTGTCATTGATGGACATTTGGGTTAGTTCCAGGCCTTTGCTGTTGTAAATAGTTCTCCAAGGTTGAAACAAAGGAAAAATCTTAAGGGCAGCCAGAGCAAAAGGTCAGTCTACCTACCTACTTACTGATTTACCTTTATGTAGATGAGTGTAATTTGACTTTTTCTTTTTAAATTTTATGTTAGGCCCTAGCTAAAGAACCTTTGATTTTCAATTGATGTACTATGTGGGCAGAAAACATCAGAAAGAATGTCTTTTTTTTTTTTTTGGTAAATAAATTAACAATACTAATGGATAAGGTGACTAAAAAACACTGAAATGAGAGCTTTGTTGTCCATGAAAGCCCTTTGATTCATCAACTGCCTTGTAACTCATCTGCTACTCTTCATTCCGGTGTTCCACACTGAGCACAATGGAGTAGGGCTGCTATTTACCCCAGAATTGCAAATGTACAACTTTACTTTTAAAAGGTTTCCAATAATTATTGGTTCAATAAAACTTAAATATAGCTTGTGATGGAGAAATATAGGAGATAGGTAGACTTAAAGGTCTGGATAAATAAAGGATCTGGTTTGATTTGGTACCACAATCCAAGGAGGACTTGTTCTGCTTTGCTTTTGCTGGTTGAGAGCAGCCCTGACATCCATGGTAGTAACTCAGATCTAAGGCCATCATTGGATCTGTGGTGGTCTAAGTAAATGGCCATACATTTTTAGACATTCTTCTCACAGAGAGGTGGTGTCTACATCCTTTCCCCATGAATCTTAGCATACTTTTGACTCACTGTAACAACAAAATCCAGTAGCAGTGACACTGAATGAATTTTGCTTTTTGTTTGTTTGTTTGTTGTTTGTTTTTTTGAGACAAAGTTTCACTGTTGTCACCCAGGCTGGAGTGCAATGGCGCAATCTTGGCTCACTGCAACCTTCGCCTCCCAAGTTCAAGTGATTCTTCTGCTTCAGCCTCCTGAGTAGCTGCGATTACAGGCACCTGCCACCATGCCTGGCTTATTTTTTGTATTTTTAGTAGAGATGGGGTTTCACCATGTTGTCCAGGCTGATCTTGAACTCTTGACATCAGGTGATCCACCTGCGTTGGCCTTCCAATGACACTGAATGAATTTTGAAGCTGGGTCAGAAAGAGTGAAATATTTTCTCACTGTTCTCTGGTACACTCACTTTGGAAGTCTTGGGATGCCAGGTAAGGATCTGAATACCTTGAGGCCACCATTGCTGTAGGAAAGTGCAAGTCAAATGGTCACATAAAAGTGTTCTAACTGACAGCCCTAGCAGAAATCCTAAAAGAAACTTGTATCCACTGATATGACACGTGAATGAAGAACCCCTTAGACATTCCTAACCATCAAGTCACCCCAGGCATTGCTGCTTCCAACTTAGGTCTTCCAACTTGGGCCTCTCAGGAAACAGAGATGAATCCTCCCCACTGTGTCGTGCTCCAGTTCCTGATCCACAATATTCATGAGCAAAATAAAATGGCTTTTTAAAGCTACTGACTTCTGGAGTAGAGTGCTATGCCTTAAGACTAACTGGAACATACTGTTTTTCTGTTGTTGTTGTTTTTTTTTTGTTTTTTTTTGAGACTGAGTCTCGCTCTATTGCCCAGACTGGAGTGCAGTGGCATGATCTTGGCTCACTGCAACCTCCACTTCCCTGGTTCAAGCTATTCTTCTGCCTCAGCCTCCAGAGTAGCTGGGACTACAGACATGCACCATCATGCCTAATTTTTGTATTTTTAGTACAGACGGGGTTTTACCATATTGGCCAGGCTGGTCTCGAACTCCTGACCTCGTGATCCACCTGCCTTGGCTTCCCAAAGTGCTGGGATTACAGGCGTGAGCCACAGACTCTTATTCGTCCTTTTCCTGAGAGTGGAAACTAGCCTAACACTCGGCTACCATAGCTGAGATGGTGCCATTAATAGGGTTATCTTTGTATAATCACCACCTGTCTAGCTGACTCCCAAATATTAACACTTGTCAGGATTTCCCAAGTTGGAAGTCTCCGAAATAAATGAGTTTGTCCATATCAGGACATAGTAACACAGGTAATTGTCTCAGTGTATAAAACAAATAAATAAAGTCTATTTTGACACTTCAAATTTTAACCTAGTAATTTATGATTTAAGTTTTAACGATATGTTTTAACTTATTTTCTAAAGATTGCTTTGACTGTAATCTATGATCTATGAGCATGAGTGAAAAGAGAAGCACAGGATGGGGCTTCTCACGTGAATAAGGACTGACGATCCTTTGATGACCATCAGTAACTATTATCCAGTGAGCCACTCCAAGTGTCAGGCTTGCAGTCCTAGCAAAATCCACAGATCAAAGAGCATCATTCCATGATTCGTGGCCATATGCCAGGTTGTTCTGCTGAGTGATTCCCTAGCTACCTATGGATAGGCCAGATTTCTGGTGTATCAGGCAAAATTTTAAAGCATTTATTTTAGTCTTACTGCTTCAGGTTAGCTTGATTTCATGACTAATGTGCAGCAGATATTGAGGGCTGCCCAAATGTAATACATGTTCAAAAGAGCTGCATTTGCAATAGACATCTTTAAAATATCAGAAGTCTAGCTATCATTCCAAGTTCTGTTTTTTATTCCCCAGAGAAACAGTATGTGAAGGTAGGTCTAATATCATGAATGGGCTCAGGCCTGAGAGTTTCCTAGAGTGACCATTTCCTCCATATAGAACACTATGATTGAAAGCTATAGATTAATCTGGCAGTTAGTAAGAAATTCTACAAATATTAAAACAGTAGTTTAAACAAATTTTCTCTCCTCCCCAACAGTTGCCCAAGATTACGTTATAAGAAGGTGAAAGACCTAGAATTTGAACTCAGTAGTCTGATTAGTAAGATTAACATCATTTTCCTTGTATTGGGTTGTATATTTACAATTGGGTTATAAAATAAATTTATCCTGTAAAATATTAAAAGTCCAAATGGGTTCTTAACAGTCAAAGAGGTGAAAGTCACCATGACAGATATCACCATAATATAAAAAATTCAGAATTTCTGAATTTCTAGGAAGCTCTGAAGACCAGGATTAGGTTTAGAATACAATAGATTCATGTGGAAGGTGAGTTAAAAATCAGGCGCGGTGGGTCATGCCTGTAATCCCAGCACTTTGGGAGGCCGAGGCGAGCGGATCACGAAGTCAGGAGTTCGAGACCAGCCTGACCAACATGGTGAAACCCTGTCTCTGATAAAAATACAAAAAAAAAAAAAATAGCCAGGTGTGGTGGCACATGCCTGTAATCCCAGCTACTCAGAAGGCTGAGGCAGAAGAATAGCTTGAACCTGGGAGGCGGAGGTTGCAGTGAGCTGAGACCATGCCACTGCAGTCCAGCCTGGGTGACAGAGCAAGACTCTGTCTCAAAAAAAAAAAAAAAATCATTGTCTATTAAAATTTGAGCATAGTTGTCAAGAGAATGATTCAAGGCCAAGGGAATGTTGTGTTCCTTAAACTTGGGGGCCTGTAAATCACAGGAGGAGAAAATAGAGGTTTAACTCCATGGAAACATTTAGAAAAGCCATTCTGGACTTAGGTGCCAAAAGAAATGCTCTTAATTAAGCTGTATGCATAATGAGTACAGATATTTAATTCCTATGATGAAAAACAAGTGCCTGAATCATACCACCTTCTAAACGTCAGTAAGTATCATTGTAACTTTCATGAAAGCTAGAGCAAAATTCATTACATGGTGAATATTATCTTTATTTGAAGATTTTGGTCAGGCTAAAACAAATGTCTATCAATAGTCAGAGAAAAAAATTATTTGGTAATGTCTTGTGCGGTAATTACTGCTTGAATTAGTGAATTGAAAATGGGATTCCACTGGGGTCTCTATAAACTGTATTTGTCACCCAAAAGATATTGTCACTTCTTTCCATTTAGAAAAATAATTTGCTATTTTTAACTGCTTTGCAGTGCCATCAATTTGGAATAATCTGATTTCCTCTGTTATATTTTGCTTTTATGTCATGAAAGTTATAAAGAGAATTTACTGTCTTTTTTTATTAAAACTCCAGCTCTGGTTCCGGCCATTGTATTTCCTAATTATGCTGGGAGGATGGCTTCTTATCAAGGTAGTTTACTTATGAGTAATGTTCTTTGTGTGGCTTCTGCAGTGGACAAGTTAGATTGCTTCTGACATCAGCTAGCAGTAAATTAGCTTCCAATTTGGCTGTGTTCTAAAAGACTGAAAGATTTACTTTGTCAACATCCATGCATTCAGATGAAAATAACTTCTTTAGTTTGATTTTGCTTTTTATCTGAGGCACAGAGCTGTTTCTAGAGCTTCTAATTGTCTTATACCTCCTATTTAAGGAGAAAAACTATACTTTTCCATACCTTCATGTTGTGAAATGTTTTGTTTTGTATGGTGTTTTGTTTTATTTATTTAAACTGATACTGATTGATATTGTTCTTTTAATGATAGTTTATATTTGGCTAAGAAGCCTGAAGATGGCCAGGTGCTTAATCAAGAATTCTGCAAAAGTAAATTCTAGAATCTCAGGTGAAATGATGTAAGTGAAAAACACCAGATTCCAAGTAGGTACTAAAAGATGAGAGTCGGATAATACAGTGGTAGAAAGAAAAATAACCATTTCCTTATGGGTACTATGACCCAGAGAAACACTTTTGATGAAATTATTCATGCTAGAATGCAACTTATTAGGATGTTTCAATGACATGAGTGGTATTTTTTAAAAGCATATATGTTAAGAATAAAATTCCCTGATGTGGAGTAAGGAAATGTTAGGTCTTATTTTAAACTGAGCTTCTTAACTTCCTAAAAATTAATTGAAAACAAAACCATAACATTTTTACTTGTAAGTATAGTAATTATAAAAGATGGATTTATTAAGGCAGGACAATCATTTAGAATAATAACTGCTGCCAATACCTCTTTGTGATTTTTAGTGAATTAGTTTTTTTGTAATCAGTTGGAAACACTAATATGAAATAAGTTGGGGTGTTAAATTTGTTTCTGTGGCCTTTATTAAGAAGATCTTGGCAAGCATTGCTAGTAAGTCAGTAAGAATTTCAGCTAATGTAAGGGAGAATACAAAGTAACAATCTCAACTCATTTTAAATAACATTGAAATCATGTTGACTTTATTTCTAAGTACACTCCTTCCATTTTGGGCATTAGTGTTTCTCAACACTATGCTTGTACTTGAATTTCTCAGAACTTCTTTTTAGTTGCACATCTAGCACATGTTTACTTAGGGGAACACAACTGGTTCAAGGTAAAACAAAGTTATCTAAGGGTTTCTCAAAGGATGTCTTAAAAGGCATAATATCTTGACAAAAAAATACTGAAATTAACTACTTTATGGTAGAAGACATGTTTCCTCCGTTTAAAAGATAGTGTTCTGCCAAACCAAATGGTTTGTTTTCATTAATGCAAAAGCTAAACAATCTGTCTCTCTGGATTCCCACCCCTGTTTTTGTGTGTTCTGTCACTATCAGCATTAGCCCCAGCGCAGAGTTAAGAGTTCATCACTGGGCAGTGGAAGCCAAGTAGCAAGTAGGAGTGAGGAGGATACCCAGCTGAAAGAGAAGAAATGTAGCTTAGAATGTAGCTCAGACCAGGAAGGTTGGGCCATATGGTGGGCAAAGCAAAAGAGGGCCTGTAGTTGGAGACAAAGTCAAAATGATAGTGGGCAAATATAATCCAGGGAAGTCTCAATCCAAAAGACCATGCTGGCAGACAGCTTCCAAAATGTAGTGTAGGTTTAAAGGGAGTATGGGAAGTGAACCACATTGTCCAAGAAATCCAATGATGGCTGGAGGTTAGGGAGAACGAGAAGAGAGTCCAGCAGCTGAGAAATGGGCTAGCAAGTAAAGGTAAATGGTAAGTCACAGTCAATGACTTCTGCACAGCAAAAGAAACTATTATCAGAATGAACAGACAACCTACAGAATGGGAGAAATATTTTGCAATGTATCCATCTAACAAAGGTCTAATATCCAGAATCCACAAGGGGACTTAAATTTACAACAAAAAAACAACCCCATTAAAAAGTGGGCAAAGGACATGAACAGACACTTATCAAAAGAAGACATTTATGTGGCCAACAAACATGAAAAAAGGTCAACATCACTGATCATTAGAGAAATGCAAAACAAAACCACAATGAGATACCATCTCACACCAGTCAGAATGGTGATTATTAAAAAGTCAAGAAACAACAGATGCTGGTGAGGCTGTGGAGAAATAAGAATGTTTTTACATTGTTGTTGGGAATGTAAATTAGTTCAACCATTGTGGAAGACAGTGTGGTGATTCCTCAAAGACCTAGAATCAGAAATACCATTTGACCCAGCAATCTCATTACTGGGTATATACACAAAGGAATATAAATCATTCTGTTATAAAGACACATGCACGCGTATGTTGATTGCAGCACTATTCACAATAGCAAAGACATGGAATCAATCCAAATACCCATCAATGATAGGCTAGATAAAGAAAATGTGATACATATACACATTGGAATACTATGCAGCCATAAAAAAGAACAATATCATGCCCTTTGCAGGGACATGGATAGAGATGGAAGCCATTATCCTCAGCAAATTAACACAGGAACAGAAAACCAAACACTGCATGTTCTCACTTATAAGTGGGAGCTGAACAATGAGAACACATGGACACAGGGACGGGAACAATACACACTGGGTCTGTTTCAGGGGTGAGTGAGAGAGAACATCAGGATAGCTAATGCATGTAGGGCTTAAAACCTAGGTGATGGGTTGATAGGTGCAGCAAACCACCATGGAACATGTTTACCTATGTAACAAACCTGCATGTCCTGCACATGTATCCAGAACTGAAAATTAAATTAAATTTAAAAAAAGAACAAATGCTCTTTATTGATCATTTACTGTGTGTCAAACACTGAGCTAAACCATCTACACATATTCTCATTCAATCTTCAGAATTGTTCTAGAAAGTAAGTTGTACTATTCCCAGTATAGAAACAAACAAGACAAAGCTCAGGGAAGTTAGTTAGTAATTTACTCTTGTCCACATAGCCAATAAATAGCAGGGTGAACAATGAAATCCAGACTTTGTAACTACTAAGCTTTTATCTAGCATCTGTGCAACTGGGCAGAGGCCATCAGGGTATTTCCAAACATCATATATTGGAAAGCTGGAAACATTGATGAATGGCCCTTGACCTCTTGTTCTTAGATGGGATGGAGGGAAGGAGTGAGTTGGAGAGGGCCATGGCAGGGGCAGTGGGAGCATGATAATCATAAGTATAACCTGAGAGGAAGCAGCAGGGCAAGTCTTGAAACTCAACCATCTCCCAGAGTTGGGGACATGCTGTTTCCTGCACTGTTTCATTTCTTCATGAAGGTTTTCTTTTTTCAAGCCAAATTCCATATTATCTACTTTTTTAAACCAGCTATTCTATCTTTAGTTGTAATTCAGCTTCCCAATAATGTTTTTGCTTTGTTTCTAAGGGATTATTGATGGAATGTCAAGACTGAGTATTACTGTTGTTTCTGATTACTGTGAATAGCGGGTGTGTCCCACTTCCTTTCAGAGGGGCTCTGACAGTTGCCTTAGGTCCATGACATCGTCTTGGGTATTTTCTACAATCGCTTTCTAAATTCTAAAGTTTGGATGTCTAACTTTCCAGATTTTACAAAACATATTAAAAATCTATACTAGCCAAATGAAAGATTTTGGTTACATTTGAGTGGTTAGTAAACATTAGCTTTCCTTTACTATTTAACCTCAGATTAGAATTTCAGAGACTGGAATTTACTAACTTTAATGTAACATTAACAATTTCCACAGTTCATAAAGCACTACAGGAAAAAATATATCAGGTAACTAGCCAAGCACGGGGCATAAAGTTTGCTATAAATATTAAAGGTACATTTGTCATAAATCACTAGATTTAGATCATAAAGTATCCTTCTACATAAAGTATACATAAACTACTGTATTATTATGTTACACACGTACTATAGCAGAATAGTAGCAAACTAAGTTTAGAAAAGCTTGCCACTACCTTTTCATTCCAGTTATCAAGAATCAAATGTCAGCCTTTAACTATTGCTTAAAACACCACCAAGAAAGAATAACATCCTAAGTACAGATTTAGTTTTATGATGCACACACACACACACACACACACACACACACACACATCTGTTACAGAGTGTCTTCTAGGACATGATGAATATAGAAGTCTGAATCTATTCTTTGTGCTGATTATATCATTTTACCCAAGAAATCAACATTGCCATTTTTGAACAAAAGACAGAAAACCTAAATTACTTAGGTTGCAATTAAGACTTCTATTTTTATTAGAGCTTTGTAATAGATTCAAGAAGAAATTTGTGAATTTGCAGAGCATAATTTTCTTATATGTGGACAAACTCTGGTTAAAATATTAGAAACCATTGTATAAAACCATAAATTTTAAACAAAAATAAGATATGATTTGCTGTCAGAGAGAAATTAATCTGTATACCAAAAAAGACTGTGAGTTTGTAACTGTCTGTAAATGCACTAGTTACAAAATAGCAAATAGAACAAATGACTTGTTTAATATTGTTTAACTGCTAGGAATGTTTATAAAATGTCCAACAAAAATATCTGGTATAATTATTATATTTATTAGAACTCTAAAGCTGAAAAATCTAATGACTTGATATTCTCTAAAAACTAGTATGAATCAAACACTTGTTATTTTCCAATAATGTAGATTAACCGAGGCCTAAATTTGTGTCAAAGGAGAATATGAAAACTTAAAGCATCAATATCCAAGCAGTTTTCTTTTCTTAATGAGTACAAAAGCAGAGGTAAGAGTTGAGGGTGGAGGAAATATGAGGCTCCAAATCCACATTCCTGTTACTTTTGGTTTAGCCAGTCAGAAAAATAACTTTAAGTATATTCCAACAGAGGGAAAAGGTGGGAAAATAAGCAGGTGCAGCTACATGCAGCCTCAGAAATAAACATACACTCTATGCGATGCACACTTGAATTTTTACTTACTATCTAAAATGGCTGAATTGAAAGGGAAGTACACATACCTCTTATCCTTTTCTCCCCTCTAAACTCAAAAACTTTTTAAAATTTTTTCATTTTTGTGGGGACATAGTAAGTGTATATATTTATGGGGTTCATGAGATATTTTGGAACAGGCATGCAATGCGCAATAATCACATCATGAAAAATTGGGTATTTATGCTCTCAAGAATTTATCCTTTGTGTTGCAAACAATGCAATTCTACTCTTTTAGTTATTTTAAACTGTACCATTAGATTATTATTGACTATAGCCCCTTGTACTCTTGCACTACCCATCCCAGCCTCTGGTAATCATCCTTATATTCTCTATCTCCATGAACTCAGTTGTTTTTATGCTTAGATCCCATATGTAAGGGAGAACATGTTCTGTTTGTCTTTCTGTGCTTAGCTTATTTCCCTTAGCATAATGACCTCCGTTCCCATCCATGATGTTGTAAATGACAGAATCTCATTCTTTTTTTATGGCTGAATAGTACCCCATTATGTATAAGACCATATTTTCTATATCCATTCATCTGTTGATAGACATTTAGGTTGCTTCCAAATCTTGGCTATTGTGAAGAGTGCTACAATAAGTATGGGAGTGCAGGTATCTCTTAGGTATACTGATTTCCTTTCTTTGGGGTATATGCCTAGCAGTGAGATTGCTAGATTGTATGGTAGCTCTATTTTTAGTTCTTTGCAGAATCTCCAAACTGTTCTCCTTAGTGGTTGTAGTAATTTACATTCTCACCAACAGTGTATGAGGGTTCCCTTTTCTCCACATCCTCACCAGCATTTTCTATTGCCTGTCTTTTGGATTAAAGCCATTTTAACTGGGGTGAGATGTTATCTCATTATAGTTTTAATTTGCATTTCTCTGATGAGGAATAATGTGGAACTTTTTTTTATATGTTTGTTTGACATTCGTATGTCTTTTGAGAAATGTCTAACCAAGTACTTAACTATTTTTTAATTAGATTATTGAATTTTTTCCTTTAGAGTTGTTTGAGCTCCTTATATATTCTGGTTATTAATCCCTTGTCAGTTGGGTAGTTTGCAAATATTTTCTGCCATTCTGTGAGTTGTCTCTTCACTTTGTTGATTGCTTCCTTTGCTGTGCAGAAGCTTTTAAACTTGATGTCATCCAATTTGTCTCTTTTGTGCTTTGATTGTCTGTGCTTGTGGGATATTACTCAAGAAATTTTGCCCAGGCCAACGTCCTGGAGAATTTCCCAAAAGCTTTCTTGTAATGGTTTCACAGTTTGAGGTCTGAGAGTTAAGTCTTTAATCCATTTTGATTTAATTTTGTATATGACAAGAGATAGGGGTCTAGTTTCATTCTCCTGTATATGAATATCCAGTTTTCCCAGCACCATTTATTGAAGAGACTGTGTTTTCCCCACTGTATGTTTTTGGCACATTTGTCAAAAATGAGTTCACTGTAGATGTGTAGATTTTTTTCTGAGTTGTCTACTCTCTTTCATGCTGCTTTGGTTACCGTAGCTCTGAGGTATAATTTGAAGTCAGGTAATATGACACCTCCAGATTTTTTTCTGTCTACTCAGGATGGCTTTCGTTATTCTGGGTCTTCTGTGGTTCCATATAAATGTTAGGATTATTGTTTTTGTTTCTGTGAAGAATGACATTAGTATTTTGATAGGGATTGCACTGAATCTGTAGATTGCTTTGGGTGGTATGGACATTTTAACAATATTGATACTTCCAGTCCATGAACATGGAATATCTTTCCATTTTGTATCCTCTTTAATTTCTTTCATCAATGTTTTATAGTTTTCATTGTAGAGATCTTTCACTTATTTGATTAATTCCTGGGTATTTAATTTTATGTGTGGCTGTTATAAATGGGATTACCTTTTTTATTTCTTTTTCAGATTGTTCACTATTGGCCTGTAGAATTGCAGCTGACTTTTGTATGTTGATTTTGTATACTGCAACTTTACTGAATGTGTTTGTTTATCTAAAAGATTTTTTTCTTTCGTGGAGTCTCATGTTTTTTCAAATATAAGATCATATCATCTGCAAACAAGAATAATTTGACTTCTTCCTTTGCAACTGGATGGTTTTACTTTCTTTCTCTTGTCTGATTGCTATAGCTAGGACTTCCAGCACTATGCTGAATAACAGTGGTGAAAGTGGGCATCCTTGTCATGTTTCAGATCTTAAAGGCCTTCAGTTTTTCTCTATTCAGTATGATACTATCTGTTGGTCTGTCATATAGCTTTTATTATGTTGAGATATGTTCCTTCTCTACCTAGTTTTTTAAGAGTTTTTATCATAAAGGGATGTTGAATTTTATCAAATGTTTTTCAGCATCCATTGAAATGATGATACAGGACGGGCTCAATGGCTCACACCTGTAATCCCAGCACTTTGGGAGGCTGAGTTGGGTGAATCACTTGAGGTCAGGAGTTTGAAACCAGCCTGGCCATCATGGTGAAACCCCGTCTCTACTGAAAAAAAATACACAAAAAATTAACCAGGCATGGTGGCGTGTACGTGTAATCCCAGCTACTTGGGAGGCTGAGGCAGGAGAATCACTTGAATCTGGGAGGCGGAGGTTGCAGTGAGCTGAGATCACGGCACTGCGCTCCAGCCTGGGCAGTAGAATGAGACTCCATCTCAAAAAAAAAAAGATACAGTTTTTGTTCTTCATTCTGTTGATATGATGTATCACATTGATTGATTGATCTATGTTGAACCATCCTTGTATCTTTGGGGTAAATCCCACTTATTTATGATGAATGATCATTTTTATGTATTGCTTAATTCAGTTTGCCAGTATTTTGTTGATTTTGCATCTATATTTGTCAGAGATATTGACCTGTAGTTTTTGTTTTGTTTTGTTTTGTTTTGATGTGTCTTTGTCTGGTTTTGGTCTCAGGGTAATGCTGGTTTTGTAGAATGAGTTTGGAAGTATTCCCACTTCCTCTACTTTTCAGAAAAGTTCAAATAGGATTGGTGTTATTTCTTTAAATGTTTAATAAAATTCAGCAGTGAAGCCATCGGGTGCAAGCCTTTTCTTTACTGGAATATTTTTTATTAAGGTTTCAGTCTTATTACTTGTTATTGGTCTGTTCAGGTTCAATCTTGATAGGTTGTATGTGTCTAGGAATGCATCCATTTCTTCTAGTTTTTTCAATTTATTGACATGTAGTTGCCCATGGCAGCCACTACTGATCCTTTGAATTTCTGCAGTACCAGTTTTACTGTGTCATTTTCATCTCTGATTTTATTTATTTGGGTCTTCTCTTTTTTTCTTAGTTTTGCTAAATGTTTGTCAATTTTGTTCATCTTTTACAAAATACAAATTTTTGTTTCATTGATCTTTTGTATTGTTTTCATTTCAAATTTATTGATTTCCTCTCTAATCTTTATTCATTTATTTTGCTTCTACTAATTTTAGGTTTGGTTTGTTCTTACTTTTCTAATTCTTTAAGATGCATTCTTTTGTTATTTATTTGAAGTTTTTCATCTTTTTTGATGTGGGCATTTAGAGCTGGAAATAGCCCTCTTAGTCCTGCTTTTGCTATATCCCATAGGTTTTGCTATGTTGTGTTTCTATTATCATTTGTTTCAAAAAATTTTCAACTTCCTTATTAATTTCTTTATTGACCAACCCTTCAGAGGAGTGGGCTCCCCTCTGGCCCAGAGCAGGTTCAGAAATGCTGTCCAAGAGCCTGGGGTTGAACTAAGAGAGCTCAAGCATCTGTTTCTTGCTCTACCACACTGTGTACAAGCTGGTACATAAGCTGTAAGACAAAGACTCTTTACTTTTCCCTGTGCTTTTCTCAAACAGGAGTCTTTCACTATAGCCACCACAGCTAGGAATGTGCTGGGTCACCCCTGAATTCAGCACATCTCAGAGCCTGAGGCCCATGGCATATGATCTGGGTGTCACTGCTGGTTATTCAGGGCCCAAATGCCCTTTAGTCAGTAGATGATGAATCCTGCCAAGACTAGGTTTTTCCCTTCAATGCAGTGTGTTCCTTTTTGGCTCAGAGTGTGTCTAGAAATGTTGTCCATGAGCTAAGGCCTGGAATGGGTCCTCATGACACTGCCTGGTGCCCTATCCTACAGTGGCTGAGCTGGTGTCCAGGATGCAAAACCAAGTCCTCTTTGTTCTTCACTCTCCTGTCCTTAAGCAGAAGGAAAGAGTCACTTCTGCTTGTGTCTCTCTAGATCATGTACCACCATAGTCCTTTGGCTCTGAGCTCAGCCAGGCACTAGGAGTCATCCAGGAATTGCAGTCTTTGTGTCCTAGACTGCCTTTCAAGTTTATCTAGGACCCCAGATCAATTTGGCTCACACTGGATAGGCTTGGCAAGAAACTCAAGTTCTGATCGCTGGAGTGGGCTATTTCTCTCTGGCTAAGGCTGGTCCAATGCTCCCTCTGTGCATAGGCACTGTCTGAGCCAAGTAAGGCTTTATTCTCCACTATGACAGGGCAGCCCTAAGTTCAATGTAAAGTCCCCCAGTTGCTATGCTCTCTCTCCCCGAAGTGCACAGATTCTTTCTCTGTGCTGCGCAACCTCTGCTGGGGGTTCGGGGAGGAGTGGTGTTGGTGATTCAAGACTGTCTCTCCTACCCTTCTCAAAGCCTCTTTCTATGATATGAAGTTAAAACCAGGTACTGTGACTGCTCATGTGATTTTTGGTTCTTTTGATAATGCTATTCTGTGTGCAGATGGTTGTTAAAATTTGTTGCTCCAACAGAGGGAATAAGCAGTGTAAGCACCCCTCACTTAAACTCAACTTTAATGATATGCACTTTCCTAATATGCAATTAACCAAAATAGGGTTAAGAAAAATATACATATGTAGGCTTTATAATATGGTCTTTCAAAATATAAGGTGGAAATAAGGTGGGCGTAATTTAATATGGTGCTATAATGTTTGTTCTTTAATATGGCTTCATGGTTGACTAAGCAAGTTATTACTCTGTTTGGAAAATTAAAATTTTTCTGGCTGGCCATGGTGGCTCACGCCTATAATTCCAGCACTTTGGGAGGCCGAGGCAGGCTGAGCACCTGAGGTAAGGAGATTCAGACCAGCCTGGCCAACATGGAGAAAGTCTCTACTAAAAGCACAAAAATTAGCTGGGAGTGGTGGCTCATGCCTGTAATCCCAGCTACTTGGGAGGCTGAGGCAGGAGAGTCACTTGAACCCCAGAGGCAGAGGCTGCAGTGAGCTGAGATCATGCCACTGAACTCCAACCTGGGAGACTGAGCAAGGCTCTGTCTCCAGAAAAAAAGACAAACAAAAAACAAACAAACAAAAAAAACAAAGAAAAGAAAAATTTTCTCAAGTAGATCATTTGTGCCTTGGGATCTAGTGCTTAGGATAACCACTCCCTAGGTAGAAGATTCTGGAATCAACTTGACTTTCTACCTCATTAGTTGCTATTATTAGCACAACGTTGGAAATACTAGGAGCTATATTTTCTGGATGTGAGATAATCAGGTTTACATAAAGCTTTATTATAGTTGTCCTTTAGTGTCAAACGATGGCCTTTAGATATGAATCTATATTACTATAGAGAAAATATAGAAAATGAATTTTTGCCTTCTAGCACGAAAGTAGCCCAGTGAGCAAATAAATAGGAAACAAATCTTCACATCATTTCAACATATATTATTTAAATATCAAAGTATTCTTAATAAATTTTCCTTAGCTGGAAGAACTAAACATTCACTTGGCTCATAGGTTTAATATAAGCTTGGAAAATCTTTGGGAAAGCAGATGTTTACCTTCTTTTTAGCCATTATTATTTGTCACAAATACCTCATTTTCTAAAAAAAATCCAATATCACTATTTCACTGAAGAATATACTGTGGCTGCATTTAGTTCAGATTATTTTATTATTTTCAGGTAAGATACTTTGCAAAAGACTTGCTCAGAAATCTGAAAATTTTCATTAAAAGTAAAGAATATATTTTTCATACATGCTAACTGTCCCCCCTTTAAAGAAACTATCCCCATATATTTTGCATAGGCCATTAAATAAAACCAATCATATCCTACCCATGTTATATCTAAATCTCTTTTTTTTCTTTGAGACGGAGTCTTGCTCTGTTGCCAGGCTGGAGTGCAGTGGCGCGATCTTGGCTTACTGCAACCTCCACCTCCTGGGTTCAAGGAATTCTCCTGCCTCAGCCTCCCGAGTAGCTAGAACTATAGACGCGCGCCACCACGCCCAACTAATTTTTGTATTTTTATTGTAGACGGGGTTTCACCACGTTGGCCAGGATGGCCTTGATCTCCTGACTTCGTGATCTGCCAGCCTAGGCTTCCCAGAGTGCTGGGATTACAGGTGTGGGCAACCGTGTCCAGCCTAAATCTCTATTTTTTAAAGTTAAAAGAAGAATAAATTTGAACATATATTTTACTTATTCACCATTGAACAGTTATTTTTGTCCATTAATTTTCGTTTTATATATTTATTTTATTTTATTTTATTTTTTTGAGACAGAGTCTCGTGCTGTCACCCAGGCTGGAGTGCAGTGGCATGATCTCAGCTCACTGCAGGCTCCGCCTCCTGGATTCACGCCATTCTCCTGCCTCAGCCTCCCGAGTAGCTGGGACTACAGGGGCCCGCCACCATGCCCGGCTAGTTTTTTGTATTTTTTTAGTAGAGACGGGGTTTCACAGTGTTAGCCACGATGGTCTCGATCTCCTGGCCTCGTGATCTGCCTGCTTCAGCCTCCCAAAGTGCTGGGATTACAGATGTGAGCCACAGCGCCCCGCCTTTTTCATATATATTTTTTAATCTTGGAAATTATTTCCAACATAGTAAACCAAGAAACATGCCAAACAATTATATTTTTTAAAATTCTAAAACTAAAAAATATACATATTTTTAAAAATTTCTAAAGAAAAAGATTACTTGAAACCACTTATTGAAAGATCCTACAATATGTTCTCGAAAAATCAACACAATGGCTGTGGTAGGCAGCCTCTAAAATGGCTCTCTATAATCGTCACCTTCAGGTATTCATGTCCTTGTCTGTTTCCCTCCTCCTGTGTGTGGGCTGGATCTAGTGAGTCACTTCCAATGGGTAGAAGACAGCTTTCAAGATTAGGTTACTTTCATCTTGTGCTTTCTCTCTCTCCTTCTCTTTCCCCTCCTCTCTCTGTGGGGGAAACAAGCTGCCATGTTATATACACTCCTGACAAGTACAGGCTATTTCTGCAAGGAACTGATGTCTTCAGCCAAGAGCCAGTGAGGAACTGAGACCATACTATGTGACTTAAGAATATCACATTGTCGCTGGGCACCGTGGCTCATGCCTGTAATCCCAGCACTTTGAGAGGCCAAGGCGGGCGGATCACAAGGTCAGGAGATTGAGACCATCCTGGCTAACACAGTGAAATCCCGTCTCTACTAAAACAAAACAAAACAAAACAAAACAAACAAACAAACAAAAACAAACACACAACCCCAAAAATTAGCCGGGCATGGTGGCGGGCCCCTGTAGTCCCAGCTACTCGGGAGGCTGAGGCAGGAGAATGGTGTGAACCTGGGAGGCAGAGTTTGCAGTGAGTAGAGATCGTGCCACTGCACTCCACCCTGGGTGACAGAGTGAGACTCTGTCTCAAAAAAAAAAAAAAAAAAAAAAATGACTATCAGATTGTCATCACATTTTTAAAGCAATACCTTGTGATGAATAAGAAATGGAATATGTGATCCAAGAATTTTATATCAAGATATCAGGGAATGGTTTTCTCATGAGCCTTTACTAAGGAATCTACTAGTGAATTACTTTCAGATAACCAGAATGATGAGTAAAATATTGACATAAGGACTCATGCTGAAGATTCACATTTTACTGTACAATAGTGTTCTACTCTAACCTACCATTTATACAAGGGGTTCCTAGAGTCCATACTTAATTCAGAAACTCTGTCTAGGTAATGATCTCCTGGGGACATTCAACTAATTATGTTGATATTTTTGCCTTACACAAGTATGTTTGGATTTATTACTGAGTTTTCAAAACTAAGAATTAAAATATTAAGAAAATCAAGTGAAAAAGTTAAAAAAATGAAGACATGATACTTCAGTGAAGATGGAAAAGTTTCCTAATTAATAGGACATTCAGGAGGTTCTTCAGGAGAATCTTGCTTCAGTAGTGGGGAAAATTCTCTCAAGACTGAGACTGTTCTGGTCTCACCTAACAAATCTTAACATTAAGACCCAACAGGTTTAAATGGTTTCCAGGTATCATAACAGTATCTCAAAACAAAGTTCTGGAGTACTTATAGAAATGCAAAATTATCTGCATCCAAGAAGATAAAACATACAAGTTTTGTCTCTCAATCAAAGATTATCAGGCATGCAGAGAAGTAGAAAAATATGACCCATAATGAAGGAACCCCCAAGGAAAGGGGTCTACTTGGACCAGGGTTTTGCACTAGATTAAGGAATAAAGTATTTTTATTGTCAAAATCATGAATTATTTAAATTATATATTTTTTATACAAATTTTAGACAATTTTTAAACAAATTTTGCAGGTATTCAAACAAATGTGTTCCAGTGAAGCAGCACGTTTGGTAATGATTCGTTAGACAGGATTCTTACTGGAATCATTTGAGGAAGTGATATTATGACACAGGCAGAAATGTAGCCTAATTATTTAGAATAATTTTTTTCATAAAGACAGTAAATAAAAGAGAATAAAATAATAATATTGAGAACCTACAATGTGGTAGGTACTTTGGGCACATCAAGTTCAGTAACAAACTTTAAAATGTGTTATTATCTCAACTTTACAAAGAAACTGAAGTTCAAAGCAATAAATGTTCTTTTTGAAGATCACACAGGTAGGAGGATGGGACAGCATTTGAATTTGGATTGGTCTGACATTTAGTCTTCAGGTTTCTACTACACTATAGCGTTCTGCAAAGAAGCTGTTGCTCCATAGCATAGGTTTTCCTTCAAGGGGGACAGTCCACTCAAGCTAGTGTAAAAAGAAGTGATGAACTGCTTTAAAAATACAGAAAGAGACATGTTATGGCCACTTGATACTTTGTAATTCTTAGTCAATCATGAAGAAAAGCATTAATTGGATAATATGAACAGTAGGAATTTGTCCCAGGAAACTTTGATAGATGGATTTAAACCAATGAAGCCAAAGATTTACAAATTAAATAAGAAGCACAAATCTAGTATGCTTAATGTTTTATACATTTGCTCTATATCTGATATTGAGTTATTTATGCTTAAATAAATGAACTATATAACATGAAAAATGTAATAAACGACATTATATTAATTGATAGGGAAATAACCTAAGTCATGTGGATTTGGCTGTGAGATTAGAATTGAACAGAATTTTTTTTTCCCAGCACTTTGAAGCTGTTTATTTATAGAATTATGGCCTCCACAGTGTCAGATGCAAAATCTGGGATCATTTGAACCCTATGTAATTATGTTATTCTTTTTCTGGCTGCTTTCAAGATTTTCTCTTTTTCTCTGGCTTTCAGCAGTTAAGACCATGATGTATCTAAACATAGCATCTTAATTTATCATGTTTGAGGGTCACTGAGCTTCTTCAATCTGTATGTTTATGCCTTTTACCCGATTTTGGAAAATTTTGGCTAATTCTTCAAATACTTTTTCTCTCACATTCTTTCGTCTCATTCTGTGATTCCATTTATACATATGTTACGTCTTTTGATATTGTCTTAGAATTATCTGAGGCTCTGCTGATTTTTTCCAATCTTTTTAATATTTTTTGTCCATTCTTCAGATTGGACTATTTCTTTTTTTTTCTTTTTCTTTTTTTTTTAGTACTTTAAGTTCTGTGATACATGTGCAGAATGTGCAGGTTTGTTACATAGGTATGCACGTGCCATGGTGGTTTGCTGCACCCATCAACCCATCATCTACATTAGGTATTTCTCCTAATACTCTCCCTCCTCTAGCTCTCCACCTCCCGACAGGCCCCAGTGTGTGATGTGTGATGTGTGATGTGTCCATGTGTTCTCATTGTTCAACTCCCACTTATGAGTGAGAACATACAGTGTTTGGTTTTCTGTTCTTGTGTTAGTTTGCTGAGAATTATGGTTTCCAGCTTCATCCATATCTCTGCCAAGGACATGAACTCATCCTTTTTTAATGGCTGCATAGCATTCCATGGTGTATATGTGCCACATTTTCTTTATTCAGTCTATCATTGATGGGCATTTGGGTTGGTTCCAAGTCTTTGCTATTGTGAACAGTGCTACAGTAAACAACGTGTGCATGTGTCTTTATAGCAGAATGATTTATAATCCCTTGGGTATATATCCAGTAATGGGATTACTGGATCAAATAGTATTTCTGGTTCTAGATCTTTGAGGATTCACCACACTGTCATCCACAATGGCCGAACTAATTTGCACTCCCACCAACAGTGTAAAAGCATTCCTATTTCTCCACATCCTCTCCAGCATCTGTTGTTTCCTGACTTTTTAATGGTTGCCATTCTAATTGGCAAGAGATGGTATCTCATTGTGGTTTTGATTTGCATTTTTCTAATGACCAGTGATGATGAGCTTTGTTTCATATGTTTGTTGGCCATATAAATGTCTTCTTTTGCAAAGTGTTTGTTCATATCCTTTGCCCACTTTTTGATGGGGTTTTTTTTTCTTGTAAATTTGTTTAAGTTCCTTTTAGATTCTGGATATTAGCCCTTTGTCAGATGGATAGATTGCAAAATTTTTCTCCTGTTCACTCTGATGATAGTTTCTTTTGTTGTGCAGAAGCTCTTTAGTTTAATTAGATCCCAATTGTCAACTTTGGCTTGTGTTGCCATTGCTTTTGGTGTTTTAGTCATGAAGTCTTTGCTCATGCCTATGTCCTGAATGGTATTGCCTAGGTTTTCTTCTAGGGCTTTTATAGTTTTAGGTCTCACATTTAAGTCTTTAATCCATCTTGAGTTAATTTTTGTATAAGGTGTAAGGAAGGGGTCCAGTTTCAGTTTTCTGCATATGGCTAGCCAGTTTTTCCAACACCATTTAATAAATAAGGAATCCTTTCCCCATTGCTTGTTTTTGTCAGGTTTGTCAAAGATCAGATGGTTGTAGATGTGTGGTGTTATTTCTGAGGCCTCTGTTCTCTTCCATTGGTCTATATATCTCTTTTGATATCAGTACCGTGCTGTTTTGGTTACTGTAGCCTTGTAGCATAGTTTGAAGTCAGGTAGTGTGATGCCTCCAGCTTTGTTCTTTTTGCTTAGGATTTTCTTGGCTATACGGGCTCTTTTTTGGTTCCATATGAAATTTAAAGTATTTTTTTCCAATTCTGTGAAGAAAGTCAATGGTAGCTTGATGGGGATAGCATTGAATCTATAAATTACTTTGGGCAGTATGGCCATTTTCACAAAATTGATTTTTCCTATCCATGAGCATGGAATATTTTTCTGTTTGTTTGTGTCCTGTCTTATTTCCTTGCACAGTAGTTTGTAGTTCTCCTTGAAGAAGTCCTTCACATCCCTTGTTGGCTATATTCCTAGGTATTTTATTCTCTTAGTAGCAATTGGGAATGTGAGTTCACTCATGATTTGGCTCCCTGTTTGTCTATTACTGGTGTATAGGAATGCTTGTGATTTTTGCACATTGCTTCTGTATCCTGAGACTTTCCTGAAGTTGCTTATCAGCTTAAAGAGATTTTGGGTGGAAACTATGCTGTTTTCTAAATACAAAGTCATGTCGTCTGCAAATAAAGACAATTTGACTTTCTCTCTTCCTGTTTGAATACTCTTTATTTCTTTCTCTTGCCTGATTGCCCAGAGCAGAACTTCCAATACTATGTTGAATAGGAGTGGTGAGAGAGGGAATCCTTGACGTGTGCCAGTTTTCAAAGGTAATGCTTCCAGCTTTTGCCCATTCAGTATGATATTGGCTGTGTGTTTGTCATAGATAGTTCTTATTATTTTGAGATATGTTCCAACAATACCTAGTTTATTGAGAGTTTTTAGCATGATGGGGTGTTGACTTTTATCGAACGACTTTTCTGCATCTATTGAGATAATCATGTGGTTTTTGTGATTGGTTCTCTTTATGTGATGGATTACATTTATTGATTTGTGTATGTTGAACCAACCTTGCATCCCATGGATGAAGCTGACTTGATCGTGGTGGATAAGCTTTTTGATGTGCTGCTGGATTCAGTTTGCCCATATTTTATAGAGGATTTTCACACTGATATTCATCAGGGATATTGGCCTGAAATTTTGTTGTTGTTGTTGTGTCTCTGCCAGGTTTTGGTATCAGGATGATGCTGGCCTCATAAAATGAGTTAGGAGGAGTCCCTCTTTTTCTATTGTTTGGAATAATTTCAGAAGGAATGGTACCAGCTCCTCTTTGTACCTCTGGCAGAATTCAGCTGTGAATCCGTCTGGTCCTGGGCTTTTTTTGGTTGGTAGGCTGTTAGTTACTGCCTCAATTTCAGAACTTGTTATTGGTCTATTCAGGGATTCAATTTGTTCCTGGTTTAGTCTTGGGAGGGTGTATGTGTCCAGGAATTTATCCATTTCTTCTAGATTTTCTAGTTTATTTGAATAGAGGTGTTTATAGTATTCTCTGATGGTAGTTTGTATTTCTGTGGGATCAGTGGTGATATCCCCTTTACCATTTTTTATTGTGTCTATTTACTGCTTCTTTCTTTTCTTCTTTATTAGTCTGGGTAGTGTTCTATCTATTTTGTCGATCTTTTCAAAAAACCAGCTCCTGGATTCATTGATTTTTTTAAAGGGTTTTTTGTGTCCCTATCTCCTTCAGTTCTGCTCTGATCTTACTTATTTCTTGTCTTCTGCTAGCTTTTGAATTTGTTTGCATTTGTTTTATTCTTTTAATTGTGATATTAGGGTGTTGACTTTAGATCTTTCCCGCTTTCTCCTGTGGTCATTTAGTGCTATAAATTTCCCTCTATACACTGCTTTAGCTCTGTCCAGTGATTCTGGAATGTTGTGTCTCTATTCTCATTGGTTTTAAATAACTTTCTTATGTCTGCCTTCATGTTGTTATTTACCCAGTAGTCATTCAGGAGCAGGTTGTTCAGTTTCTATGTAGTTTTGTGGTTTTGAGTGAGTTTCTTAATCCTGAATTCTAGTTTGATTGCACTGTGGTCTGAGAGACTGTTTGTTATGTTTTCCATTCTTTTGCATTTGCTGAGGAGTGTTTTACTTCAAATTATGTGGTCAATTTTAGAATAAGTGCAATGTGGTGCTGAGAAAAATGTATATTCTGTTGATTTGGGGTGGAGAGTTCTGTAGATGTCTATTAGGCCACTTGGTCCAGAGCTGAGTTCAAGTCCTGAATATTCTTGTTAATTTTCTGTCTCATCATCTGTCTAATATTGACAGTGGGGTGTTATAGTCTCCCACTATTATTGTGTAGGAATCTAAGTCTCTCTGTAGGTCTCTAAGAACTTGCTTTATGAATCTCGGTGCTCCTGTATTGGGTGCATATATATTTAGGATAGACCTTCTTGTTGCATTGATTCCTTTACTGTTATGTAATGCCCTTGTTTGTCTTTTTTGATCTTTGTTGTTTTAAAGTCTGTATTATCAAGGACTAGGATTGCAACCCCTGCTTTTTTTTTGCTTTCCATTTGCTTGGTAAATATTCCTCCATCCCTTTATTTTGAGCCCATGTGTGTCTTTGCACATGAGATAGATCTCCTGAACACAGCACACCAATGAGTCTTGACTCTTTATCCATTTTTCTGGTATGTGTCTTTTAATTGCAGCATTTAGCCCATTTACATTTAAGGTTAATATTGTTATGTGTGAATTTGATCCCTACATTATAATGCTAGCTGGTTATTTTGCCTGTTAGTTGATGCAGTTCCTTCATAGTGTCGATGGTCTTTACAATTTGGTATGTTTTTGCAGTGACTGGTACCAGTTTTTCCTTTCCATATTTAGTGCTTCCTTCAGGAGCTCTTGTAAGGCAGGCCTCGTGGTGACAAAATCTCTCATCATTTGCTTGTCCATAAAGGATTTTATTTCTCCTTCGCTTATGAATCTTAGTTTGGCTGGATATGAAATTCTGGGTTGAAAATTCTTTAAGAATGTTGAATATTGGCCCCCACTCTCTTCTGGCTTGTAGGGTTTCTGCAGAAAGATCTACTGTTAGTTTGATGGGCTTCCTTCTGTGGGTAACCCGACCTTTCTCTCTGGCTGCCCTTAACATTTTTTCCTTCATTTCAACCTTAGTGAATCTGATGATTATATGTCTTCCAGTCGCTCTTCTCCAGGAGTATCTTTGTGGTGTTCTCTGTATTTCCTGAATTTGAATGTTGGCCTGTCTTGCTAGGTTGGGGAATTTCTCCTGGATAATACTCTGAAGAGTGGTTTCCAACTTGGTTCCATTCTCCTCATCACTTTCAGGTACACCAATCAAACGTAGGTTCGGTCTTTTCACATAGTCCCATATCTGTTGGAGGCTTTGTTTGTTCCTTTTCATCCCTTTTTCTCTAGTCTTGTCTTCATGCTTTATTTCATTAAGTTGATTTTTAATCTCTAATATCCTTTCTTACACTTGATCGATTCGGCTATTGATACTTACGTATGCATCACGAAGTTCTTGTGCTGTGTTTTTTAGCTCCATCAGGTTATTTATGTACTTCTCTAAACTGCTTATTCTACTTAGCAATTCCTCTAACCTTTTTTCAAGGTTCTTAACTTACTTGCATTGGGTTAGAACATGCTCCTTTAGCTCAGAGGAGTTTGTTGTTATCCACCTTCTGTAGCCTGCTTCTGTCAATTCGTCAAACTCATTCTCCATCCAGTTTTGTTCCCTTGCTGGCGAGGAGTTGTGATCCTTTGGAGGAGAAGTGGCATTCTGGTTTTTGGAACTTTCAGCCTTTTTGAGCTGGTTTTCCCTCATCTTTGTGGATTTATCTATCTTTGGTCTTGATGTTGGTGACCTTCGCATGGGGTTTCTGTGTGGATGTCCTTTTTGTTGATGTTGATGCTATTCCTTTCTGTTTGTTAGTTTTCCTTCTAACAGTCAGGCCCCTCTGCTCCAGGTCTGCTGGAGTTTGCTGGAGATCCACTCCAGACCCTGTTTGCCTGGGTTTCACCAGTGGAGGCTGAAGAATGGCAAAGACTGATGCCTGTTCCTTCCTCTGGAAGCTTTGTCCCAGAGGGGCACCTTCCAGGTGCCAGCCAGAGCTCTCCTGTATGAAGTGTCTGTTGACCCCTGTTGGGAGGTGTCTCCCAGTCAGAAGGCATGGGGGTCAGGGACTCACTTGAAAAGGTACTCTGTCCCTTAGAGCTTGAGCGCTGTGCTGGGAGATCCACTGCTGTCTTCAGAGATAGCAGGCAGGAATGTTTAAGTCTGCTGAAACTGCACCCACAGCCACCCCTTACCCCAGGTGCTCTGTCCCAGGGAGATGGAAGTTTTATCTATAAGCTCCTGACTGCTGTCTTTCTTTCAGAGATGCCCTGCCCAGAGAGGAGGAATCTAGAGAGGCAGTCTGTCTACAGTGGCTTTGCCAAGCTGCAGTGGGCTATGCAGCTGTGAGGGGAAAATTGCCTACTCAAGCCTCGGTAATGGTGGACGCCCCTCCCCCCACCAATCTGTAGCGTCCTAGTTTGACTTCAGACTGCTGTGCTGGCAGTGAGAATTTCAGGCCAGTGGATCTTAGCTTGCTGGCCTCTGTGGGGGTGGGATCCACTGAGCTAGACCACTTGGCTCCCTGGCTTCAGCTCCCTTTTCAGGGGTGTGAAGAGTTCTGTCTTTCAGGCATTCCAGGTGCCACTAGGGCATGAAAAACACTCCTGTAGCTAGCTCAGTGTCTGCCCAAATGGCAGCCCAGGTTTGTGCTTGAAACCCGGGGCCCTGGTGGCATAGGCACTGGAGGGAATCTCCTGGTCTATGGGTTGCAAAGACCATGGGAAAAGTATCTGGGCATAGTATCTGGGCCAGAATGCACTGTTTCTCATGGCATGGTCCCTCACAGCTTCCCTTGGCTAGGGGACTTCCCCGACCCCTTGCACTTCCCCAGTGAGGTGATGCCCCACCCTGCTTCTGCTAACTGTCCGTGGGTTGCACCCACTGTCTAAGCAGTCCCAATGAGATGAGCTGGGTACCTCAGTTGGAAATGCAGAAATCATCCACATTCTGCATTGATCTCACTGGGAGCTGCAGACCAGAGATGTTTCTATTCAGCCATCTTGCCAGCCACCCTGCTCCAGATTTTTATCCTCAGTTTTTCCATTCTCAGACACACAACCAAGTGCTAACATTTGGGAAAAACACCTGGGCACCAAGTAGATGCAAACTGGAGAAAAAAAAATTCTGGGAAAAATGCTTAAGTCCAACGGGGAGTTGCCAAAGTTTCAAACAGTGATGGAAACATTGTTGTGGTCACATGGTAGAAATTCAAAAGCTGTGAAACATGGATCATGATTTTTTGAAAGATAAGATATTTTCAGGTTTCAGTGTTTTAGAGACAAAATTGCTTCCTCAAAATCTTTTAGCCAAAATCGGGGAAAATTCAGCCAAATATCAGGCAAAATTCACTCCCGATATTTCACGTAGGTTCTTTTCTATTTTCCCTAAGCATCGGCCAGTTTGAGAAATAAAGGGACAGAGTACAAAAGAGAGAAATTTTAAAGCTGGGCGTCTGGGGGATACATCACATGTCGGTAGGTTCTGTGATGCCCCACAAGACATAAAACCAGCAAGTTTTTATTAGGGATTTTCAGAAGGGGAGGGAGTGTATGAATAGGGTGTGGGTAACAGAGATCACGTGCTTCACAAGGTAATAGAATATCACAGGCAAATTGAGGCAGGGCGAGATCACAGGACCACAGGACTGGGGCAAAATTAAAATTGCTAATGAAGTTTCGGGCACCATTGTCATTGATAGCATCTTATCAGGAGACAGGGTTTGAGAGCAACTGGTCTGACCAAAATTTATTAGGTGGGAATTTCCTCACCCTAATAAGCCTGGGAGTGCTATGGGAGACTGGGGCTTATTTCATCCCTACAGTCTCAACCATAGAAGGCGGCCACACCCAAGGGGGCCATTTTAGAGGCCCACCCTCAGGGGCGCATTCTCTTTCTCAGGGATGTTCTTTGCTGAGAAAAAGAATTCAGTGATATTTCTCCCATTTGCTTTTGAAAGAAGAGAAATATGGCTCTGTTCCGCCCGGCTCACCGGCGGTCAGAGTTTAAGGTTATCTCTCTTATTCCCTGAACATTGCTGTTATCCTGTTCTTTTCTCAAGGTGCCCAGATTACATATTGTTTAAACACACATGCTCTACAATTTGTGCAGTTAATGAAATTATCACAGGGTCCTGAGGTGACATGCATCCTCCTCAGCTGACAGGATGAAGAGATTAAAATAAAGACAGGCATAGGAAATCACAAGGGTATTGATTGGGGAAGTGATAAGTGTCCATGAAATCTTTACAATTTATGTTTAGAGATTGCAGTAAAGACAGGCATAAGAAATTACAAAGTATTAATTTGGGGAACTAATAAATGTCCATGAAATCTTCACAATCCATGTTCTTCTGCCATGGCTTCAGCCGGTCCCTCCATTTGGGGTCCCTGACTTCCTGCAAGAAGCCAACATTTTAATTGCTGAGTTCTATGTATTTTATATACTTTGACCTAAATGGAACAATCAATCTAATTAGTCTCACCTTCATTGTAAAATTAGTCGTGTTTATTATTCACCTATTCTGTTAAAATAATAGTGTGAATATATCTATTTAATAGTAATCAAATAGGTTTTCATAATGGCATTTTACACATATTTCCAATAGTGATAACTTAGAGCAATGAGAGAAATACTAGAAAGAAGGAAGGAGGCTTCCTTCTGGGTTTTTTTAAATGTACATGCAAATTGTTTCATTTCTTTTATCAGTTAAAAATTAACCTAGATTAAAAAAGAACTATAAAATGTTTATTAGCAAAAATACCTTGGAAGATATTTAAAATGAATTACTACTATAATTAAAGAAAAAGAAATGTTAGCCTCGGGAGCATTGGGAGACCCCCACCTCTACAAAAATAGTTTTAAAAAATTAGCCCAACATGGTGGCATGTGGTTGTAGTCCCAGCTACTTGGGAGGCTGAGGTGGGAAAATTGCTTGAGCTCAAGATATTGAGGCTGCAGTGAGCCATGGTCGCACCACTGTCCTCCAAGCCTGGGCAATAGAGTGAGACCTGTCTCAAAAAAAAAAGAAAAAAAAAAAAAGAAAAGAAAACCAAATATTTATTAGAGTAAATACTTCTATTTTTAGCTATCTTGGGGATGCAAACTAAAAAAAAGTTTGGATAATTTAAGAAAATATCTAAACATATTCCAAAATATTTTAATATATTTTGAAAATGTATACATTTGTATTCATGCTCAATTTTTAAGATAACACTTTAAGATGATATTCTAGACAGCATACACAAGCACTAATGCTATCTGTAATGGCAACTTAAATTGCTTTTCTTGGAGAATTTTTCAAAGAAACTTTAATATATGTGTCTACTTTTTTCACATTTAATTTCAGAAATTTTCTGAGTGTTATACTTTTTTGGTGACTTCCGACACTTTATTTTCTCAAGTAATTCTATAACTTTAGGAAGGACAAAATCCAATCTCTTATAAAATGGCCTTTGTTATAAAAAATGTCCTCATTTTCTTCTGCAGCAAAGACACACTAAAAATAAACCTGGCTTTCTTGTTGCATTCCTATCCTCTTTACTGCCTCTCTTCCCTCCTCCTGGTGATTGGTAGCCACACAGGCAGGTTTCTTTCACTGTCTTTGAAAATTGTTTCCATTATTTACAATATGAGTTCCAGAGCTGACATTTTTTCCATTTTAAATATTAAATATTAGATTTTTGATTTTTTTTGCAAGTCCAGCCATTTACCTAGATTGGTCAAAAGATTTAAAAAATAAATTAATAAAAATAAGTTGAAAGCTTTACATTGTTAGCAATAAATTGATATTGGTTATATTAAATATGGCCAATGCTGTATTTGATTCATTCAGCACCCATTACAACTCCCCTTCTTCTTTGTCTGCCTCTATGGTAGAAGCTGGAAAATGAAATCCTAAAATCCCAGTGTCTTTTGGAGGCACTACAGATATAAAGTGAAAAAATAGTGTAAGAGAGAAGCAAACTGGTAAATTGGCCCCTAAAAGACAGTGATAAGAGCAATGGTAAGGAAGTGTAGGCACACTAGGCTGTGGGAGTGCATAGGCACATTGGCCATTTCCTATTAATTTCATGTCCGCATATCTGGAGGTAACGTTGATATAAACATGATAATGAAGCATTGCCATGTGACAAATGTTGAGTGTGCCGTGACAGCCTGGGATTTTGCTCTGAGGTAGGACTGGATGCCTCATTCTAAGGAGGCAGCCGAACTCACTACAGAACAAGAAACCAAACTCATAATCTTTCTTCCATATTTATTTCCACTTATACAATTTTTATCAACAGATCCTTGGTGTTATCTTGAGTTCACTTTCTCTTTCCTCTCATCTGGGCTATCACCAGTCTTGTTGCTTCTTCCTGTGTATTGTATTGTATTGTATTGTATTGTATTGTATTGTATTGTATTGTATTGCATTTTTCTCTTCTAATTTCCATCTTTTTTACCACTGAATCTGCATTAACAAGGGATCTTATCGCCTCTCTCTCTATTGTTAGAATTTCTTGTGTGATCTCTTGGATTCTGGTCTTTCCCTCCAGCCCCACCTCTATCCTATTTCGTGATTACTTTTTCTAATGATCCCCCAAACCTTAAAATATTATGTATTGCCTGTGATAGATTGGAATATTGTTCCTAATTTGTCACTCCTTCTGTGTTTGCCAGGGAACTCTCCAGTACATCCCACCATGGGCTTGTCTGTGGGACTTGTTTTAGTGGCAGAATTGAGGGTGTGCTGGCAAATTCCAAGCTGAGGCCTTAAGGAGCACCCCATTTCCCCTTGTGGTCCTGTGTCTGTGTGATCCATCATGAGAATGGCATGTCCCTGGTAACCACTGCACATTCAGGCTCAGCCCCAGAATAATGTCATGTGGAACACACCTGCATCTCACCCAGAAAACTGGAATCCAGCCTGGCCCAGACAAACTTATCCAAGGTCAGCAGGAGCACAGACTACCAGCAGTCTTGTGAGCATGAAAATCAATATTTGCTTTTGTAAGCCACTGAGATTTAGAGGTTGTTACAGAAAACTTGGTTAATATATTGCCCACTTAACAGTATGTAAACTCTTCGGTTTGGCCTCTTCAAGGTCAAGAAGATTTAGCCTCATCCCTTTTCTGGATTCAATCTTGCTTCCGCATGAACAGTAGGCATAAGCAGTAGGCAAATGGTCTACTCATAGCCCAAACATGCATTTGCTGTCCAACTTTTGGCTCAGTCTCTTTATTAAGCTATATTTCTTTTCTTGGTGAAAAAAAAAGATAGTAAAGAAGAAGGAGTACTGGGCATTTGAGGAAAGACTCAGGCTGCATTCTGGTAGATGGCAATTAATAATAATTGGCAGGAGGTTTTACTCTGAGAGTGCACACCCTCAGCAGGGCAAAGGTGACAGAGAAGCACAAAAAACACTCTCTCCCAGGGCTGCCGGCTTTCAGCAGGGTTGTGGCCACTGGAGAATCCCCAGAAGTGTCTCTCTAAGCCCATGCTCCCTGAGCCCCAGTGGGAAGAGCCACAACTGTGTCCACAGCAGTACACTGGGGGAAGGGGTGAGGGTTGAGAAATGATCTCCTCTCCAAGTCCATCCCGGGCTTTAATGTTGCCTCTTCAGCAGCTGGCACCATGCTTACATTTCCTTTGACCAAAGGGGAGCTTTGGTATACTGCACTCACCCCTTTCTTAGGGGTAGTCTATGCCAAGGATTAGGTCTGAACCATAGTGGGGTCTGCCTCTCTTCCTCCCCTCAGAGCTGGTTTGTCACTCTCCTCCAACTGACCAAGGAAGCAGGCTAGGGCACTCAGCAATAACACATGCAGATGGGTTCCAGGTTGCAAAGCTGTTGCTAGCTGCAAATCATACCACCCAAGAGAAACCTCAGCTTCAGCAGCTCTCTTCCAGCTCCAGTCCTGTCGTGGGAGACAGCCTAATTCCAGCATCTACTGCTGGAGTGCTCTCCACACTTGCCACTCAATTCTAGCTATGGGGGCCCTTCACTAGCTCCAGAGCAAGTGATATAATCTCTGGCTTGAGAAGAAAATGTCTGCAGTGGCTGTTGTTTCCAGGTCACCAAACAATGATTGACTTTGTATGAGCACAAGTATATCACTACGCCAAACAAAATCTGAGAAAGCCACCATAGAAATCCATCTGTGACCAAGGATTCTGTATAGAGCCATGGTCATCTGAAAGCACTCAGAAACAAAGCCAATCCATCATACACCACATACACCACAGTCATCATACACCACAGTCATACCCTGAAGAGAAAAAAGAATAAAAAATCAAAAAATCCCCATCCAAACAATACCAAATTCAAAAACAAATTTAAAAAAGCATCACCTCCAGATGAGAAGGAACCAGTGAAAGAACTTTGGAAATATAATAGGCCAGAGTGTTTTGTCACCTTGCAGAGATCACACTAGGTCCCTAGCAATGGATCCTAACAAGAATGAAATGTCTGAAATAATAGATATAGAATTCAGAAAATGGATGGCAAGAAAACTCAATGAGATCCAAGAGAAAGTTGAAATCCGATAAAAAGAAACAGAAAAACTATTCAGAATTTGAAAGATGACATAGCTACATTAAGAAAGAACCAAATAGGCTGGGTGAGGTGTCTCACGCCTGTAATCCCAGCACTTTGGGAGGCCGAGGTGGGTGGATCGTGGGGTCAGCAGATTGAGACCATCCTGGCTAACACGGTGAAACCCCGTCTCTATTAAAAATACAAAAAATTAGCCAGGCATGGTGGCCGGCACCTGTAGTCCCAACTACCTGGGAGGCTGAGGCAGGAGAATGGCGTGAACCAGGGAGGCGGAGCTTGCAGTGAGCCTAGAACTTCTCACATGAAAAAATTCACTACAGGAATTTCAAAAAACAATTGGAAGGCTTAACAACAGAAACAAGCAAAAGAAAGAATTTCAGAGACTGAAGACCAGTCCTTTGAATTAACCCAGACAAACAAAAATAAAGAAAAAAGAGTAAAAACAAAGCTTTTGAGAAATATGAAATTAGGCAAAGCAATCAAGTCTATGACTTACTGGTACTCCTGAGAGAGAATAAGAGAACATGGAAAACATATTTAAGGAACATGGAAGCAACATGGAAAACATATTTAAGGAATATACTTTAGAAAAATTTCCCCAATTTTGCTAGAGAGGTAGACATGCAGGTATAAGAAATCCAGAGAACTCCTGTGAAATAGTGTATAAGATAACCATAGATACTACACAAAGCACATAGTTATCAGACTATCCAAGATTAATGCAAAAGAAAAAATTCTTAAAGGCTACTAGAGAAAAAGGCCATATTACTTATACAAGGAAAGCAATCAGACTAATAGCAGACTTCTCAGGAAAAGTCTTACAAGCCAGAAGAGACTAAGGGCTCATTTTTAGCATTCTTAAAGAAAATATATGCCAGCCAATTATCTCATACACCATCAAACTAAGCTTCATAAATGAAGAAGTAAAGTCTTTCTCAGATAAGCAATCATAAATCAAATTTGTCACCACCAGACTGGGTCTACAAGAGATTCTTAAAGGAGTTGTAAACCTGAAAAGAAAAAAAATGATACACACAATGAAAGCACATGTAAGTACATAGCTCACAGACCCTATAAAACAACTACACAGTTGAAACTATGAAGGAACTTGCTAACAACACTGCAACAGGAACACAACCTTACATACCAATATTAACCTTGAATGTAAATGGCTTAAATGCTCCACTTAAAGCACATATAGTGGCAAAATGGATAAAAAAAAATACAAGACCTATCCTTCTGCTGTCTTCAACAGACCCATCTCACATGTAATGACACCCACAGGCTCAAAGTAAAGGTGAAGAAAGATCTATTTTGCAAATGGAAAACAAAAAAGAGCAGAAATCAGTATTCTTGTTTGAAATAAAGAGTTTAAACCAACAACAGTAATAAAGCAAAAAAGAAGGGCATTGCATAATGATAAAAGGTTCAATTTAATAAGAAGTTTTAACTCTCCTAAGATTGAATATATATACACCCAACATTGGAGCACTCAGATTCATACAACAATTACTTCCAGGCCTAAGAAAAGACTTAGTCAGACATACAATAATAGTGGGAGACTTCAGCATTCCACTGACAGCATTAGGGAGATCACTAAGGCAGAAAACTAACAAATTCTGGACTTAAATTTGACACTTGAGCAACTGTAACTAATAGATAACCACTAAATATACCACCAACCACTAAATATACATTCTTCTCCTCTGCACACAGAACATATTCCAAGATTTATAACATGCTTGGTCATAAAGTAAGTTGCAATAAATCCAAAAAAATCAAAATGATATCAACCATAATCTTAGGCCACAGTAGAATAAAAATAGAAATCAATACCAAAAGGAATTCTTAAAACCATATAATTACATGGAAATTAAAACTTGCTTCTGAATGACTTTTGGGTAAACAATAAAATTAAGGCAAAAATTTAAAAAAATTCTTTGAAATAAATTAAATAGAGACACAACATACCAAAACCTCTGGGATGTGGCAAAAGCAATGTTAAGAAGAGAGTTTATAGCATTAAACATCTACATCAAGATGATAGAAAGATCTCAAATTAACAATCTAACATTCCATCTAAAGAAACTAGAAAAACAAGAGCAAACTTATCCCAAAGCTAGCAGAAGAAAAAAAATAACTGAAATCAGAACAGAACTAAATGAAATTGAGACAAAAAATTCATACAAGAGATTAACAAAATAAACAGTGGTTTATTTGAAAGAATAAACAAAATCGAAAGACCTCTAGGTACATTAACAAAGAGAGAAAGAGAACATCCAAATAAACAGATCAGAAATGATAACGGTGGCATTATGACCAATTCCACAGAAATACAAAAGATCCTCAGAAATTATTATGAACACCTCTATGCATACAACCTAAAAAATCTAGAGGAAATGGATAGATTTCTGGAAACACACAATCTACCAAGAGTGAATCAGGAAGAAATTAAAGCCGAGAGAAAAATCAAATGCATAATCCCATTTACAATAGCCATAAAAATATAAAATATCTAGGAATGCATCTAAACAAGGAAGTGAAATATCTCTACAAGGAGAACTACAAAACTGAAAGAAATCAGAGATGACATAAACAAATAAAAAAATCCACGTTCATAGACTGAAAGAAGCAATATTGTTAAAATGTCTATACTGCCTAAAGCAATCTATAGATTAAATGCTATTCCTATCAGATCACCAATGTCATTTTTCACAGAATTAAAACAAATTCTAAAATTAATGTGGAAGAAAAAAGAGTCCAAGTAGCCAAAGCAATCCTATGCAAAAAGAACAAAGCCAGAGGCATCCCATTACCCAGCTTCAAAGTTGGGTTGCCTACAAGGCTATAGCAACCAAAACAACAAGGTACTAATACAAAAATAGACACATAGACGAAAGGAACAGGATAGAGAACCCAGAAATAAAGCCACAGACCTACAACCAACTGATCTTTGACAAAGTTGACAAAAATAAACAATGGAGAAAGGACCTCCTGTTCAATAAATAGTGCTGGGAAAACTAGCTAAACATATGCAGAGGAATGCTACTGGACGTCTACCTCTCACCATTTAAAAAATTGACTCAAAATGGATTAAATACTTAAATGTAAGAACTCAAAGTATAAAAATCCTAGAAAAAAACCTAGGAATTACACTTTCGGGCATCAGCCTAGGCAAATAATTTATGACTAAGTCTTCAAAAGCAAATGCAACAAAACAAAAATTGACAATTGGCACCTATTTAACTAAGAGCTTCTGTGCAGCAAAATAAACTATCAACACAGTAAATAAACTCCAGAGTGGGAGAAAATATTTGCAAACTATGCATCTGGCAAAAGACTAACATCGAGAATCTATAAGGAACTGAAACAAATCAACAAGTAAAAAACAAATAACCCCATTAAAAAGTAGGCAAAGAACATGAACAGATACTTCGCAAAAGAAAACATACGAGCAGCCAACAAACATGAAGAAATGTTCAACATCACTAATCAGCAAACAAATGCAAATCAAAACCACAGTAAGGTATTATCTTATGCCAGGAAGAATGGCTATTATTTAAAAGTTTTTTAAAATTCTTTTTTTTATAAAAAACTTATAACCTGTAAGTTTGTAACTTGTAAAACTTGTAAGTTATTTTTGTAAAACTTTTTTTTTTTTTTTTAGAAAAAACAGTAACATGTTGGGAGGTTACAGAAAAAATTGAATGATTATACACTGTTGGTGGGAATGTAAATTAGTTGAGACCCTGTAGAAAGTGGCTTGGAGATTTGTCAAGGAACTGAAAATAAAACTACCATTGAGCCAGCAATCCGTTACTGGGTATATACCCAAAGGAAAATGCATTGCTTATGAAAGACACCTTCACCCATAAGAGTAAGTTCAAAAAAAAAATGCAACAAAACAAAAACAAAAATTGACAACTGGGACCTATTATAATTAAGTTAAAGAGCTTCTTCACACAAAAAGAAGCTATCGGCAGAGTAAACATACAACCACAGAATGGGAGAAATATTTGCAGCACTACTCACAGTAGCAAAGATATGCAATCAACCTAGGTGCCCATCAATGGGTGGATTTGATAAAGAAGATGTGTCATACATATACCATGCATTACAATGCAATGTCATCAAAAGAATGAAATTATGCCCTTTCCAGCAACATCAATGTCCTGAGGCCATTAACCTAAGTGATGCAGAAACAGAAACCCCAATATCACACGTTCTCATTTATAAGTGGGAAATAAACATTGGGTACACACGGACAGAAAGATAGAAACAATAAACACTGGGGACTCCAAAAGGGAGGAAGGAGGGGGCAAGGGCTAAAAAACTTCTTATTGGATACTATGTTCACTATTTGGGTAATGGGATCAATAGAAGGCCAAATCTCAGCATCATAAAACATACCCTTGTAACAAACCTGTACATGTGTCCCCTGAATCTAAAATATATATATAATTATATATATTATATACAATATTATATTCTCTCTCTCATATATATAAAATATATATAAAATAAATATATATATTATATATTTATATATTATATAAAAATATATATAAAATAAAATATATAAAAAATAAAATATATAAAATATATAATATATATAAATATACATAAAAATATATATTATATAAATATATATATAATATATATAAAATATAAAAATAAAAATGAAACCATCCAGAATGTATTTTTCGCTAGGAACATTTTGGAAGAAGAGAGGGACACAAGAAGTAAAAGGAAGTTGAAAGTGATTATAGAGCTCGACTGCAGAATTTATGTTGAGGGAGGTAAAAAGGAAGGAATGCTTGGGAGATGCCTTGTGGAAAATAAATCTGGATGTGGCAAAGAATGTAGAGGTAGTATGGTTAGTTGAAAATTTGGAATCAGAGAGTGAGTAAACTCAACCAGCTTTATTTTTAATTCTTTATATTATTGCAGCCTTGCATAATTTACTTAAGGTTTAAAGTCTGCAGAAAAAGCATGTGCTTGGCACAGGTTAGGGCACAGCTTGAAGCTAACTGTATGGGGTGGTAAGGAAGAATCTTCCAGAAAGAGGTTACAGGCACCCCTGTAGCTTCTCCTCTGGAATGGATTAAGCATTTCACCCACACTACACAATGTGGTGGAGGAGTAATTGCTCAAAAGGAAATTATGGTGTTTTGAGGGAGGAAGAATGGATGTTGAGGCCAAATGAATGTCCTTGTTCATGGGCCTAGTTGGGGAAATAGACATGGGTACACGAAAGTAGGCCTAGAAACACCAAATGTCTGAGGCTGAGAAGAAAGGAAGCTTCAGAACACAATAAGAATGGGTGGGAACCTTGAGGGGCAAATTGTTGCCTTCGTTATCTTCATCCTTACCATCTGAATGTGTGCACAGCACCAGGCCTTAATTCCTGAACAGGCCTTTTCTCAACTATAAATCAGGAGATAATCTGCAGGTTTTCTTGTATATTGGTTCCATATACACCATGAGTATTTCATGCCTGATATCCTAGTTTGTAGGACTCCTTGAGACTTTCAGGTTGCTCCTGTTTGCTGCAAATGATGATAAACAATTCTGTGTGCATGTGTGTTTGTTCATTGCAATCCTCTTATAACTCATGAATTTATTATTGTTGTCTTGCATATGCGCACTTCACTCTTTCATGTTCCCATAGTAACGTGAAAGTTTTCAAAAATAAAGTGTGGTTGCTGAGTAAGTATTAATGTTTGTCCTTGCAACTTGATACGTGGTCGTTTCTGCTGTCTCCCATCCTCTGCCCTTCACATTTGGTTGACTCTAGTGATAAAATGGTTTTGGAATTCTCTGCGTTTACGGTCTCAGGTAAATTGTTAAAAATAAATGCACATCAGGAACACTTGAGACCACCATTGAGAAGTGAGACATTCTATTGATTTCAATTTTTGAGGCACTTTTAACATTAGGATCAATCAGATTAATTGTAAAACCATTTACTGGAAAGACACTAATTTAAGCTGCCATTATAAGTTACCTCTATTTCATTTTGAAAGGCTTACAGCACCAAAAATAGTCTGTGCTCAAAAAGTCAAAACACAATCTAAGTATTGTATTGATATTATTTTGCCATCTTATGATCCTTAACATTACTTTTGGATAAACATGTGTTCCAACTAGAATTTGTACTCGAGGATGACACAACTGCATACTATACATCTTTACTCCCAATGATCTAGAAGAGACAGATTCTTGCTCTGTCACCTAGGCTGGAGTGCAGTGAAATAATTATAACTTACTGCAGCCTGAAACTCCTGGGGCCAACGGGTCTTCCTGCCTCAGCCTCCTGAGAAGCTGGGACTACATGTGTGTGTCATCACACACAACTAATTTTTAAAATTTTTTTTTGCAGAAGTGGGGTCTTGCTATGTTTCCCAGGTTGGTCTCAAACTCCCAGCTTCAAGTGATCCTCCCACCTCAGCCTACCAAAGTACTGGGATTACAGGTATGAGCCACCATGTCCAGCTTCATAGAGCTTTTAAAAATACATTTTATTTGAAAATAATTATATACATATAAAATTTGTGAAAAGTAAGAGTAGCACAAAAATGCAAAAATATCAACAGTACAAAGATTGCCCATATACCTTTTTCTCAAATAAAAATATACCTTTTACTCAACTTACACAAGTTCAACTTTTACCCAAAATATTCTTAACAACCTATTTCCATTTTCTTTCTTTCTTTCTTTCTTTCTTTCTTTCTTTCTTTCTTTCTTTCTTTCTTCTTTCTTCTTTCTTTCTTTCTTTATTTTTTTATTGTGTGTGTGTGTGTGTGTGTGTATTTTCTGGGTTTATTTTCAGAATCATGTGAGATTAAGATGATTAAAATAAGATTCTTTACCCTTAAAGATTTCAATGCATATTTCTTAAGAGTAGGCGTATTCTATTACATAATTGCTATAGGATTATCAATTTGATAGAATACTTTTGTGTAATCTAATCTTTGCACTCCAATTTTGCCCATTGACCTCACAATATATTTACGGTATGTTTTTCCTTCATTACAGAGTTCACTTTATGATAAGTTGTATTTAGAATCTTAAACATTTTCACTGTCTTTTTGACATTAAAATTGTTTGAAGAATGTCTTTCCTTTTAAACAGAGGACTTCTCATTTTGATTTTGTTGGATGTTTTCTCATGGTGATGGCTGGAATAATAAATAAGTGACATGCCTTTCTCAGGATGTCACATCTGGAAGTGTATGGTGTCCATCTTCCCCCTCATTGGTGGCACTAATGTTGATTGCCTGGTCAATACTTTGTCCAATTTCTGCATGGTATTGTTACCAATGAGTAATCTGTGGGAAGAATCTTTATGGCCATTTAAATATCCTGTTTCTCATGTAAATTTCTTTCTAGATTGATTATCCATTGATGACTCTTACTTGATCCAATATTCTAATCTTTATTTGGATGGTTGCAAAATCGTGATTTTTTTTCAACTCCACCATTCCTCCCCTGTTCAATATTTGACACTCCTTCATATGTATACATGTATGTATACATGTTCATATCCATCATGTAACCATCTATCATTTATTTCTTATGCTGCAAACTAATAGATTGTACTTTATTTCAATGGCTTAAAATTTCTTACTTTTCCTAATTATTTTGGTGCTCAAGTTGTCCTGGATTTGGCCAATGGGAACCCTTTCAGCCTGGCTCCTATGTCTTTGTGATATGCACCTATCATTTTTAAAGCACCTCTTTACATTCTGATATCAAAAGATGTTCTGTGCCTTAGCCCTGGAATAAGTCATTGCTCTGTGGAGCCTTGATTCCTTTTAGTAGGGATGGTATTAGAGACCATGTTCTGTGTGCTAGATATAGTCAATGTTTTGTATATATAATATGTCAGTAATGTTTTTGGCAATCATGAGGTTAATCATGGTTAGTAATATTTATATTTAACCACTTGCTTACATGTAAATGAGTTTTTGAAGATGTTCTGTACACACATTTTGTTGAAATTGAATACCAATTTTCATGCAGTCGAAGTTTAAAAAAAATGTGTTTAAAAGAAACATGCGCTGGGGGCAGTGGCTCATGCCTGTAATCCCAGCACTTTGAGAAGCTGAGGCGGGCAGATTACCCGAGGTTGGGAGTTCGAGACCAGCCTGGCCAACATGGTGAAACCTTGTTTCTACTAAAAATACAAAAATTAGCCAGGTGTGGTGGTGCACATCTGTAATCCCAGCTACTCAGGAGGCTGAAGCAGGAGAATTGCTTGAACCTGGGAGGCGGAGGTTGCAGTAAGCCAAGATTGTGCCATTGCACTCCAGCCTGGGCAACAGAGCGAGACTCCATCTCAAAAACAAAACAAAACAAAACCACAATAAAGATAATAATAATAATAATAACATGACTCCTGTGAATCTATTTTCTCCTAAAGAACCATGACTCCTGGGAACCTATTTTGTCTCAAATCGTAAGGTATCTAACCACAAGCTGCCTTGGTGATAATCTCTTCACAAATGGGTCTTTTTGTGGTCAGGTTTTGCTGTCTGCTGTAAGGTTTCTTTCAAAGTGAGCTCTTTGTTCAGTTTTGCTGATGTGGACACTAAAGTCTGAAGTAGAGGAAAATGCGCTAATTTTTTAAGCTTATCCTTGCTCAAGAGGAATGAATCATTTTGGACCTGAATTACACAGGGCCATAGAAAACATACAGCTTTTCTTTCTCTTTGCTGCATTGAATAAGTCATCGTAAGCATCTTTTTCTCCCTATTTCTTGGCAAAGCCATAAGGCTGGCTGGAATCAACTCTTGTGGGCAGATGATCTGAGCCAGGTTTCAATATAGGCACAACCTTCCTTTCTCCAGCAGCTGGACAAGACCAAAGTTTTTTTTTCTACACTATGTGTGAATAACAGCACATATAAGATACAGATCAGTTTGTACAAATTTTGATTAAGAATTTGCTTCTTTTCATTTTTAAGCTATTCCTTTTCAATGTTATAAAATTGCCTGGAATGCAGGAAAAGTTCTTAGTTTTATTATTATTCATAATGCATTGTTTGCATAGGCTTTCAAAGAGAAGTTTTTTCCTCATTAGTTACAATTTTTGTGTCTATTTTCCTTTAGATTTTCAAGACAATGATCAACTTAAAGTATTGAAAGTTTGATGAAAGTCATTTGTATTACATAATTCTGGAAATAGGAAGGTTTTTATTTTTAAATGTTAATTTTATAAGTACCTTTCTGGTGCTGTATATTGTGGTAACAACTTAATATATTCATTATTTATTTTTGCATCAACATTGCTTTAGCAGATATATTTCATTTTATTTTATTATATCCAGAGAGTTAAAATATATATCAGTATCTATATATCTATATCTATCTATTTTCTACCCATCTGTCTATCTATCCATCATTATTTTAAACATTTGAATGACTATAATAGAACTTTGTGTTTAAAGTTTGTCGGGGTTGTAAAACAATTACAGTATAGGAAAGATTAAACCTAGATAACACAATTATAGAACCATAGGTTGACTGAGAGAACATTTATAGTTTTCTCTAGATTTAATAATGCTTATATTTTAATTTTTTCCAGAAATCTTCAAATCATCGATTAGAAAAAATAATATAAAACTTAATGGTTATCCAGCTCCAATCTCAAATTGCTGCCTGATTAGTCTTTTAATATTGTGGACGTTCTACCATGTAACCTCTGCTGGAACTTCTTCTACATTATTGAGGAACATACCAATTTAAGAAGCAGTCATTTCTAGGTATAAGTAATTTCCAGGAATTCTCTGAATTACTGAATCAACTTATTATTATTATTATTACTGAATCAATATTGGTTCAATTTATATTTTCTAAGACACAAATATTTTCTAACCTATCTGTTTTACAAAGGCAAGTCTTTTTTTTTTTTTTTTGAGACTACAAAGGCAAATCTTAAACTACTAAAAGCTACTCAGGCCTAGGATTGAGACTATAACTTATTTTTCCTATTCTATGTCCATTATTGTAGACGAAAATTACTCTAATGATCCACATTAACCCTAATGTCTTTCATGTATTTTGGTTAAATAAAAATGTTTCTATCATATCATTTTTTCAGTTAACTATTTGGACCCAGGATAGGCCTTTACATTTAATAATACTAAATTTCTTCTTGGTGGATTTATTGTATCATTCAAGCTGCTTGAAATATGTGTATGCCCTCATTTGTTCATTCAGCGTATTTGCCCACCCCTCTCATATTTTACACTGTTAAGAAGTTCCACATGCTTCACATGTTTTTTCACTTAGTTTTCGTGACATAATCTCCACTTGTTTTCCTTTGAACCCTCTGAATTCTCTTCCTTAGTTATCTTACAGGGTCATTATTCTCTGCCCATTGCTATTATTTTTCAGGGTCCCATACTATGCCTTCTCCTATTCTCAATCTACACAGACTCTCTAGGTGACTCTATTCATCCCCCTATAGTGATACTTCATCTAGAATCCAAAAAGGCTAACCAAGGGGTTCACAAACATTGTCGTGTGTATGTTCATTTCGTACCATAACAACAATCAAGTTCTTAAAGGCAGGCATGAAAAAGAAAAATGACTAATCTATATAGAGTAGATTTCGTTATATGCATCTCCATTACTGCCTCTCTCCTGTGCATCACCTATCACACCGAATTCCTAATCTACCCCCCAAAATCCATACATGATTTTCCTCCCATGTTCTACCTCAAGTAAGTGGCATCACTCTCCATACAGGAATCCATGCTGTAGACTTAGAAATTTCAAAAGACTCTTCCCCTTTTTCATGTTCCCATGCAACAGATCCCAGATTTCTATCAATATGACCATGTAACTATTTCACAGGTCCCTCCTCCCTTGCTCTATTCCCTGTCAAAATCTCCTGCCACTGTGACAGCTTTCTAAGTAGTCATCCTCCCTCCATGTGTAGCCCATCCAATGTGTTCTCCATATCAAGAAGTCTTACTAAAAACAGAAACTGATTGTTATACTCCAGCATTAAAAACCTATATTTGCTTCCACTACTCAGAGGATTAAGTACAGATTGTACCTTTGCAATGACAAGGCTTCTTATGGTAATTCTTTACAGGGCCATCATGTCACACTCCCTCCATTCTCAATCTGTGTTCTAGTTGGAGTAAATTTCTAGATCTTCTAAGGGCCCATGATCCTTCCTCTAGAAGTTGGCAGGTACTTTTCCTTCCACCTGCAACACTTGTTTTTACCCCGTTTCTCCCTCTTATTCATCTTCATGGCTTAGGTATGACATCAGTTCCACTAAATTAGGTCATATGTCTGTTGGATGTAGACCTAGGTTAGATACCTCCACTAGGTAACCCCAGTGCAATCTGTACTTTCTCTGTCGTAAAACTCACTGTCAACAAGCTTCAGATCAACCTGTGTTCCCCAAATTTTCCAGAGCATCCCTCACTCTAAAGGCCCCCAAATAAACAAATAGCTAAATAAAATTAGTCTCTTTGCTATAGAAATGCAACTTAAACACAAGCCTTACAGGCAAATTTCAATAAGATTACCAACACTAAACTCATCCTATGGGGAGATTATGGAGCAGCCACTGACATTTCTTCTGTTTCATTTAAAAATATTTATCTGTTGTTTCTGTCAGGCTTCACATGCTCCCATAGTGAAGACTGAGCCCCTCCTCGTCCACTGTTTTAACCGTGACACAAGCTTGGCACAGTGCTCGGTCAATATTATGTGATTCGTAAGCTTTCTGAGTGTATCTAGGAACTCTACAATTTCAGATAAGATTGGGCACATTCAAGATGGTAGGGCCATAGACAAGGACCTCTGCAATTTCAAAAAAGGCAGAGATGAAGATAAGACTTTATATGAGCTAAATAGAGATCTTCCTCTCATTAACATCCATTAGCCTCTGCTCCTTGGCTAATGCAACTTAACAATCTACAAGTCCTAATTGTAGAGCTTTTCTCCATTGTGCATAATTAACAATTTTGTCAAATGCCACACGTGTACCCTAACTCTGACTGTAGTTGATATTGCACCCAAACCTGCAGTTTTCTAGTGCTATAAAAATAAACGGAATGTTACAGGCTCAGACTCTAAAATAGAGTGTCCTCCAAATCCTGAGGAGCTCACAGTCCATTGAAAGAAACACCATATGTAAGTAAAGACCTCCCTCATGACACAAGAGCCATGACAGAGATATGGGGAAAGTGACCCACAGGAACAAAGAAGAGTGAGAGACCAGCTCTGTAGTTGGTCCCCCATGACCTAGTCCCTCTAAATCCAATATGGTTCCTAGTGATTGCTCATTTCCTTTCCACAAGCTCACATCTCAACAGATTAAACATTTGCTCTAGAGAATTATCTTAATTCTTTTACAACATATCAAGCCCAAGAAATACAAGAATAAAAAGTAAAAGACCCCACATCTATGGTTTGTGAAAGGCACCTTCTGAAACTTTTTGAAACCAGGATAACATTTATTCTTCTTTTACATCCCCTTAACAATTAATGATGGTAGCCAAGTGCTCTCAGCTAAAAAGTTCTCTCAGTATCTTAGAACAATTCATCTGGCTCCAGAAAATTGGATTCATTTTGAGTAGCTGGGTGCTCTCTTACAATCTCTTCACTTATCTTTCAGTTTCAATTTCCCATACCCAATATATTTCCTAGACTTTCCAGTGTGAAGATCATTCTCTTTGACAGGGAGAACAGAAATAAAATAGGAGATTCCTATTTTCTCTCTTTCTTGTTTTCTAACTTTATGCCACCTTCCCATAATCAATAGGATTACTTCTTCATTTTTTCCTTGCTCAGGACAGAACTAAAAACATGCTGTTATCATTAGTTTCTTCTGAACTTTGGTCTTTATGACACAAGACTAATCCTTTGGTTAGAAAATGAATGTTCACATATTTACAATTCCTTGGTTGTCATTCTTTTCCTGTGCAGATAAAAACTTTTCAAACAATATAATACTCATTGTATTTTCATGTGAAGATACCGAGAAGTCATTCAGTGCTCATACTTTACCCCCTTAGCTGAGACCCTGTGTGGCTAGGCAACTTTTATCCAGGTAATATGGTAATGGATGGAGGCTGCTATTCAAACCCTTCTTCTTGTTCCCAGGATATTCCTTTTTCCAGAAGTCTGTTTCCCACATTTCCATCAACACAGTTGATGAAAAGTTATTTTCCCCAGAGGAAGTATTGCAACCAGTTTATCTACTCTGCAAGAGATTTTCTATACACATACCGCAAATACATACATACATATATATATATATATATATATAATTTTTACACAAATGGTAGTATATTAGTCTGCTAGAGCTGTTGTAACAAAATACCACAGACTGGGTGACTTACAAGACAGAAGTCTATTTTCTTATAGTTCTGGAGGTTAGAAGTCAAAGATCAACGTGTAGGCGTATTTGGCTTCTCTGAGGCTTCTCCCCTCGGCTTGCAGAATACTGCCTTTGCACCTCACATGGTTACCCCTTTGTTTGTGTGAATAGTCTACATCTGAATTTACTCTTCTTGTAAGGACACCAGTCATAATGGATTAGGGTACACTCATATGACTTCATGTTACCTTAATTATCTCTTCAAAGGCTGTATTTTCAAATCCAGTCACATTCTAATGTACTGGGGTTTAGGACTTTAACATACTAATTTGGGGGAAACATAATTCAGCTCATAAAAGGTAGTTTGTCATAAATGTAGTTATCGTCTTATTTCCTTCCTTAATAAATATATCTTAAAGATCTTCAGTGTCTTAAAACACATCAAGTTCTGCCTAATTCTTTTTAATAATGACATTTATTATATAAATGTGACATAACATTCTTAACCATTCCCTTAATGATGAAAATATATTTTCTTCAAAGTTTTTGCAATATTAAAAGACAATTCCATGACTAATATTACACATAGGCCATTTTACATATGTGTGGATACTTATGTAGGATGTATTCTCTATTGAGGAATATGAATAAGGGCAAAAAACAAGGATATTTTTAAAACATTTTTCTAACTAGTGCTAAATTGCCTTCCATAAAGAGGTACCAATTCATACTTTTATTAAGAAGTATGAAAATGACTTTGTGTAATCAAACTGATAGTTGCCAAATATTTAGGGAAAAACTATATCATCTCATAATTTTAATTTAGCATTTCCCTTATTGATGAAATGTATGGTGTCTTTTCATATGTTTAACATATTTAAGAGCCAAATATTTACTTTTCATTTTCTGTGAACTGTCTTATCATATACTTCACAAATTTCATAATGTTTATAGATATTTTCTTATTAATTTGGTATATGTATTTACATATTAGGGAAATCGATACACTATGATATGAGCAAATGTTTCCCCATTTATCCCTTTTCTTGAATTTGCTTGCTTTTTTTCTTTCAAGCAGAAATATTATATTCTAGTATAGTTGAATTTATCAATATACTAGTCTGAGGCTTCTGAAATTTTGTGCAATACTTCAATGGCCTTTCTCATTCTGAGATTATAAAAGAACGGTACATGTTTTGTTGCTTTGTTTTGTTTTCCCATAACACTTTATGGTTGGTTTTTCACCTGTAATTCTTTGACCCATATGGAATTTATTGTGTATTAAGTAGGAATTCAAATTTGTTTATTTTTTCCAAATGACTAGCTGATAGGCCCAGTTTAATTTACTTATTAATCCATACTTTCTTACTTCATTGAAATGCTTTCTTTATCAAATGAAAAAAAATGCCTCATGGATTTAGATGGATTTCTGAATTTTGTATTCTGCTTTATCTAGTTATAAATACATACCATTCTGTTTTTATATTGTTAGCTTTATAATGTGGTTTAACAATTTACAAAGGTAGTCCTATTCATTATTTTTCTAGAATTATTATTTATATTTTACCAGCTAATTAATAATATTAATATTGAGAGAACTGATTTCATTTTATTGTTGGTTTTATTTTTCCTTTTGCTCCTTTTTGGTGATGTTGGGTTTTTCTATTCAAGGCTAAAGCAGAACTTTCCATTTGTTTAAATCTTCTTTTGTGTCTTTCATAATTTTAAAGTTTTCTTCTTATGGATGATGCTCATTTCTTGTTAAGCTTCTCTTTGGTATTTCAGCATTTTGCTGCTGCTATCATTTCTTTTTTGTTTCTCCGATTGTATTTTATAAATGGATTGCTACTTGCATCAACTAGTTTTTAAAACAGTACTCAGTATATTTTATTATGGTTCTCAAAGCATTTTGGTATTTTTTGTAATGTGTGTGTGTTTATATGTACACATATTGATATATAAAGAGATTTTATCTTACTTTTTTGCTATAGCATTTTGCATAATGCTGTGTCAATGCAGACATTGTAAAATGATACTTAACAGTGCTTTTCTACCTAGTTATACTTCAGAAAAACTGAGATTTTATATGTAAAATAATGGCTTTATTACTACTCTTTCAATTCCATGATCCATGATCTTACTGTTATTTAAAAAGAAAGCATTTCATGATATATTATTACTGCTGGTTTGCCTCAGAGTAAAATCATAAATAAATATGAAAATAAAAGCATACAATCTTAAAAATGACTTAGGATAATTGAGTTCTGTAACACCTTTGGCAAAACAACAAAACTAGAACATCACAACAAGAAATTGTCCAGTTTTCTTGCGAAAATTATTTTAAAAATCATTTTATTTTTATTTACATAAAAATACAAATGATTATAACATGAAGTGCCCCTAATCTGTTATTTGTTTGTGATTGGTAACCTCATAAAGAGAGAATTTGTTCCTAGAGCTTATTCATTGACTGGAATATTCTTTGTGTGGATATTTATGTACAATTTCTCATTCTGGGACTTGTCATGGTGATTAATGACATATTATAAGAATAAGCACATTGAATAAATGAACACTTTTACCCTGAGGAGATCATGAAAGATATGAGACTAACTCATCTTAGCAGAAATTTTGGTTGCAAATAAGCAAATAACTTTATCACAATAACAGCTATAATACCTCATTAGATAGTGTCTCTTGCCCTGTGAATCTTTATTATATCATTATTCCTTCCACACTTATAATCAGTGTGATATAATTCATTTTTATTTGTTTTCTGATTTTGTATACTTGCTATTTTTTTCTGTCCAGGAGACTATTATCTTCTGCTCCTAACCTACCCACTCAATATCACTTTCCCCGTTCATCAGCTCCTAGTGCTTAGAATGGTTCTGGGCACATCGTGACAAGAAATTAATATTTGTTTAAAAATTTTAGCTTTAATTGAATTAATTAATTAATTAAAAGGGATAATCACCTGAGGTGCTTTGGGAGGTAAGAAAAGGAGTGGATTATATAACAATAATCTCTTGAGATCTTTAGACCTTTTCCTCCTGTATTATTTCTACCTTCATAAAAGTATGACATTTGCACTTATAGTATTAATGGTTATGGGGAAACAAAACCTCCAGAGACTCTCAAAGAAAAAATGTCTTCACATTTACTGCTGGTATTATTCACTACAATCATACAATAAATTAGGATTTCTATCTTAAAACTATAATCTGGCCTCTGCTGTAAGACAGCAACTAAAAGAGGAAAATAAACCTGGAAAAACACAAACAAGCAAATAGCTGTGATAGGAATAGAAGAAGAAGAATTTTATGCAACAAGGTTTTAAGGAGCCAAGATTCCAGAAAGAAGAAGAAGAAGAAGGAGAAGGAGAAGAAGAAGAAGAAGAAAGAAGAAGAAGGTGTTTAAAGTCAGTCCTATATTCCCTGCTTCCTTTCCCTTGAGGGGGTTTCCAATTCCTGAACTGCATCAAGAAAAAAGCTGAAAAGACCAGCAGAAAGGTAGTTTTAAAATTTAGCAATTAGATGAAGAGGAAAGGAAATGGGGAATCAGAGGCCACTGAGAAGGTAAATACCCCAGATTCCAGCTAATTCTCTGAAAGGCTACACCTTAGGAGTTGGAGCACTGGTTCTACAGCAGCCTCACCAGGACTAGAAACTTTGAATTGATTAAAGAGATCAGCATTTATTTTCACTGATTACAAGAAGAAAAGCAAATTCTCTCTGGAAGAAGATAGTCTAATCTGAGCTTCACACAGTGTCAAGACCAAAAGACTGAAAATAAAAAGGAAAAATGAACAACAGAAACAGATTGACACATAATCTGGATGTTGGAAATAGCAGAAACAGACTTGAACATAACAGTTTCATAGACTACCATTCTCTGGTAAAATATTGCACTTTTTCATCTGAATTTTACCAAAAAACTGGAATTAATTCTTTTAAAAAAGTATCAAATGCTTATTTTAGTACTGAAAAATTTGCTAATTGAAATTAAGAATGTAACAAATAGTTTAAACAGCAGAATAGGCACAGAGTTTGTGAACTGGGAGACAGATGAGCGGAAAATATCCATACATAAGCATAGCAAAAGAAAATAATAAATATATGAAAAAGAAAATCAAAACCACATGAGATACAGAGACAAACTGTAATACATGAATAAGTAGAATTCCAAATAGAGAGAAGAATGAAGTATAAGCAATAACTAAAGAAATACTAGCTGACAACTTTCCAAAACTGAAGATATCAAACTACAAATTCAAGAAGTATTATGAAACTCAAGTAGGATAAAGGAAAACATACCGAAACATTTATAAAATGCTGAAAACCAAACACAAGCAACCAGACTTAAAAGCATCCAGAAGAAAACTGTTAAAAGGAGCAAAAATAAGACTGCCAACTAACGTTTCAAACAAAGGATGAAAGCCAGAGGAAAATAAAATGTCATCATAAACGTGGTGAAAGAAAATAACTGCCAACCCCAAAATCTATACCCAGCCAAGATAGTCTTCAATTAAAAAAAAGATAAAATAAAATAAACACATTTTCACACAAACAAAAACTGAGAGAACTTTTTGCCACCTGATAGACTAAAATATATGATAGACTCTTTTTACAAAGAAGAAAAATCATCCCAGTTAGAATCACAGAAAAGCAAGAAGAAATGCAAATTAATGAAACAAATTAAATATTATAAATTTAAATGAGTACCAGTTGTATAAAACAATGATACTAATGTCTTATAAAACATAAAATATATGCAATAGATAATGTTGATATCCCATCTGAGAGCCCATGGACTACCTGACTTCCCATGAAGATGTTGACAATTCCTCACAATAACAACCTTTCTACCTCCCGTGCCCTTTTCTCTTCCCTGCTTGGATCCTCTCTTTAGCATCAGTGAAGTTCAGTTTGAGTGACTATACACAGATCTGTCCAGAAGTTCAGGAACATAATGCCCTGGGGCAAACCTCAATGGCATAAAATGTAAGTCAGTGGATAAATCCCCCAGCCTCCTCAGCAGTTTGTGGAAAGATTCTGTGATGTGTTTCACAGAGAGATCCTGAATTAGTTTTCTAGGAATGCTGTAACAAATTACTATGAACTTGTTGGATTAAAACAATAAAAATATATTGTCTCATAGTTGTGGATGGAAGTTGGAGGTTTGAAATAAGGGTGTCAACATAGTCAAGCTCCCTGTGAATGTTCATGAAAGAATTATGCCTTGCCTTCTCTAGCTTTTGGTATCTTCAGATGTTCCTTGCCTTGAGGTTTCATCATTCCAATCTCTGCCTCCATCTTCACATGGCCTTTTCCTCTTCAGTGTCTGTGTTTTCTCCTACGTCTTAAAGGACTTGTCATTAGATTTAGGGTACACCCTAATCCACGATAATCTCCTTATCTCAAGATTATTAAATTAATTATATTTGCAAAGACCTTATTTCCCACTAAGGTGACATTCACAGGCTCTTGGGGTAAGAACATGGACATATCTTCTTGGGGGTCACCACTTAACATACTACAACCTCTAACACTAACTCAAACCTGTGACCTGGTCATTAAAATATTCTTTACTGGCTTTTCTTCAATTTCTCTTTGATGACATTCTTTCTGGGATTACTTTCCAAATAAATTCTCTGAACTCTAATTCTTGCCTCAGAAACTGTTTTGTGGGGAAACCAAACTAAGGCTGAAATAAGGTGCAATAAATTACATAAAAACAACAGCACAAAAGATTTGAGAAGGTAAACTGACATAAAATAGTGAAAGCTTTTTCATTATCTGGGATGTTGGGAAAGTACTAATTTATAGTAATCTATAATAAGTCACGAATGAATGTTCCGATCTTCAGGATAACCACTAAAGTAAAAAGTAAAAGAACATATAACCAAGAGTAAATACAGGAGAAAATAAGAACAAAGGAGTCTTGATATTTCTAAAAGAAGACAAAGAAGAAGGGAAAAAAGAATCAAGAAGATATGGAAAACTAGAAATTAAGTAGGAAGACGTAGATTTCAACAAAAATATTTCATTAAATATATCAAATGTCAATATGTTTAATACTCTAATTAAAAGATAGATACGGCTATGGTGGTTAAAAAACAAATCCAAATATATGTTGCCTTCTAGAGACACACCTTAAAAGGATACCCTGAGGTAATGTTTACTCTAAGCAAGCTAGTAGAACTATACTAAGCATACAAAGTAGATAGGCTAGCATCATTGCTAGAGACAAAAAGGAGGCTTTCAAAGTGATAAAATATCGATCCACTAGGAAGTACAATTCTGAATTTTTATAAATCTAATAATATAATCCCAAGAAGCATAAGCCCCAAACTGCTGAAACTAAGGGGAGAAATAGAGAAATCCAAAAAAGAGAAAGACTGTAACTCATGTCTCTTAGCAATACAGTAACCAAAATGGCATGATACTGGTACATGAACAGACACATAGAACAATGGGACAGAATAGGGAGCCCAGAAATAATGCCGAACGTCTACAACCATCTGATCTTTGACAAAGCTGACAAAAACAAGGAATAGGGAAAGAACTCATTCAATAAATGGTACTGGGATAACTGGCTAGCCATATGCAGAAGAATGAAACTAGATGTCTACTGTACACCACATACAAAAATCAACTCAAGATGGATTAAAGACTTAAATATAAAACCTAAAACAATAAAAACTTTGGAAAATAATCCATGCCATTCTGGACTTGGACCTTTGCAAAGATTTCATGATGGAAATGCCAAAAGCCACTGCAACAAAAACAAAAATTGACAAATAGGATCTAATTAAATTAAAGAGCCTGTGAACAACAAGAGAAGCTATCAACAGAGTAAAGAGACAACCTACAGAATGGGAAAAATATATGCAAACTATGCATCCGATAAAGGTCTAATATTCAGAATCTAGAAGGAACTTCAACAAATTTACAAGCACAAAATAAACAACTCCACTAAAAAGTGAGCAAATGACATGACCATACATTTTACAAAAGAAGACATACATGTGACCAATAAGCTTATGAAAAAATGCTCAACATCACTAATCATTAGAGAAATGCAAATCAAAACCACAATTGATGTCTCATGCCAGTCAGAATGGCTATTATTAAAATGTCAAAAAAAATAACAGATGCTGGTGAGGTTGTGGAGAAAAGGGAATGCTCATACACTGTTGGTGGGAGTGCAAATTATTTCAGCCATTGTGGGAAGCAGTTTAGTGATTTCTCAAAGAACTTAAAACAGAATTACCATTCAACCTAGCAATCCTATTTTGGGGTATGCACTTAAAGGAATGTAAGTTATTCTACCATAAAAACACAGGTGTGCATATGTTCATTGCAGCTGTATTTGTAATAGCAAAGACATGGAATTGACTTAAATGCCCATCAATGGTAGATGGGATAAAGAAAATGTGGTACATATACACCATGGAATATTACACAGTCATGAAAAAGAAGGATATTATGTCCTTTGCAGCAATATGGATAAAGCTAGAGGCCGTTATCCTAAGCCAACTAACAACAGGAACAGAAAACTAAATAATGCATGCACTCACTTACAAGTGAAAGTTAAATAATGAGAACACATGGATACTAGGAGGAGAATAACAGACACTGAGGCCTCCTTGAGGGTGGAGAGGGGGAGGGTGGGTGGAGGAAGAGGATCAGAAAAAATATCCGTCAGTTAATATGCTTATTACCTGAGTGATGAAATTATTTGTACAACAAACCCGTGTGACATGCAATTTACCTATGTAAGAAACCTGCACATGTACCCCTGCCTGTACCTAAAATAAAAGCTAAAAACAGAAAATGAGCAGATTGACAACATCAGCAATGATGTAGAAGATCTAAACATGATTCTTCACTCTTACCCCACTGCTATATAAAGAGGAAATCCCTTTCTTTTCAAGAACAAATGGGACATTTGCCATAATTAATCACATTCTGTTCCACTAATTCCCAAATGTTTAGGAATTAATTAACACTCTTCTAGTTTACAAGTGACAGAAATTATGAAAGCAAAGTTTAGAATATATTTTGAAAAAAATAACAAAGTACAAAACATCATATCATGTGGGAGGCAGCTAAAGCTTTTCTAAAGGAAAGTATATAGACCTAAATCTGTTAGAATAAAGGCTGAAAATCATGAAGCTAAGCATTCATTTCAAGAAGTTAAAGAGAGAAAATTCAACAAAGTTGAAGAAGATAAATAATAGCAATAATAACAGAGAATGATAAAATAGAAAACAAAAGTATATAGAAAATCTCAACAAAAACAAAAAAATTATCTTTAGAAACAATCTATTTCTTCTATACTTTTTAACAGCGTTCTTAGATTCTTGAATTGAAACAACTGCTAACACTTCAAAAGATAAAATATATGTGTAATAAAATGTGTTCAATTTCTATTTTACCAAGCAAGGACATTAGAAAAAAATAGATTACCATTTTCACTTGCCATCAATTTTATCAAAGAAACAGCTTTTGTAACACACCCAAAATAGAAAGAATGTATTCTGAGAATAAAGAATAGCCCTTTGAGAAAATAAGTAAATTTATGAAAAACTCACTACATTGCCCAAATTGTTATTATTTTATTACAGATTAGAAAAACAATCTTTGTCAGAAACTCATCAGTAGTTTGTATATACTGATATGGGAGTTGGGCAGGGAAATGCTGGGAAGGGAAAGACATGGTTCCTGGGGAGGGCTCCACCCCTGGACCTGTGCCCACAGACCTAGGTGAGGACAGGCATTTCTGTTTTCGTGCCCAAATGTTGCATTTCACAAGATCACTCTAGCCCACCACACCCACATCTTGTGCCTGTAAAAACCTTGAGACCCTAGCGGGCATGCACACAACCAGCTGGACTGCGAGAGGAACGCACCGGCGTAAGAGCACACCAACAGGTACTAGCAGATGCCAGCAGGCCATCAACCAGCAGAACAATGTGGAGTTTGGCTGGGCCAGTCAAAGGAGAGCCCGGCAGCTGAGCTGCCCAATACCGGAGGAAAACCACCTTCCCACCTCACCTCCCTTCTGGCTCCCCATCCATCTGCTGAGAGCTACTTCCATTCAATAAAACCTTGCACTCATTCTCCAAGCCCATGTGTATCCAATTATTACAGTACACCAAGGCAAGAACCCAGGATACAGAAAGCCCTCTGTCCTTGAGATAAAGTTGAGGGTCTAACTGAGCTGGTTAACACAAGCTGCCTACAGATGGCAAAACTGAAAGAGCACCCTGTAACACACACACACTGGGGCTTCAGGAGTTGCAAACATTCACCCATAGATGCTGCAGTGGGGTCGGAGCCCCACAACATGCCTGCCTGCATGCTTCCTCTAGAGGTTTGAGAAGCGGGGCACTGAAGAAGAGAGCCATACCCCCGTCACATACCCTGTGAGGGGGATAAGGGAACTTTTCCTGTTTCAATACTACTCTCCTGATATTCTTCTCTATCAGAAACTATTAGCTCATTAAACTGTTCGTATTTTGTAATGTAAGTAATCTCATTATTCTAACTAAATTATAGGCACACAGTGCAAAACTGATTGTTTTTTCTAATTTCATACAGGATTTTAATTTCTGTAATGAAATCTTAACAACTCCCTTGCCTGGAATTTTTAGTTTCGGGGGCCTATTTCTCTGTTTTATACCTAGAACTCAAGAAAAGCTATTATTCTGATTCCTGCCGTTGAGTAATAAACCCTTACCTCCCCGCAATTGAGTCCAGCCTTTCTTTCCCTATAGTCCTTCTCTTTCTTTTCCCCACAGCAAAATTGCGGTGCTTTCCAAAGTTACTGGGGTTTTATCTGTTTCTTTCAAAATCTTTATTTCCCTTGCATTTATATATGTGTTATGTGTGTGTGTGTGTGCATAGAATGTAAAAGTTTTGTATTATGTGTTTGTGACTTTTTATATAAACGATATCACACTGTGATCACTCATTCTGAATTCATTGAACCAAAACGTTTCTGAGATACATTTAAATGGGACAATATTGACCATTACATGTTTGTTTTTCCTTTTCAGAAGTTGCCTTACAAAGCAGTTATCTTAGACCTTTCTTATCATATGTCTAAACTTTTTGTTTTCAACCAGCAAAATGCATAATATGATAAACTTAAATGCTCTATCAGAATAAGAAACTAGTCTTATCTGAAGAGGGAGGAACATTTCAGAAGTGACATCTCTCTAGAAAGTATAATGTTTTTCTCTAACTGCACTGTTTAAACAAGAGGACTGCCATCCATCTTAATCATGAAAAAAATGTTTTCATAATTACTCTAGTCACTTGTCATTCACCTGCCTCAGTTTAATAAACTTGCCTGAAAAATAAAGTGCTTCATTCTGAGATTTGTGATGTGGTTTAAAGTCCCTACAGTCTCACGAGTGGTGTTTAAACAGCCCAAATTAAAATGTAATCACTTGAGAACTAGATTAAATTATGTATCACCAGTTTCTCTTCTTCAAAGTTCCAAACTCATGTTGTCTTTGAAATTGAGTATTAAATTGCCCCTGGTGGTACTGAGTCCTTCTTATCATTTATCAATTTATATGGGTATCCTGTAAGTTTTTGAAAAAAATCACACTTACCGAATTAATTTTTTGAGAAGTACCAGAGCTTTGCTCTGAATAGAAAACCAAGATTTTTTCTTTTTTTTCCTAAATAAAGGTTTTATTTTAGTATGAGAAAGACAAGAAAATTACATTTACTAGCCACTCCACTCACATTCTGCATGGCAACAGGATATTTTCATATCTTTATCTTATATTATTTAATCATCAGTATGAGACAAGTACAGGAATAACTCAGTTTATTGCACTTGGCTTTATTGTGCTTCATAAATGCTGCTTTTTTTGTCTTTCAAATGGAAGGTTGATGACAACCCTGCATCCACCCTCACCACCCCAGTGTGTGAAAAAAATTGTCTTCCACAAAACTGGTCCCTAGTGCCAAAAAGGTTGGGAACTGCTATGTTATAGTATCTGTCAGCAGTGGTCTTAGATTTTACTATTGTAATTGTTTGATGGTGTCATGAACGCATCCACATAAGACAGTGAACTTAACTGGTAAGTGTGTGTGCTCTGACTGCTCCACCCACTGGCCATTTCCTCACCTCTCTCCCTCTCCTCAGGTCTCCCTATTCCCTGAGACACAATGATCTTGAAATTAGGACAATCGATAACCCTAAGATGGCCTCTAAGTGTTCAAGTGAAAGAAAGACTTACACATCTCTCACTTTAAATCAGAAGCTAGAAATGATTAGGCTTAGTAAGGAAGTCATGTTGAAAGCCAACATAGGCTGAAAGCTAGGTGTCTTGCACTAAACAGCCAAGTTGTAAATGGAAACGAAAACTTCTTGAAGGCATTTGAAAGTGCTATTCCAGTGAACACACAAATGACAAAATAGCAAAACAGGTTTATTGCTGATATGGAGAAAGTTTGAGTGTTATGGATAGAAATCAAACCTGTCACATCATTATCTTAAGTCAAAGCCTAATCCAGATCAAGGCCCTAACTTTCTTCAATTCTATCATATGAAAGCTGAGAGAGTTAAAGAAACTGCAGAAGAAAAGATGGAAGCTAGCATAGGTTGGTGCATGAGGTTTAAGAAAATAAGCCATCCCCATTACATACAAATACAAGGTAAAGTGGCAAGGGCTGGTGTAGAAGCTACAGCAAGTTATCGAGAGATCTAGCTAAGATCACTGATGAAGGTGGCTACCCTAAGCAACAGATTTTCGATGTAGATGAAACAGCCTTCTACTGGAAGAAGATGTCATCTAAAACTTTCATGGTTGGAGAAGAGACGTCAATACCTGGCTTCAAAGCTTCAAAGGACAGGCTGACTCTCTTGTGAGGCACTATGCAGCTGCTGACTTTAAGCTGAAGCCAATGCTCATTTACTATTCTGGAAATTCTAGGGCCATTAAGTATGATGCTAAATCTATTCTGCCTGTGCTCAATAAACGAAACAGCAAATCCTGGATGACAGCACATCTGTTTAGACATGGTTTACTGAATATTTTAAGCCCACTGTTGAGACCTACTGCTCAGAAAAAAGATTTCTTTCAACTTTCACACTATTACTGTTCATTGACAATGCATCTGATCATCCAAGAACTCTAATGGGGAGTACAAGGAGATGAATATTTTCATGCCTGTTAACACAACATCCATTCTGCAGCCCATGGATCAAGGAGTAATTTTGACTTTCAAGTCTTATTATTTAAAAAATACATTTTGGAAGGTTATAGCTGGAAAAAAGTGTGATACCTCTGATGAATTCTGGGAAAGTAAATTGAAAACCTTCTGAAAAGGAGTCACCATTTTAGACACCATTAAGAAGAGTTATGATTCATGGGAGGTAAAAATATCTATATTAACAGAAGTTTGGAAGACATTGATTCCAATTTTCATGGATGACTTTGAGAGGTTAAGACTTCAGTGGAGCAAGAAACTGCAAATATTAGGGAAATAGCAAGAGAACTGGGACTAGAAGTGGAGCCTAAAGATGTGACAAAATTGTTACAGTCTTGCAATAAAACTTTAATGGATGAAGACTTGTTTCTTATTAATAAGCAAAGAAAATGTTTTCTTGAGACAGAATCTACTGGTGAATACACTATGAACATTGTTGAAATGACACCAAAGGATTTAGAATACTACATAAACTTAGTTGATAAACAGTGGCAGGGTTTGAACAGATTGAAACCAATTTTGAAATAAATTCTATCAAATAGCATCAGATGTTACAAATAAATCTTTCATGAAACAAAGAGTCAATAGATGTGGTAAACTTCATTGTTTACTTATTTTAAGCAATTACTACAGACCCTCTAACCTTCAGCACCCTGAGCAGTCAGCAGCTATCAACATTGAAACAAGACCCTCCACCAGCAAAAAGATGACTGCCTGAAGGCTTAGATGATTGTTAGCATTATTTGCAATAAAGTGTGTTTCAATTAAGGTATGTACTTTTTTTAGACACAATGCCATTGCACACTTAATAGACTACAGTATAGTGTAAGCCTAACTTTTCTCCACCCTGGGAAACAAAAAAATTTCGTGGTGGTCCGGAACTGAACCTGCAATAATACCTCTGAGGAATCCCTTTATTTTCTCAGGTTTTACAGATGAGAGAACTGAACCCCGAGGGCAAAGTAATGTTCCTCAGATCCCTCAAAGCTTAGTTTGATCCCAAAGTATTTTACATATGTTGTGAGAGGTTGACTGATGAGGTGAATATGCATCATAGGATTTTTCCATATCCCATTTTCTAAAAATCTAGTCTTAGCCCTTCGTTCTTGTATTACACAGCCTTCTCAAGCAGTGCCTGGATCTCTGCATCCTCTATGTTGCTGTCCCAAGTGAATTTGTAAATGCTGTCTATTGTACTAAGAAATGTGAAGAGAATCAAATATTTCAGGTCCCAAGAATAAAGGCATGGCTGGCCATTACACTCCTAGAATGCTTAGCATCTAACTAGAATAACGCTGACCTAGGAAATGAGCTCAGGATTCAATGAAGACAAAGCGAGTGATCAAAGCAGGCCTCCATACGGCTCTCTTGTTCATATGTCCATTGGCTTATTTATTCTTTCATATCTGGATAACAGTTTACTAAGTACTCTGCATACTGGATTAATTAAGACACAGTCTCTAACCTCACCTAGGTACTTTTTCAGATCAAATAACTCCCAAAAACTTTAAAGCTGAGGTTATAACAATATTGTGTTAAATAAAAACTTATTTAATAAATATTATAGCTTAAAAAGTCTCATATCACTTTTAGGGCATTTCTTTGGTAGCAACTGATAAGCCCTTTGTATTGTATTGAGGTTTTATTTTTATTAAAAATACTAATTTCTATGTTCTTATATTCTAGCTATTCAATTATTGCCAGTATCATGATGAATAATATTATTTATGATCATCTGAAGATTCAAAACATTGTATATTCCCTCCCTTTGTAACCTCATATCCCATGACAGGCCACAGATCATCTGCAGGGGTGACCAATCTTTTGGCTTCCCTGGACCACATTGGAAGAAGAATAATTGTCTTAGGCCACACATAAAATACACTAACATTAACAATAGCTGATGAGCTAAAAAAAAAAATTGCAAAAAATCTCATAACGTTTTAAGGAAGTTTATGAATTTGTGTTGGGCCTCATTCAAATCTGTAGTGATTGTGCACATCCATTTGTGCAGGGGACTCAGTCTGTACCTATCAGACATTCCAAAGGAAACTTTATGTATGTTGAGGGAAGGGAGTGGAAAATGGCCTGTTTCTATCATATTTCTCATATCCATTGTTTTTCTTTTTTAAACCTCTGTATCTTTGTTCTCAAGGACGGTACAATGCAGATGGCTGAGGCCAAACTTGAGTCAGTGCCTCCTGTCTGTGATGTCATCCATCCTTTCTGCAGTGTCTGAGTGGACCTTGCCCTCCCCTGACTGGTTTTATAGATTATACTAAACATGGTGTTCTCAGTGCTTAGTTCCTCAAATGGCTGTGTTCTCTGCATGGGCAAGGACACGGTTAACTTGGGAGTTTTATCCCAGTGAAAGTATGTACTTGAATATCTGCGTGTTCTGTTTACTGTGAAAGAACAGTCATAAAGAACGAAGGAAATCTTGCCTTTGGCACATAAAGCCTATCCAAGGAGGCTGGAGCTATGGAGGGAAAGCCAGAAGAGCATTTGCAGACTGGCTGAGGCACTTTGCCATCTTGCACCCACAGGTAAGTGTCCTCCTGGGAGCCCAGCTTTGCAATGGAAGCCAACAGCCTCCCGGCCCTGGATTCAACATCAGAGGCCTCCTCACTTCTAATGCTATGTGTAATTTCCAGCTATGCTCCTTGTGCTGTCAGTAAATGGAGTGTTTGATGATATTGGGGAAGATTGAATTACAAGACAGGGATTTTCTCATAATTCAGCCATTCGGTGACTCAGTTTTTGAATTAACCACACGTAAATTTGGAAAAGCTTAATACAAACTTTCTATTTTCTTACAAAAAAATTTGAGAGACTTTGCCGTTTGGAAAGATTGCTATGTTTTCTTGCCATTCTTTCTTTTTTCACTTTTTTTTACTTTTTTTTTTTTTTCTTGAGGGGATTCACCTTTACATCACTATCTTTCCTTGGACAGTATGGATAGATAAAGTCACAGTGAGATGATTTTTCCCAAAAGATCCAGGTTTCAGGCTAATGTAACTGCATATTACAGGTTTTCCTTTTAAATAAATAGATGAACCAAGAACTGGATTTTTGCCAATATTCAAATATCATATAGAATATTTATCTCTTAAAAATTCTGCTGATAATATTTTGCCTGTCTGTCTGCCTGGCTGGCTGCCCTTCCCCTTCCCCTTCCCTTTCCCCTCCCTCCTCTCGCTTCCCTTCCCTTCCCTTCTTCCTCTCTCTCCCTCTCTTTTCCTCTCCCCATCTCCCTCAACTCCAAAGCGCACACACAGGTTCTTTCAGCAGCTGGGGCATTTAGTTCTACTGAGCTGTTGTTTTCTTCATTATTCATTTGGTTTCTGTGTTTTTCCATGTACAAGGTATTTTCACTTTTTTAAAACTTGAGAAAAAAAAAATGTTGTCAGTATCAATAAATCTGCATCCAGGGAGAGTCACTTCTTATCAAGGTTTCAAAAGTGCTTCATGGTTTTCCAGTCTCCTGTCCCTGCTAATCAACGCTGATGTTTCACATACACAGGACGCAAGATGCCATCTTCTGAACCAGCTCTTTGCTGCATTCCATTTTAGGAATGAGAACCTGGATTATTTATTTAAAACTGTATAAAGTCCTGTTGTTAAGCTGCTCTCTGTGAAAAGCAGAAAGCGGTTTGAGCCAGGTGGGGAGAGGCTGGGCAGGAAGACGGCTAGATTCTGTGGGAAAAGGGAGAGCAATTTTATTTCCTGCTATAAATTAAATAGCCTAATTCAACCCTCCACCAGTAATATGATAACCAATTAATATATTAATGGACAGGGATTATGGAGTCTGGTTTTAGAAAATGGAAACTAGAAGTCAATTTCACTTAAATACTCTTCTGGGCATTTTTTTTTTTCTTTCCTGTAGCCAAAACCAAGTGCTTATGTAGCATTGATAATTATTAAAAGAGATACTATGACTCAGAACTGGTTAATGTTTGTAATGCTTCTTTAACTCTCAGTCAAGAAGTGCTACAAGTATTACTTGCCTGACATAATAGTTAAGGGGAATTATATAAAGTAGTAATTATCCCATTTTCTGTAAATTTTATTTCTCCCAGTTCAAACCTTAGTATCATTTTATTTTTCATTCTTGGAAACCAATATATGTGATCTGTTTTATTTTATCCATATAACATGGCTGTTCATTCACACAGATGACACATTTTTGTAGTCACTTCTCAAGGCTTTTAAAGCACATTTTTAGCCTAACTCACATAAGTTATTGCTATCTAATGATATGTAATTTACCAAATCCCAGCTTTGGGGACACTTTAAAATCAAAGTGAAAGCTACACATATTTAATAACTAATGTATATACACAGATGTGATCGTGATAATCTTACTACTTAATAGTGATTATTGAATTGGAATTCATCTTCAGTGTTCACACTGCAAGTGGTTTGGAATGACCAGAAGTGGAATAAGAATTGCACTTGGGTAAAATAGAAAATGAAGTAAAATTGCTTCTTGAGCATAGAGTCACTATATCTATCTCTAGCACCCAAATACTTGGGAAGAAAAGTAAGCCTAGTACTCTTGAGACAATGGACGTGATTAAATATGATTAAGTGTGATTTTTTAATTCTTACAAATGTGGAGCCTGCTGAAGATCGGCTTCTATGGAGTCCCATTGATTTAATTTGGGCATACTGTAATTTACTGGGCTGGAGTAGAAACAGTAATCCGGCGAGGCCATCATAAGCTCATTAGAAACACACTGGGAATGCTTAATGCCGGACAACCCACAGCTTTTTACATCCATTTTATAGTGATCCTCTCTTGCCTTGCCCACTGCTCACTACTGCATGCCATTGATGGTGTGGTCGTTTTCAAACACACCCCAGAAAATGAGAGGTATTTTTTAAAACAAGATTTAAGTCACCAAGAAACATATAAAACAGCATTTCTAGTATAAAACAACAACAACAACAACAACAAACTTCTCGTGTTGTTAATCATGGTAAGATTGGTTAGCTGTTAAGTACTGTAGAATGCAACTAATCAAGAGCTCAAACATCCTACACAATGAAACAGAAATAATTATTCTCCCTGAGCTGCTATTGTTTCCTGCCTCAGCCATCCATGGACTAATAAAAGGTTTAATTTTAAATGGTGCGAAGGAAATGTCAGTGTTACAAAGAAATACAATGTAAAGCCACTTTGCTCACCATCAGGTAAAACACATAAGGAATTAGACCTTAATAGACTAAAGCTAAGTGAAGCCTAAACAAACCTGAGCAACCACTCCCCTCTAGCCCCGTGCAATTTTTTCTCCTTGCTCCTAATTGATATCACCACATTAAAAAAGCCTGGTTTCCAACATCCTCACCTTTCAGATGAGAATGTTCTGATAAGGTGTGAGAGCTCTGGTTATGAGGTATATGTGTCTGTGCTTATGATATCAGTTACGCACAGTGGGTGATTTAGTTCAAACAAGGGACGTTTATTCTGATGTTTCACAGGAAGAGAGGGGGAGGCAAGGGCAAAGGAGAGAAAGATGGCTTAAAGGCTTCCTGCATTCAAATGCTGTGCCTGTTTCCATTTTTACCACCTTCAAAAAAAAAAAAAAAAAAAACTAAGATAACATTTTAACATTTAAATCCAAAGCTTGTTTTTGAAACCAGTTTACTAAGAAAGTAATGCACACTATATGAATAATGGAAAGGGACAATTCTTCTGAAATCTTTATTGTGGATTTTGCAATATAATTTGACTGATGTCAAACAGAATCAGCAAAGAGAAAAAAATATATTAGGAAAGCATGTGCATTAACCAGTTAATGTTTATCACATGGTATCCTTCTAAAAAACCAAAACACCTTGGGAATTTCAGAGGATTTGATTATATTTGTTTATTCTTTTATCTATCTACAAATATATGTTAATTACTCACTGCTTCCTTGTATTACGTGTTATGGTTGCTTCAAATGCAGTAAATAACATTTTTTCCCTGAAAGAATTACAGTCTATTTTTTTAAGTCAGACGGTAAAGCGTTATGCACTAGCTGGGAAACAGTTCCATGCTGTACCCAGTAGACAGCATGGATGTTGGAACTGGCTAGTCCCAGGGCTCAGATTCCGGCTGCTCTTACAACAAGTCACGTCAGCACTCTGGGCCAGTAAAATGAAGGCAGTAATACCTGTTGGCTGGTTGTGAGAATGAGAGAAGATGGATAATGTACGTAAGTACCTAGTGCAATCTCAGGCACACAGTTAGTTCTCAAAAATTTGTAGTTCTGTAGGGAAGGAAAAAATCATTTTCTCTCTACCTTTCATAGTTCTTCATTCAAATGGACCCCACTAACAAAAGACAGATTAATAAGAGAAAAACAAACAAGTTTAATAACATGTATATCTCATGTTTACATAAGAAATACCTAGAGAAATGAGAGAGCTTTGAATTCAGGCTTAAATACCACTGTCCATGGAAATAAAGAATGAAGGGCCCAGGGAAGCTCAGAAATGAGAGGTCACCAGGAAAAACACTGAAATTGGTGCCTTCCCTATTGACAAGTCTCCAGTGATTTGCAGCCATCCTTCCCTTCCTGGTCCTGAGAGAGAGACTCCCTTACAAATGAAGATTTCCTTTATAGTTATACATTTCTCTTACAAAAGGATAACTTCTACCCTTGTTTTCAGAGCTTCTCTGGTTTCTGCAGTTTCTCCAAACTATCAGCTCAAAATAATCCTTATATCAAAGAAGCATATTTTGGGGTGGCATATTCTCACCTCCTATAGGTCTAATAACCAAAATAATAGGACATTACATGACTTGTATTATATTTTATATTTTTCCCTCCTCTTCCAGGCATTTGCTTCACTGCCACCAGCATTATATTTTCTAAACTACCGTTCTGTTAGTGTGATTTTCCTACTCGAAGTCATTTGTCTGTAGCTATAGTTTTCAAGCATTTTTTAATAGGCAATTCGTTAAAAAAAAAATAAAACCCTACATACAAAATGAATAAAAAAGCAATATTTTAGTAGTATGAAATATTTTAAGCTTTGTAACATATACTTATTATAAGGCAAGAACATAAGAACAATGAGATACTTTTAATAACAACGTTAATGTATTCTATAATAATTTTAAAATGACAGCTAGGAATGATTGTGAAGTCTTGTATCAGTCTCAGCACTAAAGTTATCTTGAACTTTCATTTCATTTGTGCAGAATAAACATGATATTTCTTCATAAAACTAAGTAGTCATTAATGATGAGATATTTTTTATAACCCAATTTACAATCTCATTGTTAAAGTAATTTAACTGATCTTTTCAGAAGACAAAAACTTTTATAGTTTGCAAACACTATCGAAATTTACTCAGACTTCTGACTTAAGTGTCACAGAACTCTATCCACTCTTGTTTCATATATATTGTATTGTTACCTTTTAAGATTTTTCATTTGTTAGAATATTTTGATCTCTGCCTCCTCCCCCACAAAACCCAACTGTGATAGATGGTCTGCATATAGATCTTGAAATATTGAAATAAATGTTATAAATGTTTGGCTAGGAAAAAAAAATTCCAACGACACCATCCCTTTCCTCAAACTCTATCTTCCAATGTCCAGGATTACAGATGAGAAATCTGGTGGCAGTCTAATTATTTTCCTTTTCCTTTGTTCAGCCTCAATCTCTCTCTCTCAAGAAACTTACAAGTTTTTCTTTTATCTTTGGAGTTGAGTATAATGCTGAATTAGGTCTAAGTCAGCATTTTAACTGGCACTTGATGAGCCTCATATATTTGGAAATTCAAGTTTGGCCACTGAGAGCACTTTTAGGTTGGCTCTGGTGTTTCCTTGACCTGCCCATCCTTTTGGGACTGTTTTTTGTTGTTGTTGTTGTTGTTGTTGTTGTTGTTTGTTTGTTTGTTTTTGCACTTCCTTATTTCTTGCATGTCAAGATGCTTCAGGCTCATCTTGTTTGCTGCAGCCCCAGTCCTAGAATCAGCTGTTTATCCAGAGGGTCTTGGTTCTTTTAAATGGAAAATGGTATTAGAAATCAAGATCTGTTTTAGGGCAGGCCTGGTGGTGACAAAATCTCCCAGCATTTGCTTGTCTGTAAAGTATTTTATTTCTCCTTCACTTATGAAGCTTAGTTTCGCTGGATATGAAATTCTGGGTTGAAAATTCTTTACATAGAAAGGAACAACTGGAACCAGCCACTGCAAAATCACACCAAAATGTAAGGACCATCGAGACTCGAAAGAAACTGCATCAACTAATGAGCAAAATAACCAGCTAACATCATAATGACAGGATCAAATTCACACATAACAATATTAACTTTAAATGTCAATGGACTAAATGCTCCAATTAAAAGACACAGACTGGCAAATTGGATAAAGAGTCAAGACCCATCAGTGTGCTCTATTCAGGAAACCCATCTCACATGCAGAGACACACATAGGCTCAAAATAAAAGGATGGAGGAAGATCTACCAAGCAAATGGAAAACAAAAAAAGGTAGGGGTTGCAATCCTAGTCTCTGATAAAACAGACTTTAAATTAACAAAGATCAAAAGAGACAAAGAAGGCCATTACATAATGGTAAAGGGATCAATTCAACAAGAAGAGCTAACTATCCTAAATATATATGCACCCAATACAGGAGCACCCAGATTCATAAAGCAAGTCCTGAGTAACCTACAAAGAGACTTAGACTCCCACACATTAATAACGGGAGACTTCAACACCCCACTGTCAACATTAGACAGATCAACGAGACAGAAAGTTAACAAGGATACCCAGGAATTGAACTCAGCTCTGCACCAAGCGGACCTAATAGACATCTACAGAACTCTCCACCCCAAATCAACAGAATATACATTTTTTTTCCAGCACCACACAACACCTATTCCAAAATTGACCACATAGTTGGAAGTAAAGCTCTCCTCAGCAAATGTAAAAGAACAGAAATTATAACAAACGGTCTCTCAGACCACAGTGCAATCAAACTAGAACTCAGGATTAAGAAACTCACTCAAAACCGCTCAACTACATGGAAACTGAACAACCTGCTGCTGAATGACTACTGGGTACATAACGAAATGAAGGCAAAAATAAAGATGTTCTTTGAAACCAACGAGAACAAAGACACAACATACCAGAATCTCTGGGACACATTCAAAGCAGTGTGTAGAGGGAAATTTATAGCACTAAATGCCCACAAGAGAAAGCAGGAAAGATCCAAAATTGACACCCTAACATCACAATTAAAAGAACTAGAAAAGCAAGAGCAAACACATTCAAAAGCTAGCAGAAGGCAAGAAATAACTAAAATCAGAGCAGAACTGAAGGAAATAGATATACAAAAAACCCTTCAAAAAGTAATGAATCCAGGAGCGGGTTTTTTGAAAGGATCAACAAAATTGATAGACCACTAGCAAGACTAATAGAGAAAAAAAGAGAGAAGAATCAAATAGACGCAATAAAACGTGATAAAGGGGATATCACCACTGATCCCACAGAAATACAAACTACCATCAGAGAATACTACAAACACCTCTACGCAAATAAACTAGGAAATCTAGAAGAAATGGATACATTCCTCGACACATACACCCTCCCAAGACTAAACCAGGAAGAAGTTGAATCTCTGAATAGACCAATAACAGGAGCTGAAATTGTGGCAATAATCAATAGCTTACCAACAAAAAAGAGTCCAGGACCAGATGGATTCACAGCCGAATTCTACCAGAGGTACAAGGAGGAACTGGTACCATTCCTTCTGAAAATATTCCAATCAATAGAAAAAGAGGGAATCCTCCCTAACTCATTTTATGAGGCCAGCATCATCCTGATACCAAAGCCGGGCAGAGACACAACCAAAAAAAGAGAATTTTAAACCAATATCCTTGATGAACATTGATGCAAAATTCCTCAATAAAATACTGGCAAACCGAATCCAGCAGCACATCAAAAAGCTTATCCACCATGATCAAGTGGGCTTCATCCCTGGGATGCAAGGCTGGTTCAACAGATGCAAATCAAGAAATGTAATCCAGCATATAAACAGAACCAAAGACAAAAACCACATGATTATCTCAATAGATGCAGAAAAGGCCTCTGACAAAATTCAACAACGCTTCATGCTAAAAACTCTCAATAAATTAGGTATTGATGGGACATATCTCAAAATAATAAGAGCTATCTATGACAAACCCACAGCCAATATCATACTGAATGGGCAAAAACTGGAAGCATTCCCTTTGAAAACTGGCACAAGACAGGGATGCCCTCTCTCACCACTCCTGTTCAACATAGTGTTGGAAGTTCTGGCCAGGGCAATTAGGCCGGAGAAGGAAATAAAGGGTATTCAATTAGGAAAAGAGGAAGTCAAATTGTCCCTGTTTGCAGATGACATGATTATATATCTAGAAAACCCCATTGTTTCAGCCCAAAATCTCCTTAAGCTGATAAGCAACTTCAGCAAATTCTCAGGATACAAAATCAATGTGCAAAAATCACAAACATTCTTATACACCAATAACAGACAAACAGAGAGCCAAATCATGAGTGAACTCCCATTCACAATTGCTTCAAAGATAATAAAATACCTAGGAATCCACCTTATAAGGTGGGACGTGAAGGACCTCTTCAAGGAGAACTACAAACCACTGCTCAATGAAATAAGGGTACAAACAAATGGAAGAACATTCCATGCTCGTGGGTAGGAAGAATCAATATCGTGAAAATGGCCATACTGCCCAAGGTAATTTATAGATTCAATGCCATCCCCTCAAGCTACCAATGACTTTCTTCACAGAATTGGAAAAAACTACTTTAAAGTTCATATGGAACCAAAAAAGAGCCCACATCGCCAAGTCAATCCTAAGCCAAAAGAACAAAGCTGGAGGCATCATGCTACCTGACTTCAAACTATACTACAAGGCTACAGTAACCAAAACAGCATGGTACTGGTACCAAAACAGAGATATAGATCAATGGAACAGAACAGAGCCCTCAGAAATAATGCCGCATGTCTACAACTATCTGATCTTTGAAAAACCTGACAAAAACAAGCAATGGGGAAAGGATTCCCTATTTAATAAATGGTGCTGGGAAAACTGGCTAGCCATATGTAGAAAGCTGAAACTGGATCTCTTCCTTACACCTTATACAAAAACTATTTCAAGATGGATTAAAGAGTTAAATGTTAGACTTAAAACCATAAAAACCCTAGAAGAAAGCCTAGGCATTACCATTCAGGACATAGGCATGGGCAAGGACTTCATGTCTAAAACAATAAAAGCAATGGCAACAAAAGCCAAAGTTGACAAATGGGATCTAATTAAACTAAAGAGCTTCTGCACAGCAAAGGAAACTACCATCAGAGTGAACAGGCAACCTACAAAATGGGAGAAAATTTTCGCAACCTACTCATCTGACAAAGGGCTAATATCCAGAATCTACAATGAACTCAAATGAATTTACAAGAAAAAAACAAACAACCCCATCAAAAAGTGGGCAAAGGATATGAACAGACACTTCTCAAAAGAAGACATTTATGTAGCCAAAAGACACATGAAAAAATGCTCATCATCACTGGCCATTAGAGAAATGCAAATCAAAACCACAATGAGATACCATCTCACACCAGTTAGAATGGCAATCATTAAAAAGTCAGGAAACAACAAGTGCTGGAGAGGATGTGGAGAAATAGGAACACTTTTACACTGTTGGTGGGACTGTAAACATTGTGGAAGTCAGTGTGGCGATTCCTCAGGGATCTAGAACTAGAAATACCATTTGACCCAGCCATCCCATTACTGGGTATATACCCAAGGGACTATAAATCATGCTGCTATAAAGACACATGCACACGTATGTTTATTGCGGCACTATTCACAATAGCAAAGACTTGGAACCAACCCAAATGTCCAACAATGATAGACTGGATTAAGAAAATGTCGTACATATACACCATGGAATACTATGCAGCCATAAAAAATGATGAGTTCATGTCCTTTGTAGGGACATGGATGAAATTGGAAATCATCATTCTCAGTAAACTATCGCAAGGACAAAAAACCAAACACCACATGTTCTCACTCATAGGTGGGAATTGAACAATGAGAACACATGGACACAGGAAGGGGAACATCACACTCTGGGGACTGTTGTGGGGTGGGGGTAGGGGAGAGGGATAGCATTAGGAGATATACCTAATGCTAAATGACAAGTTAACAGGTGCAGCACACCAGCATGGCACATGTATACATATGTAACTAACCTGCACAGTGTGCACATGTACCCTAAAACTTAAAGTATAATTATAATAATAAAAAAAAAAGAATTTGTTAAAGACATCTTGCCAGTAAGACATTTAAAAAAAAAATCAAGATCTGGGCACAGGGCATGCCTGTTCCTATACAAGTGTGGTTGCTTTTAGACCCTGTGGTGAGCAGAGCCATAGTCTACTAACTGTGTCTATACAAATATCTCTCATTATTTCTGTAACCATCTAGCTACATCTGCAGTAAGTTAAACATGAGTTCATACCGATTGCTCTGATTCTAATGCAGCACTGGGTGGTCTATTCCAGTGTTTTCCCCTTGCTTTTCTGCAAACTCTCTAACAGTGAGAAATCCCCTATTCCTACTACCCATCATCCATGTATTTATTTTTTCCATCCCTGCATACATATGCGGCCGTTTCATAATTTTAACCCATATCCCAGAAAATTACTTTTTAATTATTATAATTATGTTTTTTTAAAAAGGACTATTTTTCAAAAATCCTTTAGAATGATTTTTTTGTTTGGATGTTTCAGTGTTTAGGCTTACAGATTTTGTTTGTAGAAAATATTGACTAGCTTCTATTTCCTTTGAAATGTTAATATCAGCCCTTTAATACAAGACAACCAATAATAGTCAGAGTGATAGAAATCCTGTAAATCACTGCAATTATCACAAATAACTTGAAGGTCCACAATTTAAAGATAATGCTTTAAAAAAATGGGCAGGTTATGTGGCATTAACCAATGTGTTTTGAACGATATCATCTTCTTTATTGTTATTACTATTAAAAGTAGAACCACTTGGATGCATTTAGGAAAAATGTTTCTTTTTCTTCTACTGTTTCCCCAATTATATCACCTGTGATATGGACAGTGAGTTGCTTTGGGGATGACCATGGGGTGCCAGGGTAGTCTCTGTGTAACTCATGAATTCTAGCTAGTGTGGTCATTCATAAAATTTGGAGCTTAAGAGCTGTTTTATATCATTAGACTGTAATTACATATTTAAAAAAATTTTTCTTTATATCAAAATATCATTATATGTCATTTTATTCTTTGGAAATTATGATTTATAAACTGTGAATATGTCATTAATCTTCAACATGCCAGATCTGAGAAATACCCAGAAAAGTCTCATATTATGGTTCCTTCTCCATTTATGTATGTATCGAGCATCCCACAAAATAATAAGCCTGGGTAAAAATATCACATATAACAAGCACAATGGAGCTTCTTGACTTGACTAAATTAGCAGGTTGCATTTTTTAGTATCTGACTCATATAAGATTTTGCAATCTATGTAGCAGAACATTTAATAAGTTTCCTTATTAAACTTTCTGACAAGGTCTTTACAGCACACGTAATACACTAAGCTATTTAATATCATAAAATTTAAACTCAAATCATGTTTTCTTAAATAACATTAAATTATTTAGTTCTTGCAGTCAGAGGCTAAAAGCTTTATTTTCATGCCTACTACATATATTACAAAATGTTGTCACTTTGCAAGAATCACTTAGCAGGAGCCCTTTTCCAAAATTCACTTCATAAAACATAATGGAGCTGGGTTTATTTTACTGCAATTAAAGATAAACCCAAAGGACAAATAAATAGGATTGTTGTGTTTTTGCCTGTGAATGAATGTTTTTGTATTAGAAGTTGATTTAATTTTTTATTGTCACTTTGGCCAACACTAGTTGAATTATCAGTTGATAGCTAGGTTTACTTTGCCATTGCTTCTTGAAACTAGTCCAACATACAACCCTTCAATTATTTTACATTTTCTAGTTTTAGGCAGAAATGCCTATCTAGCTTTAGGCATAATTATTTTACCTTATAGAACATAAAAATGTAGCATTTATAAATATAAAATTTATATAAAATAAAGAAATATATTACTATATGATTTAAAAGTAGCCTTAATGTATCTTAGCATCTCCTGAAATTGAGTAGACATGATTAGGATAGAATGTTTTAAAAATGGTCAGTACAGCACTGCAAAATTTCTACATAATGGTTGTTTTTTTTTTTAACATTAAAAGTTTCAGTAATTGGACAGAGACAGTCAAATCTGTATCCCATAGTGAGATCACTTGTTGCAGTTTCTATATTGATGATCCCCACAAGGTTAAAATGTGATATGTTTATGTTTCTTTCTGAAATTTTTGGTCACACATTCAAAAAACTATTTAAAATGCAATTTAAATGGCTTCTGAATAAAATATTTGAAGGACCCTCAAAATTCTCCATAATACTCCAGTAATTCTTGGTACATATTTTGAAAACTACTTGTAGAATTAAGTCCAACCTCCCCATATACTTTTCAATCTCATTTACACTCAGACCCCCACCATGCAGTTGGCCTCATCGCCTAGGATCTCTAACACCTTTCCTGTCACTGCATTTTCTTGGACCTTCCATATTCTTTTCCATTTGTGTAGTGTAGGGGAAAAGAAATTTCTTTCTTTTTCATCTTAGGTTCATGGCTGAGGTCCCTATAACAAAAGACAAAGTAACAAAAGAATACAAATGTAATTAATATAAGTTTTATGTGATATGGGAGATTTCATATAGAAATGAAGATACAAAGAAATGGGTAAATGTGGGCATTTTTATGCTAGGTTTGATGAAGCAGTGGATAGTTGTGGAAAAGTATGATTGGATGAAGGGTATGATCTACTGGTAAAAGCTAGAGGGAGTTTAGCAGGACTTCTTTGTTCAGGTGCTTCCTGTGTCCCTGAGTCTTTAGAGATAAGGATACTCCTTCCCTCTGATTAGAGAAAAGGCACCTCTCCAATGAGGGTCTTACAACCTGCTTCAGGGGAAGGTCAGAAAGCCCTTCCTAGGTTTTATGACTTGTCTCAGGGGAGAAGTGGGGAAGGTGAGAGTAGCCTTTCTGCTTCTGCTATTTTATCTAATACCAAGAGGCTGTATTGGGGGGTAGTATGTCCTTACCCCCATCCGTGACTTTGTCCTGCTCTTCCTTATGCTGGACATATGTTTTTCTTCTTTGGTCTCCTTGGCAAATATTTATGCTCATTAAATTTATGTCAAGTCTTAGCTTAAATGTCTTCTCTTTGGGGAAATCTCTAATTTCCCCTGTAAGAGGCTGGTAGCTTAATGCTCAGTGCTCCCTCAGGATTGTGTACCTCCATTGCTAAAGAAAACCCATATTCTCTCAATATCATGAAAATGGCCATACTGCCCAAGGTAATTTATAGATTCAATGCCATCCCCATCAAGCTACCAATGACTTTCTTCACAGAACTGGAGAAAACTACTTTAAAGTTCATATGGAACCAAAAAAGAGCCCGCATCGCCAAGTCAATCCTAAGCCAAAAGAACAAAGCTGGAGGCATCATGTTACCTGACTTCAAACTATACTACAAGGCTACAGTAACCAAAACAGCATGGTACTGGTACCAAAACAGAGATATAGACCAATGGAATGGAACAGAGCCCTCAGAAATAATGCCACATATCTACAACCATCTGATCTTTGAAAAACCTGACAAAAACAAGCAATGGGGAAAGGATTCCCTATTTAATAAATGGTGCTGGGAAAACTGGCTAGCCATATGTAGAAAGCTGAAACTGGATCCCTTCCTTACACCTTATACAAAAATTAATTCAAGATGGATTAAAGACTTAAATGTTAGACCTAAAACCATAAAAACCCTAGAAGAAAACCTAGGCAATACCATTCAGGACATAGGCATGGGCAAGGACTTCATGTCTAAAACAACAAAAGCAATGGCAACAAAAGCCAAAGTTGACAAATGGGATCTAATTAAACTAAAGAGTTTCTGCACAGCAAAAGAAACTACCATCAGAGTGAACAGGCAACCTACAGAATGGAAGAAAATTTTCGCAACCTACTCATCTGACAAAGGGCTAATATCCAGAATCTACAATGAACTCAAACAAATTTACAAGAAAAAAACAGCACCATCACAAAGTGGGCGAAGGATATGTACAGACACTTCTCAAAAGAAGATATTTATGCAGCCAAAGACACATGAAAAAATGCTCATCATCACTGGCCATCAGAGAAATGCAAATCAAAATCACAATGAGATACCATCTCACACCAGTTAGAATGGCGATCGTTAAAAAGTCAGGAAACAACAAGTGCTGGAGAGGATGTGGAGAAATAGGAACACTTTTACACTGTTGGTGGGACTGTAAACATTGTGGAAGTCAGTGTGGCGATTCCTCGGGGATCTAGAACTAGAAATACCATTTGACCCAGCCATCCTGTTACTGGGTATATACCCAAAGGATTATAAATCATGCTGCTATAAAGACACATGCACACGTATGTTCACTGAGGCACTATTCACAATAGCAAAGACTTGGAACCAACCCAAAAGTCCAACAATGATAGACTGGATTAAGAAAATGTGGCACATATACACCATGGAATTCTATGCAGCCATAAAAAAGGATGAGTTCATGTCCTTTGTAGGGACATGGATAAAGCTGGAAACCATCATTCTCAGCAAACTATCACAAGGACAAAAAACCAAACACCACATGTTCTCACTCATAGGTGGGAATTGAACAATGAGAACACATGGACACAGGAAGGGGAACATCACACACTGGGGCCTGTTGTGGGGTGGGGGCATCAGGGAGGGATAGCATTGGGAGATATACCTAATGTTAAATAACGAATTAATGGGTGCAGCACACCAACATGGCACATGTATACATATGTAACAAACCTGCACATTGTGCACGTGTACCCTAAAACTTAAAGTATAATTAAAAAAAAAAGAATAGCTGATAGTTGGAAAACCAAAAAAAAAAAAAAAAAAAAAAAGAATGGCAGAATGCTGATAGTTGTTGAAGCTGGATAATGGTACATGGATTCATTATGTCACTGTTTATTTTGTATGTACTTGAAATTTTTGTAATAGAAAAGTTTATAAAATTATTGCAGTTCAGGTTTTTCCAATTATGCCACTTTTATTCATGGTGGCAGCTGTCATAGGACATATGAATGATATTCAATGTTCTAATCATCTTCAACAAAATCTGAATCAATAAAAAGGCAGCAACTGAGAAACCAAAAAAAAAAAAAGAAAAGAAAACCCATATTCTCTTTCCTTCCATGCTGTATGAGTCAAGGTTCTCTAGAGAGACAGAACTAATAGGATAGATTTGTCTATATATCTCTATATCTATCTCTAGCTCTATATCTTCCTCTCTCTCTCTATAGGGGAGTTTATTAAGGAGTGTTAAACTCACATGATCACAAGGTCCAACAATAGGCTGTCTGCAAGCTGAGGAGCAAGGAAGCCAGTCCAAGTCCCAAAGCTGAAGAACTTGAAGTCCTATGTTCGAAGGCAGAAAGCATCCAGCATGGGAGAAAGATGTAGGCTGGGAGGCTAAGCCAGTCTAGCCTTTTCACATTTTTCCACCTGCTTTATATTCTCTGGCAGCTGATTAGATGGTGTCTACCATGATTAAGGGTGGGTCTGCCTTCCTCAGCCCACTGACTCAAATGTTAATCTTCTTTGGCAATATTCTCACAGACACACCCAGGATCAATACTTTGCATCCTTCAATTGAATCAAGTTGACAGTATTAACCATGACACATGCCCAGAAAAGAGGAGAACTTTGCTGCTTTCCACCCACAGAGTGTGCGTAGGATGTGCCCAGTGTCCCCAGCTCTGCACCAGCTGCTTCCCAAGAAGACCTGGCTGAGCTGCAATGTCAGAGTCTGACACTGATGGAGCTACATTTCAGAAGTGAACAACTTAGAAGACGGTGTGCATCCACTCTTCTTCCTCATGGTCCTGTTCCAGGGCTGTGAAGCAAGCCAATAGCCTTTGGAGATGTAACCCCAGGGGCCAGTTATATATCTGCAGGACATGCTTTATTCTGCAGTGGACAAAATCTATATTGAGGGTCCCTTAGGTCTTTGTTGCTTACTGCAATACAGTTTACAAAAATCCTTGTATCTTTGGGGGTAGGAGGTGCTTTCCCAGATTAATAAAATTGTCTATCTCTCTCTCTTTTTTTTTTTTTTGAGAACAGGCTCGCTCTGTTGCCCAGGCTGGAGTGCAGTGGCATGGTCTTGGCTCACTGCAACCTCCACCTCCCAGGTTGAAGCAATTCTCCTACCTCAGCCTCCTGAGTAGCTGGGACTATAGGCACACACCACCATGCCCAGATAATTTGTGTATTTTTAGTAGATACAGAGTTTCACCATCTTGGCCAGGATGGTCTCCATCCCCTGACCTCATGATCCACCCGCCTCGGCCTCCTAAAGTTCTGGGATTACAGGTGTGAGCCACCGTGCCTAGCCAAATTGTATCTCTTTTTTTTTTTTTAATTTTGCTTGTCATCCTTTAATGTGTATGTCATGAGCCAAAAACAATCTTAAGGACTATGGAGTAATAGGATTCAGGCATATCAAATGTCCGATGTACATGCCACCATTTATGAAGATTTTTATCTTCTCCACAAAGCTGTTTGGTTTCTGGAAGAAGGGGAGGGTATTTGAGCCTCTGTGACTTACACATGGACAAGTAGAAAAGAGGGCATATTACAAGAGTGTACTAAATAAATACATGGTTTAAATAGTCCTTATAGAGTTTGACCTGGTGAATATACAAAGTGAATCAGAAGGGGAAGGTAAGAGATGAGGTGGAAAGACTGTAGGCAGCATAGTTAGTGGTTCAGAGCAAGGACCCTGGAGCCAGACTAACCAGCTTGAATCTTGATTCTGATCCTTTGCTAGCTGTGGTATCTTGAGAATTTACTTTCTTTGCCTTGGTTTCTTCATTAATAAAATGAGAATAATAATTGTATATACCACATTTTTAATAGGATTAAGTGAATTGGTATTTATAAAATGATTAGACTAGTGTGTGGCCCCTACTAACTACATGTTTATTCAATCAATCAACCAATATAATAATTAGTGGGATATTATAGTAGTATTGATGACTTGAACTTAAATGATGACAATGGAATGAGAAGTTGGGGGAACTTTTTGGACTTTTTTGAATTAATGAATTCTAGCTTTCCATCCATGAAATTGATATGGTTATAAGAGCCTCTAAAAACTTTCCCTTCTATGTGTCAGATTATAGGCTTATTTTATCTTTATGACATCCAGACAGGGAGCGTACAATTTGATGGGGTGTCTGTCCATCTTGGTTCCCTTGAGTTCCCTTTTCTTATAACATAGGTATTGTGGGAAAATGTGGTCTTTGTGCCAAATTGTTTAAAAGAAACGTTTGAGCCAAGAACATTGTAAAATTTCAGAAAATATTACAAATCTTCATGCCTGAAATAAAGTAATCGCAGTTAATACAGATATAAAGCTACATAGTTACCATGTTTCCAGGATAGCCAATAAGAAATTCTAGTGATTGTGGGCTGGGCACAGTGGCTCATGCCTGTAATCCCAGCACTTTGGGAGGCTGAGGTGGGTGGATCACGAGGTCAGGAAATCCAAACTATCCTGGCTAACATGCTGAAACCCCGTCTCTACTAAAAATACAAAAAAATTAGCCAGGCGTGGTGGTGGGTGCCTGTAGTCCCAGCTACTCAGGAGGCCGAGGCAGTAGAAGGGCACGAACCCGGGAGGCAGAGCTTGCAGTGGGCAGAAATCACGCCACTGCACTCCAGCCTGGGCAACAGAGCAAGACTCTGACAAAAAAAAAAAAAAAGAAAATCTAGTGATTGTGATTTAAGATTAGTATGATTAAAAAAATTAACAAGAGGTTTTTGTTGCCCTAAACAAGTGGCACGTATGATGCCTTTATGCCTTTAATGAATTGCAAAATGCAGCTCAGCCCTGACCCCCAGGGCAGGGATGAATTACAAGAAGGCAGCTCTTCCTTCTGCCTGGTGTTGCTTGTAAAACCAAGCTGGGCTGAATGGCAACTTCACCCTCACACAAGGGATATGTGTGGGACACAAATGCCAACCACACATAGAAGCCCTGCTAAGCGTTATCAAAAGAGAAGCAAAATTGCTTTTGGCTAATATTGAGAGGTGACAAGGTGCTAGCAGCCCTCGCTAGCTCTTGGAGCCTCCTTGGCCTCGGCATCCACTCTGGCCATGCTTGAGGAGAACTTCAGTCCGCGGCTGCACTGTAGGAGCCCCTCTCTGGGCTGGCCGAGGCTGGAGCCGGCTCCCTCTGCTTGCCGGGAGGGGTGGAAGGAGAGGCGTGGGCGGGAACTGGGGCTGTGAGCTCCAGGCGGGCCAGGCTCGGTGGGCCCTGCACTTGGAGCGGCTGGCGGGCGCCGCCAGCCCTGGGTAGTGAGGAGCTTAGGACCCAGGCCAGCAGCTGCAGAGGGTGCACTGGGTCCCCCAGCACTGCCGGCTGGCCCAGCCACGCTCGAATTCTCACTGGGCCTCAGCCGCCTCCCCTTGAGGCAGGGCTCAGGACCTGCAGCTCGCCATGCCCTCCCCCTCCCCCTCCCCTGCCCCACCCCCACCCCACCCCCACCCTGTGGGCTCCTGCGGCTGAGCCTCCCTGATGGGCGCAGCACCCTGCTCTGTGGCGCCCGTCCCATCAACCGCCCAAGGGCTGAGGATTGCAGACATGTGGCACAGGACTGGTGGGCAGCTCTGCCGGCAGCCCCTGCATGGCATGCACTAGGCTGAGCCAGCTAGGCTACTGAGTCAGGTGGGGACTTGGAGAACTTTTATGTCTAGCTAAAGGATTGTAAATGCACCAATCAGCACTCTGTGTCTAGCTCAAGGTTTGTAAATGCACCAATCAGCACCCTGTGTCTAGCTCAAGGTTTGTAAATGCACCCATCAGTGCTCTGTGTCTAGCTAATCTAGTGGGGACTTGGAGAACTCTCCTTTCTAGCACTCTGTGTCTAGCTACAGGATTGTAAACACACCAATCAGCACTCTGCGTCTAGCTAATCTAGTGGGGACTTGGAGAACTTTTGCATCTAGCTAAAGGATTGTAAAAGCACCAATCAGCACTCTGTGTCTAGTTTAAGGTTTGTAAATGTACCAATCATCACCCTGTCAATATGGACCAATCAGCTCTCTGTAAAATGGACCAATCAGCTCTCTGTAAAATGGGCCAATCAGCAGGCTGTAGGTAGGGTCAGGTAAGGGAATAAAAGCAGGCTACAGGTGCCAGCAGGGCAAACTGCTCTGGTCCCCTTCCGCACCGTGAGTGCTTTGTTCTTTTGCTCTTTGCAATAAATCTTGCTGCTGCTCACTCTGGGTCCACACTGCCTTTATGAGCTGTAACAGCGCAAAGGTCTGCAGCTTCACTCCTGAAGCCAGTGAGACCAGGAGCCCACCAGAAGGAAGAAACTCTAAACAAGTCGGAACATCAGAAGGAACAAACTCCAGACTCACCATCTTTAAGATCTGTAACACTCATCGTGAGGGTCTGCAGCTTCATTCTTGAAGTCAGTGAGACTAAGAACCTACCAATTTCGGACACAATATCACCTAGCTTGGTGTTAGGTTTCAACATAATTTGAATCTGTTAATTAGATAATATTAAATGACATTATTTTGTTTTGTTATGAAAAAGATCCAGAAATTATACAGTGAATATAGGTTCAAAAACCATTTATCAGGCATTCTCAATGTACCTGGCATTGAACTAAGCTCCTAAATCTAAAAATAAAAAGATAGTAAATCAGAGTGCAAATATTTATTTCCTAGTTAAAATATTTTTTTAAAAGCAAACGATTCCTCTGAAATAATAACTGGGAAGATCAAGTAAGACAATGAAAGCAAAAGATGTAAACCCTAAAGAAATTTTAAAAGATTAGTTTTGGCAGTTTTAATTATGTAGTTTGATAATTTACGGATTATTATTTGAATCAATATAACAGTGAAACTACCAATAAATTAGGTCTACCAAGAAAAAACAGTTTAATGATCACTTTGCATTTAAAAGGTGGTATAATTAAAGCCTCATTACTTCACTCACTTTCAAAATATTGATTCTGTAGATCAGATACAGAACTTTTATTTTTTTTAAACATGATTTTTTAAAATCCCAAATTATCAGCTTGCTCAGTGGACTGAAGTTCTCTATATCCTCATTTACGTGAGAGTGAGAAGGAAATACTAAATCATCTATGTCTCTTTCATCCAAACAATAATTGCCAATAGTTTGTATTTTCATGTGTTTTAAGATTGAACGTGATATAGAAGTGTTTTAAGAATAAATTTTAACAGAGATGATAGTCAATGCCTACACTTAAATAATATTAAGAGGATTTTTTATGTGTTATTACAGTTTGTAGATTCCAATAGTTTAGGCTTACCTTATAGTTTTCTAAGTGAATTAACAGAAAATAGGGTTAAATTAACATTTAGTTTTCTGATTTTTGGCTACTGTGCCAAAATGTACTCAGCCTGTGCTAGAGTACAATGGATTCTGAATTGTGAATTCACAGTATAAAATACTTATCCAATATTGTGTTTGAGAGTATTTATTGATGTAAACTATTTACCAATTTCAATTGCTTCAGTGAGTATTTTTTCAATTTCTCATTTTTATTTTATGTTAACCAGTATCTATTCAGACCTAATATAATCTGTACAGACTGTGTGCACAAAGGTTCTTATTGTGAGCTCCATATGCAACATATTTCAACAAACATTTCACACCAGAAGTGAATTGTAAGCATGTAAAATTTTTGTGAACTGGACTGTGAAATATCAGAAGCAATACACTCTATCCAAGTTGACAGCTGATATCTAATCCGAAAATAGTGTATTTTCCTTCAAATGTGAGTATCTCACCACTTTGCATTGCATTGCTATAAACAGCTATACAAGAGGAAAATTACTGTAAAAACCAAAATCTTTCTCTTATAAATGCAGTAACCAAAAAACAAAACGAAACAAAAATCAAAACTGTATTTTTAATATCTGAAATTCTTTCTCTGTGAGTGTGATAATCCATTGTTGATGTTTATGAAATGGTGTATTAGTCTCTTCTTGCTGCTCTAACAAATTGACAGAAATTTCATGACTTAAAGCAACACAAATATTTGATCTTACAGGTCTGGAGGTCAGAATTCCAAAATGCATCTCACAGGGGCTAAAATTAAGGTGTTAGCAGGGCTGTGATCCTTTCTGGAGGTTCCAGGGGAGCGTGGTATAATAAAAATTATTTGGTCTTTGTCCCTAAGATTTCTGGCACAGGGCTCCTAAACTCCTTAGAATCTCCACAGTGAAGTGTTTCTTTGGTATGCAAACGAATGTCTGCTGAATAGATATAACACTATCTGGTACCCTAGATAGTTTCAGGATGGGAGCTGGTCAGCAGAAGAGCCAAGCCTTGATTTGGAGGAATGGGACTTTCAGCCCCGCCCCAGCCCCACCTCTGGGGAGGGGAGAGTAGAGATTTGAGTTCAGTCACCGGTGGCCAATTATTTAATCAGTCATGTCTCTTTAACGAAACCTCCATAAAAGCCCTTAAACAAGAAGGTTCAGAGAGCTTCCAGGCTGGTGAACACGTGGAGGTGCCCGGAGGATGCCCTGGGAAACACGGAAGTTCCGCCCACTAGCCCCTCCCCTCGCCTATGCATCTCTTCATTTGGCTCTTCGTGAGCAGCCTCCTTTAAAATAAACCATTAGTACTGAGTAAAGTGTTTTCCTGAGTTTTGTGAGCCCTTCTAGCGAATTATTGAACCTGAAGAGGAGTCATGGAAACCCCTGAATTTGTAGTTAGTGGGACAGAAATGTGGGTAGCCCAGGAACCCCACTTATGGGTGGCCTCTGAAGTGTGGACAGTCTTGTGGGACTGAGTGCTGATCTTGTGGAGTCTAAACTAACTCCAGGAGTTGGTGTCAGAATTGAATTAAATTTTTCGATACTCACCTGGTGTCAGGGAGTTGGAGAACTGATGCTGCTGGAAAAGACACCATATATTTGATGTTGGGGGAAAAAATATTTCGGAGAGAATCCCTTTTCTTGCTTTTTCCAGTCTCTGGAGGACTCCTGCTTTCTTTGGCTCCTGCCCTTTCCGTCTTTCAAGCCGGCAATAGCTGGTTGAGTCTGTTCCGCCTTGTATCACTCTCGTACTGACTCTTGTGCCTCCAAAAACCCGTGTGATAGCCTTGGGCTCACCGGGTAATCCAGGGTAATCTTTAAGGTCAGCTGAGTAACCACAATTCCCTCTGCAACCTTAATTCCCCCTTGTCTTGTAACACCTACACAGGTTTGGGGAATTAAGATGTGGTTCTCTTTAGGGGTCCAACATTCTGGTATCACAAATGGTGATAGCAGGAAATGCATTCTTTCACAAGAAAAATCACTTGGTAACGACAAAATTTAATGAATTATATAAATGCCAGGAGTTTGTCCAAATTATTTTGTACTGCTAGAATTTTGATACATCAAATGAAGACTTGAATAAGTGAAAAAGAGAAAATTCCAGCTAAACCTTCAGAAGACCTGGTTTCTAGTAATTTTTCTGCTCTGCCCTAGTGAACTTGGGCAAATCATGTCAACGTTATTGAGTTTCCTCCCCAACGAGACTGGTATTACCTGTAATAACTTAAAAAGTTGTTGTTAGAAAGAAGCAAAATAATGTTTCTGAAAATACACTGGAAATCATATAATGATATTCAAATATTGTTCTATAAACATGCTATTGGCTGGAGCTTAGCAAATTTGTAAAACAAAGTTATTGTCCATTATAATACTCTTTGCTCCAATACCGTTCAAACTTCAGGATCAGTAAAAGTCAGCCCACTCTTCAAAACAAAATTTTACCGTATAATTGCCTATATACCCTGCCCTCTACCCACTCTCCACCCTTTTACAGCCCTCCTGCCCCAATCAAGTGTGAGAGAAACATAACCAAAAGAAAGAATATTTTGAAAAGCAGCAGAGAATTGAAAATGAAAAGTTCATGGAACTACGATTTTGTTTTCTGCATTGGGAAAAAAGATGAAGAAAACTTAATACTTATCTTCAAGAACATGAAGTCTTAGAACACCAAGAATAGTGACAAAATAAGAAACAAGCTTAAGGATAAAAGATTTAATGTAAGCTTCAGAAATAACTTCCCCACATGAAAGTCAATAATGGTTGAAATGGGATACTAAAGGTTTTATATTTTCCTGATTTAGAGGTTTATGAAAGAAAGAAAAGTATTCTTACATTCTGTAAAGGAGATTAAGTATCTCTGACTTCATTTTAAAGGTAACAAAAGTGGATCCTTACTGAAGTAACATGTTCAGTACCAAATGTATTTGTTCTTTTTCAGAATGATTTTGGCTATTCTTGGAATATTATTATTCCAGATAAATTTTGAAACCTCTTTGTGAACTTCCCTGGTAAACCCTGTTGTGATTTGAGTTCGATTTACTTTGAGTTTATAGATTGATTATTTGTGGGACACATAAATATTTTCGAACTCAGGATTGCAACCCCTTCAAATGGCATCTTTCTCTACTGATTTGGATTTTCTTTAATGTCCTTCAGTAACATTTATGTTTTGCTCCATGAAGTTCTTGCACTTCTTTAGGATTATTCTTCAATGATACATAGTTTTAATTGGTATTGTGAATATTTTGCTTTTCTTTACTTTTCATAAAATACGATGTACACAATAAAATGCACATAAAACAAGTATGGAAGGCCTAACACATGCATAGAGTGACCAAAGTCAAGGAGAAAAAAACAAACACACACACATTTCCAACTCCAGAAACCCTCCTCATGTCCCTCCCCCAAATAATTACTTGTATGTTTAAAATAATCACCTCTGTATTCACAGGTTACCATTATATTAGCTTTCGCCATAATCACTTCTTTGCTTTATAGTTTTATTGTGTAATTGTATATCTGTAAACAATAGAATTTAGATTTGTTTGCTTTTGGATTTTATATTAAAGAAAAGTAGTCTTCTTTGCTCAAAATTGTTTGTGAGATTCATCCATGATGTGTGAATATATCACAATTTATTACTCATTTCACTGACCCATGTGATGCTTCGTGTTATGTGTCAACTTGGCTAAGCTATAGTACTCAATTATTTAATCAAATAATAATTTAGAGCTACTCCGAAGGTACTTTGTAGATATGGTTAACATCTACACTTACTTACTTTACTTTATGCAAAGGAGATGACCCTTGATAATGTGGATAGGACAATTCCAATCAGATTTCTATGTATGTATGTATGTATGTATGTATGTATGTATCTATCTATCTATCTATCTATCTATCTATCTATCTATCTATCTGTCTATCTCTAGTTCTGTTTCTCTGGAAAACCTCAACTGATACTACCCAGTTTTATGAAAGATGATGCTATGGACTTTGATGCATTTGTGTTCTGGAACACATGGACAAGGCTCCCCAGCATATATATCTATGAGTAGATTTTCTGGGTATCATAATTTTCAATTTATTAGGGGATATACACTATTTTATTTAAATGTGCATTGCCATCAGAAGTGTATGAAGGTTCTGATTTCTCCATATATTCACCAATAGTCAGTACTGTCAGATATTTCCACTTTAGCTTGGTAAGTGTGTGGTATCTGTGCTTTTTTTGTACCTTTTTTTTTTTTTTTTGCTTTCATTGTGCTTTGAATTTGCATTTTTCTGACGGGCAACATTATTGATCCACTTTCATATCCTTACTGGTCATATGGATATCCACTTTTGTGAAGGTCTCTTTCCATTTTTTTATTAGATTGTCTGATTTTTTTTATCTAAAAGGATTTTAATTATAGATTCTAGTCCCTTATTTCAAATGACTTCTTTCCTTCTGCAGCTTGTTTTTGCACTGCTTCTTTGCTGTCTTTGATTGAGACCATTTTACCATATAAAAATTTATCAATGTTTTCTTTTATTGCTATTGCCGTTTGTGTGTTATTTAAGAAATAATTTCCAATCTTGGGATGTTTAACATATGATTCCATAATATCTTTTAAAATCTTTATAATTTTTCTTTTCACAATTTTTTAATTTACCTGAAATTGAATTTTTAAATGTATATTAAAGTGCGAGACTAATTTTCTTTTGTTCTAAATGGTACTCAATTGCCCAGCATCACTTGTTGGAATGACCATATTCTCCATTAATCCATTAATCTACTCATGCCCCTCTGTCATATATTAAATTTCCATAAGTGTGTGGATTTACTTCTTGTTTCTCTATTATGTTCTGGTGTCCTGTTTTGTAATCTTTGCTTCAATTCCATAATAACCAACTGACTAGAGCCTTATAATATGTCAGGATATCTTGAGACTAAGTTCTCTCTACTTCATTTTCTTCAACTAATCTGGTTATTATTTTTCACTTTTATTTAAAATTACTGTGTTAAGTCTATAGTAAAAGCAAAAAAAGACAGTATTGAATAAGTAAATGCATTTGGGGAGAATTAGTGTCTTCATAACATTTTATTTTTCTATCTCTGAATGTGGCTTATCTCCCCATTTGTTTTTAAAAGTGTTTTTAGTGAAATTTTATATTTTGTCAGTGGAGTTCACATGTTTTATAGATTTATTTCTATGTAATTTACAGTTTTAATGCTATTGTAAGTGATATTGCTTTTTGGGTGCTTTTTTTTCTTGACAAAGTCTGGCTCTATCACCTAGGCTAAAGGCTGGAGTGCAGTGGCACAGCCTTGGCTCACTGCACCCTCTACTTCCCAAGCTCAAGCTCCCAACCACACTGTAGCTGCGACTACAAGTGTGCACCAGCACACCCGACTAATTTTTGTATTTTTTGTAGAGATGGGGTTTTGCCATGTTGCCCAGGCTGACTTGTGAGCTCAAGCTATCTGCCCGCCTTGGCCTGACAAATGGCTAGGATTACAGGCATGAGCCATTCTGCCTGGCCATGATACTGTTTTTATTTTTTCTTGGCATAAGTTATGGTATAGAGAAATAAAATGGAATTTGGCTTCACTATCTCATTAGTTATAATACTATATTCTCAATGACTTTTTGTTTCCCAAGTTTTTGAGACAGGAGTGCATAAACCTATGAATATAATTGTAAATGTCTACAATTTCTCCTTTTAATTCTGTCAAAAGTGGTCAGTTTCAAATAAATTCATGTTTATTTAAGTATTTTAGTGTTTTTAAAATGTATCCTTTTTATCCATATTAAAACATTTTTAATTCAACTCATATTCTTTTGACATTTACAAATAAATATGCATGCCCAACTCTGCAATTGTCTAGTAATTTTTTAAAGTCTGCCATATCATTTTCCCGTCCTGAATTAGATTCATTAATTCTCTGTATCTTAGTTCTGTATATTAGAATGACCGATTTTATTTTACTAAAAAACAATATTTACAGAAGTTTTCTTAAAACATGATGGGAGAAATACCTAAATGCCTAGAGATACCTTTAAAGACAGTTCAAAACAATCAAATTGATGCTTCTTGCCTTTCTTCACATGCTAGAACAGTGAACAAAGATAAAAAGTAGGTGTGCTCATATGCATTTAATAACCAAAGGACTGAAAACATCTGCCTTTTTATTCTTCCATATTTCTAACATTTCCAAGGAGTTCTGCTAGAATAAGGAAGATTGTGCACACTTGAAGTCTGGATGACAATGATGTTTAATTTTATAATTTGTGTTATCTAGCCAGTCCAGGCTTCAGTGGTCTGAGGTGTGGTCTTGTTTGGCCCTGAGCTGCTTTATTGCATCATTTGTTAGTGGACAATCTGGATGGGGAGCACTTGGCAACTTAGTAGCAGAACTGTTCAGTTCTATAGTGCTGGGGCCACTTAATCTTCAATGAATCTAAACGTGTCTACATTATGATGATAAATGTTGGTCCTCAGATGAACTCTGGAAGCTGCAATTTCAGAAATGAGTAATTCAAATTCAAAAAAACCAGTGATCGAAGTGAAATTTTGTGAGCCAGTAGTGACCACTTGGCAGTCACCTGCATGGCTTTCTCAATAGGTTCAGCTCTAATGTATAATGGTTTATAAAGCTACAGTATTTTAATAATCTTCCAAGGATAGCCAAGCCACTATATCTCCTCTGGAATTCCATCTCTGATTATTTCTCTCATTCCAGTTACTTCTCAGGGGCAGGTGTCACTTCTACTGGGAATTGTAGCCCTTGCTTTAGTGTGGACAAGAGTTGACTTTCCCTCCCACCTGCTACCCTTCCCCTAGAGCCACTGGGATGATATACCTGGCCTGCCAAGAGGAAGCCTCAAAATGGGATACGGTGATGCCAAAACTCCAGAACACCTTGGCTAAATCTTCTTGGGAGACTATGGTCTGATCTCAACTCTTTTTTTTTTTTTAATTTTACTTTGATTTTTTTTTTAATACTTCATTTAAAATTTGCCAAAACTAGTTAACTAGGTTATATTATTCTCTCTCTCTTTATCATTCTGTGGGCCTACCCCTTCCTTGGGACTATTTAGATACTTCAAAAATATAATAAAAATAGTATTTAATATTTGTTATATACTTAATATTAGGTGAGACTATATATTATCCTTTTACCTCTTTTTGTTAATATTACATATATGTATATAATGGTTCTTTTTTATTTTTAAAATTCTATTAATCATTTACAAATAATACATGTTAACATAAATACTTTACTCTTTTTCTAAAATAAAAAAATCATTAATGAGAAATGGCACTGCTTTACATTTTTACAAATCTCTTTAATATCTGACATAATAGAAGAAAGCTGGGCTCTCATATCTGCTTTTACATTAGGACTTTTACAATATCACACCTTAGGTAGCCTCTAAAAATCTCCTCTGTGCGCTTATGAAAGAATGAGAGTGAAAAAGATAAATGACATCTTAGTATTATAAAAATAACTTTGACTTTGAATTCCCTTAAAAGGCTCTTGAGGACCCCCCAGACCACACTTTGAGACCCACTGCTCTAGTCTAATGTCCTTATCTTACGTATAAGGACATTGGATCTCAGAGAGAGTGAGAAACCCAAAATCTCACAGCCTGTTAATGACAGGATACGGATCTTAGATGGCTTGTCTCACTTCTCTTAGTTTAGATTCTCAATTCGAAACCAAGGAAATAAATATACCCTAAAGGCCTGTTCTCTTCTCTCTAGTTGCAAAGATGATCACAATATATTACCATTTTTTTAAATAAAAGGGGTAAATCAACAAACATGATAGATTTTTCCTACAAGCATATTGTCTACATCTGAATTACACTATTTGAATTAAGATCTCTATTTGAACTGAAACACTCAGGCAAATTTGATTGCATCCTACTCCATGCAAGCTGGTAATGACAAACTGCACAGTAAATATCATAGATAAATGTGGAAAGTGGATTAACCATAATATCACTGTTTATCATATACTCTGTGTCTGAAATACAATTCAGTGATGTATTTCAGAAAAATGTTCCCAAGTACTGGCTGAAAGGGCGGTGAGTATATGAAGACACTGCAGATAAATTGACAATCACAAGAACTTTTTTGATAAAAAAATTTTTCTGAAATGCAGATATTTTTCATTCCCTAACCAGCCCTTATTTTTGTCCTTTTTGAAAAAAATCAATAAATCTTGGTCACCAGAGATGATTTCCTTTGTATCCAACCATATGGTTCAAATCTTCTTTAAATGGACCATGGCCTTGAGACCAGAAAAGCTGATCTAGTAGAGGAAATTCTTCCCAAGGAACCCAGTCCCAACTTTCATTTTTTTTCAGGTTCCACATTCTGTGGTTCTGAATCATGAGTCACGTCCACCTCTCCTTTGGTTAATATGGTAACGTGATAATTCTCTTTCTCAACGAAAGAATTCTCAACTGAGGCAAAGCAAACATTTTTCAGGTGAAGAGCTGTTTCTTTCCAGCCTTCCTTTTCAGTGCATTCTTCCCAGCTCTTACCGAACTCCAAATGGCCCCCAGGAAGTTGGAAACTGCTGGCTCCAGGCGACCCCTTTCTCTTCCCCAGAAGGACACAACGCGATGCCTGTAGCTAGTCTCCCCTGCTCCGACTTTGAATGCAGCTGCTGCCTTGATGCTGGCTGTCACAGTGTGCTGAAGGACTCCATATATAATGATTCTTTCATTATTTAAACTAAATAGGATAGTTTGTATCTTTGCCTTTTTATATTCATCTTACGTTAGTGTTTTTCCTCCTTCTATAACAACTGTAAAATCTTTGCAACAGTATAATTTCATTTATTCTTACTTCCCCTTTGTGCTATTGTTGTCATATATTTTATTCTGTGTATGTTTCACAAGATAGTGCACTTATTTTAAACCATCAATATTGTTTTGAATTTTACTATGTATTCACACTTTTCGAGATCTTCATTTCTTCCTACTTAGATCGTTTGGCCTCCTACTCCAAGTAAGTTCAAACTCTGGTGAATATCTTAAGGAGGTGATTGACCTAGACAAATTCTTCTTAGCTTGAATTTTGCTAAACACATAATTGTGCATACTTTTGACCTTGGAGCTTAGATATAATTCCTTACTTGCACAAGATAAGGGATGCTTCTTCCTTCCCAACTCCAGCCCCTATACCTATGGTAAAATAACAGCCCTTACACAAGGTTTGAAGATCACCACATATATTTTTTATGTCCCCTAACTCATCTTTTAAATCATCCACAAGCGATTAGGAGAACAGAATACAAATATGAAAACTCCATTATTGGACAAAATATAATCTAGCTGAAACCCTTAACTATGAAATGGGCAAAAGCGTGGCCCACAATGTGGGAGACAAGGTATGCAAATAAGTGAGAAGACAACTCCTCTGGTTTGAAGCTCAGGAAGATAGAAAACATAGACTTTCCAAGGTGACTAAAGCACCCTACTATACTGAACTAAAATGTTTTATTTGACACAGAAGAAAATATGTGAAATTGCTGGTATTAGGGAGAGCTTCTCTGGACCCATTTTATTTTGATAAGAAAGGGTGGCTGCAATGTACTGGGACTCAACATAGTTAGCCATGTTTTCTGGAAGATGCTGATTTTCGTGACATGGGGGAAAAGGAGACTTTTTACTGTGGACAGTTCCACATCTTGTATTTCTATTGAATGGGGTGGTGGAAAAGTTTAAAGAAATCACACACCACATCCTGAATCTTATGGAAAATTGCTACCAGCCTGGAACACAGCCATCGACCTCTCCCCAGAGACTCCTATAAATAGGTGGTCCAGAAATAACTTTTCTCCTTCAAAGATGAAGAATCAAAAATATAACAGCACGGAACATATTCAAATGCATAGTGAAACTAGATAACAGAAGAAAAATACCAGAAAAATGTTGTCACAAAGAAGAAAATTGTGAACATTTTTCGATGAACTTAAACAAAGAAAAAACAAAAACCTTTAATGAATCATTTGCCTCTATGAAACAAAAGCGTAAATAAAAATTACAAAATCTCAAAGAAGAAATGGTGAGACAATAGGTGGAGATGAAATGCCATCTGGAAGAGGTCAGAAAATATGTGGTGGGAAAAATTTAAAAATCCATATATGGAGGGGTGAAAAGGGGTTATACCTTTCCTCACTTATCACAAGGATCATGGCCAACACCCATATAACAAAAGACAGGCTAACAAGGGAAAGGCATAAGACAATTATTTAATCAGAGTTTTATATGACATGGGAGCCTTCAGAATGAAGACTCAAAGACCCCAGAAAAACTGTCTATTTTTATGCTGAGGTTTGGTGAAGAATGGACAACCTCCTAGAAATGTGACTGGACAAAAAGAGTATGACTTAATGGGAACAGATTGAAGGGGGAAACTCTGCAAGGCCCATTTGTTCAGATTCTTTTCGGCCTCTCTGTGCAGCATTCCTTCTCCCAGCTATGGGAGGTCAAACTAGGTAGGTCAGGAAATTTCTTTATGGCCAGTTCTTACACAGAAAGAGGCAAAGCTTGGAGCAATATTTTTAGGTTTTATGGATGGCTTCGGGGAAAATGGGTTCTGGTTTCAATGATCTGCCTTGGGGAAAAGGGACTGTGGTTTCTATGTCAGGACAAGAGACGATCAGACAGAGATTTGCTTCTGAGGCCTAAACTTTGGAGTCTCATTTTCTGAATCCAAAAAAAGAAGACAATGACAGGAACACATGAAAGAAAAATCACTGTTAAATACAAATTTAGGGTCATAGAGAATAGAAATGAATACAAATTTTAACTAAATTAGAGACAGTAATAGAAACAGTTAACAAAAGAGATGTAGTGTATACATTGCAGAAAAGCATGGACTGATTTTTTTTTTCTTTTTTTGACAGAGTCTTGCTCTGTGGCCATGGTGGAGTGCAGTGACATGATCTCTGCTCACTACTACCTCCACCTCCCAGGCTCAAGCTATTCTCCTGCCTCAGCCTCCAGAGTAGCTGGGACTACAGGTGCACACCACCACGCCCAGCTAATTTTTTTTTGTATTTTTAGTAGAGACAGGGTTTCATCATGTTGACCAGGATGGTCTTGATCTCCTGACCTTGTGATTTGCCCACCTCAGCCTCCAAAAGTGCTGGGATTACAGGCGTGAGCCACCATGCCTGGCAAGTATGGACTAATCTTTAAAGAGAAAATTGAAGAACAGAGTCCTTAAAACAAAAAAGACTTTTTGTAGGGAAAAGTTCTGGGTACCAAAATTTTAAAATAAATTATTTGGGCATTTAGGTAAAAAGAATAAGTCACTTGTAAGAAAAAATATATATATAGACTCTCACAGAAATGTGTTAAAGCAACATCTACACAATCCATAGGGAAAGAGTGAACAAAGTATTTAATAATAAAATGAAATTGTAATGCAAATATAAAAGCTGTATGGAGTTGTAAATATCCAGAAACTTTGAAAATGTAGGCTTCATGGTCCCCTTTTGGGGAATCTACTGAAGGACAACCATCAGCCAAACAGAAGGTGATTTAAAAACTACAGGTAAAGACTTGGTAGGGAGTACTGAATCTACTTAAATGTAGAAGGAAGATTAAAACAAAAGGGAAGGCTGTGTGTGGTGGCTCACACCTGTAATGCCAGCTGAGGTCAGGAGTTTGAGACCAGCCTGTCCAACCTGGTGAAACCCCAACTCTACAAAAAATACAAAAATTAGCCAGGTGTGGTGGTGTGTACCTGTAGTCCCAGCTACTTGGGAGACTGGGGCAGGGGAATCGCTTGAATCTGAGAGGTGGAGGTTGCAGTGAGTTGAGATTGCATCACTGCACTCCAGCCTGGGAGACAGAGCAAGACTCTGTCTCAAAAAAAAAAAAAAAAAAAAAAAAAAAAAAAAAAAGATCATGGGGACAAAACAGAATATAGCGACATTAAAATTTAACTTGCTATGTAACATTTGATTTAAACTCAATATGTGGAAAATGGTAAAGAAGGTAGGAGGTGGAATATTTATAATAATTTCCTTACCTTTAATATTTGTATAAAAAGATATGAGGCAAAATGGACAAATCAAGTACCAGGCATAATTATGTTTAATAATACAACTGTGACACTAAAACGTATTTTTAAAAAGTCAACTAAAACCAGATGGTTCCAGATTCCTTATCATAAGTTTCCAGGAGCATGCTGTAGTGGAATTAGCATTGAAACTTTGGGACAACAGGCAGCTGGTGCAGAATGAGAGATGAACTGAGGCAATGTAGGGTGGGTCAATTAAAAGTGGTTTTGGAATCCATTTACAGCAGCAACTAGAGGAAGAGACAGGAGAGTTTTCAAAGAAATGCAGTTGTATAAGGAGTGTTGGATACTCTTAAAAATAAGAGAAAACATAATAAAAATATGATAATTATGATCAAATGTACCTGTCACATAAATAAATTTATATGGCCTAAAAACATATTAAATACATTTTATGTTGGCCAAAGTATAAAACTACATGCTATATGTTAAAAGACATCTAAAACAAAATAACAAAAAACAATTGAAAAGCAAAGTTTGAAAAATGATAAACCAAACAAATTCAACTAAAATCAAACAGGGGCCACATTATTAGAAATTGGAATTCAACATAAAAATCACAAGAAGAAGGGTATTTTATAAAAATTAAAAAGTAGAATTCACATGAAGATATAACAATCATACATTTCTATGCAGCAAATAATTTAGTAACCATATGAATACAGCTGAAATTATAGGAGACTCAAGGATAAATAGAAACATTAAATTAGGGCATTTTAATTCACCTATCTTATGCCATGACACATCAAGTGGACAGAAATATAGGTAACAGAACAGCATAATTAATAAGATAGACTTACTTGAGTTACACAGGAGATTCAAAAAATTCATGGAAAATGCACATTATGAAAAAACTGCACGGATTGAAAAAATGGTTCACACCAAAATTAACTTGTACTAACTAGTTTTAACATTTCTGAAAAGGATCTAATTTGAGGCACTAAGAAGGAAAAGACACAGATTTGAAAAGAGCCCCTGTCAAAGCAATATGAACTCAGCTAAAATTGAAGCAAGAACAAACATAAAATTTATGGTGAAAGAAACTTGAGTGGAAGAATGCTAAAATCATTGACGCTTTATGTAGTTTCTGGGAACAAGGCACCAAAGAGCTCAGCAGTTTACAAATGGAGAACTCATGTTAAAAAGGGACAGGATGATGTTGAAGATAAAGCCCACACTAGCAGACCATCCACATCAATTTGAGAGAAGAATAATTAATATTCTTTGTGACCAAATGGAAGGAGATCAATAATTAACAGCTGAAACAATAGCCAAACTGTAAATATATTGATTCAACTTAGTGAATCAACTTAGTGAAATAATTTTCACTAAAAAATTAAAGTTGAACTAACTTTCTGCTCGATGGGTGCCAAAACCATTGTGCTCAAATCAGTTGCAGACAAGAGCAAAGCTTTAAGTGGAAATTTTAAACAAGTTAAGATCAAGATCCTGAAACATTTATTTGAAGAATTAATAGAAATTAAACATGGTTTTACCAATAGGATTCTGCAATGACTACCAAGAGGTAAATGTGGTCCAGTCAAAGCAAAAACAGACTGGTCTAGAGCAAAGGTCATGGCAACTGTTTTTTGGGATACTCAAGCATTGTTGATTCTTTGGAGGGCCAAAGAACAATAACATCTGCTCATTATGACAGTGTTTTGAGAAATTTAGCCAAAGCTTTAGCAGAAAAATGCCTTGCAAACCTTCACCAGAAAGTCCCTCTCCACCACAACAATGCTTCTGCTCATTCTTCTCATCAAACAAAGGCAAAGTTATGTGAGTTTTGATAGGAAATCATTAGACATCCACCTCACAGTCCCGATTTGGTTCCTTCTGATTTCTTTTTCTTTCTTAATCTTAGAAAAAACTGTAAAGGGCACCCATTTTTCTCCAGTTAATAATGTAAAAAGGACTTCATTGACATGGTAAACTTGCCAGGATTCTCAGGTTTCTAGGGAGGAACTAAATGACTATTATCATTTCTTACAAAAGTGTCTTGACCTTGATGGAGTTTGTGCTGAACAATAGTTTATATTTTTTTTTAAGTTTTGTCTTTTAATTCATTTTTTTCCATGGAGTTTTGAAGTCCTCTCATATATAACACACATAATATGGTGAAACATGGCTCCAAAACCATGGCTTCAGATTTCATATCAAATCTCTGGAACTTATGAGCATTATCTTGTTTGAAAAATGTCTTTGCAGATAAAAATAAGTTAAGAATCTTGAGATGAGGAGGTCATCTCAGATTATCCATATGGGCCCTAAATTTAATGACCAGTGTTCTTATAAGAGAAAGGCAAAGGAATATTTGAGACAGACAGAAAAGAAGACACCCACACACAGAGGAAGAAGTAATTTGAAGAGGGAGGTAGAGATTGGAGTGGTGGAGCTATAAGCCATGGAATACAAAGGATAGCTAGCAGCCATGAAAGAATAAATTTCTTTTTCATTAAGCCACCATGTTTGTTATACAACCATGGGAAATTGTATATATATGTGTGTATATGGAAAATCTTATATTTATAAAAAAATTATATATATATAAATTAAAACAGAACATTGTTTTTAGCTACAAAGAAAATCTGAAAATGTCTTAAGTAAGTGTGTATGGAATATCTTATATTTATAGAAAATGTATTGTGGAATTATATATATATATAAAAAAATCAAACATTGTTCTTAGATACAAAGAAAATCTGAAAATGTCTCAAGTAAGTAAGTAAACATGGCCCATAAACATGACAACCTCCTGCATAAGAGTAATACAAACTAAGCTACGCTGATAAATTATTTTATATTTTCAAATTGACAAGAATGGCAAGTCTATTCTCTCCTCCATTCATTTCCTACCTCTCTCTACATATCTTTCTATCTCTGGAAGATAACTCCTGACATACATCACCTGGGCTTCCTTGCCAGCTGACTTCAGTTGGATTCAGCCATTAAAAGTTTCTATCAAAATATTGGAGGTTGAGTAGAGATATAGAGAGGCATTTATTTACCTCTTCACTGTTTTGGTACATTGATTTTGTAGCTGTGGTACCCCTCTAAGATTAAAGCTCAATGAGTGATCCTTTCTCCATGGCTTCTACTTTAAAGGGTTCCTAGAAATATATTTCCCCTGAAATAATGTAGTTTAATAAAAATTATTTCTACTGAAATACAGAAAGATAAAGATTGAGAAATTAAAGCAGCCCAAGAGCTGTGGAAAGATATATAATGGTTTAACATACATGTTGAAATTTCAGAAAGAAAAGAGAATCAATCAAAGATACATTTGAAGAGAAAATGGCTTTCAAAACAATGAGACAAGAAAAACCACAGATTAAAAAATTACAGAGAACATCAAGCTTGGATAACAAAGAAAACAACACCAAACAAAATGAAGCAAATCAAAGAGCATCATAATCAAGCTTCTTAAGCTAAAATGTTAAAAAAAAATCTTGATGTTGTAACTATAAGATGTTTTATGTAAGCCCTGCAGTAACACAAAGCAAAAGCCTGTAGGTACACAAAAGATAAAAGGTCATGAATCTGCCGGGCGCGGTGGCTCACGCCTGTAATCCCAGCACTTTGGGAGGCCAAGGCAGGCAGATAACCTGAGGTCAGGAGTTTGAGACCAGCCTGACCAACATGGAGAAACCACATTTCTACTAAAAATACAAAATTAGCAAGGTGTGGTGGCATATGCCTGTAATCCCAGCTACTCGGGAAGATGAGGCAGGAGTATCACTTGAACCTGGGAGGCAGAGCTTGCAGTGAGTCAAGATCATGCCATTGCACTCCAGCCTGGCTAACAAGAGCAAAACTCCACCTCAAAAAAAAAAAAAGTCATGAATCAAAGCACATCAGCAGGAATTATCTAATCACAAAAAAGACATCCATAGAGTAAGGAAGGAACAAAATATCTAAAAAATAACCAGAAAACAGGTAACAAAATGGCAGTAGCAAGTCCTTACCTCTTGATAAATAGGTGAAAGTCTCCAATCAAAGGACATAGAATTGTTTTTCTAATTCTGTGAAGAATGATGATGATATTTTGATGGTAATTGCGTTGAATTTGCAGATTGCTTTTGGCAGTATGATCATTTTCACAATACTGATTCTACCCATCCATGAGCATGGGATATGTTTCCATTTGTTTGTGTCATCTATGATTTCTTTCATCAGTGGTTTTTGGTTTTCCTCTAAGAAGAACTCATAGAGTTCTTTCATTTCTTTAGTTAGGTGTATTCCTAAATTTTTGTTGTTGTTTGTTTTTTTCTGTTTGGTTTTCTTTTTTTGCAGCTATTGTAAAAGGGGTTGAGTTGTTGATTTAATTCTCAGCTTGGTTGCTGTTGGTATATAGAAGAGCTACTGTTTTGTGTACACTAATTTTGTATACAGAAACTTTGCATAGCCAAAGCGAGACTAAGCAAAAAGGACAAATCTGGAGACATCACATTACCTGATTTCAAACTATATTATAAGGCCATAGTCACCAAAACAGCGTGGTATTGGTATAAAAATAGGCACAAAGACCAATGAAACAGAATAGAGAACCCAGAAATAAACCCAAAACCTTACAGCCAACTGATCTTTGACTAAGTAAACAAATACATAAAGTGGTGAAAGTCACCCTTTTCAACAAATGGTGCTGGGATAATTGGCTAACCATATGTAGGAGAATGAAACTGGATCCCCATATCTCACCTCATACAAAAATCAACTCAAGATGGATTTTAAGGACTTAAATCTAAGACCTGAAACTGTACAAATTCTAGAAGATAACATTGGAAAAACCCTTCTAGACATTTGCTTAGGCAAGGATTTCATGACCAAGAACCCAAAAGTAAACGCAATAAAAACAAAGATAAATAGCTGAGATGTAATTAAACTAAAGAGCATTTGAACAGCAAAAGGAACAGTCAGCAGAGTAAACAGACAATCCACAGAGTGGGAAAAAGTCTTCTCAATCTATACATCTGACAAAGGACTCCAGAATCTACAATGAACTCAAACAAATCAACAAGAAAAAAAAATCCAATCAAAAAAGTGGTGAAAGGACATGAGTAGACAATTCTCAAAAGAAGATATACAAATGGCCAACAAACGTATGAAAAATTGCTCAACATGATACACGGAAATGCAAATCAGAACCACAATGTGGTACCACCTTACCCCTGCAAGAATGGCCATAATCAACAAATCAAAAAATAGTAGATGTTGGCATGGATGCAGTGAACAAGGAACATTTCTACACCGCTGGTGGGAATGTAAACTAGCACAACCACTATAGAAAGAAGTGTGGAGATTCCTTAAATAACTAAAAGTAGAACTACCATTTGATCCAGCAATCCCACTACTGGGTATCTACCTAGAGGAAAATAAGTCATTATATGAAAAAGATACTTGCACAAACATGTTTATAGAAGCACAATCAGCAATTGCAAAAATGTGTAACCAACCCAAATGCCCATCAATCAATGAGTGGATAAAGAAACTGTGATATATATATATACATATATATTTGTGAGATACATAAAACAAATTTCCGATTTTCTTTGTATCTAGAAACAGTGTTCGATTATATATATATTATCCCACAATACATTTTCTATAAATGTAAGATAATTCCATACACACTTACTTACTCACTTGAGACTATATATATGATGGAATATTAGTCAGCCATAAAAAGGAATGAATTAATTGCATTCTCAGTGACCTGGATGAGATTAGAGACTATTATTCTAAGTGAAGTAACTCAGGAATGGAAAAACAAACATTGTATGTTCTCACTGATAAGTGTCAGCTAAGCTATCAGGATGCAAAGGCATAAGAATGACAATAGATTTTAAGGACTCAGGAAGAAAGAGTGGGAAGAGGGTGAGGGATAAAAGACTACAAGTAGGGTGTAGTGTATATTTCTAGCATGATAGGTGCACCAAAATCGCACAAATCATCACCAAAGAACTTACTCATGTAACTAAACACCACCTGTTCCCCAATAACCTATGGAAATAAAACATTGAATTAAATTTAAAACATAAAATAATAAATAAAATGCTTCTCCAAAAAACAAACCAACAAAAAAACTAAAAATAAAATAAAGCAAAGGACATAGAGTGGCTCAATGGAAAAAAAAATTACATGCTGCACATAAAAGACTCACTCCCCCTTAAAGACTACTAAAGATTGAAAGTGAAAGAATGGAAAAAGATATTCCAGGCAAATGGAAACCAAAAGAGAGTAGGAGTAGCTATACTTACATGAGATAAAATAGACATTAAGTCTAAAACTGTAAAACAAGACAAAGGTCATTATACAATGCCAAAAGAGTTATTCACCAAAAGAATATAAGAATTATGTGTATATGCATTCCAAATTAGAGCACCTAAATGTATAAAGCAAATATTAATAGATCTGAAGAGAGAGAGAGATTGCAACAAAATACTAATAGGGGACATCAATACTCCAACTTCAATAGTGGACAGATCATCTAGACAGAAAATCAATATGAAAACATTGAATTTGAATTATACTTTAGACTAAATGGACCTAATTGGTATATACAGAACATTCCATCTAACAGCAGAATATATATTTTCTCATGCCCACACAGAAAATTCTCCAAGATAGCTCACATGTTAGGCCACAAAACAAGTCTTAAGAAATTTAAGAAGATTGAAATCATATCAAATATTCCTTCCAACCACAATGATATGAAACTAGAAATCAATAACAGGAGGAACTTTAGAAAATTCACAAATATATGGAAACTAAACAACATGCTCCTAAACAATCAGTGGGTCTAAGAAGGAATTGAAAGGGAAATTTAAAAATACCTTGAGATGAATGAAAATGAACATAAAACATACCAGAACTAATGGGATATAGCAAAAGCAGTTTTAAGTGGGAAGTTTTTAGCAATAAACACCAACATGAGAGAGAGAGAGAGAGAGAGAGAGAGATCTCAAAAAATCAACCTATTGTTACACCACAGATAACTAGAAAAAGAACAAACCAAACATGAAGTTAGTAGAACGATGGGAGGATAAGAGCAAAAATAAATGAAATAAAGACTAGGAATAAATAGAGAAAAATCAATACAACTAAATGTTTTTTTGAAAAAAATAAAATTAAAAGCTTTTAGCTAGATTAAGAAAAAAGGAGAAGACTTAAATAAAATCAGAAATGAAAGAAGAGACATTACAACTGGTCTCACAGAAATACAGTGTCATGAGAGAATACTATGAACTATTTTATGCCTACAAATTAAATAATCTAAAAGAAATCGATAAATTTCTAGACACATACAACCTACTAAGACTCAATCATGAAGAAATAGAAAATCTGAACAGACCAATAATGAGTAAAGACATTGAATCAGTAATAATAAGTCTACCATCAAAGAAAAGACCAGGACTTGATGACTCCACTGCTCAAGTCTATCAAACATTTATAGAGGAAAGAATACTATTCTTCTCAAACTCTTCCAAAAAAATTAAAAGAAAGGAAACAGTTTCAAATCATTTTACAAGGCTAGAATTACTCTTATACCAAAATGAGATAAGAACATTACCAGAAAAGAAATTTATAGATCAATAGCCCTAGTGATTATAAATGCAAAAATTCTCAACAAAATACTAGCAAAATTAATTCAACAGAATATTAAAAAGATAATCCACCATAATCAAGTGAAATTTATTCCAGGGATGCAAGGATGATTGAACATACACAAATCAATAAATTTGATACACCACATTAACAGAATAAAAGATTAAAACCATATAATTATTGCAATAGATGCCGAAAGGTCATTTGACAATATTCAACATTCTGTTATGATAAAACTGTCAAGATATTAGGTATAGAAAGAATGTACCTCAACACAATAAAGACCCACAACCCCACAACTAACATTACATTCAACAATGAAAAGTTGAAAGCTTTTCCTTTCTGATCAGCAACCAGACAAGGATGTTCACTCTCATCACTTCTTTTCAACATCGGACTGAAAGTCTCAGCCAGAGAAATTACACAAGAGAAAGAAATAAAAAGCATCCAAAAAAGAAAGGAAGAAGTTAAATTGTCTCTGCAAACAGCATGATCTTCTAAAGACTTCTCTCCAAAAGCTTCACACTAATTCAGTAAAGTTGCAGGATACAAAATCAACATACAAAATAACATACAGGCCAGGCGTAGTGGCTCATGCCTGTAATTCTAGCACTTTGGGAGGCTGAGGCAGGTGGATTACTTGAGCTCAGGAGTTCAAGACCAGCTTGGGCAACATGGTGAAAATGTCTCTAGCAAAAAAAAAAAAAAAAAAAAAAAAAAAAAAAATACAAAAAGTTAGCCAGGTGTGGTGGTGCATGCCTGTAGTCTCAGCTACTTGGGGGACTGAGGTGGGAGGATAGCTTGAGACAAAGAGGTCGAGGCTGCAGTGAGCTGAGATCATGCCACTGCACTCCAGCCTAAGTGACAAAGTGAGACCCTGTCAAAAAAAAAAAAAAAAAACACACACACACAAAACACACAAATATTAGTAACATATGTATACACTGACAACAAACTATCTAAAAAAATCAAGTAATTTCATTTACAATTGCTACAAAACATGAAATAATTAGGAATAAATTTAAGCAGGGTGGTAAAAAATTTGTATATTGAAAACTATAAAACATTAATTGAAGAAACTAAAGATACAAATAAATAAAAAAATACCATGCTCATGGACTGGAACATACTGCAAATGTCCATAGTACCCATAGCAATCTACAGATTCAATGAAATCCCTATCAAAATTCTAACAACATTTTCCACAGAAATAGAAAAAACATGCCTAGAGTTTATATATATGTACAAAAACCTCTGAATAACTAAAGCAATTTTTAGTAAAAAGAACAAAGCTGGAGGCATCATACTACCTGACTTCAAAATCTTTACAAAGCTCTAGTTACAGAAATACCATAGTGCTGACATAAAAACAGACACATAGACTAATGGAAGAAAATAGAGAGCTCAGAAATAATGCCTGGCCAATTGATTTTCAACAAAGATGTTAAAGAATGTCTCCTCAGTAAATAGTGCTGGGAAAATGGGATATCCAGATACAGAAGAATTAAATTAGACTGCTAGATCACACCATATACAAAAATTAACTCAAAATGACTTGAAGACTTAAATGTAAGACCTGAAACTACAACACTTCTAAAAGAAGATATAAGAGAAAAGCTCCATGACATGATTCTGGGCAATGATATTTTTGGATATGATCTCAAATCATTGGCAACAATAGCAAATATTGACAAAAAAGATCACTTCAAACTGAAAGCCTTGTCTGCAGCAAAGAAAACAAGTAAGTGAATAGACAGCCTATGGAATTGAAGAAAATATTTGCAAGCCATGGATCTGATAAGTGGTAAATATCCAAAATATATAAGGGACTCAAACAACTGAATAGTAAGGAACACAAATAACTCAATGAAAAAATGGATGAAAGACCTAAATGGACATTTCTCAAAAAAAAAAAATCTAAGTGGCCAATTGTATGAAAAAATATTAAACATTAATCATCACACAATGAAATATCACTTCACACCTGTTCATATGGATATTATCAAAAACACAAACGATAAGTATTTGCAAGAATGTGGAGAAAAGGAAACTCTTGTAAAATGTTTGTGGGAATGTAAACTAGTACAGCCATCATGGAAAACAGTATTATGAGTCCTAAAAAAACCCATATAGAGCTCTCATATGATCCAGCAATCTCACTAAAGTTGTTACTTGTTATCTGCAGGGCTTGGTTCTAGGACCTCCGACAATTACCAAAATCCATGATGCTCAACTCCCTTATATAAAATAGTATAGTATGTACATCCTCCTGTATACTTAGAATAATCTCTGCATTACTTATAATATCTAATACAATGTAACTGCTATGTAAACAGTTGTTATGCTATATTATTTTAAGTGTTTTTATTTTTAATTGTTATTCCTTTAAAAAATATTTTTCATCCACTGTTGGAATCTGTGGATGTGGAACCCATGGACACAGGAGGGTCAACCACACGTGGTTTATATCCAAAAAATAAAAATCAATATGATGAAATAATAACTGTACTCTCATGTTCATTAGAGCATTATTCACAATAGCCAAGATAATGTATCAACCTATGTCCATCAATGGACGAGTGGATAAAGAAAATGTGGTATATACACACAATGCAATACTATTCAGTTTTATAAAATGTTGAAGCAACATGGATGAATCTGGAGGACATTATATCCAGTGAAATAAGCCAAGCACAGAAAGGAAAATGCCATAATCTCACTTATATATGGAATCTGAAAAAGTCAAAATCTTAAAAACAGAGAGTAAAATGGTGGTTAGAGAAAACTGGGGAGTAGGGGTATTGAAGATATATTGGTCAGAAGACACAAAAGTTTAGTTAGACAGGAAGAATACATTCCAGAGAACTAGTATATGTCATGGTAACTGTAGTTAATGATGTATACTTGAAAATTGCTAAGAGAGTAGATATCAAGTGTTCTCACCACAAAAGAAATGTACGTGAGGTAATGCATACTTTAAATATTTTGATTTAGCCATTCCACTATGTATATACTTATATATCAAAATACCGTGTTGTACACCATAAATATATACAATATTACTTGTCAATTAAAAATATATTTTTGAATGGAGCCAGTGATTATTTTTAATCACTTTAAAAGATAACAGATTGATCTATTCAAGTTTTGGATAAGATTGAGAAATCACACTCCCCAGACTTCTGTAATTGAATGCAGATATAACACCTAAAATGAATCAATGGACCAGCTTTTTAAAGACTCTGAAATGTAAACTGTAGCATGGATATTTGGGGGGTAAAAACAGAATTTGAAGCACTACTGATCTGGCAGAGAGTTTAACACTTTTCTCCTCCCAAATCTTTCAGCCAGGACTCAAAGGAACCAAAAACCCAGAAGCAGGCGTTAGAATGGATAGTGAAAGTTCCAGGAGATTCCTCTAGTTCTTAATCTAGAAGCAGGAAAGTGGATTTCTAATTCTCAGAGAGATTAGCAAGTCTACTGGTTTTTTTTTTTTCTTTTTCCCTCTTCAGTCATATCTCAGCCCTTATGCCATCCTGTGAGATGGCAATGGTGACAGCAACAGATGCTGCATAAGGGACACACAGGCACCCACAAATCAGAAAGAGACAACCATGCCCTCCAGGGAAACTGCAGACCTCAACACCTGGGACAAAATTTCCCCACCCCCCGATTGTTTTTCTTGCGATCCTTCCACCTAATGGCTCAGGATGCAGGTACAGGCACTAGAGCTATGTAGCAGAGAAGACTAAATAACACTCTATCTTTTGGGTGATTTCTGACTTCCAGAGCTACCGTATTATAATATTCAAATTTCTAGTTTTCGTAAAAAAATCATAAGGGAAATCAGGAAACAGGAATGTATATGGCCTATTTGAAGAAAACTACAAGTAATCGAAACAGTGTAGTTTTGAATGTAAACATTTAATAGAACAATATAATGTTCTATTACATTGTTCAATTAGAAATAAATTAATAAAAATCATTATCAATTGATTTTTACAAAGATGCAATGCCTATTCAATATAAAAAGGATAGTCTGTTTAACTCAGGTTAAAGACTGTCTTTAAATGGGATTGAGACAATTGGTTCTGCAAGAGCAAAAAAACCAAAATGAACCTTAAATCTTAACCCCACATATTACACAAAAATTAACTAAAAATAGATCATAAAATTGAATGTAAAATTGAAAAAAATAAGCTTTTATTCAAAAGAAAGACTTTTTTTCACTTGGGCTTAGGCAAAGAGTTCTTAGCAATGGTGCATTAAAAAAATTGAACTTTATCAAAAGTAAACACTGTTGCTCTAAGAAAGACAGAGAAATTGATGAAAAGACAAACAGAATGGCAGAAAATCTCTGGCAATTACTTATTAAACAAAGGAATGGTTTCCAGAATATATAAAAGCTCTCAAACTGCACAGTAAGAAAACAAACAACCCAGTTAAAAACTGAGTAAAAGTCTTAAATAGTCGTCTGACGTAAGAGGATACATGGAAGGCAAATAGGCCCATTAAAAGATATTTCAAGATCCTCAGCCACTGAGGCTTTCAAATTAAAACCACAAGGAGATACCCCTTCTGAATGACTGAAATAAAAACATTCTGAAAATTCAGTGTACTAATGAGAATGTGTAATGACTAGAACTCTCTTACACTTTTGGTGGAAATGCAAAAGGATACAGGAACTTTGGAGGATGTTTCTTATAAAAATAAATACCCACTTACCATATGTCCCAGCAGTTCCACTCCTAAATACTTGTAGATATAAAAAGTTAACAAAAACCATGACACAAATATGTAATATCTCCATTTGTAATATTTGTAATCTCCAATAACTGGAAACAGCTCAAATATTCTCAGTTAGCAAATAAACAAATTGTGGCACATTCACAATTGTGAATAAATTTAAAAAACAAGCAATTATATATATATAATATATAAATATATAATATATATAATATATAAATATATAATATATATTATATGTATAATATGTATATTATATATATATAAACTAGGGTGAATTTCAAAGTTCTTTACGGAGATGGAAGCCAATCCTGTTAGGTTACATACTGTATAGGCCTATTTATTTCCCACTCTTGAAAAGACAAAATTGTAGGAATGGAGAACACATGTCAGTGGTTCCCAGTGGTATGGGGAAAGGGTGTAAATACAAAGGAAACCTATGAGAGGCTGTTTTTTTTTAAGTTAACAGAACTGTTCAACATTCTCATCATGTGGCTGGCATACAAATCTATACATGTTCTAAAGATCATAAAAATTTATATTCAAAAATTAATTTTACTTTAATTAAAAGTAAAATTTTAAATGATAATTGACAACTCAAAGCAAAAATGGTTAATATATTGTGGGGATTATAACATATGTAGAAGTAAAACATATGAGAATAAAAAAATGATTGGGCTCTGGTACAGATTTTTGATAGTTGTGGAGACTGGCATACGTGGAGACAGTGGGTATATGGAAACTTTCTGTGCTTTCTGCTCAATTTGGCTGTGACTCTAAACTGCCCTATTTTTTAGTTTATTAAAACCCTAAATTCCAAGTTAAAAAAAAGACTGACTAGGTAAGAGGAATTGAAAGTTTTCTCTTACAGGTTTCTTACACAATATGTGAAGACAATCACGCATTTATATGTAACTATTGTCAATGTCAAATACATAAAGGAAAACATGATAGAACAGAAAGAAGAAATAGATTCACAGTTATAAGGAAGCAGTAGACACTTTCCCCTCAGTAGTCTAAATAAAACATAGACAAAAATATCTGTTAGGACGTAGAAGACTTCTGAAAAACATTATTGACCAACTGGCCTATTGATGTTTATAGACCTGACGATAGTATTATACATTTTTCTAAAGGCACATGCCACATGTGTCTTGGTGAATACTAAAGTAAACAATATTCTGGAACATAAAACAAATCTCAACGCAATTAAAATCGCTAGAAACACATTCTCTCATTACATTAACAAAAATATCAGGAAAATCCCCAAATATTTGCAAAATCAGTAACAAAATGGTATATGGAAAATCCCCAAATATGTGGAAATTAAAATATACATTTCTAAATAAGCAATGGATGAAAGAAAAAAAAAATCACAGTATAAATTAAAATATATCGTTAACTCAGCATAAATGAAAATAGGATTATAAAAATTTAAAAACTTAGCTAAAACTGTGATTAGAAGCAATGTATAGTAGTAACAGCTTATATTACAAAAGTAGAATGGTATCAGATATATATTTATGCTTCCATTTTTAAAAAGCTATAAAAAGCAAATTAAACACAAAGCAAGAGGAAGCAAATGAAAGAATGACAGAAGTTACCATTAAAGTAGGAAACAGAAAATCAATAGAAAAAATCGAAGAGATGGAAAGCTGGTCCTTTGAAAAGATAACAAAATTTATTCCTCTAACCAGAAAGTGGGCACCATTGCAGAGCCTCAAACAAAAGAAGCAAATAAAAAGCAAACTAAGGTAGTGGTATTTAGAACAACATATTGTCAAATTAAAGGAAATAAACAAATTCTATGAAATATACCAACTATCAGCTAATTAAAGACAAAATAGATAAACGGAATGTCCAATATCTATTTAAAAAGGGGAATTCATAGTTAAAAAAAGCTAAAAACTTTAAACACTCATGGTTTCATGTGTAAATTCTACCAAATATCTAAGGAAGAGATATACCAGTTCCACACAATCTCTTAGAGAAATAAAAAGGAACGAGCATGTCTAAATTCACATCAGGCCAGTATTACCCTGATACTCAAATAGGTAAAGATCATACAAACAAAGGAAACTAAAGTAATATCCTTCAACAACAAAGTGGCAACATTCTTATCTAAATATTAGCATATTTAATTTATTTTTATACAGATCCTTTTAAAAGTTGAAGAAATTTTCATCTATTCTAGTTTGCAGTGTTTTTATTATTAATAGAGGTTGAATTTTATCAAAAACAATTTTCTGCATGTGTTGAGATCATCACTTTTTTTTAGTCCGTTAACCTAATGAATTAGAATAATTGATTTTTTTAGTTGAAACAATGTTGCCTTTCTGAAATAGGCCCTACCTGGTATATTACTTAAAATAAATACACAAAAAAATTGCTAAAATTCAACTTCCATTTACAATCACCAACTCTGAGCATCCTAAAGATAGAAAACATCTTCCTCAATCCAATCAAGGAAATTGTAAAAATTTGTATAGCTAACATAATTTATGGTGAAAGACTGAGTTCTTTCCCCCCAAGGTTGCAACAGACAAGGGTGTCTAATGTCAATAATTATATATTCAACATTGTACTAGAAATCCTAACTAGTAAAATAAGGAACACAAAAAGAAAGGAAAGCCATATGGATTGGAAAGAAATAAACAGGAATGTCCTCATTCAAGGATGACATGTTTGTTTATGTAGACAACTCTCAAGGAATCTATGAAAAAGCCCTTAGAACTAATAAGTGAACTTAACAAAGTCACAGATTATAAGGTCAATATAAAAAAAGAATTGAATATCTATATACTAGCAATGGTCAACTGACAATAACAATTTTAATAACAATGTCATTTACAACATCATAAAAGAAAACATGAAGTATTTTGGAATCAATATAACAAAATAAGTGCAAGAGGCTTTGCTTTGGGTAGATATTTGTGTTATTCAAATTGCACACTGAAATATAAAGAGCATAAAATAGTCACCTATCTTCTAAAAGAACAAATTAAGAAGATCTATACTTTGTGATTTAAAGGCTTACTATAAAATCATAGTAAATAAAATATAGTATTGGTATAAAGATAGACATATAGATTAAGGGAACATAAAGGAAAGCCAGAATAAGAGTCCAAAATATATGGTCCATTAGATTACAATGAAGGTGGTGGTGTCAGAATTTGGCTCCATCATGTTGACCACTGGTGTTGTTCATATGACTTTGTTACTTTTTGTGACAAAAGAAACTATGCAGATGTAGTTAAAATAGGGAGATTACCCTGGAATTACATGAGCCCATAAAACAAGAGGAAAGCAGAAGTGAAAGTCACAGAGATGCAACAAAAGTATGAGTCAGAGAGATTTGAATGTAAGTAGAACTCGATCCACCATTGCTGGCTTGAAGATGGAAGGGGTCATGTGGAAAGCATGAGAAGTAAATGAATTGTTCCACAATTAGTGAGCTCAAAAGAGGATTCTGAGCTCAGAAAGAACTACAGCCACAACCTGTATTTTAATTTTAGCACAGTGAGACTCTGAGCAGGAATCCAGACACATAGTGTCAAACTCCTGACCTACAAAATTGTGAGATAATAAGTGGATATTACTTTAAGTTCGTGGTACTTTGTTACAACCATGATAGAAATCTAATTTAGGTGCCAAACTATTTCAATGGTGAAGATAAAGTCTTTCAACGAATGATGCTGGAAGGTTTGCTATCCATATTCAAAAGAATGAATGCTGACACCTATTTTAAACTGTAAATATACATAACTCAAAATGTATCATATTCCTGATTATAAGAACTGAAGCTCCAAATCTTCTGTGTAAAAACAGGAGGAAATCTTTTGGTATGTCGGCTTAAAGATGTCACTAATGGAATTCCAAATCACAAACCATGTAAGAAAAAAGGATTAATAGTACCGCACTAAAATTAAAAACTTCTATTTTTCAAAAGACATTGTTCAGAAAATGAAAAGACTAGTCACTGACTGAGAGAAAATATTTGAAAAACATATATGATAAAGGACTTGAAACCAGAACATATATAGAACACAACTTACATTGGACTTTTATGAGAACACAATGGAATATCACTAACCATTACAATGACTAACAGTAAAAACACTGAATTCAAGTGCCAGTGAATATGCAGAACAACGTGAAATCACTTATATTGCTGGTAGGAATGTAAAATGCTATAGCAATGTTTCTTATAAGGTTAATTGTACACTTACTACAGAACCCAAAAATCCTTCTCCTAGTCATTTGGACAAGGTACATGAAAACATATGTCTACATAAATATCAGTATATGAATATTTCCAGCAGCTTTATTCCTAATACAGGTATAGCTTATTTTATTGTTCTTAGCTTCTTTGCACTTCACAGATACTGTGATTTTTACAAATTGAAGGTATGTGGCAACCCTGTGACAAGAAAGTCTATTGGAACCATTTTTCCAACAGCGTGTGCTCATTTCATGTTTCCATGTCAGAATTTTGTAGGAATAGAGTATTTTAAATTAAGGTATGTTTCTTGTTTTCAAGGCTTAATACTATTGCATACTTAGTAGACTACAGTATAGTGTAAACATAACTTTTATATTCATTGGGAAACCAAAAAGTTTGTGTGACTTGCTTTATTGCCATATTTGCTTTATTGTAATGGTCTGGAACTGAACCCAGAATATCTCTGAGGTATACCTGTAGTAAAAATTTGGGAAAAATATCTAAATGCCCAATTATACATGGATGAAAAAATTGTGATATGCCACTACTTAACAATAAATGGGCTGAACTAACACATGCAACAACATGGGTAAATCTTCAAAGTGAAACTGACCCAAGAGTTCCATAGACAGTTTTGTGGATAAACATAGAAAAGCACCTTTCTGGCTAGAACCTAACATTTGTTTTATCTGAGTTTGTTCCTCAGGAAAGACCTTCAGGCCTCTCAAAAAAAGTACCAGGCCGGGCGCGGTAGCTCACACCTGTAATCCCATCACTTTGGGAGGCTGAGGTGGGCAGATTACGAGGTCAGGAGTTCGAGACCAGCCTGATCAACATGGTGAAACCCCGTCTCTACTAAAAATACAAAGATTTGCCGGGCATGGTGGCACGTGCCTGTAATCCCAGCTACTCAGGAGACTGAGGGAGGAGAATCGTTTGAAGCTGGGAGGTGGAGGTTGCAGTGAGGCGAGATCGCGCCACTGCACTACAGCCTGGGCAACAGTGTGAGATGCCATCTCAAAAAAAAAAAAAAAGTAGCAAAGAACTGAAAGTCACGAGATCACCAGATCCAGATAATGAGATGCTGGACCCCTCATTCATCATTATTGTTTCCTTGCCCCTCCCTGGTTCCTGTTTTCTTACCCATTGTTCATTTCTTCCCTGCTATATAAACCCCTAATTTTAGTTGGTCAGGGAGATGGATATGAGACTGAGCTCCTATTTCCTCAGCTGCAGCACCCTATCAAAACCTTCTTCCTTGACAATACTCCTTGTTTGTCATTGGCATTCTGTGCTGCAAGCAGCAGAACCCAGACCAAACCTCTGGTGTACTGGTAACAAAAGCATTATACAAAGTGAAATTTGTCACAAAATGTTCCTACTGTTTGATTCCATTTATATTGACATTCTGGGAACAACATTTAATAAGGAAAGAGGTCAGATCAGTAGTTGCCTAGACCCTGGAGCTTTACTGCAAAGTAAAGTAGGGGCTTTACTGCAAAGAGATATGAAGGAACTTCTTGTGTGATAAAAATGCTCTGTCTCTTGACGTGGGAATGGTTACTCATCCAATACAGCTGAGCCTTGAACAATGCAGGGATTAGGGACACTGACCCCACTTCACAGTCAAAAATCTGTGCATAACTTTTGACTCCCACAAAACTTAACTACTAATAGCCTGTTGAATGGAAGCCTTACCAGTAACATAAACAATTTAACAATTTTGTATACATGTTATATATTGCAATTTTGTAAAAGTTGAATTGTACTATATAAATTAAACCTCAACATTTTCACTTTAAAATATTTTAAAACTGCAAAAAAATTAGGTAGCTATAAAAAGGAATAATAAAAAGGAAGAATATTCTCTTAGTAATTAAAAAAAGATTGTAGAAATGTTGATAAAACAGAACTGATATTGATGAAAATTGCATTTGTAGTTATATAAATTAGAAAACCAATTAATTCTCTCTCAAAAAAAAAGGAAAGCACAGAGATGACTAGAATGTGACAAAATCTAAGAAAGAATAGAATTTAGATATTTAAGATAAGTATTGTGGAAGTTTTAGGGGAACAAAAGTGAAGGGAGAAGAAATAATCAAAGAAGTATGGTGAATACCTAAACTTTTCAAATCAAAAGACACAACAAGTACTGGTCTTGTTTTATTTAAGGAAAGAACATACATATGCTCAAATGCACCTGTTGTAAAATTAAAAATAACTACTGGTAACATATCAATAGAAGAAAAAGTGAACGTAAAACTTGATAAAGTTTTATGCTGTAAAATAAGAAAAGGAAAAAATGGGGGAATACTAAGAAAGCCTAATAAACACAGTGCATTAAATAAAGTTTAATAAGAAAGACAAGTATATCAATGATTGATAATATATTTGCTGAAACTAAATTTTACTACTACAAAATAAACATTTTAAACTAAGTTTAAAACAGAAAAAAAATCTAGCTATATGGCACTATGGGAGATACACTATTAAAATAATGTAAAGGAGGGTAAGTTTTTTTATGTGTTTGAAATTTGCGAACTGTTACTGATACAAGTAAAAACATTAAAATATATACAGAGGATTTAAATAAAGCATTTAACAAGATATATTATTATTTGGTTTCCCTTAAAGAAGGCATGATATTTTCAAATAACCATAGACTATTTAGAATCAGGCAGTAGCTCATAAATAAAATTTTAATTACATAAGAAAAAAATAGATATTTTAGAGACCACCAAATCTGACCAAAACATAGTACAAACAACAATGAAACCATTTAAAACCAACTTTAAGATATCCAATCAAAAAATCTAACAACTAGGAAATTTTAAGACAATTTCTTAGGTTAAAGAATAAGCCATGATTGAAATGTCATGTATTTAGAAACTACCTGCAATGTGAAAAAGGTAACAAATACAACCTCTATAGACCTAAACCCCTTTGTTAACAAACAAAAATTATTTAAAATGAATCTTCTATAAATCATGTATAAAATGATGCTTTTCTGCATGTTCAATGCTATGTTTTCCTGTTACTCTCTCATACAGAATATTTCTACAGTCCTCTGCTGTTATGTCTTTATGTTTTCATTAATTTTCTTTGAGTAAGAAGAGAGCCAGGCCTGGAGTTTTCTGAAAGACAGGACTTCTGGGTTGTTAAAATTCTTCTCCTAAAATCATACACAGAATAGAGGTTGACAAATATAACCCGGTCCAATTTCTTGTTTGTAGCAGACAGTCATCCAGAAGCTCCTGGACTTCAGTGGATTCTTTGGTTCTGATGTTAAAATACTTCAGCTGTTCTTAAGAGGCAGCGAGTAAAATCCTCCACTATAGAAAGATTACAAATAAAATAAATCTACTGGCCTGCCTTCTTTGGAAGGCCTCCAGTCATACACATTAGGAGATCTCCAGTCATACACATTATGCTTTTTATTTTGAAAATATGCATTCAATCATGTTTTCTTCTGCATTTATTGTTTCTGAATAGATTTCAAGAATAGATGGAAGGGCCTCAATTCTTACTAGTTCCCTACATAGATGCCATTCAAAAGAGGAAAGGCACTGAGGTTTTTGGCATAGACCCTAAGTCTGCCTGAATCAATGGCATAGAGTAGTCTGTTAGAAGGCAGTTTTTTAACTTTCCACGTGTCTACACTTGTTTGGTTGCACTTAGGGAGTATGCATTAGCTAGAATGCTTTATTTTTATGTTTTGTTTTGTTTTTACATCAAGCTTTTGGCAATGTAACAAAGACCATTTTCTAGGAATTTGGGAATGTTTGGCATTTGTAAGAAAATTTTATGTCTTGTATTTATACTGTATTCTTACAATGAAAGTAAGCTAGAAAAATATTATTAAGAAAATAATGTGGAATAGAAAATATATTTACTATTCATTAACTGTAAGTAGACTATTATAAAGGTCTTCATTGTCATTTCCACGTTAAGTAGGCTGAGGAGGAGAAAGAAAAGAAGGGGGTCTCACTGTCTCAGGGGTAATAGAGGCACAATAACATTTGATTATAAGTGGACTTGCACGGTTTAAACCAATGTTGTTCAATGGTCAACTATATCTATGTCTGTTTACATTTGCTTCAAAATCTGTAAAATTACTTATTTCAATAGCACATGTTTATTTTTAAAGTAAACAATGCATTAGACCAAATAATATCTCACAATTCCAAATTGTATTTATTGTTGATTTAAAAATACTAAATAATATTTAATCTCTCTACTTCTCTAGATCACTGACTGCAAAGTCCATACCCTACAGCTGTAAGATAATTTAAATGAGTAAAATTACTTAGGGAATATTGGGTACTGTAGTAAAACAGAACTCACATGGTCCTTGTGAAATAGGAATTGTTGCTACTCAACTCATGATGTTACACAACAATGAGGTCTAGTGTTGCAAGACCTTTGAAGCTGGAAGTCCAGAAATAAAATTAAAATCTGAAGTTTAAATGCCAGACATTTTTTCAACTTTAAAAAAATATTTTATAGATGAAACAAAAAGCATTTGGACAAGATTTGACCTATGGCCCAACAGATTACAACCACCGTAGACAGTCTATACCAAATATCTAACAAATTTATCATAAGAAGACCTGAACATATAAACCTTATTTTAACTACGTAGAAATATACTTAGTGAATTGCGTTGTATTTTTACCATCAGATTTTACAAAGAGTTGATATTTGCAAAGTGTAACGTGTATTCAATAATCTTCCACCAAATTGTTAAGATAGGTTCAATATCTGATGATTAATCAGTGCAGTTCACTGTATTAATAGACTAAATAAGACCATAACAGGAAATGTCCATGAACATATCAACATAGAAAATATATTAGGTAAAATGCATTCATAATACAAATGCTCAGCAAGCTAAATATAGAAGAGGACATTTCTCAGTCTGAAAAAAGGTGCGTACGGAAAATCTGCAGCTAACATTACATTTCCTGATGAAAGACCAAATTATTTCCCCCAATAACCAGAAAAAATGCAATGAATGTGTTTTGCCTAATCCACTTTCAGCACTCCTATTTAACATCTTACTTGAAATTTTAGCTAGTGCAATAAGGCAAGAAAAAGATTATTATTTAATCATAATTGGCAATTAATGTATGTAAAACTGATAAAACACAAGAGAAAATCTTTGAAAACTTGAGATAGGCGAAAGTTCATAGAAATAATATCAAGTTCTTACAAGAAAGAAAAAAGAGAGAGAGAGAAATTAGACTTCATCAAAATGTAAATACTTTTGCTAAATACACTGTTAGGGAATCAAAAGCCAACCCACTCAAAGACTAGAATAGATTATTTACAAATAATATACTTGGCAAAGGGCTTATATCCAGAATATATTTTAAAATGTTCTCAAAACTCAACCATAAGAAAACAAGGAAGCTATTTAAAAAGTGGACAAAGTCTGAACTAACACTTCATCAAAAAAGCTATTCAGTTGGGAAATTAAGCACATGAATAAATAATCAACCTTATTAGCCATTAGGGAAATGCAAATCAAAACCACAAACAGCACTACACATTATTACAATGTATAAGAAAAATAAAACCTGACAATGCCAAATTATGGCAAGAATACAGAATAACATAAACTCTCATTTCTTTCTAGTGGGAATGCAAAATGGTACAGCCACTCTCCAGAAAATAGTTTGGTGGTTTCTTATAAAATTAAACATACACTTACTATAGCACATAGCTACCCTACTCCTAGATATTTACCCTATATAATTACAAATGTATATTTATACTAAATCTTTTATTGAATATTTATATCACTCATACATCATTCATACATCGTTCATAACCACCAAAATTAGAAACAACTTAATGCACTTCACTGTGTGTATGGATAAACAAAATGAGGTATCAATACAATGAAATTTGAGCAAGCAATGAAAAGGAATGAGCTATTGATACATGCAATGATGTGAATGGATATTAAATGCATTATGCTAACAGAAAGAATCCAGTCTGGAAAATTTGTTTATTGCACAATTCCATTAAGTTAAGATTCTAGAAGTGGTGAAACTATGGGCACAAAAAACAGAAGTGTGGTTGACAGGATTAGGGGTGCAGGAGGGTTTGACTACAAAGGGAAAGCACCATGGAATTTAACGTGATGATGGGACCTTTCTGATCCTGGTTGGTTGTGGTGGTGGTTATATGAATCTATGTATGTGTTAAAAATCATAGAACTGCACACTAAAACCACAAATTTTTTTATTTCTATAGTATACTACGTAGTATATGCATACTATACTATATATACTATATATATGTTAATGTGGTAGTATACTATATATATTAATGTGGTAGTATAATATACTATATTAATATGCTATAAATTTATATACAATCATAAGTAAATTAAAGTAAATCTAATTACCAAATAGCTGTCCAGAATAGAGTAGTATTCTTAGCAGTTTTACGAAAGCTTAGACACTTTCTATGTATTACTAAACATTTTTATCTTAGACCAAATTCTCAAATCTAATAATTCTAACCTAAGATGGAAAGTTATAAATGCGCAATAAATAGAATAAAATTCAGTTTTAAAACCCTGGAAGTAAAATATCGCAGGCAAAAATCAGAGAGATTAAAATACACATGTAGAGAGATTCTTGGTGTCAGTTTGTATGGTAGGACTATCCTAAAGGTATAGCCACTTCTTCTCTAATATGACAAAAGACTTTTATAGATGTACTCCTGATACTATTAGAAAGAACGACATTTTATGTTTTTTTGTCTCCTACTTTTAGTGCCTATGAATTATAATGGTAGAGCTGTCAAACAGATGATATGATAGGTTTTTATCCAGCACATCTTTACAAAGTATGTAATTTTTCCTCATACGCGATCTCAGACCGTGCATCTATTTGATTTACAGTAGTGAGCTTCATGGCAGGCTGAATTAAAGCAACTGTACTCCCAATCTGTTCAGATTGGAAATGTGTCAAGAGAGTCTTTGGTGGGTTACTGACAATTTGCCAAATTTGCTCCAAGCTGACAAGTAATGGCTTAGCTTTCTTGAATGGCTCTCTTAGAGTTGTGCATAATGTAATATGGTTACACTCACAGACACACACACACACACATTTTGATTTTGGTAATAAAACTTATGCAGTTAAACTTTCAAAGTTTGTTTATGTTAATCAGTGGTTACCAATATATGCTTTATAGACCCCTTGGTGATGGGGGGGATGTCACAAAATTACCACAAGAGTTCTAACAGTGTGGATATACACCAACCAGAATTCTTGCAGTGCAGTGGCGCAATCTTGGCTCACTGCAACTTCTGCCTTGCAGGTTCAAGCCATTCTCATGCCTCAGCCTCCCGAGTAGCTGGGACTACAGGTGTGTGCCACCATGCCCAGCTAATTTTTGTGTTTTTAGTAGAGATGGGGTTTTGCTATGTTGTTCAGTCTGTGAGGACACATTTTCAAATGCATTTGACAAATTATGTGGCATATAATGACAAAGTACACAAATCTTAATCATTAATCAATTCATAATAGCTTTTTATTGTTACATATTTTCCCTAGTAATGAATACTAAAATTGTAATTCCATTATTGTAAGGGTGAAGAAAATATTTTATTTTCAAGGGAGTCATCATGTGTACATTCAGAACCACCAGTGTAGGCATGTAAATCATGACAGGCATAATTATATTTTTTCAATTTTTTGCTGCTTTACAACACAATCAGCTGAGAAACATGCAACATCTTTGAGAGAAGTTAATGCTAGTGTTGATATAGGACCTTTTAAAAGATCTATTTTGAAATTTTATTGGATTCCTTTTTAAAAATACTGCTTAACACAAACAGGGAAAACTCACTATTACTAGCTGTAAGAACATTAGATACCAGGATCAGCATAACAAAGTAACAGTTACTCTACTGCAGGAAATAGGGACAGGTGGTCCCTGCAGAAAACATGAACACCACCACACCAAAGAGCTCTCCCCGTCACGTTCCCCTGGTTTCTTCGCTCTTGCTTCATTCTCTCTCAGTGACTTTTATTTTGTACCAACTGCAGAATTAGAAATATATTTCCTATTTGAAAATACATTTCAGGTGTGTTTTCCATGATTTGCTGGAACTAGTGCAACCCATTCAGAGCCTTTTAGGAGATTACTCTATGAAAAATATTCCCTGAGCAATATGGATGCTTCTGTTTGGCCAGAGTAAAACTGATTTTACTTGAATCCAAACAATTGATCACATTAATGTCTGGCTAACTGCTCTGAGCCAATGCCCATTTGGTTAGCCTTCTTAATAACAGTTCACAACCAATTTAATGGGCAGCTTTTCTGACCTATTGGATGGACTACTGTACTCATGGGGGTGTTATAAGTATTACCTTCATTGCTCTAGCTAATTGGTATCAATGATTGAGATGACAAAACATCATCACAGCAAATGCAAAATGTTCTATTAGAAAGTTAATAAGGTAGAATAATCTGAATGAGAAAATAAATGTGTTCATATTTTCTTAGTTGCAGGCTCTTGATAATAAAATGAGAGGTATTTACTTAAGAAAGTAGTGAGGAGCTTCATATTCCGGCAGTCTGAGCTTCATTCTGGGTTACCTTGGCCTGAAAATACACTGAACATCTTTGAGATCTGATACCTGACTTCAGTGTCTTGTCAGTAATAAGGAGTGGTACAGGCTATGGGAACACCACATGCAAGAATGAAAACCACTAAAGCCCCAGTCTGGTTTTGCTAGTTGAGAATTTGGGCTTTAGGTTTTATGTAAAATATCCACATTTTAATTGCTGGAAATGTATACTAATGTATGGGTCAGTACTTTATTGACTCAACAAAGCACAGCAGTCAGCTAGACCTGTCCCATTGACCATGGTGTTTAACAGTGGGTTAAGGCCCATGGGAGGATTTAGCTACATGTTTTGAGAGAGGGAAGTGATAGAGATGCCATGGATTTTGAAAGATGAAGGAAAGAAAAGTGGGTACTTCAAGTTTCACAGGTGGAAGAAGACTAGTTCCCTCTCAAATACAGGGACATAGAAATAAAATGCCTTGTGTGGGAATAGCTACATTGGCACACAGAAGCATGTTCCATCTACTAGCTTCTGCTCTGGGTGCTTCATGGCACTGAACATCACTGCTGGCTATGAGCACTAAAATAGTGCCTGACTGATGGGGGGCTAAGGGTGACAATGATAAAGGTTGGACAAAGGAATCCATTGTGGGCAGCAAAACATATTCCTTTTTCATTTCTCTGGGTCTTGTATGATGCAGTGTAAGAGGGGAAGTTCCAATAATGATAATATTGAAGTTCCACAAACTTCAGCAAGAGTAAGGGCTCAGCCAGATCAAATTAAATCAGAATATTTTAAAAGAAATACAACATACCTTTCACATAAAGTGCAGTTACAATAACGAGAAAACTTAGAGGGTATACAATATGAAAAATATGAGCTCAATTTAAGAGAAGAAGGAGACTGAATCATAATTCTAAGAAGAATTAAAGCCCAAGAGGCTTATTTCCAACTTCCCTCAGACTGGAAATCTCTTGATCACATGTCACTGGTCTTTGACCACTGGAATCAAGTAATTTTCTCTTTACAATGTTTTACTTAGTGTAGTGTTTGCAAGCATAAGGGTTAGAGTTAGACAGCCTAGACTTGATTCTTGCCTTTCGACTCTGTTACTTGTGAATTTAAACAAGTTACTTAACTTCTGCCAAATGAAGATAACAGTAGTACCAAGAGTACTCAGTGCTGTGCAGATTAAATGACTGTCGAAAGAGTACCTAGCATGGTGGCACAGAGTGAGCATTCAGTAAATCTAACTATTCTGAAGACCGCTATCATCATTATTTCCATTACCATTAGTCAGGCTTTAAGCCTTTATCACCTAGGAAATCACAAAATTCTAACATCTCCCTGCCTCAGTTGGAGTTCTCTGGTATTTTCCTCATATCAACCTAGAGGGAGGCCCTTAAAATAAGGTTTTTATCATTTTCCCCAGTATCTTAAAGACCTTCACTATCTCTCCATTACCTACATAATCACTTTTTAAAATTTATGTATATTTGTAGCTTACACTTAGCTCTTTAACTATGTTTCCTTGCCTGTATCTTAAGTGAATGGTCTCCTAGGTATTAGTCTTGCCCTTCACACTTCTGTTTAAGTACTTCAATGATTAAAATATTTGGTGGCCTACTGATAAATTCAAATACTTCTTTCAGGAAAAAAAGTTGAGAAAGAGACAACATTTGCTCCACATATATCTGTGGCCAGCATGGTGAAGAAACTTTCACAAATATTGTCCCTATGGTCTTATTTAGCCTTCACACAACATAATTCTGTTTGGAAATGGAACCCTGGGTGTTTTGAACTCTTGATGATGATGGACTTAAAAGAAAATGGATTAAGCATCAGCAGCATAGTATGCCTTGGGCTATTGATGTCTTAAATATGGTGTTACTTGATACTGAAAAACACAAGGTTTGGGAAATAAAGGACAATGCAACCATTATGTGGTTATCTTAGAACATGAAGCCAGACCATATTGTTATGGATAGGACTGTGGTATATCTAGTGAATATTGCAATCAGGTGGCAGGAAAGGTAAGCGGACCTTAGTTGAGCAAGTTAAAAAACTTGTCTTCCTTATAAAAAGGAGATCAATCTTGCTCAGACTCTAAGGTTCTGAGATGCTTCCAATGAGGGCAGAACACAGATATAGATCACAGGTAAAGCAAGGAGCAAATCTAGAAAAAATGTGAGGATTTGCCCTAAGCAATTATTATTTTCTTTGTGGTATTTTCCTTCTAGTGTCTGTATGGTTTTCACTAAAGTCTACTAAATTTGCTGCTTGATCTCTGCTGAGCTGTGTGAAATTGAACAGGGCACTAGTCTCTTTGGCTACCTGGTAGAGCCCATTTATAGCTAACCCACTCCCATGAACCTCAGTGCCAGGAAACAGCTGATGTGCTTTACATCACACTATATTTGCTTTACCAAATTTTTTTATAAATGGAATAATACAGAAGGTAGTCTTTTTGTTTTTGATTCCCACTTAATGTTTGCTGGTATTCTTTATGTTATCCCACAGGTCTCTGAATTTATGTGAAATTTTCATCAATCGTGTTAATACCTTTTGGTAATTATTATGTCTGGGAATTTATATTAGCTGATTCATTGTTGTCATGCTTGCCTTTAACTCTTCAAATATGATTTTGCTTTACTTCTTTGAACATATTTATAACAGTTGCTTTGAATTATTTTTCTGATACATTGAGATTCTAGGGACAATCAAAATTAGTGCATTGACTGCTTTTATTTTACACCCAGGATGGGTTACACTTTCTTGCTTTTTGTGAGTGCCTTGTAATTTTTGGTTAAAAGCTGGGCATTTAAGGTCATATAATTTAACTTCTCTGAAGTCTCATTCCCCCTGCTCCAACATTTGTTGTTGCTGTTTTTTGTTTGTTCATCTGTTTACTAACTCTCGTGGTCTAAATATATGAAATCATTTGACAACACAAGACAATGTTACAAATTTGGCTTTAAACGTTTGTATAATATATAAAGAAATTATAATTCTAAAGGAATTATGAGGGGGAAAACAGCTTTTTGATTTTATACTTGATATATATCACTTTGATGCTCCCTGTCCTTTTCTGTGGAACTGGAATAATTTCTTATCATAATGAAGAACTTCTTTAGTATTTCCTGTAGTACAGTCAACTAGTGACAAATTCTTAGTCTTCTTTTGTTACGCTCCCAAGAAGTCTGACTGAGAGGAGGAGCAAGTAAAGAATCATAAATAACACTTAATGAAATTCAACTTCAGGAAGAGCTAGAGCAAGAGCAGAGTTACAAATAAACAAAGGAAGAACACTTAAGGATATCTAAAACAACACTAAAAAGACTCCTCACAGGTGAACACTATGGGTTTTGAATTAAAAATTCTAGTATATAAATTCAAGTAAAGTTGGTCTCTGATGAATTAATGGCCTGGAAAATCAAGTGCAGGAAATATCTCTAAGTATAGAGCAAAATGATACAAAAAATCACTTAGAAAAGGATTAAAAACTTAGAGATGGATCTAGGAGATCTAACATAAGAAAAAGTGCTCCAGAAGGAGAAAAATGAATAGATATAAGAGGGGCAATCAAAAAACTATATATACATACAAAAAAATTCATTCAGCAAATAAGAGATCTGTTTCTAAAGATTAAGGAATACTGTGTTTTAATACCAAAATAATAACAAAAGCCAACCACTAAGAAGTATTTTGGTAAAAATACACAAACACACACATACACACACACACACACACACACACACAGTTCTGACAGAACAAATCATCCCCCTCTTTCCCAACAGCAAACTGCCTTTGGGATGTTTGTTGGTAACTATGAAAGTTGGAAGCCAGTGGAATAGCATCAACAGACTAGTGAAATAAAAAGAGTCTTATTTCAGAATCCTGTGTTCAACCAAGATATTATTCACTTGACAGACTGTTTTTTATTTTAGATCAAGAATATTCAAGAACTTAGCATATTACCCAAGTGGCCACCAAAAGAAAAATATTTGAAAAAGATTCTAACAGCATATGAGGCTATAAATCAGGGACCTTGGGAAGACAGCAGATCCTGGGAAGAGAACACGGTGGTGAGCAATCACTAAGCATGCATTTAATGATAAGTACAGACCATCTGGAAATATATAATATGAGTTTAGGAAAAACTATGGAGGCCAAGGCGAGCAGATCACAAGGTCAGGAGATCGAGACCATCCTGGATAACACAGTGAAACCCCGTATCTACTAAAAATACAAAAAAATTAGCCGGGCGTGATGGTGGGTGCCTGTAGTCCCAGCTACTCAGGACGCTGAGGCAGGAGAATGGCCTGAACCCCGGAGGCGGAGCTTGCAGTGAGCCCAGATCTCACCACTGCACTACAGCCTGGGTGACAGAGCAAGACTCCGTCTCAAAAAAAAAAAAAAAAAAAAAGAATAAAGAAAAAAAGAAAAACTGTTGAAACAGAAGAGGTGTACATCAAAGTAAATTCTGTTAAGTTCAAAATTATCCCACCAAATCATATAAATGGAGATGGAGAAAAAAACAGAAAAAGTTTTCTAAATTTCTCACTGAAGGGAGGGAAAAAGTAAGAGAGAAGAATGCAAATTATGAGAGACATAATATTCTATGTTATGAAAAAGACAGGAAAGAAGATAAAGATCGTTAGAAAAATGTACTGGGTGGTAGTTATTTAAAAATTATTTTAAAAGAGATTAATATCTATTAAGTTTTCAAGGGTGAAAATGAAGTGAAGAACAAGTTGTCAAAGGAGTAAAATTAAGGGAAAAGGTAAAACAATCTAAAATTTAAAATCAACATAGAGTAGATGAAAATATCAGTTATAATACTTTTTTTACATTTTAATATTGTAGTTAGGATATGACCATAATCAATAAAGATAAAAATTTAAATTAATAATAAAAAGAAATGGCTAAAAGATACAAAGTTTCAGTTATTCAAGATAAATAAGTTCTAGAGATCTACTATACAGCACAGTGCCTATAGCTAATGATATTATATTGTATACTTAAAATTTGCTATGTTGGTCAATCTTATGTTAAGTGCTCTTACCACATATACACAAAAATACCACATCATCATCATCATAAAGGGGATGAGAGAGAACTTTTAGAAAGTGATGCATATGATCATGGCCTTGATGGTGATGATTGTTTTGAACAGGTTTATACTACCTCCAAACTCCTTACAACACATTCTATTAATAAATAAAGTTTTTTAAATGTCTATCATACCTTCAATAAAGTGATTTAAGAACAAAATATAAACTTGACCTATAAATGAAACCTAATACATTTATTAAGTGTTTAAATGCATTTTCTATGTCATAATATAAATTTTAAAAATAACGAAAGTAATTGAAATATGTTAAATATTTTGAAATTAAAAATATTTTCCTAGATTAAACAAGAAGTAAACAAAAAGTACTCATTATCTAGAAACCAATGGATAGAATACTTTGTCAAAAAGAAACTTATGGAATACAGTAAAAGTGGTGTATCAGGGAATAGTATGATTTTAAGTGCCTGTATTCATGCAGAAAAGAGAAGAAAATACTATAAAACAGATATCTTTGCAATCTTGATAAAGGAACAAAAGAGAGCAAAAATAGACTAGAAATGAGAAAGGAGATAAGGAACCACTAGAGATGACTACAGACATTACATTGGCAGAAATTTGAGACCTGAAGAAATTACATGCTTGCTTAACAACATTCTGCCAAAATATCGTAACTGATATTAGAACAAGTGGAGAATTTGTGGACATTAGAGAGATATAAAGTTAACATGAAAAAGGCCACTAGGCAAATGGTTCCGGAGTTGAGTTTTATCTAATCTTTAAAGAACAAATGACTCTAAGATTATTCAAATCAATAAAGAACAAAGTTCCACATGTGATTTATACAGCCATCATTACAAACAAACCTGAAAAGGAAAAGCAAATATGACACTATGAATCAATCTTTTTATTACTAAGGTTATAAAAATTCAAAGGAAAAACTTAGTAAATGGAATCTTGCAATGTATTATAAGAATAATACACTATGAGCAAGCAGTTTCTCTTAAAGAATGCAAGGGTGGTTCAAGATCAGGAAATTCATCAATATAATCAACTGAATTAATAAGTTAAAAGAGAAAAAGCATATCATGTGACAAAATGCAGTTATTAAATACTGCAGCCATTGCTAATAAAAAATTTAATAAAAAGAAATAAAAGAACAACTTACATATAATAAAAACTATCAAAAACTGAAGACAAATATCTAAAATGGGGGCACTACAATCATTTTAATTAAAATTAGAAACTATTAAGAATTTCTACTATGATATTACTATCATTGTCTTTGAGGCTTTAGAGAATGCAATATACCAAAAAATATATAATATAAATACTTAAAAAGAAGAGCTACTTTTATTTCTTATTCCTGACGTTATTACGTACCTAGAAAGTCAAAAAATATTGAGAAAAAAGCAGAATTCTTAAGAGAATTTCATAATGTGAAAAAACACAAGATAAATATCCCCAATTAATAGCTTTTATATACCCTGGCATAAAATTTTAAAAGTGAAAATGGAAAGGTATTCCATTTATAATAGATACCAAAAACCTTCTATAATATTAAAAATATTAAGAATGTTGTTAATATTCAATAATTCAAATTTAATTAAATTAACAAAATTGATAATTGAAATGTAATATTAAATATTAAAATATTCTTAAAATATTGATTAAAATATTAAATGATATATTTCCACAATTATATATAAGTTCAATGAAGTGTCAATGAGCATTTTCAGAGACTCATTTGAAAATGTATAAAATGATAAAAGTTCACGGTGGATAATAAATATCTTAGAAAAGATAATAAAGTTATGAAGATAAAAAAATTGAGAGCGGACTTACTTACCAGATATTGGAACGCACTATATGTTCATCACATCAGTGTGGTACGGTAGTCACCCTTTATCCACAGTTTCAGTTTCCATGGTTTGTTACCTGCCATCAACCCTGTGCCGAAAATACTAAACGGAAAATTCCAGAAATAAACAATGCGTAAGTTTTAACTTGCCTGCAGTTCTGAGTAGTGTGATGAAATCTTGGGCCGTCAGGTTCCGTCCCTCTCAGGACATGAATCTTCCCTTTGTCCAGCAGATCCACGCTGTAACAGCTTTTCACCTGTGAGTCACTTAGCCGCCCTTTCTGCGATCACATCGACTTTCTGGTATGGCAGTGCTTGTGTTCAAGGAACAGTTACTTTATCTAATAAAAGTCCCAAAGTACAAGAGTAGTGTTGCTGGCGATTAAGCTATGCCAAAGAGAAACAGTAAAGTGTTTCCTTCAAGTAAAAAGGTGAAAGTTCTCCACTTAATAAGAAAAGAAAAAAAATTGTATACTGAGGTCGCTAAGATCTATGGTAAGAATGAAACTATCTGTGAAATCATGAAGAAGGAAAAATAAATTTGTGCTAGTTTTTGCACCTCAAAATGCAAAAGTTACAGCCCAATGCTTGTCAAGCAGTTAGTTAAGTTGGAAAAAGTACTAAATTTGTAAGTGGAAGACCTGAACAGAAACGTGTATGGATTGATGGCAATCAGGTTTGGTGCTGTCTATGGTTTCAAGCATCCACTGGAGGGGGTTGGAACCTATCCCCTATGAATAAGGGGGGAGCTACTGTATTAGGATAGCAATAGATAAATACATCACACAAATAAATAATTCAGAATTAGATCCTATGCATTTCCTTTTTCTGGTGTTTAAATTTATGGCAGATTTCCTTACTCTTTAGTGGTCATTCTCCTGAAAACTAGCTTTGTCTTCATGAATAATGTTGGCACTATTTGCAATTCTACATTCAGGGTTCTCATTTAGGAAGACAAATTCCCCGCCCCAACCCCTTCTGTTGAAACCTATGGATCAGCCATGGATAAATATGAGAGGACAGGCCGGGTGCAGTGGCTCACGCCTGTAATCCCGACACTTTGGGAGGCCGAGGTGGGCAGATTGCTTGAGGTCAGGAGTTCAAGATTAGCCTGGTCAATATGGTGAAACCCCATCTCTACCAAAAATGCAAAAATTAGCTGGGTGTGATGGCATGCGCCATTGGTCTCCGCTACTCAGGAGGCTGAGGCCAGAGAACCGCTTGAACTCAGGAGGCAGAGGTTGCAATGAGTCGAGGTTGCCCACTGCACTCCAGCCTGGGTGACAGAGTGAGACTCCGTCTCAAAAATAAATAAATAAATAAATAAATAAATAAATAAATAAATAAATAAGAGAGGCTAACTTAATATAATTGACCTTGAATTTAGGTTTGCAATTTTGAAGCTATAGATTTAAATGCTAAAGAGAAAATACAGATAATCACATCCATTTGGAGAAAATATGTAATCTTAGATCAAGCTTCATTGTTTAGAGCCACACTATCATCAGGATATATGACTCACATCTTTATGGCTAAACAAATAACCTTTCATTAAATCTAAAGTGAGTAGTACCATGCAATCAAGGGCTGTGAAGAGTTTATTTTCTTGGCTCTTTTTGTTGTTCTTTTATAACACATTTGTGTCCAGTTTTATTGTTCAAAACATCTTCAGGAGACATTATTTTAAACAAAATTTATTGTAATATGGTGATTTAAGTCATCTAGCCATTAGATCTATTTTAAAATTTTGTAAAGGAAACACTGTTTTAGCAAAATTAAATAGAGAAAATTGTGGCAAAACGTGCAGCAATAATTTATTTTTGCAAAACAAAAAGCGTAGAACTGCTCTCTAATTACTAGCCTTTGAGGCATTTACAGCTAAATTAAAATCATCATTAGCTGTTAAGTGTGTTTGCTTTGATTAGTTCCTGTTTTATGAGGTTTTAGGCAGAAGTAATTTTGTGGTATTATTAATGAATTTAATGTTAAGTGGAAAAAAACTTTTGTTATCTGACAAGTACCAGCTCTGGAATTAACAGTTTAAATTTTGTCAAAAGTCAGAGATGCTTTCTAACATATTTGCCAAGTATTAAAAATGATTATTTTTTTAAAGTTATCTTAAAAGCTAGTGTAATGGAAAAAAAGAAAATGCCAGTCTTATTCCCTTAACCATTATATCTCAATGTTATAAGGTAGAAAAGCACGGACTTTTAATATAGTCCTGTTCAAAACCACAATTCACCACTCTGACAATTTGGACCAATAACTTAGCCAACCTACACTCAATGTTCTTCATCTATAAAAACGGGAATATTAACATCTTTTCCAAAAAAATAGCTTTAAAGATTAAATAAAATAGTGAATGTTAAGTAGTATAGTGTCTGTGGTACATGCACTCAGTTAAGAGTTAATCTCTTTTTCCTTTCCTTTCCACTTGATCTTGTGTGTCTAAAGATATTAGAAAACTAATTCCAAGCATCTATCCAAAGATAAATGGAGGGATTTAGCATATTCATGTTATTATTGCATATGAATTTTGGAAAGAGAAATAATCCGAGTGTATGTGAGCTTCCTGTTTTAAACAGATAGTGACAGGAAAAATAAAAGTATATTTTCAACAATTTTGTATCAATGGGAAGATGGTTCTTTTTAAATATAATTTTGTGATTTCTGAGAGCAGTTGAAAATATTTAAACCCTGCTCGTTTCATTTGCGACTAAAACCAGTAATTTAACTTAATTGCTCCATGGGTCCAGATGTTAAGAGCTAGATGGAGTTAGTTAGAATAGAAACAAACAGAAATTTTTTTAAATGGAGGGAGGAATTAAGAGTTGGCCAAGGCTGCATTATTGCATTTTTGTGGTTCCAACATCATCAAAGTGTTTCGTCATACTCTACAAATTTAGTGTCTATGACTCCCACAGATCATCACTATATTCATCAAGGTTAATTCTCAGAATGTTTATGTCATTTTAGACATTTATAACTTATTCTAAACATATTTCCAGCAATTAAATCACAACCACTGCTATGATCTGAGGAAAATATGGATTTTTGTGTATGGCAATGAGAGGATATTTTGATGCTACAAAATTCTTTCTCTGGAAGTCTTCTAACCTCTCTGCATACTGTGGCATGCTTAATTGTGAGACAGAAATAATCACACATATTTCCCAAAGTATGCATCAAGTAAAAAGATAATGAAAAAAATGCACATTTGTGTTGTCATTATTTTGATCTACTTATTTGTGAAAGAGCAGCATGATCAGAAAATGACCAGAAAAAGATTATGGGTAGGAATAAGTCGCAATATTTCATCATAAAAGATAAATTGCTATTAATATTTAAATTATGCATCAGGATATGAAAGGTTCCTGCAAGTTCCATAGGACCAGCACTGGTTTGCAAACTGGCCAGGGTAAAATTAATGACAGGTGGAAACCATTTTATAGCCCTATTGGCATTCACTCTGATATGATACCACTGCCTTTTGGATGAGAAATGTTGAGAAGCAGCTCTCCATCATAAGCTCTGTACAGAATTTACATTAAGTTGTTTTTCATAAAGTTCTTTTTAAAGTTGTTCCTTTATTTAGAAGAGAACAAGCAGTTAAGCTATTGTGGGGGCATACAGGTTTGTGTGAGTGTGAAAGCATGGTGTTTGTGTAAAAATGTTTCATTAGAAGGATGTAGTCAGTGGAGTTAATTCACATGCCATATACTACTGCTGGACAGAGTTTGCTCTGGTATAACTCAAGAGTTGAAGTTGAGAAATCTCAAGTTATTAAAAATTTGAGCCATAAAAGAAATTTTAATGAAAAAACATGTGAGTTGGACTAGAGACCAGCAAATCTGCAATAAAAGTTATTTTTCCTCCAAGAATGTTTAATAATAACTGTTTTTAAAAGTTGTAAGCGTATAAAAACCTAAATATCACTGAGATAATCTACCATTTGATTAGCAAATTCAGTATTTGCTAAATTGCAATCAATCACCAGAACACAAGGATTAGCCCAGTGATTCTTATACAAATTCATTGTATGTTTATCACCCATTTTCATGATGGAGCATAAAATTGAAATAAGATAGCAAAAAGGCACCAAATCAAAATAAATTGCATAATGATTAGCAACAGACTGTGATAAGCAAAAGACAGCAACATCAACTGAGATCTAGCACCTCAGAAAAAGCACTGTTTTGTTTCTCTGCTATGTAACACAGAGGCGGTACCAGGCAGCCTTACTATCCATCAAGATCACGTCCTGCCCCTAAGCAATCTATATGATGCAAACCGATTTCACTAACAAATGCTCAATTCATACTTACACACAAATACCCCATTCGCAGTTTTAAAACTTTCTTAAAAGAAATGACCTTATTGACTAGTCTCTATTGACATTCATGTGTATGAGTTGCAAGAATCAGGAAAATAAAATCTAGTTATGTCAGAGCATTTCCTATAATTTCCTTGTAAAAGTTCTTTCTCTTTGAAAATATTTAATTTTGTTAGTCTATGGACAAATGACTTGGCCCTCATTAATTTATTCTAAACTATTCTATATAAAATAGTGATGCACAATTTCTGCTCCTTAGTTCACCTAAAACTGGGTTCTTGTCACACAACCAGGAAAGATTAGGCACACAGACACGTTGAAAGGTGAGGAGAGAGGAATTTATTAAAAGAAAGCTCTCAGTGAAAAAAGAAGAGGTCCTGCTAATAGGCTCCCACCTCATAGATTGAATACTAGGCCACCACACTCATGAGCTGAAGAAGCCAGGCTCCTCCCCACTGCACAAGGTACGAACTGCTCGTGACTCCACCATGTTCCCCCAGTGTGCATGTGGGCATTATTCAGAAAGAATCAGTCCGGAAACGGTGGCCAAACAGGGGCAGTTCTCCCTCTGAGTTGCCTGTTTCCTGGGACCAGCAGTCCAGTCTTTCAGCCTTCAGGCTGTTTTAGGCATGAAGGTGAGGTTTCCAGGGGAACATTGACTGTCTCCTGTCTCTATCAATAGTATCACAAATCATGAATTTTTTTTTCGTTCAAACTTTGGGAAGTAGGTATGATTATCTCTATGTTATAATTAAGTATGCCACAGTTTTCAGAGAGGTTAGAAGACTCCAAGAGAAAGAATTCTGCAGCACCAAAATTTCGTCTCATTGTTATACACAAAAATACATGTTTTCCCCATATCATAGCTATGGTTGAGATTTAATTTTTCATGCTGGAAATATTTTTTGAATAAATTATAAACGTTCAGTATAATTTCAACATTCTGAGGGTTAACCTTGATGAACATAGGGATGATTTAAGAGAGTCAAAAATGCTACATTTGTTGACTATGACGAACCACTTTGATGGTGTTGGAGCCACAGCATTGCAATGATGCAGCCTTGGTTCCCTCCTGATTCCCTTTTTGTTTCTTCTTTACATTTCAACTATCTCCATGTACCTCTTAACGTCTGGACCCGTGGAGCAATTCTAAAGTTTTTAATAGAAAACTATGGTAAATACAATACTGTCAGTCAAATGATATTTTTAAAATCCAAAACTCTCTTTTGCCACTAAATTTAACAGTGATATTGTACTTGATGACTGTAATTATGATTGTGAGTCTCTGACAAATCTTGAGGATTATTTTGAATTAACCAAAGGGGAAGAATTCCTGAATTTTTTCAACTATAATGCTTAATTGTTAGCCCATGTAAAGTTTTGGTTTGGTAACTCTTCATGATAATACTACGCTCTCAGTAGAAAGAAAATTTACTTATTTCCTAGCTAATTTATTTCTTTCCTTCAACTTAACATAGAGAATAGTAACAACCAAAAAGCTTTCCTTAACCATGAAACAAGGCTAAATAAGGTCTATTTAGTTAATTGTTCTAAATTGTCATTCATATGAGCAAAGAATGAACAGGAGTGAGATGTTACATTCTGGGGATACTGTATTTCCTCGACATAAACCAGAAACTGAAATAATATTATGAAAATTAATCACAACAAGTAGTGTTGTATTTTTATGGTTATCATCTTGTACCTTTGAATAACTTTGGTACTCTTGGTTTTGCTTCAGAGCCTTTCAACTCCAGAAGGAAATTGTGTCCTCAAAACTAATGTGTAATATAAGGAAGTCTCATAGCAGTATGTTACAGACAGAATTAGCCATGTAGACAACATATGCTAGTGACTATATATATGGGAAAATTTAGAAACAATAATTTTAGATCACTTGGAAGTACATAAAATGTAAAACTGTAATGTATCCTATAATTAAATTGTATTTGTTAAATTAATAAGGAAACTTAGTCATGGTCAAATGACTATGTTTTTGTTTAACATGCATAAGAATCAAGATTCAGTGAGTAGTTTTTAAAATTAGAATTGTTTTAGCTAATATAGTTTCCTTAGTTCTATTTTTTACTAACACAAATTATCATGGCAAAATACTATTGATCTTTAAAAAACAGCTTGCAAAGATTGAGTTATGTCTCATTTATTTGTAAGATTCCATATTTCTTTAAAAATTGCAAGGCTTATATAATGGTAATAGGCAAACTTGGTTTTCCATGCATTATCTTATTTTCCCCAAAATTCTATGGAGTTGGCACTCTTACCTCATTTTAAAGATGAGGTATCTGTGACTCAGAGAGGTTAAGTTAATGGTCAGTTTTATCAACAAGTTGTAGAGTTGGGATTTAAATCATACTGTACTTTTGTAGGTATAACACTTATCAATTAAAATTCGTATGCCTCCCCTTCATTTCTTTCCCTTGATTTTATTGTATTACATATTTTTAAGTATAGAAAAATAGAAAAATAACATAACAGCTACCTATTTCATCCCCAACTCTGATTTCACAAATACTGACATTTTGTCATGTTTTTGTTGTTGCTGTTGTTTTGTTGTTTGCCTTTTGGAAGTAAAATGTACTAAATGGAGCTAAGTCAAGCAGCAGCAGGACATAGTGTGAAGCTGCTCATCTCGTCTCTCTGTTCCCACAGCTACAATCCTCTGTTAGTTTCCTAGACCCTTTCTTCTGGACTACATCAACAAACTCACGTGCACTCTCCCTTGCTCCAGTCTGCCTTTGATCAAGTCTATTGCTTATACAACTGGTATGATAATATTCTCCAAACATTGCATTCCTCCTGTCAAACTCCTTTTCAATAATACACAGAGCCTCATTGTTATCTGTGTTATCAAACATTTAGCACTCAAAAACCCACATCACAGGGGTCCTTTTTTTTTTCTTTTTAACACTTTTCCCCTATAGACCCGTCCTTTTTATATGATATAGTGTCCCTTTATACCTTACAACATCCCATGGCTTCATCTGGTTTGTGGTTGTGGTTTTGACCAAACCATGCTCTTGGTTTTCTTGCCAACTTTATTAAAAATAAGCCTCTTCCAGAAGGTATTATCTCCTTCACTCCATTGTTTCTCTTCTGGGTATGGCTTTAGTATTCACGGATTTAGTTTGTAAAAATACATACCATTTAACACTTTTCTTGGTTCTGATACCTCTTGGTTCAAGATGGTGGCCTGAGAACATTTATATGCCTCCTGGCTCTTAAAAAATATCACTAGAATGAAAATAAATGTATACAAAAGTGAATAAACCCATAATAGCAAGATAATAGGAGTAAGGGCCAACAGTGAACTAAGGCTATTAATACAATTCTGGCAGACAAAAAGCAGATGTGTGTGGTGACAAGGGAGACAAAGCAGAAATAACTACAAGCCAGAATAACAGAGACTCTGTTTAAAAAGCCATATCTGGGGCAATTTTCTGGGGGCTCCAGGAAGAGGCGCCGCATAGCGTCAGCAAGGACTCAAAAGGAGCACTTCCCAGTGAAGCAAAAGAGTGGCGTAATAATTGGAGAACCCTCACGACGTGTCAGCCCCACCACGGCCCCATAAATGTAGCATGAGTGCGAGCTTGAAATTTGTAACATGAGATGAAAACTGGAGAAGCATCCCTAAAATATATGAACCAATCTGCCTAGAAATAGCTAGGAATCTGGTGAGTTGAACCTACCAGAGTACAGACCTTCTTATTCTGTTTTGAGGTGCTCCTGCTTGCACCTGCAAGCTTCCGCGTGTCATATTTTAAAGTAAAATATGCCAATTGATATAGTCATCATGTACCCAAAGAGTCAAAGAAGTTTATAGCCATAAAATAGAAACAGACTTCTATGACAAAAAGGAAAGATCATAGAATAAGAAAAAGTTTTTAAAAATTAAAAGAATATAACTGCCAGGAATTTAAAAAATTATGGTAGTGTCCAGAGCTATGAGTGACGCTATCTTCAGATTTTAAACACAAACATGCAGATTGAAAATATCAAAAGAAATTGAGTGTTTTGAGGCAAAGTTGAGTAAGAAGGGAATTGAGAGATGCATAAAAGAAGCGAGATAAAGTCCTTTGGATTAAAAGGCTGCTAGATAGTTAAACAGAATAAAAAACAAAATCCATTCTCAGAAGTATTTTTGTGAAATTTCAGATTCCCAAGGATAAAGAGCAGATTCTATAAGTTTCCTGTAAGGAAAAAAACAACAAAATAAAAGATTTTATACAAAAGAATACTCAAATGGGCAACAGAGTTCTCGTCAGCCTTACTTGTTGCCAGAAGGGAATGGTGTCATGCTCTCACAGAAAGGGAAGACTGCTGTGTGGCCCTCACCTGAATTCCCGTCTATAGTTTATGGGACCTCATATGTGGTTAATATTTGTTAACTTGAGCAAGGAAATGAAGATAAAGGAGAAATTTCTCCCACCAGAATAACCCTTCAGCTCCTCTATCTAAAACACCATTGCATTTGTTAGTGGGGTTTGGAATCAGCACTACTGATTTCCTTCATTTGAACTACTATTTTTAAACATAGTGCAGCCAGGCGCAGTGGCTCACGCCTGTAATCCCAACACTTTGGGAGGCCGAGGCAGGCAGATTACCTGAGGTCAGCAGTTTGAGACCAGCCTGGCCAACATGGTGAAACCCCGTCTCTACTAAAAATACAAAGATTAGCCGGACGTGGTGGCACACGCCTATAATCTCAGCTACTCGGGAGGCTGAGGCAGGAGAATTGCTTGAGCCTGGGAGACGCAGGTTGCACTGAACCAAGACTGTGCCACTGCACTCCAGCCTGGCTGACAGAGCGAGACTCTGTCTCAAAAAAATAAATAAATAAATAAATAAATAAATAAATAAATAAATAAAAAATAAAACCCTTAACAATGCACCTTGGGGGTCTTTTCCTCTCAGCACATAGAGCTGGACCCCAATCTTTTTTTTTCCAACTTTGTTGTGATACTATTGCCATACCATATAGTTCTCCCAATTAAAGTATAAAATTCAATTATTTTTAGTATAATATCAGATAAGTGCTACCATCACCACAGTCAATTTTAGAACATCTTCACTACCTCAAAACGAAACCCCATATGATTTAGCTAAAAGCCCCTTATCCCTAGTTCTCACCACCATAACCCTAAGCAAACACTTACCTATTTTCTGCCCGATAGGTTTCTTTATTCACATGAGTGAGATCATACAATATGTGGCCTTTGTAACTAACTTCTTTCATGTAGCATAACGTTTTCAAGGTTCATCCAAGTTGTAGCACTATCAGCATTCCATTTCTTTTCATGGCTGCATAATATTCCATTGTATGAATATGCCATGTTTTGTTTATTCATCCACCAGTTGAACATTTAGAGTGCTTCTACCTTTTGACTATTAGGATTAATGCTGCTATGAACATTCATGTACAAGGTTCTGTGTGGACATATGTTTTCACTTATTTTGGTATATACCTGAGAGTGGAATTGCTGGGTCACATGGTAACTGTGTATTTAATCATTTGAACAACTGCCAGACTGTTTCCCAAAGTAATGGTACCACTTTACATTCACACTAGCAGGGTCAGTGTATGAGGGTTTCTGTTTCTCCACATCCTTGCCAGCACTCATTACCTGGCTTTTTGATTCTAGCCCTATTAGTGTATGTGAAGTGCTACTTCATGGTAGTTTTCATTTGCAATTGTTTGATGACTAATGATATCAAGAATTTTTTCATGTGCTTCTTGGTCATTTGAACATCTTTCTTGGAGAAATGTCTGTTTTTATCCCTTGGCCATTTTTAAGTTGGGTTATTTCTCTTTTTATTATTGAGTTGTAAGAGTTTATATATTCTGACCTAATATCTTTGGGTACTCATTTTCCAGACTCCTACATGGTTCCAATGTTGAGGCTTTTTGCAATGCTGTAACCTACATTCTTTATTTTCAGTTAACAGTGTGTGTATGATTGCAGGTTTCTGATATCATGTTAGTTTACTTTATATGAAATCCTGTAGATCTTTGATATTTGTGAAGGACATATCTTGAGACCGTATTGAACCCATGAGTTTCTATAGGTATAAACGTTTAAAATCTTGACACTTTCTCAAATCACATTTCAGCATGGAGTCCTGCATTTGTTGGGATATCATCAGCCCAGCAGTTAATTGCCTATTAATGAATTGTTATTCATCACTAACAGAGAGAATGTACACTGGTAGGGAAATCACTGACATTTTTATTAATTGCCTTTCAAAAATTTATGTAGAGCGTATATAGTGGACTCACTTATGTCATATATCAGGTTAATTTAAGTAGTGAATTATCAAAATATTTTTTGTGGTTATTTTCATGACCTTCTTAGATTTTTTAGTGTTACTTTATTTCTTTCACAACACTAGCAGTTATTTATTTTTGTGATCACTTTACACTGACACACACACACACAATAACAAAAGTCACCTTATGTATGCATGCTGAGGATTATAGAATCAAAAACCTACACAGGGTTGTGGATGCTGACTATTTAGGTTTCCTTGTGCCCTCTTCTTACCCCTTAGCTGATTTGCATCTGTACAGCAGCCTTACAACCTGTGCAATTCAAAATTTTCAATTGGAAAAATTACCTATCACTGCATGTCATGCACTTTTGAATTTGCTCTAAAATAGTCAATATGGTAGATGTAAAATCTATTCACCCTAAAGATCTTTTGAATAAAAGCCTAAGAAGAGTGAGAAATAATACTATCTTACTTTCCCTCATTCAGAGTTGTTCAGTAAGCAGAGCTTTTCCACAGAAAGTGATCAAGACGGTGAAGTTCTCAAAATCAAGAGAAATAGTTGAAGGATCTGGGATAAGATTATCCAAAGAGATTTGAAAACTCTTCAAATAGAAAAAGTACTTCCATATGGAAAAATGATTATAGCTTGCTAGTTTAACCACAGAGGGTAGAACTAGGACAGACAAATATAACTTTTGGAGAATTCAGTTCAAAGAAGTACTTTCTAAGAATTAGAACTGAACATTCTTGGAATAGGATGTCATAATAGGTAGAGAATTTTATCAACTTGGACACATTCAACTGAAAATTGGTCAATCCCTTTATCAGATAATGGTTGTGGTGCTGAGGCAGTGTTAGAATAGATATCCTTCCAGGTTTTTCTCATACCACAGATTCTATTCTAAGTTCATACATGTTATAAAACATTTAGGACTTAATTTAATAATTACCAGAGGGCTGAATGTTATTCTTTTGTAATGACATTAAAATTTTACTGTAGCAAGAAATATTAGAATTTATATTCTAATCTCCTGGTCCCTTCTGACTTTAGAATGTTATTGGCAAAAGGGGAGGGGATAGTTTTGCTATTCATCATTCTAGAGATGCAAAATTAAGCTATAATTGTCTTAAAGTGTTCCTGCAAAATATAATTTTCTCATGATGTTCATCTGTAATAAAATTGTTTTTTACAAAATATATAGTATATGTAACCAGTATCAACAAATTAAATGGTGTTCTAATCTAAATAGGAATAAATACACATTTCAAACATTCAAACTATTTTAAAATATGATAAATACAATTCACCAAAAATAAATTTATAAAAGCATACATTGATGAAAAATTTAAAACTTTTGTATATAAGCTAATCACTCTCATTTTATTTGCCTTGTATTGGACATACATATTACTACATTACTCCCAAATATTAAAGGGCTGGTCAATATCTTTGGTCTTAGAGTTTTAGTATATATAGCATGGATAATTTAAAAATGATAATTATCTTTCCCTTACAATGCTATGATTATGCCCCTAGAAATGGACCATAAATATCACATTGGCACTTTTAAGAATAGAGATACCTATTTCCAGATAACTAAGTCCCTACTATTTGTTGAGCCATAAGTCATGTGTGACAGATAGTGTAAGAAGAGAGGGAAGAAGGTGAATGTTTACATTAAAAATCCATGGGATAACACTTAGGTAATTGTAAGAACTCAGACAAGTCATAAAACATCTCTAAACTTCAGTTTCCTACTCTCTGGTAAGGATATAGTACTCACTATATATAGTCTATGATAATTACAACAACCTTATATGGCAAGTACTATTATACCCACATTGCATATAATACAATTTTACCAATGTGCTAGACCAAATTACAGGAGCTTTTATTCAGTGACTGTTTTTATTGTAGTACAGCTGACCCTTGAACAACATGGATTTGAACCACACAGGTCCACTTATACATGACTTTTTCAATAAATATGTTGGAAATTTTTTGGAGATTTTTGATAACTTGAAAAATCCTGTGATGAATCATATAGACTAAAAATACAACAACAAGTTAAGAAAAAGTTATGTCATGAATGTATAAAATATATGTAGATATGAGCCTACATACATTTTCACTACCGTAAAATATACACAAATCTATTATAAAAAGTAAGAACTTATCATAACTTATGTACACAAATACTTACACATCATACATGGTGCTGTTCACAGTAGAGAGAAATGTAAACAAATGTAAAGATGCAGTATTAAATTATAACTGCATAAAATTAACTGTTGTACATTCTGTACTAATGCAATTATGTAGAAACCCCTTGTTGCTGTTGCAGTGAGCTCAAGTGTTGCAAGTATCTACTTAAAATGCCTATGTGACATAATCATCTTCCCATGAGCAGTTTGTCTCTCCAGTAAATTGCCTATTGTGGTAAAAAGTGATCTCTCTTGGTTCTTGTGTATTTTTCATAGTGTTTAGTGTAATACTGTAAACCTTGAATCGTACTATGCGACCTACATGAAGTGTCACCAGTGATGCTGGAAGTGCTCCCAAAAATCGGAGAAAAGTCAGAAAAGAAAAAGTTGAATTGCTTGATGTGTATTGTAGGTTTAGATCTGCAATTGCAGTTGCTTGCCATGTCAAGATAAATGAATCTAGCCTAAGGGCCATTGTAAAAAATAAAAGGAGCCTTGTGAAGCTGTCCCTGTAGCTATGCCAGTAGGTGCAAAATGCTTGTACTTTTTGTGAAATATCTTTTTATCTTGTATTGAAAATGCAGTTTTTATGTGAGTGCAGAATTGCTGTAAGAAAAGCATCTCTAGACTAATATGATTTGAGAAAAAGTGAAGTCATTATATGACAACTTAAAGCAAAAGGAAGGTGAAGAATCTAAAGCTGGATAATCTAATGCCAGCAAAGGATGGTTTGATCATTTGGCTTAAAACATGTCAAGATCACAGGAGAAGTAGCTTCTGGCAACCACAAGGTAGCAGATGAGTTCCCAGGTGCCATAAGAAAATCACTGAAAAGAAAGGACATTGGCCTAAACAGGCTTTTTTCTTTTTCTTTTTTTCTTTTTTTTTTTTTTTGAAACAGAGTCTCACTCTGTTGCCCAGGCTGGAGTGCAGTGGTGCGATCTTGGCTCATTGCAACCTCTGCCTCCCGGGTTCAAGCAATTCTCCTGCCTCAGCCTCCTGAGTAGCTGGGACTACAGGTGCCCGCCACCACACCTGGCTAACTTTTGTATTTTTAGTAGAGATGCGGTTTCACCATATTGGCCAGGCTGGTCTCAAACTCCTGACCTTGTGATCCACCCCGCCTTGGCCTCCTAAAGTGCTGGGATTGCAGGCACGAGCCACTGCACCTGGTCTGAACAGGCTTTCACTATAGACAAAAATGCCCCATTCTAGAAAAAAGAATAGCCACAAAGCACATTTAATAGCAAGGAAGAGAACAGAGCACAATATAAGGCAGGAAAGAGCCTAACTCTAAAAATATATCCTAACTCTATTTTTTGGGAAGGCAAATGCAGTCAGGTTTATGATCAGGATGGCCCTTATCTATAAAGCCATCAACTCCCTAGCCATGAAAGGAAAGACTAACACCAGCTGCTAGTATTTTGGTTGTATAATCAGAGGGGTGAAAAATGAGAACACTTTTTCTGGATTGGTTCCATGTATGCTTTGCCCCTAAAGTCAGGAAGTACCTTTCCAATAAGTGACTGCTTTTTAAAATTTTTGGAAATTGGATAATGCCCCTACTCACCCAGAATCCCATGAGTTCAACACTGACAGCATTAAGTGGTCTACTTGTGTTGAAACACAACATTTCTAATCCAGACCTACACATAATATTATATGGAAAGGATTGCCAATGCTATGGAAGAGCAGTCTGATGAGATAACATCATGAAAGTCTGGAAGGATCACACTATTGAAGATGCCAGAATTGTTATGGAAAAAGCCATAAAAGCCATCAAGCCCCAAACAATAAATTCCCGCTGGAGAAAACTGTGTCCACACATTGTACATGACTTCTACAGGATTTACAACAGTCAATGAATAAAATAATGAGAGAGATTTATGGATATGACAAAAAAAAGATGGTGGCAATGGTGGTGAAGAGTTTCATGATGTGACTCTTCAAGAAATTCAAGAGCTAATAGACACCACACCAGAGTAATTAACAGAAAACAACTTGACAGAGATGAGTGCTTCCAAACTAGTGCCAGATTATGAGGAAGACAGAAGCGAACTGACATTAGACAATCTGGCAGAAAAGTTCTGATTATTAAAGACTGCTATTGACTTATGACAAGAAATCTTGGATGACATTGGTACTGAAACTAAAATGATGGAAGAAGGATTGATACTATGTGGAAATATTTTTGGAGAAATGAAAAAGCAAAAATATCAGACCGAAATTATACTACATTTCCGTGAAGTTACACCAAATGTGCTTGCCTCTCCTGCCTCAGCTTTTACCTCCTCTATGTCTTCCTCTGCCACTCCTGAGACAGCAAGACAACCCTTCCTTTTCTACCTCCTCCTCAGCCTACTCAGTGTGAAAACAATGAGGATTAAGACCTTTAAGATACATTTCCACATAATGAATTGTAAATATATTTTGTCTTTCTTATAATTTTCTTAATATTTTCTTTCCTCTAGCGCACTTTATTATGAGAATACAGTATAACATATATAATTAAGTAAGCTAGATAAATATAAATATTATATAATTTATATAGACTTATATAATTTAAAAATATAAATATAATTTATATAAATATTTATATTTATCTAGCTTACTTTATTATGAAAATACAGTATAATATGTACCTTGCATATAACATATTAGATATATGTGAATCAACTGTTTGTGTTGGCAAATCTTTAGGTCAACAGTAGACTATTAAGATTTGTGGGGAGTCAAAGTTTGTATGTGGATTTTTAATTGCATGGGGTGGGTCAGCATCCCCACCCTCATGTTGCTCGAGTCAACTACGTTGATATTATTACTTTTATTATTATTTTTAAAGAGTCTGCAATGGGAGTTGATTGCCTCTATCAACTGCCAGATCTCAAGCCCACTACACTGCAGTAGATATTTAAGACATCAGAGATAACCCACATTGGTCATACTAATTTTTCTTTTGTAAACAGGATTGTTTGAGAAAGAATTTTGATAAAACTTAAAACAATATCTTAGCCAGTTAGTATCAGCTTTTGAATGTTAATGCCCGTATGTAAAGAACTAAAATGTCTCCAAGTCTATATTTCTTTTAGAAAGTAAGTGAGGCAGGCCAGGCACAGTGGCTCACAACTGTAATCCCAGCACTTTGGGAAGCCGAAGCAGGCAGATCAGTTGAGGTCAAGAGTTCCAGACTAGCCTGGCCAACATGGAGACAGCCCATCTCTACTAAAAATATAAAAAATTAGCCAGGTGTGGTACCTCATGCCTGTAATCCCAGCACTTTGGGAGGCCGAGGCAGGTGGATCACTTGAATTCAGGAGTTCAAGACCAACCTGGCCAACATTGCAAAATCCCATCTCTACAAAAATACAAAAAATTAGCCAGGTGTGGTGGCACACGCCTGTAGTCCCAGCTACTCAGGAGGCTGAGGTATGAGAACCGCTTGAACTCAGAAGTTAGAGGTTGCAGTGAGCTGAGATTGCACCTCTGCACTACAGCCTGGGTGATAAAGCCAGCGAAATTCTGCCTCAAAAGACAAAGTAAGTGAATCTCCCACCCCGAATCCTGGTGTTAATTATTGACTCTACTATGTAAGAAATAATACTACATTATTTTATGTTGCTGTACTTCTGCTAATAAACAAAGTAGAATAAAAAATTGCTATGTTTTATGCATATAATATGTAATATGATATGGTCCTTATTCTCCAGAATCTTACAAAGTATTATGAAAAAAGTATCAACTTAAAATTCCATTTAATAGTCTACTAGATGTAGTTAAGAACTACCATTTTTGGTACTCAGGACTTAGCTACTCTTGGTGAATTTTTAAAAAATTTTTAACTTACTCTTTCTCTTATATTTCTCATTTTCTTTGTAGTTTCCAGCCAACTCGCTCCTCATGTTTTGTTTTGTTTTGCTTTTCTTTTTGTTAAGTTTTATCTTATAGCCATATACTGTAATTCATGTGTTGTTTTTTAATGCATATTCCTACTACATCATGTACATCTTGCAGCGAAAGTGGATTAATTATGTTGCAACAAGCTAAGGCACCACTTTTGGGATGAGCTTTCATGCTAGGTACATTTCACAGCTCTACACATAGTTGGTTGCCTTTGGGTACCCATTCCTGACTGACCCAATGGGTGTCTGGATGATAGTGCTGGCCCAACATGAAGCATGGGAATCCACAGCTGCATTTTTCCTGAAGAGCACCATAGATATGTCAGGTGTCTAGTATACCTCTCTAGCTTAGATCCCAGTTAGTCAAGACTTTGGGCTCCCTTTTGTACTGATCCAGTTCCTTTCCCTCTTCTCTGGCACATGATTCCTGAAAATACTTGCCAGTGTATCCAAGATGTAAAATGCTTTTAGAAAAAAAGCAACACAACTGTGTAAATTGGTGGTTTTAAGAATTTACTATTGTCAATCTGATAGGGACACGCAAATCACTTTGACATTCTTTAATGCCAGCACCTTCACTGAAATTAATACAACATTTCTATAATTTTCTTTCAATCCTCTGACACACTCTTACACAGACATTTCTAACATTCTGCCTCTCCTCCCCAAAAAATCTGTTGAGTCCACACACGTACTTCTCTCTTCTGTCCAGTCTCAGAAGTGTCCTCTATCCAGGAATAACACCCATCTTCACCTGCACTTTATCCCCATTCTTTCTCATATCCTTTGAACTTCTTTCCACTAATTATTCTCATTCTACCTGTATTTCCAGCCTCTTTGTTTCAACTGGCCCCTGACCTTCAATGAGAATGAACACTGGATCTATCTCATTTTTGTCTCTCTTCTTCTCTATGTAGAAAATTTATTGAAGGCATAGCCTAAACTCATAGCTGATCTCTTTCTACCTTTCTTATTATAATGTTGCATCCATGTCTATTCTTCCACATTTTGTTTTGCAAATCCAGTGGTCTCCAATTTCTCATACTATTTGGCCTCTGCTGCATTTGTCATATTGGTTCTCTTTCAGTCTTCTCTGCTATGTTCTTCCCTCTCTTTACTCTTTTCATAGTCGGGTGGACATTCTTCATCCTTCAACTCATCCTTGAAACAAGGTTATTCTCCAGTGTTCCACTGTGAGCCATGTCTCATGTCCCTCTGTAGCTCCTCTCTGGGTGATTTCCCTTGCTCCAATTATCAAGTGTACAGTAGTATCTGAAATACTCATCTCTAGATAAAATTTATTTGAAATCCAGACATGAATATCCAGTGCTTTGTTAGGCAGCTCCATTTGGATTTCTCAAGTATAACTAAAACTCAGTAAATTCAAAATGTGCATCTCTACCATGTGCCTAACTGCTCTTCTAGATTTCATCACTTTCTTAGGCCTCTAAGTGGAAAAGCTATAAGTCATACTTCCATAACTCCAAGTATGATCTATCTCTTTATTCCCTCCAGCGCAAGATATTTGCTATGAGAAACATAAATTTTAGATTCGTGCTGTTTTGAAATCCTAAATAAATTCAAGAAAATGTCAATTTTATCAAAGAAAAAAGAAAAGTGAGACAATAGATTGAATATTTGGAAGACATACAGATAAATTGAAAGAATTGGAGAAATTAATAACACTACAAGATAATTTAAATGGGACTAGAAATGATAAAAAAATAGAATCAACATTGCCTTCAAATTAACAATGTAATTTACATACTTTTGAAGCTTTCCAAAAATAGTTACAAAAATTAATTCTCAGAACAGAAAAATTATTAAAAAACAAAATAGAATAAAAACTTTCTTGAACTAAACAGTAGCATCAATGAGGATATTATGAACCAGAAAAATTAATAAAGAGAACAAAAACACATTTAAATATGTACTTTTTTAAAAAAATTAAAGATGAAGGTATACTTTACATCCAAATAGAAAAAAAGTTAGAAAAACATTTAAAGAAAAAATGGGGAATATATTATTATTTTTACAGCATGTAAAGGTAGATAGCGGCATAGCAACTATAATAATATTTATTCTAAAAATAACAAACATTTATCACTTAATTTTTTTCAGAATTGGGCTATGTATTTACAGGCATTATTTTATTTAATCCTCAAAACAACTGTAAGTTATAGACATTATCATTAGTCACATTCTACAGATGAGTAAACTCAGGCTCAGAGAAGTTAATATGCTTAGTGTCTTCAAACTAGTGATTATGAGAGTAGAGACTTGAACTGTCTTTTGATGCCAATCAGTAATGTCAACATCATACAGTGGTTTTCCAGATGTGGCCACAAACCATCTGCATGAGAATTATACACACTCCTGCCAGAATTCTCCATTTTAAGGAAATGACCCTAGTGATCATCTTTCTACATTTTTACACAAAAATGCTATACTTTCTATGTTCTGTAGTTGCCTATGCAGTAAAATTATATGCTATAGTTTTACACATTATGCTATATGCTAGTTTATGAGAGAAATCATGACCCACGTATTGTCAATCATAAATATAGTCACAGTAAAGACATTATATAATGCCTCTATTTAAATAGTCAGGAAGTAAATGACCTAAAATACTTTTCATGAAAAATGCATTTGATGATATTTTTCAGCCACCAGAAAGATGAATAAAATAAAAGATTGAAGAAGTAGCAAGTAGCAGTATGGAAGACTTGTGGCTAAGGTAGTAGCTAAATCTTTCAATGTGGGCAAGTTACTTAACCTCACTATATTCACTTTTCATATTTGTGAAATGAGAATAAGAGCTCCTATGTCATACAGTTGTTATGGTATTTAAATAAGATAACTCATAATATGCCTAGCACAGTAAAGGGCACTCTTAAAAACAAAAACTTTATTTTAGAGTCTTATCTTTCAAAATGTAAGAGAAGGTATTCCAAATGAATGCAAATTTTAAGGAGGTTGGACCTTGAGAGAATAGTCATCTGTGGAAAGAGATTATTTAGCATGATGATCAGAATTAACATCCGGCCAGGAGTTAAAGAGGAATGTTTGTATTGAATTAAGCAATTGTTACTCAAATTTCTCTCAACAGATATGTGTCTTGGGAAAAAGAAGGGCTGAATGTTAACACAACTAAGGGTCTCACTGATTCCCCAATGAAGCAACTTCACGGGGGAACCCCTCTAAGAGATTTTCTCTCTGCATTCACAGAAGACACTTCGCACTGTTATGCACCAGGAGGATTGACTGTCTCTGTGGCTTGGAGGCAGTTATACGTAGCAGCAGCAGCAGCAGCAGCAGCAAAAGTTAACAGGAGCCGGAGTCTGTCTTCAAAGAGCAGTCAGTAGAGATGAAGAGTAGATTACTGATTCCATAGTACATGTCAGATACTGCCTAGGGACTTCCTAAGTAGAGGTCAAGGTCCCACTGTTATACAGGTAGGGGTTAATGAGCTAGCAAATTAGGATATTAATATTAATGGAGCATCTTTAGTACCCACAGGCTAATGAAGTCTGGGGTCATTTGGGTTATATTAACATGAAACAAAGTGGAATTTTAGGCCAAACGCATTTACCAGAATAAAGAGAGCAATTTTCCTGATTAAAGGAGATAAGATCTGTAGTTATTGCCTGAGATAAATAACATAATATTAAAATATATATAGCAAAACACTAGTGAAAATATAAGGAGCAAAAAATGCAATGGGTGTTTCTCAGTGTTTGACAGAAAAAGGAAAATTTTAAATAATTTTAGATAATCTGAATAATATAATTATGAGATTATATATAAAGGATGTATATGTGTACATATGTTGATATATATACAAACACACGTACATGTATGTATATGTGTGTGTATACTAACATGTTCTTGGTTTCAGTAAAGTTGGCAATTTAAAAATAAAAATAAAATAGATTCCCAACAAAGGAGAAATTCTCCAAAGGAAAAATTACAGGAAATATTCAATGAGGAAATAAATTATATATAAAGTTAATAACAAAAAATTAAAAATGTTCTAACCACTTGGATGTAAAGACTATCAGAAAGTAACAGTAGTGGGAAGAGTCCATATTAAAATCCTAAGAGAAACGTATGTACTAGTAGGAAAGTACCCTTAAAAATCTTAATATTAAGCTTTTTAGTATTTAGATAACGAAGAAAAAAATACTGAGTCAGTTTGTATATTAGAAAGGAATTAATAAAATAAATTGAAATATTAAAAAAGAAAGCAATTAGTATAAGTGGTAAAAAATTAATGATTTAGAATATAAGAGACTAACTGATTAATAAATCCTAAAGCAAAGCACATTGTTTGAAAACTACGAAAACTAAACAGATAAGGTAAATGTGTTATATAAGTAACAGAAAACAAACACAGATGTAGAAAAATATGAATTAGTAGATAATTATAAGATAAATATATAAAACTCTATCCTAATAAATAAGAAAGTATTAATGAAATGGATGATTTCATATTAAAATGCATTACTTTAATTCTAAAAAACCAACTAAGATTGAGAAAAAGTTTAATGGAACATTACTATGTTGCTACTTTAAAAGAAAAGTCTTGTCATAGGATTATTTTTAAAAGATGCTGAACTGAAATTGCTTTTTCAGCTTTCTGATGGTTTCTAGTGTGTGTATGTCCAGAGATAGATATGTAAAACCAAACAAACATAAATATTTATAATTCCTATTTCTTATTTATTAGAACTTTCAGTACGATGTTAGATCATTGCAGGCCAATTACACTTATGAAAATATTCACAAAAATGAAATAGAAAATTGAATCCATCACCATGTTAAAGAACATGTAATAATGAGTTATGACTAAGTAGAGTTTATGATGAGTGCAGGGATACATTATATTAAGACATCTACAAAAAAAGGGGAAAAAAGAAATCTACAAATATAATTAATCATTTTAATAGTTTACTTTAGTAAACTATCTTATTAGATTATACTTCCTTACTATATTAAATAGTATATTTTATATCAATAATCTATATAGAATTAAATCTAGATGTATTTCCATTAAAGGCAGAGGATCACACTTTTTTATGCTTATCTTTAAAATAATTGGGAAATATAACACAAAAATAAAATATGAAATATATAAATTTAAAAAATAGGAAACCATAAAATCAGAAGAAAACATACAATGCTTTTCCAACCAAATAAGAATAGTTTTCAGGAAAGAAAAAAAGAGTAGATAATTATAAAATTAACAAATGCTATGAACAGACAATTTACAAAGAAATGCAAATATTCAGTAGACAATGTACAGATGTTCAACCTGACTGGTGATTCAAAACAAACAAAGTTAATAGTTACATTTTTATTTATCAAATAGAAAATGTTTGAAAATACAAGAAGCCTGGTGTGGTCAAGGTGCTAAGAAAATAGGCATTCATGTACACTGTTGATAGGAGCAAGAACTGGCAATTTTTTTTGGTGGAAAAAAATTTAATATGAACCTAAGTCTTAAAATATGAGTTTGAATTCCATCTCTCCTATAGCCCCTTTGTACAAATTTAACCTAAGGGAAAAATGCACTAATACAAACAAATGCTTTCAAGAATGATTTTCTTAATTACTTAATTTCTTAACAAGATGCAGTGAGATCTCCCACCTAATCTTCAAGGTAGGAGTCAGTTTTACAGGCCACAGTTTTTCAACCCTCAGCTTCTTTGAATGACACCATACGCTTCTACTGAATACGTGCCCAGATTGACCCTCCAGTCCATCTTACAATGTGAACGACACTGGTTACTATGGTTCTCCTTCTGCCCCAGTCAGGAGGAAGGGCTTCTTCCAGGATGAGGAAGCCCTTGCCAAGTGACTGGGGCAGGAGAACCATAGTAGACCTTGCTCTAATTTTGGTCACAGCTGTTCCTGTGGAATAGAGCTTCATAAATGTAGCATTATACAAACAACAGCTACGTTTACTGTGTAATTACCGTGTTCCAGACATTGTTTTAGTACATTTTATGTATTTAATACATGAAATAACCTGATGAGGTAGGTAATTCTATCTATATCCTTGTTTTAAAGATGAGAAAAGCAAGGCATAGATAAGTCAGTAACTAGCCCATAGTCACCCCAAAGCCACATCACACCCAGCCCCACTGCATTGCAGCTCCAAACAACACTGGTGAATGCTTTCACTGTTTGTATACGGAGAATTTATTGAAAGATTACATTTTTTCTAGGCCAGTGCTCTCAATGGAGTATCAGTGTGTCCTACAGCCTGGCAAAAAACTCTTCAGAAGTACACATGTTCCTCACTTCTGTATCAAATTCAGATACATGCTTTAAAAGTGCGGGAGGAAGAAAAGAAAATAGCAATGTATGAAGACTAAATAGAGAAAACACAATTGAGCAGCAGAGGGAGAAATCAGAGGACAGAAGTGTGAAAAAACAATAGAAGGTCTTCCTCTGCGTTGACCCTAGGTCCACAACTCTAGACGAAGTGCTAAAAATAACTTCACTATTCTCAGGGGAGAGGGAAGGAACTGTGAAGTTTTCTGCTCTCACACTTCAGGTTTCCATAAATAGTTTCAATACTTGTAGGCTACAGGGGAGAAGAATGAGTCTTCTCATGGTTTTTGGACATAAGGGATGTATATTGACCTCTGAGAATTAAATTTTAAATCACCATAAAATAGATGAGAACAGAGATATACAAATCCACTGTAAAGAAACTGACTTTTCCAGGCCAGCAAGATTTTGCAGACACAAACCTGAAATGTATTTCTTGGAACATGAGTCCTATAAAATGTCCTTCAGAGGAAAACCAAAGCTTCTCTTGCCCACATTTTGGAGATTCACAGAGCACATTTCTATACTAAGGGCTCTAAATAGTCCTATAGGAATAACACATTTGGTTCAGTGTTTTATGCACTTATTTGATAATGTTTCTGCTTTTAGGACCTGGGAAGCCTTGGTAACTTATGCTTACAAAAGTAGGAGATTGCAGAGCCTGAGTAATACTTACTACTCTAAAGTAAATGGACTCTTCTCTAGATGTCACAATATGGTAGAATTAACGTGGGATCTGGAATGAGCTAAAACAGGAATCCTTGATCTTGCTTCTACCATTTACTAGCTCTGTGACTCAGCAAGTTTTTTGCTCTTTGTGAGTTTCACTTTACTAATCTGTAAATTGGGATAATAATACCACTTGTGGCTTTGTAAAATCCTGTACTTATACTAAAGTCATGAGTGTCCTATGAGTCAGTCATAAGCTATTTTGCTAGAGGTAACTTTGTGGTATCTGGCAAGTTATTTTTAGAACCTACCTGTTGTTTTGCCTGGGTCTGTATGCATGTGTGTAAGGATGGGGCGGGTGTTGCCTACACCAAGTTTTTATGACATTCTTTTCTTTCATGCTGGTACTTCCCCAAACCTGTATTTTTGGAATGTGCATATCACTAACTACACACACGGCTAGATTCCAATCTCCCCTTTGTACAGAATGCCAAGAATAGGGTAGGAGGTTGAGGGCTATACTAGGGGCTTTTGTTGATTTTTCTCCTTGTGATTTTAATTTTGATCTGTGCATGAATGCCAGATTTAATTCTTAGGTCTAACTTTCTCCCGGTTCTTCTTTAATGCTAGTTCCACGGAACTGTATTCTGGGGGTTATTTTTAGGCATGTGAAGCCACATGAGCTTGATTCTATACTTTATTTGGTTGAAAAACAGTACAAGATGGTAGAGGAGGCAAATTAACAAATACAAACACTGAAAGAACACTGAAGCAAGATCACATAACTTTTAACGTTGCGTTTCATCTCTTCTTCCATTACTGTAATGGAAATTCCTTTAGAGATGTTAGTTTAGTTTATTTAGATTATGTCATTTAAGAGTTTGAAGATAGTTCTAGTTTCACTTAAACTTAGAGCAATGTTTATAAAACTTCTCTGGGCCTTAAAGAAACAGCTGATGTATTTCCAGGGCAGCCAATTTGGAATTAAAGGCAGACCAAGCTCCTCATACCATTTAAATAGACAATTCTCCCCACGGGCAGACTTACTAGTGGGTAGAGAACAGTCAGGTTAGTGCATTTTTTTTTACTCTGATAATAAAAAAATATAGTAGTTGTTTTTAGATCACAGAGTGTTTCTAAAGCAAATAATTGATTTAACCCCCTTAAATCCTCCTTGGAACAATAAACAAAGGGTCTTAGCCATATCCTGGTAGGAAGTAATTTTTTTTTTGAGAGTCAGTTAGTCCTTTTGTAAGGAACAAGAACTTTTTAAAGTCCCGAGGATACCATTTAGCAAATTATTGTCGCAGTTTCTTTAGTGATACCCCAGGGCCCAGAAAGATGTAATGAGCCTTTGAAAGTGCCCAAGTTACTGTTAGAGAGTAACTTATAACTGGGAGAATTTAGCTAAACACGCTGGAAAGTTTCTGTGGATGGCTGTGTAGATCAAGGCCACATAAAAAGGATAGATTCTAAACCTGGAACATACTTCTTCATAAAATAAGCTTCATTTTATCCTATCCAATGGCATTATTAATAATATATTTACATACAATATAACACAAGTAGCAAAATGCCTTTGAAGTATGTATTGCTTGTGTATATTCTGTTGCCTTAAGATCAATAAGCATATAAATACCTTCTTTTAGGGTTTGAGAGATGCTTTTGAATCTAATTATATTAGTTTCTGGTAAGAGTGTTCAAATCAGAAGAAAGTAGTTTGGGTCATGTCCATTTGCTGACATGGTTTGGTTTTGACACCTGCCTCTACTACTGGGGGCAAATTACAAATACTGTCTCTCAGCATTATAAATATATGGGAAATGGAAAGGACTCTCTCTTCCCTTATTTCCACATTTCAAAGTAGAACTTAAGTAACTTGGAATAATACTCAGCACCGTAGACAAAAAGTGGCTACTGTATTTAAACAGAGGGTCAGTGCTGTAATCTTATGCCCTATCAAAGACTGCACTGAAATCATTGGCTTTATGTATAAATGCAGAAGAACATATATAGGTATCCTTGAAAGGAAGATGGCTTAAAGTCATTCTAATTAAACTATCAGAGTTTAGACCTTTTGGACCTCTAAAACCTTTTGTACTCTTTGGAAAAAGGGGACATCAAGGATCTTGAGAGTCTGATTGGGTATATTCTACAACCTTAGTTTGCATCTTTATGATATTTACCTCATCGCAGGGACTTTTAAAATAAATTTCACAGAAAGTTGCTAGTATTAAAAGATTTCCTCTTCAGACAAGGTAATTTTGTATCACATATTACAGGTAGCTTTGTGATTATTTCGTGATTATTTTGCATTGCTATAGGCCGGTTTTCCCAGAAATTTCAACTTCTTCAACAAACAAAAACAGGATGGTAAGAAAATAACAATGTTTATTACCCAATTGATTTTCTTTTGATTCCAAATCTTGTTTTTCTTTTGAAGTGTATAAATTCACAGAAGTCAGAAGCTGAATGCAGTCACAAAGAGAGCAAAGCACTTTGTAAAGTGAACTCAATACCCCCGTTGGGGCTCAGAAAACAGTACCCCAAAGTGAAGTCCTCAGAAGCAGCCCCAAAAGTAAAGTCTCTGACCTTCTCCTACCCTCCCATCCTCTCTCCCTTCCTTCTCCACTGAGGCAAGATAGAAACTAAAATTCCTCTTCCCCAAGGTGGGTCATAGAAACCAGAACCCCTTTCCCCCAAAGTCCACCATAAAGCCTCAAAATATTGCTTTAACATCTCCCCCTCCAGGAACCCCGCCTTTTTGTGTAACAGTTGGCCATAAAGAAATTAAGACCTTCATTCCAGAGAGTCCTATTGCATGCCTGAGAGGGAGGAAGGCTGCACAGAGACGCCAAGAAGCTGGACAGTCCTTGCTGGGTTTCCCCACTCAGTCTTTAAGCATTCGATCATACCCCTTCTGTCCAGTTGTATTTTACATGGCTGTCCATACATCATTGAATGTCAGTGTAAAAATGGATTGTTTTCCCTGTATCTTTGGGTCTTTATTCTGAAGTCTCTTTTAAAACTATGATCAAATAAATTTGTATGCCTTTTCTCCTATTAATCTGTCCTTTGTCACTTGATTTTTTTTTAGCGAACCTTCGAAGGGCAAAGGGGAAGTTTTCTCCTCACCCCACACCTCTCTGTACCTTCATGTTGAGTTAGCCCAAGCTCCTGGCTGACCCTGACCAAACAGAGCCAGTGATAAGATCTTCTATCATCCCATTCAAAATATGTGACAGAGTAGATTTACACCAACAAACTCATTTTTTTTCTTTTAAGACAGTTCTGAAAACTAGTCTCCAGAAACAAAAGCAGACATCTAAAGTATGCTGCATCATTTCCTCAAAGCTGAATATAAAACTATTCTCCTGTGGTTATAACTCTTAATTTTTAAAATCCTTTCAGTCTTCTCTTGAAATTCCTCTGATTTGGTGGTTCTTAAATTTTATTACACAATGGAATCACCTTGGGGACTTTGTATTTGTCTGTTTTCACACTGCTGATAAAGACATACCTGAGACTGGGTAATTTACAAAGAGAAAGAGGTTTAATGGACTCACAGCTCCACATGGCTGGGAGGCCTCACAATCATGGTGGAAGGCAAAAGGCACGTCTTGTATGGCAACAGACAAAAGAGAATGAGAGCCAAGTGAAAGGGGCAACTGTTTATAAAAACATCAGATCTCTTGAGACTTATTCACTACCATGAGAACGGTATAGGAGAACCCCCCAACCATAATTCAATTATCTCCTACCATGTTCCTCCCACAACATGTGGGAATTATGGGACCTACAATTCAAGATGGGATTTGGGTGATGCTCAGGTTGCATTCCAAACCGGTTAAGCTGGACTATCTGCAGGTAAAAGTTACGCATTTGTATTTTTGAAAGAACTTTTTCATCATCCAAAACAGAAACCCTGTACCTATTAAACAATCACTCCCCATTACTCTCCTACCCCTCAACCTATGCTCGCACATCCCCTGCCAGCCCATGGTAACCACCAACCGACTTTTTGTCACTATGCATTTGACTATTCCAGGTACTGTATATGAGTGAAATCATACGATGTTAGGCCTATTTCACTTAGGATTAGGTCTTCAAGATTCATCCATGTCATAGTATGTGTCACAATTTCCTTCTTTAAAGAAGAATAGTTTTCTTTTGGATGTATACCATTTTCTGTTCATCCATTCATATGTTGATGGACATTTGAGTTGTTTCCTTTTTTTGCTCTTGTAAACAGTGCTGCTGAAACATGGGTGGAGAAATATCTGTTTGAGTCTCTGATTTCAATTATTTGGGGAATATACCTAGAAGCAGAATTTCTGGATCATGTGTTAATCCTATGTTTAATTTTTCAAAGGAACTGCCATACTGTTTTCTACCATGGCTGCACCATTTTACATTCCCATCAGCAGTGTACAAGAATTCCAATCCCTCCACAACCTCACCAACATTTGTTATTTTCTGTGGGTTTTAAAAAATATTTCTTATAATAGCCATTCTAAGAGTATAAAATGGTATAATTGCTTTTTGACATTCAGTATATTTATTCCAACTCTTTTTTTTTCCAGGCCATCACCACTTTTGGTTTTAATTCTTCCTTTTTATAGCTTAGAAACTTGTTAACTCAAAGTGGGGTCTCTGGAATACCAGAACAAACATCATCTGGGATTTTTTTCAGAAATAGGGATTTGAATCAGAATCTGCATTTTAACAAAGGCTCCAGGTGATACACATACAAATTAAGTTTTAAAAAGTGCATAGTACATCACATTAATTACTCTTGACATCATTTCAGGATCTTTCTATCTCTGTCTTTCTGCTCCATGTGCAGCACACTCCTGTAACCTTCAATTAATCCAAACATCTATATCTACGCTTCTATGTCTACACTGCTGGACATTGTTATACAAAATTCCACTACCTGAAAGACTGTTGTTATTACAAAGTCATGATTTCCAACCGCATGTGGATCCTCACCAGCTCCTTTTAAAGCATCTCTTGTAAATTCCATTTCTCATTATGTAAAAGAGCAATTTTGATTTGCAAAACTCCTCTCTGTTGCCTTTTCCAGCCCATCTCACTCTTTTCTGAAAGGAAGATTTTGCATTCTTCCTCAGTGAGAAGATAAAATAGGAGCCTTCAAGTGCAAAGCCTCTCAACTGAATGTCCTCCTCCACTTACAACCTAATCACTTACCTTTCTTCTAGTGATAGGAATGCAGTATTTTGATCTTTTCAAGGTTTTATTTCTCTATCTGTGGCCTGCATCATAACTCCTTTCTCTCCTTCAGCCACTTTTTCTCAAAAGGCTTCCCGTTAAATACCATTCAATTAAACCTGACTATTGATTTCACCTGCAAGGCTCATTTTTCTGCAACGACTTCAGATAACTCATAAACAAATGATTATGTCCTTCTCGAATTCAACTACACTCACCTCCAAGTACTTGAATTGACACCTGTCCCTTTTCCTAAGAATTATTCCTGACTATGCTCACTCTTCTCAAGTCAATTTAGGGCTTTCTCTTTTAACCCCCTATAATGCTGGTGCCTGACTATCTTACAGCACTTATCAAGCTGCATTGTAATTGTTGCCATGACTGTCTCCAAAATCTAGACAGTGAACAAACTGAAGGCAAGAATTTCTTGTACTTAATCCCATTTCTGGCATATGGCAGATGTTCCGTAATGTTTGTTAAGTGGCTAAATCAAGTGCTGAAGTGCGCCCACATTCTTTCCACTGGCTCAGCACTGGTAGCAGTAGATCCTCGCCTTGATGTGCCTTGACCCCATGGCTGGCTTCTTGCATCCTGAAACGTGCTATATTCCTAGGTAACTAGAGGGTGTATTTTGTGTTAGGAGAATCATTCTATAGGCTTTAACTTTCTGAGACCATAGTTTCCTCCATGTATGTTAATTTTGAGCTCATTATCCGTTAAACAAAGGAAAAATAATTTATTTGTAATTTTAATTAGCATGTCAAATTTTGGGGGGACTCATTGTTGCTAAGTGAAATTGGTTCTCTAATCTGAATTTGGATCAATTTCTACAGCATTTCCAAGACCAGCGCTTCTCAAATTTTAATATGCAATAAGATTACATGGGATTTTGTTAAAATACAGATTCTCAATAAATGTTGCATCTGCAAGTCTGAGTTGGGCAGGAGATTCTGCTTTTCTTCCATACTCCGAAGTGGTAACAGTCTGCTGGGCTGGGGAACAACACTTTGGTTAGCAACATCCAAGACCACCACCTCGTGTTGTAAAATACTAAATTTTTATTGTGTAAATTAGATCATTGCATGGCTAAGCATAGGAAGTGATATGGTATATCAATGATGGTTATGTAAAATTAAAGATCAATTAATTATTAAGTTGATAGTTACCTTTATCACGAGTCAAAAGAGGTGAGTAAAAGAACATCAAAGATAATCATTTTGTGTTTGTTGTTTTAATACTAAAAGCTATTTCAAACTATGAAAGATTACTTTGGAATGATTTATGACCTAAGACTTGAAGCAGTATAATAGAACTTTAAAAAGAGGAGAGTTATGTCGAAGACACAGAACAAGGTCTTACTCTATATTTTCCAGCCTGAGTTAAAATGTAAGGCATGACAGTAGAGTTGCTTATCTCCATAGGGCATGATGCATGAGCACCTATTTGAAGCAGCCTGGAGCAGGGTACAGGATGAGGTATAGGAGCAGGAACAAGCGTGTCACCAGCACTTCTCAGGAGTTCTGGCTGGGACAGCCGCATTGACCAGGTGGAAGGTGCCCTTGCTACTGAGCAGTGTAGTGGCCCTGCATTTAAGCTGCTGGTTCTAGAAGTGTGGGTAGGTAAATTGGCCCAGATTTTGAGCTGCAGTATAGCTATAATCCTAAAAATTGGAGTACCAGAATGTTTCAGCTAGGCAGTGGAGGATCCTAAGTGGGGTTAGATCCTCCTAAATGAGTGTTTTCAGTCCTGACTGCACCTGTGAATCACATGGGTTATCTTTAAAGCCCCTCACTGCTAGGCCCCCACCCTCACAGGTTCTGATGTAATTGGCCTGTGGTAAGACTGAAGCATCAGTAGTTTTAAGTTTCCCAGGTGATTGTAACGTGCAGTGTAGATGGGATCCACTGCTTTAAGTGCTCCCAGGATAAAATTCCTCCTTTGTAGACTTGGCAGAATGTCTTCCTTTATAGCTGGGCCCCTTAATTCTAATTTGCAGGCTTAGATTGATCTCCTTCTTTAAGATAATGGCTGTCAAACGTCAGCAGGCATTAGCATCACCTGGAGGGCTTATCAAAAACTAGATTGTTGGGGCCTCATCTGATAATTTCCCATTCCAGGTCTGGGGCAGGGCTGAAATGTGCATTTCTAACAAGTCCCCATATGGTGCTGATCCTGCTTCTCTGGACACCCCACTTTGAAGACCTAGGACAAGGCCTGATCTTCAAAAAGTGGGATCCTGATCTTAAACTCAGGATGAAACTGCCTTTGTAATATTTCTAAATCCTAATGATGCTAAATTTAGTCATGGAATCTAGACTTAGGCATTACTGCCATAACTCAGCCCTCATCCTGTCTTCCAGTTTAGATCCCTGGCTTTCTACTACTTTTTTCACTCTTTCCTAGCTTGGAAATCCAAATATGAAAATTTCTAATTTTGAATCAGAAGCCTTGGGTATCTCAAAGATGTTAAGCAATGGGTTAAGATGAGATGCCATTTAGAAAATTATCTCTGGTTGTGGGGTTGAGGATGGGTTGGAGAACAGCTAGTGAGAGTGGTTACAGGAAGATTGGCAGTGACACAGGCCAGGCAAGGGCAATGGCATTGGGATGGAGGGAAGAAAGCAATTTATGAAATAGTAAAAAAATTGTTTGACACAATTAAGTGATGACATGTTAAGTTGAGAAAGAATCAAGGATACTTCATCACGATCCATGATTTAACAGTAAGATAACTAATAACAAAAAACTTATCACTAGTTATTACTTGATACAATGTATTTTAAGGAGTATAATAATTGTCACTAAATGGTATGATGTAAAAGAGATAGGTGTTTGTTATATCCTTTATAGGAGTAATGGTGAGCTTACGAAGTGTCTAAGTTTGACCCTGTCCCAATTTTATCTTTTTATAAAGGAACAGCTAGAAACACAGATGGTTATCTAAGATCCTTCAGTGTTTTTCACCAGGAACTGTTATCATGTTAGAGTAAATTAGATTTCTTGAGGGAAGTGTATTAATTCTTCCATGACGTAAAATAACTTCTATGTAGCTGGAGATTAGGAATGTATCAGACCTCGAAGAGGGGAGGCTCAGAATTTCAGCAGTGCACACCAGTGCTGTGCATTTTTCAGGACAATGTGATTTCTCATTTTTAGCATTCCATCCTAGCAAAATTTCAGATTGTCTCATTCTACTTCTTGGAAATGAACCCAATAAAATGGCAAATATGCTTAGTGAGCCAAAGAAAACATTTGAAGTTGAATTTTACTTCTTTAATGTTTTTTTCTTTGTTTTAATTGCTAAAGGACTTCTTTGTCTTTAAACATGAGATTGGCATTAAATTAATAGAATGATTTAATCAAGTCCTCCTGGTTTACAGTTCAGAGAACGCTAAGAAATGAATAGTCAGTATTATAGCTAAGTTTTCACATGGCATGAATCATTGCAATTTCCTTTGCATTTTTCTGGCTAGAAAAATAATACAGAACCAATAACAACCAAAGATGAGGTGTCAAGGAAAACAGGAGCTATGAAGTAAAGTATGTAAAGTTTTATGGAGCTGCCTGGATATCAAAGTTGTTTGTATAACTCAGAAGAAGTAATCTGATCTGGTGTTCCCAAAATTCCTTAAAATATTCATCTAGAAAACAGAAGATATACTCTGGCATCTTGAAACACTTTCTGTCTTGTAAGACTACATCTCCTCTAAACTGTGATCCAGGATAAAGCTAAATGAGAGCAAAAGGAATAACAGTTGGTGGAAATATAACAAGATGAAATGTACAAGACAGAAATATCCACTGTAAAATCCCAGATGTACAGAAGTGATTTGTAAGTTCAACCGTCATTGTTAAATCTTGTTTTAATTTTTTATATATTTTTTAGACTTACAAATTACTAAATGCTGTAAAAATGTTTTAATATTAGTGAAATTCATGTTTCTGATTTTAAGCACATGTCAAGTGAGAGGATACTGAAAGGATCTTCTGAATTAGTTTTTTTCCTTTTTTTTCTCTGAATTAGTTGGAAGTATTTTTAAGATAGTTCCATAAAACTTGGAAATTCAGATGTCAATGTAAAAGATATATATAGCTTTAGAGCCAAGGCTTCACTAATTTAAAAAGTTATATTTGGGGCACTATCAGAGATATCCATGATATACAACACATCCCATTTACAGAAAAACCTTGCTGTAAGAATTCTGAACTTTTATAAAAAAAAATCTAGTATGTGAAAAATAAGCTTCAAATGATTTTATATGGGGGAGATTAAAAATTTGTTCAGCTTCTTTAAGCATGGAGAGCACGCAAAGGAAAATGGAGAATAATCTAAAGTCAGAGCAAGCAAAGCAGCGGTTATCTTGGTTTTACGTGCAAAATGGATATAATGACAATAAAGACCATACATGTTATAGACTTTGCAATAAAGATGTATAACAGGGCTGGACATCTTTATTTTGCAGCTGCAAAAGGGCTGTATTTTGCTTTGGAGCTGAACACTAAGTTCTGACACTGCTTGAAAGTCTTGGAAGAACTTCTGTGGTTGAGAATTACTATAAAATGAGCTAATGCAACTCTGATCATTCCATTTCGTCTTTACATTAATTAATTAATTAATAATTCTCCTTAGCAAACCAAGAAAACTTGATATATCAGAACGTTAATTATTTACTTGTCAAAGTACTGAATTAGACCTGGATCTGTCTGGGGAGGGGTATGATATATTAAGTACAAATGCTCTGAAACACTAAGAATGGATACAGCTTGAGACAGGAAGAAAACTATGACATGGATGCAAATTTAAAATGAGAATGAAGGTTGGACATCCAAATGTCTTCTGAAGCAAGACTACCCCTGTGAAATAATAACAATAATGGTTCATCAGAAAATACTTAAATGTTTGGGTAGGAAAGTAGAAAACGGTCCAGCATCTGATTTCTAAGTTTCCTTTAATGTGAGCCACCCTGTATGCAATGGGATGAACAATCCCATGGAATAATGCTGAGCCTGACTCTTAGTTGGGTGCATCTCAAATTACCTCATTAACCATTCCTGGCATTTTTGCTTCTGACTACCAGGAAAATGCTGCTTGTCCTCACGTTCTTCAGCAAGATTATTTTCTTACAATAATAACACTGTAATAATTCTTTCAAGGCTGAAGGTCACTTCAGTTGCATTTCTGTTGAATGTTTTTATTACCAAGTTTCATAGAATTTCACAGGTCCACGAGGACCAAGCATTATGAACTTCACAGCATGTATTATTATTTGTAAAATTAAACAAGAAGGTGTCAGCTAACAAATAATAACAATTATTATGACTTCTTAGCTTCATATCTATGTAAATTACATTTTTAACTTTGCTAATCCTTTCTCATCTCTCACCACTTTCAAACCTTATGAAAAATCCTATAAGATAAACCAGGTATCTCTTATTATCTCTATCTTAGAGTATATTGAAGTTCTTTTAGTTTCAGTGGTTCACACTAACTTAGTGTTACAGTTCAGACTAGGACTAATGCAATAAGAAATAGAAAATATAGGAAATTTTCCATAAATTATAGATATTCACAAGTACACACACATACACACACACACACACACACACACATATATACTTGAATTTTCCAGATTATTGTTTGAGGATTATATACAAGTTTTGGGGTAAGGGGGTTGAGGTTGGACTTGAACCATTGAGCTTCCTTGGGTTCATGTAATGCACTGTGTATAATACTGCCATATGCATAAATGTCTTGTGCCTCAATAGAATAAAATTTCCAGGGTAATGGAAATGAAAGTCTCACAACTGGGAACTATTAAGAAAATGGAATAGAATCAGCTAAAACAATTAGGTACATTTTATAGACATTTTTGTATAATCTTTCAAAAATGAAGTCAAGTGTAAACCTAAAACTATTAGTAGAGAATAATTGTAGAAATAAAACCAAAAAATACTCTGCCCTTTTGTACGCAGCATTCTGAGGTATTAAAACTAGATATTCACTGCTCTGTTAAGATCGATTTTTTTTTTACAACTAACTCAAATGCTGTAGGATTAGAGTTATTGCTCTTTAGATACTAAATAACGAACATCCCAGCAGGGCAGTTTTGTGAGTTACATATGATGGCATAACCGTACATCAAAGCAATTCAAGTTAAGAAACACATATTACTTCCTGGGACAGAACATTCACTTAAGATTATAGATAAAGAACATTCTCTTAAGGAAGGAATAAAGGCTAACTTGACTTTGAGCAATGGTGAGAATTTTCTTTTGAGGATTTAAACATGCCCTCAATCTTGGGCCATCTTACAACTCTCTTTCTTTTTTCAGGCCTTTGATCTTGCCTTCATTGTTGTTTTAATGACTCTGAGCATCTCCGTATATGTTTTGAGTTCTTTGACCCTTTTTGGAAGGAGTTTCCTATGAGTGCTTGTTATTAATAGATGAAATAAATAGCTAGAAGTCTGATAGCATTTGACCACATAGTGAAAAACATGACATTTGTCACAACTAAAGGGTAGGAGTAAAAGAACTATTGAAAGGGTGGAAATAGAGGGCCACTTGAATACTTAGAATTATGTTTCTCAGGCCAAATTTGAGGGATATTATCTCTCTCTAAGCAGATAAAATACTTACTAAAAACTTGGGCACTCCTGGTTATGAACTCACTAGTAATTATTTGCTAGTGAGAGGAACCTGTTCCAATGAGACCTTCATTTAATGACTAGACAGTGTGCAGGATAGGAATACAATGCTCCGATCATAAAATACACCTGTTGATTTGTTTTCAGGAGAAGTGTTGGAGATGTATTTAATGAACAAAGTAATATGCACTTTTAAAGTCTTGTTAACTATTTTAACTTTCTATTTAAGTTGCTAAAAGTTGTAACTTGGTAAATGGTTTCCTAAGAAGCGTTAATATATAATGAGTGGTTTGTGGCAGGATGTGTGATCTACAGTCCCCTCCTTCATGTTCTGGAGCTGCTCCTGATGGAAAGCACAAAGAAAATCCTACCATCTTCATCTCTTCACATCCCAACTCTAGCAGCTGGACCAAAAGGGCGTATTACCAGGCATCTCTGTGAGGCCCCAGCAGCTGTAGGGGTGCTGGACAGCCTTATCGGATTCAACCAATATCTACCATGTTACAGGCACAAATTTACTTCGATGCTATGTGACAAAAGCTTTCCTATTACCCATTTACACAAGGACACTGAAGCTGACAGAGCTGTAGGTAACCCAAAATTCCTGTTTCTAAATCCATAGGCCTCACCTGATCATACCCATTTAAAACAAATAACGAAAGTATAAAACAGTTAAATAGCAGATCATCAGTAAATGAGAGTAATAGGAAACACTTTGGGAATTCTAAAGCCTTTTACTTTGTCTTCCAACACTAAGATAACAGGTATTCTTGTGCGTAGGCCATAACCCTAACTTTCATTAGTGTAATTTTTCTAAACACCAATCTGAGTAGATCTAGTGCACTCCACACAAGTGAAGAATATTGGTGGAGGGAATAAATGAATGAATAAAGGGGGAGGACTTATCATTGAAAATTCTTTCTATACCCTTTAAACTTTTTGGTAAAACTGCCTGTGATCTCACAATCACACATATCTTTGAAACTATTCAGTGCTTTCTGTTTGCCGCGTATAAGCAGGTCCCAAAGCTTTAATGTCTGACTCAATTTTCTGCAGTCTATTCATGAATACTCTACATGACTGCAATAAATTATAAACCCTCCAGATCCATGTGAATGCATGCATCTTTGGATACCTTTACAAACCTCATGGTAGGTCTGTATTGAAGTACATTCGCTGTAATGTGTTTCCATTAGAAGCAAAAAAACAGCCCATTTAAAAATTGCTTATAATGATTGGCACAGATATCGTACATTGGCAAATGACGTTCTTTACACATTTTGCATGTACTTTATGTAGTTACGTACTGTTGTGTATTACTATATGCTTTCTTGTCAGCTATTTACACTCGCAGTGTTTATTTCTGAGCCCATTCCATTAATATCTGTTATCTTTGGTTATACTTTGAAAAATCATTGTCTTAAAAACTTAATTTAGAATACTCCTGGCCATACACTTTAAATATTTCTCCCAAAACAACTTGAGAAGCAAACGTGGTTTTAATTTTCTATAACTATTTATCTTTTAGTTGTACAACGTGTTTCCTGCCGGTAGTTTATACTCACATCCAGGTGAAGGGGGTTGCCAGTGTTACATCAAAAAATAAACTTTAAAAAGGCTCTCCAAAAGTAGTGTTTGGAAACTATTCATTTGACCTTCAGTGACAAAGCTTATGCCTTGCAGATTGATTAATACAGATACAATATCAAATCATTTTTCATACAATTTTTTAATGTTTGTTAAGTGCTGGAGCAGTATGTAAACAGAGTATTTGGCATTTTTATTAGGCTGCGGAACTCAGTCATTTCCTTTGCAACAACATCTCATAAACTATTTTGACAGTCTAATAAACTATAAAAAGCTGTGGTAAAAACTGGCTCTGAATGTTATAACCGTACAAAATGGAAAGAGCAAGAGAAAACATCTATCACTGGGATTATTATCACTGTTGCTATGGCAACCTGGTTGCAATGGCAATATCTCCACGGTTCTGCTGTTTGTTATCATCTTTCTTGATTTTACATCATTGAAATTGTAGTAATTACACTGTGCCTGATGAAAAATGCATGCTGTCATGGCAACTAAGTCAAATATTCTTAATCATTTCACCTCTTCAATCTAAAATGTAATTGTTTGTCAGTAAAATAGGTTATACAGAAGGCTTCTATGGACTTATGATTGCCTTAAGTGTTTAGCAAAAAAAAAAAAAAAAAAAAATAGTGCTTTTAGGCTCAAGACCCTAAGCTAAACTAATAGCCTGAGATGGTAAACAATGACTCATTATAATAAGTAAGTAGCAATAATTGTAGAGTGACTTCTCCAATGTTTTAAAATTATAAACCATCATGACTTTAATATAGTACTTAAAATCAAAGACATAAGAGAGTATTTTCAATCGTCCTAGTATATTCAATAAGTTATTTGAATCAGATGTTATGTTAATTTTGGTGTGTCCCTCTTCTATGTTATGAGTCAGTGTCTTCTGATGAATATACTTTGGAATGTTTTCTTCTTCTGTGAATAATTAAGGCACAAAGGAAGAATCCTCTTTGCAAATGTGAAAAACATAAAATAAGACATAAAAAGAATGCCTTTCCAAATAGAGCAATTGGTTATAAGTCCATCAGGTATACTACAAAGTAATATATTTTGTGTAGTATTTTCACAAGTACATGATTTTTTTTGCCATATCTACCTATGTATCTGAGTAATATGTGTATCCTATTAGAACAGAATAGAAGAATCAATACATTTGTGCTATAAAATGGCAAATTTATCCTCCTGAGTAAATATCCATAAATAAATTGTAAAATTTTAACAGTAACATGAAAACCATAGTACACATTTTTATAATTACCTAAATTCTATTTCCGCTGAAGGATGGAAATTTAAATTGAGTCAAAAATCTTTTGTTTTGATAATAATAAAATTTTTACTGCTTAATTCATATTTCTTTTTAATATTTGAAGTAACAATGCTACAAATGAGAGCAGCAAAATAAGATATTTTATGCTTTTTCCAGAATTCATGAATAGTCTAATTATCTTTCTTCTATCTTTAGCTGTACTTTACATTTGGAAACACAGAATAAGCTAAATATTATATTTTCTGGGTTTTAAATTCATGAGAAAATTTTACTGCACTTAGAAAATTATACATTTTATTTCAAACATAGCCAGGCATAATTTCCCCATCTCTGTACCTATATTTCTTCTTTAAGTTAGCGTGTCATTACTTTTCCATTAGAAACAGGTACTAGCTAGCTGTAATATGATTAATCCATTTCTGCCAAAAGCAGAAGATGTCTTCGCTATTGTAAAGCCTGGATTTTATCAACATTGGGGGAGGGGTGGAGAAATGAAATGCAAGTATGTATTTTCGGAGCTTGAGCACCAATGTGTTTATAACGATGATAGTAATTTGATTGTGATGGTGGCTGTTTGCTTCATCTTTAATGGATTTAAACATAAAATTGCTTTAAAACTTATTCATTGCTTCCACATAAAAAAAGTATCACACAAATAAAATGAATATAAAATACTGAAATGGAAACAGATCTGTCATTAATAATAATTTTAGCTAAGAGTGAAATCTTTTAATAAAAACATCAAAAAATCAGTTTAACAATAGACTGAACATGTTACTCATACCTGTTTAGGTTAAAAAAATTATGTTGCCAGTGACTATTAACATATTGTATTATAAGGATAGAAAGCAAACAGTGTGTAATTACATATTTCAAGAATGTTAAATAATGTATCATCAAAACTGGAGGTTATTTAGAATTATAAATTCATAGAAATATAACATGAACAACAGTCAGCCTAGAGACCAAAACTACAAGGTAACTATCCAGGAAGATAATATTTGTTTGAGAATGCTAATATTGATAATATTTTAAAATAGCATAATCAGTTTTCCAAAACAATTACTTTAACTCTGGCTTCCTCAAGAGTATGTCTGTGGTTGAGTGGATGGTTTCACAAAATAGTACCCACTGTTATAGCCATATCCCTTATTATCGCCTCCTCCTGCCCCACTAGGATTATGATTAATACTAGACTTAAACATTGTAAAAATACATATGTGTATATAAAGTACAAAAATAGAAAATGTTCATGGCTCTGTATTAACTTTGAGCCTTCCTCTGGCTTTCCTTTCAGCTTGTTCCTGCTTTAGTATTTCTTAACTTTCTACTTTCTAATTAAAATTGCTGTGAGAAATGGATTGGCTCGTCTCATCCTTCTTTGGGCTGAACGTTCCCCTGGGGGCCCTTCTCTAGCTGGGGGACTGCCTCCCTGTAGGCTGTGCCGGGATGCTGCTCCCCTTGGTCCCTTCATCAGCTTAGTCCCTGGGCCCCCTTTCTTGGTCCACTCCATGCTGGCCAGGTGGTGATGGAGTCACATGGGACACAGCAGGATGGCACAGGGCTGATGCTCCCACAGGAAATGTAACATTCATGTCTTCATCAAATCTGAACTGTGCTTGAATGACGGCGAAGCACTGTTTGAGGCACTTGGGGCTGTGTTCCCATTGGTGAACAAAGTGCCACGAATTCCTGCCCTTGTGGGCTTCCGTAAGCAGCCGCCATTTTCCTTTGAAGGAGCTGAACATGGCAGATGCCGTTTCACTAACTCGCATCCTTCTCCATCCACTTCATAATGTGGGGGCCGATTCGGTGAAAATATACAAAATCACATCGTGAACTCTGAAGTGGTATAGAAACACGAGTGATCATTAGTATTTAATCTAATTTCTCCTCCCCTTCAGGAAATTTTCTCCTTCATTCTTCTCACTGTCAGTTGGGAGCTCAGGGAATTCAAATTAATTTAAAGATTAGACTGAGTAAAACATAATTAGGAAGGTAAATGTTCTGGGGGTGGGGGAAGAAGGGCAGCAGAAAATGCGTTCCTGACATACATATAAATGACACTGGCGTTATCTGCCATTTTTACATTATCTGTGCACTATTGCTGTGTCTTGGCATGGATAATCTGAAGCTGACTAAAGTTATACAAGAAATCAAACTGTGTAAGTGGCAACAGTAAGAGTTTAGGCACTTCAGGAGCAAATTCCAAAGACTTCCCTGCATGGAGGTAATTTAAAAATACAAGTTAAATATGGTTTTCATTATTGTGTTAAACAGACATATTTGACTGAATAAATTCTATCCTGAAAATAGAAATACACCCTAAATTTGAGCTGTATATCAAGACTATAACATTTTTTTCAATTGTTTCCTTAAAATACACACATGCAACAATGTCATGTAGGACAGAATTTGTAGAATATGGCTAATTTAGATCTGTTGCTCAATCTGTGTGTGTGTATTTTAACAATTTTTATATGATGATAAATTTCAGGTATCTTCTATTAATCAGAAGCTTCTCATACCTAGAGAAAAGCTCTAATGATAAAGTTCTCTATAGACTCCAAGGGAATCCTCTTAGAATCCTGATTGGTCAATATTTTTATTGCTTATTTTTTTTCCCTTTGAAACAGGCTATTAAAATAGTCATAATTAAAGAACACCATATTGGAAAGGTTTTTATAAATGGAAATCAGATTATTCACATTTCTTATAGAATATTCTCAAAAAGTCAAAGATATAAAAACTTGAAAAAAAAAGCATATTGCCTTTGTGAATCACAAGTTAAATATTAAATATTTCTTACAGCCTCCAAGGCAAAAATACTATTAAGGTATTGAAAATCTGAGCAACCTTTCTGTGCCACATTTAAACATCATTGATGGAGCTTTTAGGTCAGAATGAAACTTCTAGATTCAGTAATGTGAATTTCATTTCATTGTGTAACCTTCTTAGAACTGCCTGAAGGCTCAGACTAATAATACTTCTAATAAATGACAAGCTTTTTAAATATATGAACTCAGTCCAGCATTTAAGCTAAGAATGTTTGAAAAGGCAAAATCTCATTTTTCTTTCATTTTTATACCCCATCTGAAGGTAAAACCACAAAACCAATCTGTAAATTGAAAAATATAAATTTGAGAATTGTTCTATACTCTTTTTTATGTAAAGGTTTCAAAATCACAAGTCATATATAAGCAAACCAGGTCAATATTAGCATGTTCGGTATCATTTCTAATCAATTTCCATGTTTTTGCTGTTAAATGGAGCTAAAATGATCAGGTCATTCAAGTTATGTCAATAAGGCAAAAATCATGACTTCCTTTTGTAAAGGTATTGGGTAAGTGAGAGGATCAATCTTTGTAACATCATGGTTCACCTTCTAACTACACATGTTAAGGTGTTATATGAATATTCATAATGGCTCAGAGAAGCACTTTAAAATAAAAGCTAAGAATTGAGAGAAGCAAATTCAAGTTAGCCATCTAGTACTGCATTTTTACTTAGAGTACTATTAAAATGTTAGTGGATTTCTTATTCTCAGTAGCTACCTGCTGTCTAAAAGATTAAAGTCAAAGTCTCGAAACTAGGGCACAAAAGGGAGGACAGAGAAGTGCACCACAAAGCATTTTCTTGAAAAACAAAACAAAATTGTCATTTCTCTGATACATGAAATTTCCTTTTTAAAAAAACATACTGTTTCCATTAGGTCAATGATTTAAATCCTACCCAAGTCTTGAGTGAATGAAAATCTACTGTGAATGGGGACCTAATGCACAGGAAATGCATTCTGGGATTAAGGCTCTCAGTCTAACTGCTGAGAAACAAAATCACAGTTTCACAGTCATCTTGTTAGTGTCAATCTGAGATTTTCAGAATAAAACCAAAGAATAGGTATGGCAGCAATAGTTTTCTTGGAAGATTATACTTTGCTAAACTCTAAGGGAACTATTACTATATTACATTATACTATATTTGAAAGGAATTATTAGTATATTTGTATATTACATTCTCTTCTGCATCTATTTTTTAAATATCTTTAAAATGCTGTTGTTTTAGTAGGACTTTTTGGTTTTAAGTGACTAGAAATACAACCCAAACTAGCTCCAGAAGAAAAAAAAATTGTTGGCAGTTTCCAGATGTGGCTGGCTTTGAGGCTCAAGGATGTCTGGAGCTCTGTCTCTCTCCAGCTCACCTTTCAGTCACAGCTCTGTCTGCTGGCAAAATGGCTCCCAGCTTCAGCCTCATTTCCTTTCATTTAAATCCCAGTAGTAAACAGTGAGCCCTTTAAAGGAAACTCTAGGAAAACATCCCTGAGGTTCATTCTGCTTGTTGTCCTTAATGGGACTCAATCATAGGGATGAGAGAGTGAAGTCATTCTAGTTTAGGCCTGCATTTTATGTACTGCCTCTGGATTCTTGGTGATATAGCTACACTCTGAACATGAGCCTCCTAACACGTATAGATCCTCAAACGAAAATCAGGATATGGGGCTAGAAGAAGGAGGAATACATGTGGGTGAGGCACTCAACACAGAGCCACAATCATTGTCAATGTTCCATCTTCCATTATACTTTAAAAGTATTGCATTTGCTTTCCTGCTTTTGCAGTTCTTGTTTTCTGCAGCACACGGAATTCTCTCTCAGTATAATATTAACTCTTGCTTTGTGACTATATTTCATGACTGATGCAATTATGTGTTTGGGTATCACAATCTGTAGTTTAATGCAATGAGTTAACTCTTAACAGAATGAAGCATAGAAGTGATACCAGAGGAAGGAAAGGTAGCATGCTTGGCAGCCCTTGGGTGGGCAGGATTCTCAAAGGTAATAATAATAGAAGAGCTTTGGGTAGCTTCAAATTACTTTTTCTTTCTAATTGGCAATTAGTTCTAATTAACTTTTAATTAATATTCAATGTTTTCTTTAACAAATGGAACCCTGATGAGATCACATCTGTTAATACCACTAAGTTTCTATTTCAGTATTCTACAATTTTCCATTATGACTATAGCGAGTGCAACTTCAGACAAAAAAGTGATAACCTTTTAGGTAGGATGAAAAGGTGGCCTGACTTAAAGTCATTGTGTTTTAAACGTAATTTTAGCAAAAGCTACGACTCTATGAAATTGGATTTTGTCCTAGAATCTTACAAGATACTATTAGGAATTAGAAGTTACTGCCTCATTTTTGTGGCTTCAGTGAAAATTCTTTTCAAGAATTGAAAACTGTATAAAAGTCCCTCTTTTTACTATGATGGACACATAGAACATAATATAGAACATAGTGCATAGAAAGATGCTCAAAGGTCTCTTCCATCCAGTTGTTTTGGAGATAAAGCTGAAACCCAGGGAGTATTTTGGCTTGTCTGTGCAATTCTATACAACAAATATTAAAAGGAACAAAAATCAGAGAACTCTGCAGATATTTTACTTTATAGAAAGATGAACCTTGCAAGAAGAAAGCTCTGTTTTATTATCCTACCATTAGTTATCTTTGATTTACCAAGTTGCTTTTAGATTATTTGTAGACAATATTTTTTGTTTGTTTCATACTTTAAGCTTTTTAGTTCAGTTGATGTTTTGGCTTCTGGCTTGGATAATTGTTCTTATTATCTCTGTTTTATTTGTGAGCAAGCTTTTAGTAAATATTGTGGATCCATGTCCTTTCAGATTATCTCAATTTTACCTTTGATTACGATAATTTTTCAAATATGCTTCTGCAGTTGCTCAATATTAAATAAAACTGAAGCCATTTTTCATCATGATGTAGGGGTTAAGAAGAAAAACTGGGGTTCATCAAGTAATTTCTCAATTTCAGGCAGAAGTCAGAGTAGGCAAACCACAGATGCTTCTGGCTAATTTTTGGTTTGAACATCCAATTTCATTTTCCTTGATGACAGGCCAAAATTCAAAACTTCGATTTTGAGAAGCAAAATTCAACTGCGCTGACTATTCTTAAAATTGGCTGCAGAATTGCAGTTTAAGGACTAGCTTATTTGAAAGAGATTTTGGCCTTTGTAGAATAATAGGGAAGATGGCTATATTTGGGTATATGGGTTGTAGTTACTTATTTTCAACTTGAAAATGAAAAATCATTTGCCAAAACCCAAATTTCCTTTTCTTCATTGATCTTCTATTGCCCAAGATACTTTGGAAATATGAATCAAGGTTTCTTTTCTTTTTAAAACAAACCAACCACCCTAATTATAATAAGCAGATGAAACTTAGTGGCAACAAAAGTAATATTTGATGGGAATGAAATCTTCCATCTTGAGTACATATTTTTAGAACAGTAGATTATTGGGTTTACATTATATGCTATAGGAGGCTCTTCATTTTGATATTTGATGAAACACATGTAACTGTTAATAAACTTTCTTGGACTCTACATTGGAAATGGTATATATTTTTGACATGGAACTTAGGAAGAAATAGAGGGATATATGATTGAGAACTAATCATTTTCAGATTCTAATAACACTATTAGCTTTATTTTTCTAAGCACTTAGCTTCAGTTTTAATACTGAATCTTGATTTTTTATTGTTGGGATTCTGGATGATGATGCTTCTGACATCTTAGGTTAAAAATTTCAAACAATTTTTTTTTTTTTTAAGACGGAGTCTCACTCTGTCACCCAGGCTGGAGTGCAGTGGCATGATCTTGGCTTACTGTAAGCTCCGCCTCCCAGGTTCACGCCATTCTCCTGCCTCAGCCTCCCGAGTAGCTGGGACTACAGGCGCTGGCCACCACGCCTGGCTAATTTTTTTGTATTTTTAGTAGAGATGGGGTTTCACTGTGTTAGCCAGGAAGGTCTCGATCTCCTGACCTCGTGATCCACCCGCCTCGGCCTCCCAAAGTACTGGGATTACAGGCGTGAGCCACCATGCCCGGCCCAAACAATATTTTTTTAAAAAACGTTTTTCTTGTGTACTTAAGAAGGTAACTGTGGTTTTCAGCATCATTCTCTTATGACAAATGAGTACCATTCTATTGTTAATAACTTGGTACCTATTGAATTTGTGATTCTTTTTAAGTGATCTGTAAAGGGAATGTTGGCATAATTTTACAATACTTTAAGAGGATAGTAAACCACACATAACCATTATTGTAAATAAACTAAAAATATAAAAATTAGCTCTTGGAGATTGATAGAGTAGAAAATATTTACACATTGTACATATTCCTAGCAAATGTTGAACTTCCCATATTAAAATATTTTAAGAGGATAGTAAACCACACATAGCCATTATTGTAAGTAAACTAAAAATATAAAAATTAGCTCTTGTGAAATCGATAGAGTAGAAAATATTTACACTTTGTACATATTCCTTGCAAATGTTAAAATTCCCTATATTATTAAGTATTGGCTACAACCAATCAGCTAGAGAAGATAACTTTTTAAATTAACTACTTAGACAAACTATAATCCAATCCTAATTACAATTGAAGTGAAATCAAAATTCAAAAGAAAATGCAATACCAAAATAACATTTGGAAATTCAAAAGTGATGAACAAATGTCAAAAAAATTAAAAATTCCAAATAAAATGAAAAGTCAAAGGAAAACTTACTTTCTTTACAATCTCACTTTTAGAATTTTTCAGATAGAAATTATTAAGCAGAAATAAAAGTTCATGTGAAAAAGGACATCCATTGCGAAAATATATAGCAAAAACTGGAAAATGATCCAATTGTCCAACAATATTGAATGCTTATGTAAATTATGGCATCTAATTTCAGCAGATCATTATGCACTCAGTAAAATATTTAAATTATTCAAAATTGTATGTACCTTGTGTTATTATGTATTTGCATTTGGAAAAACTAGGAGTAATTCAATTAAAATGAAAACATAAAAAAGAATTTTTAGAAAAAATTATAGGTACAGTTTTCTTAAAAATCCTATTATCACGTGGTCTTTAGTACCTTAAAATGCTAACCTTGAAAAACTGCTTTTATTGAAAAATCTTACCATAAAGTAGCAGAAGTTTTATATTATCTAGCAAGTATAGAACTTCTTGCATTCAGAATTATCTAATTTAAAATTAGATGATATTTCTAAAGTTCATTGTAAAGCAGTTGTTTAAAACATGGAAAAAATGCATTTCCTTGTGAAATGATATATTAATAAGTAGAAATATTGTACAATTACCATGGCAAGAGAAGAAACACTGTTGTAAAAATGATTAAAACAGGTTTTGACATGAGAGAAATTTTTTTCTCCTTAACGTTGGAGAACTTATCTTTACCACACTTCACCAAAGAAGTTGTACAGATGGCAAATTAACATATGAAAAGATGCTACACATCGTATGTCATCAGGGAAATAGAAATTAAAACAACAATGAGATACCACTACACATCTACCAGAATGGCCAAAATTCTCTGACTGACAAACACCAAATGCTGGTGAGAATGTGGAGCAACAGGAACTCTCATTCATTGCTGATGGAAATGCAAATTGTACAGCCATTTTGAAAGACAGTTTGACAGTTTCTTATGTCCTCACAAAAACCTGCACATGAATGTTTCTAGCAGGTTTATTCATAATTGCTAAAGCTTGAAAGCAACCAATTTGTCCTTCAGTAAGTGAATGGATTAATAAACTGTAATACATTCAGACAATAGAATATTATTCAGCAGTAAAAAGAAATGAGCTATCAAGCTATAAAAAGACACAGAGGAACCTTAAATGCATATTACTAAGTGAAAGAAGACAATCTGAAAAAAACTACATACTGTATGATTCCAATGTATAAGATTCTGAAAAAGGAAATCTATGAAGACACTAAAAAAAAATCAGTGGTTGCCAGGGGTTTGGGGAAAGGGAGGGAGGAATAGGCAGAGCATAGGGGATTTCTACGGCAGTGAAACTACTCTATATAATACCATAGTCGTGAATACATATTACTCTGCATTTTCCAAACCCATAGGATGTATGACACCAAGAGTGAACATTATTGATAACTGTGGACTTTGGGTGATAATGATGTGTCAGTATAATGATGTGTCAGGGTAGGTTCATTAGTTGTAACAAACATGCTGCCTTGGTGAGGGATGTTACTGAAGGGGGAGTCTATGCATGTGTCAGGCATAAGGTATATAAGAAAACTCTGGACTTCCTAGTCAATTTTGATGTTAACCTAAAAATTCTTTAAAAAAATAGAGTCTATTAAAGAAATTGAACACCGTAACTTAACTGGGTTGGATGGAAACTTTCTTGACAACGTGACAGTTCTGAAGTAAACTTTGGGAATCTTTCAACAGATTCCATTTTCTCTTTAAATGTTGTTTTTCTCTCTGCAAGGTATTGTTTGTCCTCTTTATTCATACAAATATATACTAAAGAGCTTGTTTTATAATTCAGAATAGTGATAACTAGGGACTTTTTAGGGGAGAGTTTATGAATACTTTAAAATCAATGTCTACCATGATTGTTTCTATTTTCCAGGTCGAGTGCATCTCAGATCAGCCAGGCTTGTGTTGGGAGTTGGCAGAGAGGCAGTGTGAGATCTATCTTTATTTGAAAGAAATATTATATTGAGCATTTTTGATTCCAGGAATTTCTCTCCCACCCTGCAAAACATGCCAAGAGCAGATGTCCTTGGGGCAAAGCCCAGCTAGGGATTATATACCATCTTGCTATTTCTTTGCTTACAGCTTTTTCCATTGAAAATGTCCTTTCTTTTGCAAACAATTTCCAATTTATTGTATGTGACCAGCAAAAGTGAGGTTTATGTTCAACTTTTCAGGAACAACTCTCTTTTGTAGTTGAGGGAGAACCGTATTGCAAGTTGTATATCCTGGATTTGTTCCCATTTTGTTAGGTAAACATAGGTAATCTGTCACTAACATAACGTTCATAAACTGATTTCATCTCTTTTGTACTTTATAAACCTGAGGTCTTATATCCTTTGAATTAAAACAAAATCATATACTATTCTGTGTAATAGGCTACCTGGTATAACACAAACTTTGAAACCAAGATCCCTATTCTCGATAGGCTACTGAGTAAACAGTAAGACATATCTTTTAAATTAGACTAAGAAAAACATTACTTAAAACCTTGAAAGAAAAATTAATGCATGAATTTTAAAGTTCCCTTGGCAACACAAGTAGGGACATATATTTATGTTCATTAAAAACACTGTGTCACTCTGCAGTGTTAGTTATAATGGTTTAGAAATGGATATTTAAAAGTGCAGACTTGGTAAACTTCTTGCAATCCTAAATTTTAGAGAAGAGTGTCATCACTGAAATTTCAAAAATATCAAAAAAGCACTGGTTTTTAAAGCACATGGTTGCCAGTAGATGGCTTTAGCTACAGTAGATTTATATTACTGACTGTTAATTTGCTGATTCTTTGTTACACTAACAACCAGCGGTTCTCATTATTTTCTTCACATTTCATGTACACACATCTGTGGATATCACAGGTAGAGATATTTAAAATTAGAAAACTACATGTTCCGGAAGAAAGAGATCCTATCCAGATTACTTCTGGGCAAGGTTTGCACTCCTTAATCGCGTTATTACCCTCATTGACAAGATAAAATATAAAATAAAACAAAAATGAAACAATTAAAATAAAGCCATCTTTTAAAACTGGAAAGGAAGAGAATATATATCAAAAGTGCACTTTACCTTATATATTTTCATTCATATGTAGTGAAAATCTTGCATAAACATAATAAAAGTAATAGAAATATATTGGCATCTTACTCTTTCCATACACAAAGTGTATAAGAATTCTTCCAAATAGGCATTTTTTTAAAGAGACAGGATCCTGCTGTGTTGCCCAGGCTGGAGTCAGTGATTACTCACAGTTGGAATCATAGTGCACTGAAACCTCCTTGAACTCCTGGCCTCAAGAGATCCTCTCACCTCAGCCTCTTGAGTAGCTGAGACAACAGGCACACACCATGACGCCCAGTCCAAAAAAAGATCTTTATGAGCAGTGCCATACCTCTGTGCCAGCAGGGCTGGTAATAGTGGGGGAAATTCTGTCTCTTTATCTTGTATGTAAGAGGGCTTTTTTTTTTTCCTTCTAAATAAGTATCTACCCTGTTTACCATTGCTTGGGTTACATTATAAGACAAGACAAAGTCAAACTGTAAAAGTCAGGAAAAGTAAAGACATTAGGACTTTTTCTTAGGAGGTTTTCCTAAATTAGGCTCTAGTTTTATACGTAAGAAAATAACCTCAATTGTGTCTATGAGATACATAGTCACAATCCAATAGATCATGCTGTCAGGAGCTTTGTTTGATGGCTTTAAATTCATATTTTTCTAATCTTAACTCTCTTCCCCCCACCCTCTTTGTGTGGACTGATCTTGGGTGTTTCTGCTGGCATCTGGATGGGAACCTAGGGGGCTAGATGTTTCTCTGTGGTGCTATCAGCACATGTCATCTTGGCTGACCTTTGGGAGCATAATAGCGTTCATAAACATGGACAAGGTGCTTCAGTTGATCCCGATTATCTGCTTTGGGATTAGGATACCCTTGCTGCAGAGCAAGACAAATTTATAGGCTGCTGTGGGCACAATGTTTCGCTAGGTATTTTATCAGACTATTTTGACCCACTACCCTAACGTTTGCCTCCTGGCATGGCCTTGGGCTCCGCTAAGGTAAATGGTCAATGCAAAAGCCTGATACTCTCCCATGCAAGCTCTGACTGGCTGCAGGATGGTTTGCTGAAACCCTCAATATAAGACAATGTTATCCTTGTGGAGTTACTGTGACAACAAAAAGAAAACAAGCCATCATTACTCTACTATGGAATATTCCTTTTGTGTGTGTGTAAATTATAAATATTACTTTTTCTCCCCACCTTCAGTTTTTAAAATGTGGTTTCACATTTCATTTAATGCTAAATGGTTCATTACATAGAGTAGCAACTCAGTTCTCTTATTATGGTGTTATCTTTCACTTTGTCAAAATATGTCTACTTGATAAGAAATCTGACAGAAGTTGCTTATGATGGGATCACTAACAGCCATCAGTTTCTCTCCAGCAAATGAAACTGTAACCATGGTGACGGCCTTTTTTTTGTCAGAATGAAAATGAGACAGCACTCTGCTGCAGCCATTAGCAGAATACACAAATGTCCCTCAAGGCAAACATCTAAAGCAAATGGACTGCAAAGGAAGGAGCACTAATTTCTATTTATTTAGGATTTGTAAACCTAGCAGAGCAAGATATTAACAAAGGAACAAACAAAGAAAGCTTAAAAAATCCCTGCTGTTTGTGTTTTTCTTTTGGTTTATGAAACTCCTTGTTTCAAATCAAAAATACTCCGGTTTGATTTTCCTACTCTAGCGTTGAATAATACCAACAATGTGCCCTTGACTCTCCCCCCAGATGTTTCCTGAGTTTTCCTTCCCCCTGGCAGAAAGAGGAAAAGAGAACTTAATCAATCAAGTAGAAAAAGTACTTTAAATGATAAGGAGTTTCTCCTGTCTTCTTTTAAATGTACATTTTAGGGAAAACTATCAAAAACGAAATACAAGATGTCGTTTTTCATATACTTTAATTTTCAAAGAGGCATGTTCATTCTGATAAGGTGCATAGAAGCTGATAATAAGTCTATTCTAACACTATCAGCAATCAGCCACAGACTGTCAAAGACCTTTCAAGTGTCAGACCCTTCTCACTGTCTTCTTATTCACCATTAGACCATCTTACTAGAAACTACTTAGTGCATGCAGATATTCTTTTGACAGATGTGGCTTAGGTGAAGTTTCTTTAGCCATCTATGATATGAAAAATGATTTTCCTTAACTGTCTTACAACTAAACCAAAATATTATTTTAAAATAATTTATTGATCTCTCTCTTTCTTTTTCATTCTCTCTTAAAGCCTTTTCTCTCCCTCTGTTTCCCTCCCTCTCCCTTTCCTTATTTCTTGAATTATTCTAACAATTGAGCAAAAATATCTTTCAATATTCAGTTTATTAAGCTGACTGATTCAGTTTATTTGCTACAAATACCAACTTAATTTTTAATTTACAACTTGATTAGAAGAGCAAATGACTTCAATAGTGTTTCACAAAGCCTTCAGGAAGCTTCCTAAAGGCTAATTTATGTACACATTATTCCAGAATCCCCACTGCCACCTCTAGAAAGACATAAAATTATCAGTTTCAGGTAATGACATTTTTGCCCAATATTTTTTCAGAAAATCCAAGTTTGTAGATTTTTGAAGCATACTAAGGGGGTCAATCTAAAAATGTGTGGCTATATTTATATAGTTATGCTATGGAATTTATCAGTGACCACTACAGTGCAGATACTCTGCATACCCATCTCTGGAGTGTGTTGTTCTTTAATTTCCAGTTGTTTCTTTGGACAGGTCTCAGTTTGCTGTACATTTAGTTTTTCTTGCCAATGTTCAACATCTTCCTCAAGGCACTGTGGATTGAAGCTAAGCTGTGTTGGGCAGGGGCAGTCAGAAACTGGCCCCTGGCCAGATATTCACCAACTCATTCTTATGCTCTTAAACTACAAGACCTCTAAGGGACATCACAATATCTCCAAAAGTGATGGAAGCAACAGGAAAAGAGGTTTAGGCATTGGTTTTGAATCTGGGGAAAAAGTTTAGCTTGGAAGGTTTCCTTTCCATAGTCATTCTTTAATTTTTACTGAGCCAATGATAAACTAATTTATATCTCTAGCTTGAAACTTATTTTGAGAAGTGTTTTATAGAAAATATTTGTATATTAATTCACCAAATATACACTGAGTGCCTTATCTATGTAAGACATGATTTAGACTCTAGCATATGAGATGTGATTTGTATGTAAGTAGCTATGTAGTGCCATATTAATAATAAAAATGAGAATAACAGTCAATATTTGTTAGGTGTTTGACAAGTACCTGGCACTGTGAGGTCGTAAGAGGACCACTTAGGAACCCATAGCAATAATCCAGATGAGGAGTGATAAGATCTGCCCTTGGATGACAGTGGAAACAGAAAAGATGGATTGGAAGCTAGAAATATGAAGAGTTAGAAAAAAATATATCCCATATATCCTTCTCCTTTATAAGGAAGGAAGAAGAGTCAGATATATCTTTGAGATTTTGGTATTTCCAAATCAAATATAAAATATAACTGATCATATTGTATTAGTCTCTTCTCACGCTGCAATAAAGACCTGCCTAAGACTGGATAAATTATAAAGGAAAGGCGTTTAATTGACTCACAGTTCCACAGGGATGGCTATGCCTCAGGAAACTTACAATTATAGTGGAAGGGGAAGCAAACACATCCTTCTTCACATGGCAGCAGGAAGGAGAAGAATTGAGTGCCCAGCAAAGGGGGAAGCCCCTTATAAAACCATCAGATCTTGTGAGAACTCACTTACTATCACGAGAACAGCATGGAGGAAACCCGCCTCCATGATTCAGTTATCTCCACCTGGTCCCTCCCACAACACATGGGGTTTATGGGAACTACAATTCAAGATGAGATTTGGGTGGGGACACAGCCAAACTACATCATATATATTACTTGGTCCAGGAGTGTCCTATATGGTGTAATGTTGAAGTGCTCAAGCCAGTGTTTAGACTATTACTAGCTGTATATGTTGACAAGTTGATAGCATTTAAACTCAGTTTCCTCACTTGTTAAATTGTATAGAGTTTTTACTTGTTGTCTGTGGAGGACTGGTTCCAGGACTCCCCAAAGATGCCAAAACCCATGGATACCAAAACCCATGGATGCTCAAGTTCCTTATATAAAATGGCATAGTACTTTCATGTATCCCATGCACATCATCCTGTAAACTTTAAATCGTCTCTAGTTTACTTATAATACCTAATACAATGTAAATGCTATGTAAGTAATTGTTATAATATATTCTTCTTTATTTGTATCATTAGTTATTGTATTGTGTGTGTGTGTGTGTGTGTGTGTGTTTTCTCTCAAATACTTGTGATTCTTGAATGGTTGAGTCTGTGGATGTGGAAATAACAGTTCAGAAGACCTGACTGCATAATAGTCACTAGTGTTTAGTGAGCATCCAATGAATGTTAGCTCTTATTATTTGTTAGGAGTGTGGGATGTGACAAAGTTTAAAAGGTACTGTTTGTATTGTCATCTAAGCACTTTTCACAGTGATTCTTTGATTAATTAAAGGTCATCTAATCAGCTCTACTCAAAGCGATGTGATAAGGAGTTTTTACCGCAGGATGTGCCAACACACTGCTTCCTTCATCCACAGAGGAGATCTCAGCAGAATCAAGCAGTGTGCTCAGTGACTGAGTTGTTTTGTGTTCTAGCTTGTGGACTAGGAACAAACAGGCCCTCCACCCATAGCCAACCCTTCCACAGTGTACACTTTACATATCACTGATCTCCACATTAACTCAAAGGAATTAAAAGCAGAAAATTAATGTCTAAAATGTGCCCATTAGGGCATGCTTACACCACCTTGTAAACTTTGACCTCTCTCTTTTAGGACAAGCACAGGAAGGTCAAAAATGAGGAACAAAGAAAATGGCACTGTGACTTTATCTGTCATTGGCCAATCTAGTCCCCTGAGCCTAAGGCTCTTCTTTTTTCTGTTTTTTTTTTTTTTTGGGGGGGGTGGGGGGTTGGGTGTTTGACCACCCAGCCTTGGTCATGCCTCAGCTAGATGATACTAGGTTAAGCTATTCTGAGAGCCTGTTAAGTCAGTTCTGTGAGTATTTCTAGCTGTCTAGTCTGAATCACCTCATGAGGAAGATCAAATTTCTAGTGATTTCTTGCATTCCTTACTATTCCAAGGATGATACTAAGTTATCTGATGCTCATCTGAACTCACCACCATATAGATCTCAGCCTCAAACTCAACTCAGGATAAAAGCTATCTCTTCACGGTGGAAGACAACAGGACTTGCATGCTGTCACTCATTCTGTATTGTAGCTTGAGGGCCACTTTTGAAGTGTTGCTGTTGTAATGACTTTGTAACAAGGTGAATAAGCATCAACATGATGCATCTGATTCCAGAGTTCTTAAGGAATGAACATGCACTCCTTGAGTGCATGACCTAGCACTTTTTTCATCTGTTGCCGTTCCAGTGCAAGAAACTTCTAGATCTTCCCAGACACACACAGACTCCCATTAAGTTTAGAAATCAGCAGTCCTGTCTCTCATGCTTTTCAATTCTCCTTTACGTAACTTGCCCCATATTTTAGCAACTTCATGTGCAGGAACTACTTTCTCATGATGCCATTTGAAAATCCAATTCACACATAAATATAAATGACCATTTATATAATTTATGGAAAGTGCTTGCTTTCTCAAAAGCAACTAAAAGTAGTGGACAAACATGTCTCTAATGATGGTATTACATGTACCATCATTAAAATACTTTAGAGAAAAATCAACTCCCAAGTGTCCCTAAAATCACCATCCACTCTTCTGACCATAAGGCTGCTCTGACAATGTGCATGTCAGGATCTCTCAGCTCAACATCATGGGAACAGAGAAAACTAAAGGCAACTCATTTACTCGGTGAGCACTTGCTCTGATTCCTACTGTACTAAATTGACTAGCCATGCAAAAAATAGGATTAACTGTCCAATTAGGAACTCATAATTTTTTTAAACAATTTGAGCCTGCCTCTATAAGGAAGTTATTAATAAAAGAAGCCATTACATTCAAAATAGACAGTAGTTAAGTTGGGAACTTCCTTCTTCATCAAATTACATTTTAACTCACCTAAAAGCAATATCAAGCTTCCAACTTTCAAAATAAATGAAGGCTACTCAATAAGCATCTAACACCCATAAAAATCTGAGCCAAGTGAGTGTTATTTCAGGTTGGTATTTATCCCAGGAGTGAATTTTTATGGGAAGCATATGAGATGCATGAATATGCTTCAATGCATATCATATTTATTAAATTTTTTTTAGCATTTTTATGTTTTTCTTGGCAACTTAGAAAGTCATCTTTCAAGTAAATTAAGTTACAAATGTAGAAAAATAATGTATACTTAGTTTATATTTCTTAGTAGTGAATATTCTCTTTTAACATTTATTTCTTCTTTATAATTATTGACTTTTTTCCTAATCTTAAAAGGCCCACAGCATTTACCTCTTGGTTTCTTGGTGAATATTCACAATGAGAGTTTAGTGATCTCAAAACCTAAGTGAGCCAAGGTTTTCAGAAGTTGAGCATGAGACAGATCTTATAGCCTCGTGCTCCCCACTTTTGCAACCTCTTAGGTTTTTCTGAGTCACAGGGAAGATTGGAAACTCATGGCAAAATTTCAGCCTCTTTTTTGTCTCTAGTTTCCCAACACCATGCTTGTACAATTACAACAAAGACTCCTCCCCCTGCTTTAATTCACATCAATTGCGTCCTGTACTTGGGTACATTTCTGCTGGTGCCTGAAGCTAAATGTTCCCAGCTCCTGGATTATGGCCTTCTCCCCCTGACATTACTAGTTTTAAAGAACGAGGCAAAAAAAAAAAAAAAAAAAAACCCTCATATAAGACTTTTCATAATCAAGGAGAAACAAGGGGCCACTGTCATCCAGTCTTCCTGCTCACAAATGTCAAGATGGTATTCAAAATTGGTCCAGTAAAGCTGCAAATAAAACATTTTATTTGGACTTAGAGCCGCTACAGTATTTCCTTTAATTTTTGGTCATATTGATGGCATTGTTGGAGAGAATTTATGAAATGCTTTAAATAATGACAGGTTACCGTTTTTCAAATGTTTACATTTTGTTAATAATTTCATATATTTAGCCACTTAACATGAAAGAGCTGGAAAAACTAGAATTAGTTGAAAATATTCTTGTTCATGTTTTTGAGAACCATAATAGGACTCATTTTTAACTTCCAGTCACTATGTATGTAGCTATCTGAGCATGTTACCCATTAATGTACTTCAAATCAAGCATCTCTCTTCCACACATTGTTTTATAAAAACTTGAAATAACCTTTCTTAAAATAAAAAGTAAAAAGAACTGTAAGGGGGTGTCAACTTTTGTCACAAACTTTATGAATTGTTTAGAGATATATTAAAATATAGCAACAATTCACATATCAGCTTTCAAATGTTCCTATTTCCAGTTTGTGAGTCTAGATTTTTCCCTGTGCTTTGCTTCTTTGGGTTAAAATGTATTGTTATTTTCCTTAGACCAGCTACCTCTGACTCTCACATGATCAGGAAAATCCTTCCTGATCCCCTGGAATATTTTCTCACAGGAGTGTTCTATATCTAGGTAGATGAATTTCAGGAAGAAAATACAGCTCATCTATGATTCAAAAATATTGCTAATTCTTGATTATTGAGGCTTTTCCTTGACTGGATGCTGGAGATGATAGACTCTTATAACAGTCTTCAGAAACAAGAGAGCTTGAGAAGGGTTATACGGTATATGGAACTTGCTGCTTTCCCACATGGGCACTGAAAATGTGTAAAATTGGACTCAGGGATTCAAACAATAAAATGATTAAAGAGTGAAGACCCTCATAAGGTCACAGCATAGCATTGGTTATGTAAAATATCTTTGAACTTTAGAGATTTTTATGCTTTTTTCAATTTTTTTCTATTTCTATTCTCTCTTTACCTAGAGCTATGAGATGATCACATTGTAACTGAGCACATACACCTTATTCTCAGAAGGTTGACACCAGGAAGTCTTCAGAGTACTTATCATCACTTACGGAGAGGTAGAAAGATAGTGGAGAACACTAGAGTTTATAAGACTCACTATGAAAAATGCAACTACTTCTCATGATATTCCTTTTAAAAACATGTCATGGCCTTGAAATCAAACATCTGGTAACCACTGAGTTAAGTGACTTAAGAAATAATTTTCTAGACTAATTAGGGACTATGCTGGATAACACAGGTTTCCTAGCTCTTGGTTCACTACTCTCTCCAATGATATAAATGATACAAATATAGTGCTGTGAGTGTTCAGCAAAGAAGAGACCAATTCCTTCTGGAAGTGAATTTGGTATATGAAATTGAATAGATAAAGAAATGGTAGGAAAATGCAGAAAATAAACCATTCTAGGGAGAAAAAACAGCATGAACAATTGCATGACAGAGGGTGCTCAATAATACAAATTTTGGAAACAGCGGTATGCAGTAGAAATTGTTTAAATAGTAGAGAAAATTTGAATTTTAGTTCTACCATGAACTTTGAGACTTTGGACTTGTTTTTAACAACCTAAGGCTTCATTTATAAATTAGATGTAATGTCATCTTCCTTCTAGAGCTTTTATGAGCATTAAATAAATACTGTTTGTATAGTACCTGGTTCATAGTAAATGCTCAATAAACCATAGTAATCTATTAAAGGATTTTTATGCAAGGCAATGATATAATTTGAGCTACCTTTTATTTCCAAAACACAAATTCTTTCTTGAAATGAAAACAGAGTGAAAGATACTTTTCCTGATGTTGAGCTTCATAGAAAAATATTTAAGTTAGGGCTTAGTATAAGTATGATTCATCCCATGTAATAAATGGCTAACTGCATTTCATGTCCAAAGATTTAAGACTCGAAACTTCAATGATACTATTAATATGGTGAACGTTTGTTGTATAATAATCAGTGCTTAAAGTAAGAAAGGACATGGGAAGTACTATGTCTTTTTTTCAGTTAAGTAATAAATAAAGAAATGAGATAGTTCTCTTATGAAGTTATAAAAGCAAGTTTAAACATCAGATTTCATTTCTGAGGTTATTTAGTCTAACTCCATTATTTTCCAATGAAGAGACTGATGAGCAAGTAGATGAAGAGAGTACTGTCTGTATGTCATTCTTAAGAACATGACGACCCTTGAAAATTTTCAATAGTTCATGGAAAAATAAGAAATTTTAAAATGATGGGAGCTTTTGTGAAGGAAAATTTATTTATTTAAATATTTAACATTGTTATTTTATGCCAAATGTTTATATAATAATGACAATAATAATTTTGAAGGACATCATAATTTTTACTAGCCTTATTGAACAGCATATTAAATAATCAACTACTTGTCATGACATTTCTTTTAAAAACATATCATGGCTCTTGAAATCAAATATCTGGTAACCACTGAATTAAGTAACTTGAGAAAGAATTTTCTAGACTAATAAGGGACTATGCTAGATAACACAGGTTTCCTAGATCTTGATTCACTACTCTCTCCAATGCCTCCAAATGTAATTTCTTTTAAGAACCTCATTATAGGATCCAGGAAAACAAATTCAATATTTCTGTGTTCTCTCCTAGTCACCTTTTAGACATTCTGCTTCTGAACAAAATTTTCCCAAGTTAAAGAAGGTAGAATGCAACTAATAAAAAAGTTTAAATACATCAATATCCCTACCTGATAATCATTTTTTGAATGTTTTGTAGGGGGAGTAGAGAATGTAATAAAAAATATATACGGTTATCTCCATATTTTATTAGTCCCTTTTTGGCCAATGATATTTCATGGACATAGCTGGTGAATATATATATACATATAAATATATATATATATTATATACATATAAATATATATATTATATACATATAAATATATATATTATATATACATAAATATATATATTATATATACATATAAATATATATATTATATATACATATAAATATATATTATATATACATATAAATATATATTATATATACATATAAATATATATTATATATACATATAAATATATATATAATATATACATATAAATGTATATATTATATACATATAAATATATATATAATATATACATATAAATATATATTATATATACATATAAAAACACATATGTTATATATAAGTATATATTTATTATATATAAAATATATTTTACATATTTTTATGTAATATATAAGCATATTTTATATGTTTATATATGCTATTATATATTTATTATATATAAACATATATGTTTATATATGTAAATATAATATATAATAATATATAATATATAATACATAATAATATATAATATATAATACACGTTTATATATGTATTAGATAATATATATATATTCACCAGCTATGTCCACATATGCATATATATACACACACATATATAATGATTTTTTTTACATCCTGACCAAATATCATGTTTGTGTCTCTGTGTGTGTGTGCTGTGTGTATTTGTAACAACTTCAGTGGTATATTTGACCTTCATTGTTCCCTCTAAAGGATCATGTTGAATGCGGAAATGATGAAATGAAGTTTGTAGAAGCTGTAGTTTTGCCCAAGATTAGTTTGCTGAATTTTGATTTCTTTACCTCATATGACATTTTTGTTGACTTTGAAAGAAGCTTAATGGGTAGAAGGGCTCTGAAGGGATTAAAGAAGAACACGAATTCTTCCCAGAAGTTTTAAATCATACTTTAGTTGCTGGGAAAAAATATAGGTCTGGACTTGAATAGTATTATACCACAAAAATATTTAAACAGAAGTGAGGAGTTCATCAAAATTACAAAACACATATTGCTTCCCTTCAAAGATGTCTTCTAACTGCTGGCTAGATGTCACATTAGATAGTTAATTGTAAATCCGGAATTTTTTGTTGTTATATCCTTCCAATTGCATTAGTAGCTGATGACATAGTCACCTGTTATACTGTATTACTTAGGAAAAAAATCTCTACGGAAATATTTTCCTGGCTGGGCACAGTGGCTCACACCTGTAATCCCAGCACTTTAGGAGGCCAAGCCAGGTGAATCACTTGAGCTCAAGAGTTCAAGACCAGCCTGGGCAACATGGCAAAACCTCGTCTCTACTAAAAGTACAAAAAAATTAGCCAGGCACATGCCTGTAGTCCCAGCTACTCAAGAGGCTGAGGTGGGAGGATCACCTGAGCCCGAGAGGTTGAGGCTGTAGTGAGCTGTGATCATGCCACAGCACTGTAGCCTGGGTGACCAGAGTGAGACTCTGTCCCCCATTAACACACAAACAAAATAAATATCTTACAGTAAGTTACTCATTTCTACCGATAGAATACCAAATTAATCCTAACATGTCATTTTCATATCTATTTATTTGCATATTTTTTCCTAAGAATGGTTTTTCCAACAAAATTTCTCAATCTGAGGATAATTGAAGAGGCAACTACAGCCTTAAATTACACCCTAACCATGTTGAGATATGTCTTTGGCACACATTCTTCATATAATCTCTTCCTACGTGAAAGAAAGAAATGGCTAATTCTATGTTTCCTAGAGAATAACATATATGTTAACTCTTTGAAATATAAAATTTAGAAATGATCATTTGAATGATGCCAGTGCAATCATGGAGCTCCTTAGCACACATGGAACATGGTGATCAGGCTGAAGTATGGATTAGAAAGCCTGCTGTGCAGGGGTGACTCGCTGTTCCCCTTCTTATGAAAGAAAGAAAGTGCAGCCTTACTCAACACTCAAGAGCTATATTCCAATTGCATAGGTCACATGATGATGAAGTCCTGCAGTTATTTTCTTAACTTCTTCAACCTTTCCCCATTCACCATTAATGACCCAGTTGCCATCACTCTTAAAGGATAAAAGCTCTCCCACTTTTAACACATTTTTCCTCATGCCTTCTGATTCTCTCCTCCCTAATGGTCCATGCATCCCTTACGATATCTTTAAGATAGGTTTTCAGTCCTTCTCAGTCAGACCCAGTTCTGGGCTGGAGGATTAGATCCAAAATATGGGGGAACAAGGACATTCCACCTGATACCAGAGAAATAAAAAGGATCCTAAGAGTCTAATTTGAACAATTATATACCAACAAATTTCATAAACTAGAAGAAATGGATATATTCCCAGATGCTTGCTACCTATGAAGATTGAATCATGAAGAAATAGAAAATCTGGCTGCTTACAAATCTCCTGCAGCTTGATAATACCAATAGAGTGCCTTCTGCCTTTGTAGTTTTCAGCGACATTATAAATGTGTCATTCAATTGCCTTAACCTCAGTGGGTTCCTTGTATTAGGAAAAAATCGGTTTCAATCAGTGTGAAAATTGATTATGAAGTAACCTGCGAACATTTTTTGAAAACTGAAGAAATGGTTAACTTATGGTATAAGTATGTATGAAACAGTATATGACTTTTGGCAGAAAATGGAATTGCATCAAATGTTAGGTACCCCTTCAAAATTTACATAAAGCAACAGGCTTAGTATGACTACTGACCCAAATGTTATTTTGAGGTTTTCAAGATGCATGTTTACTTTCATATTGTGGAGTTTAAACAGCTAAAACTGTTTGTAGACAAGAAATGTTTTAGGTAAGAAAAGGCGTTTATCACAGATGAAATCTGACTATTTGAGAATAGAAGGCTTTCACAGTTATACATATTGAAGGAGAATTAAGAGACATAGCCCAACTATTCTGATTTGTAGTAAAGTAGCAAACTTCATGATTCAGTCAGGCTTATGCTCCTGTTCTACAAATCCCAGGTCACTAAGGAGCAACTCAGGTGAAAAGTTATAGTCATGGTACAATTGATTGTTTCATGAGTGCTTTGTGTTAGAGGGCTATGTGGGGATTTACAGATACCTCTGATTATATTCCTCTCAAACATTGGAAGTCTACTCTCTATGGAAACAATGGGGTAGAGTCTGAAAATGAGGGAAATGGGTTGCCTTCTGACAATTAGACGGGGCCTTAACCTAACAGATTGCAGCAGAAATATTCAAAATCAACGTGTGCATGTAAGATTTGATACCAAAAAGGAGAGGAGAAAATCTTCAATGAAAACACAGAAAATCTAGACTCAGATAAACAAATATTGACAACGTCCAGATAAATCTTTTCTAGGAAGATTAGCCTGCCAGTCTGATCTTCATTTTCACGATTATGAAAACATATGTGTTAGACCAATGTTTCTCAAAACATAGCCTACGTCCAAATCACATAGAAGGGTGCTTAAAACACAGAACTCTGGACTCCACCAGTAGAATTCTTGATTCTGTGGGTCTGGAGTGACGCTTGAGAATTTCCGTTTTCAACAGTTTCTAGGTGGTGTTGATTGATGCTTCTGTTCCCACAACCACGCTCTAAGAACCACTGCATTAAACCAGCAGAACCTGCAGCTGTTAAACATTTAAATCAAATAAGTATCTCTCAACTACTTTATTCCTTGTTTCCAAGAACCTGAGGAATATACTATGCCTAGATGGAAGAAAATATACTAGACAGATCAAGTAAGTCTTCACTTGGCATTTATGTTTAGCGTTGTAAGTTGACAATTTGTTTTTCTGGGTTTATTCATCAGTCTATTGTGAGCAAGGGCATATCTAGGTTTTAATAGAGCTGAATTTGCACAATTGCTTGGGAGGAATCTTTAAGGAAAAGAATATAAAGTTTTGAATAAATTTCTTAGGTGTGAAGGTGAATCTATATCTAGACAATAAACCACAACAAATTATAAATGGAAAAAAAGCTTGCAAGTACCACAAACATCACAAAATTCAGATGAATGGTCTAGCTTCTGCTTCTGTGCACTTGCTCTACTAGCCGCACACTGCTGGTGCTGGGTGCTGTGGTGCACATTCGTGTGGAGATACAGCCTCAGGTCCTGCACTTTGATTATGAAATCCACTGAGTCAATGCAGGCGGTGGTTAGAATATCACCGGAAGCTTTTCCTACTTGCACAGCTAGCAATAATAACATAGGAATGGCACCAAACCATCTAAATATAATTGTACTCTATCCAAACTAAATACATTCCCAACTCAGATTGGCCTTAAAACGATTCCTAAAGTGGTCCAGGGACCTCTCCAATGCCACTCAATGACACTGGGAAAGTATTGAGTGGCATTGGAAGAGACAGTGGTCTCAACCAATTGTAAGTAAAAGGTGTGATCCCGTGAACCCATTATTAGACTCCTTCCCATGGGCTTAGAAGGGCCCATGTTACTTAAGGACCCTGAAGCTTGAGCTTCTTTAGTCTCGCAGCAAATCTATGGGAAGAAAGAGAAGGAATGTCAGAATCTGATTAGATCTAGAATCCCAACGATCTCCAGTGGTTGAGTTTAAAAGGCTAAGGGTTAGAGACTGGCCAGCACGGATTCAACAAGATAAAAACCATGCTTGCAGCCCATTGGTAGCGTATTCTGCATCACCAAGCACGACATGCCTAAATTTGTAGAAATTCTACCAGCCTTTGACACTTTGTAACTGGGACATGTTCCAGTTTCCCCCTTTTGTTCTACACATGGCTTCTCCTCTGGATGTGGGCAAAGAAGTAATAGGAAAAGACATGAATACACCAAGAAAGTGAAAGGAAGCTTAAGAAAGTGATCTCCATGGCAGTGGGTAGGTCAGAAGAAAGCAAGTCGTGGAGTTGAATGACCTGGGTCTGGATTTTTGCTCTTTACAAGCTGTGAGCCTTGGCCAAGTTAGCCCCTCTATACCTGAGTTTACTTAACAGTAAAACAAAAACAATAATATTCCCTTCTTCATAAGGCTGCCATAAAGACTAAATGAGCTAATATATACAAAGCATGTACGACAGTGCCTGACATACAGTATCACTCAATAAAAAGTTAGCTATTATTATTTGGAAAGTAAAGGCATTTAAAATGTGATTTCCAAAGCAGTAGCAGAAAAGATTTTTGGACTTATTTCTACTCTCCTCTTTTAATACTAAAATTAGTATGCTTCCAAGTCCAGTTCCTGGGTAACTGCTGTTGCTATTCTAGGCCATCTGTGATCTTCAATAGCACCACGTTTGGCGTTTCCAAACCGCAGCTATATCCCGTCACAACTCCTAGTGATCTGTTGTCTGTTTATTTGCAGAATTGGTCATAATTTGGTCCTTTTTGTATAAATTGTCTACATTAGCTCTTAAAATTCTGCAGTTGTCTACCGGGGTGCCAGCATTTGGATGGGTGTTATAACACTACATTTTCTCTTCATTACAAGTCCTAAAAATAGGGTGCCACTGACTAACGTTTTCAGCCTTCACAGCAAGATTTGGTTTGTCAGGAAATGGTGTGGGAGTAGTTCTCATATGCACTGAAGGTGCAAAGTGCAAAACAAAAATAACTCAACAAGAGTTTAACAGCCCTTCTTTATGTACGTTATTTACAAAGGCCACAATCTGGAGTTTCAGGCAGAGCCTTGGGAAGCTTGGGAGACTCTTCTGGAAGAGGAAAAACTGCCAATATAGATTACACAAAAGGGAAGATGGAATGGAAAAAGACAAGATTTAATTTGCTATCTCTGCCCTCTTCATTAGTATTCAAGCATCAATAGAACTTTGAGTTTATTTGAACTTGGAAGAACTCTTCAATAATATAATGCCTAAAAACATATGGAGAAACCTCTAAACTATTCTTGCTTTCATTTCTGTATGTACAATTTCCCCCATCTCTCTAGAGGGTGACTACTTTTTTTCAGCTGTCTTATTTTCTTATACGAAAAAAGACATGTTGTATTAGAGAATCTTAATTGCTTTTTCACTTTCTGTGGCTTCATAATGTTTAGTATCAAATATTTTGCAAACATTGAGACACTTCAGAATTATTATTTCTACCCTTCAATAGAAATTGTAAATATATTCAGGAGGCAGGAGAAAAACAGTTGTCTTTATTAATAGGATTTCAATAAGGAAAACAGGAAGCCATGATGTTGGATGCATTCTTTATTCCAGCTCTAATAAACATATTCTTGATAAAGCTAAAAGTCATAGATGAAGATAATTAAATCATTTTGCTTCTTCTTTCTTTCTTTTCTTTTCTTTTTTTTTTTTTTTTTTTTTTTTTACTACATTGCCATTAGTCATTCTATTACCAACTTGGAAGAGAACTCTAGCACATTGCATGGCATTGGGATGAATTCTTTATTTCCATGCCAATGAAATATTGTCACAAACACCTTGTTCAAGCAAAAGAAGATTTAGAATAGCTTTGCTTTATCACAGCTTGCAATGTACTCTTGGAGTTAATAGAATCACACAAATGAAATAACCAAAGAGATTTCCTCCTTTGCACTTTTTGAGGTACTTTCTCATCATAAGTTTTTCAGTTTTACAGGATGGAAAACTTTCTCTTTGTACTTAAAAATCAGAGAGAGAAAAACACACACTATTTTATTTGAAAAGCAAAGACGATGATGGATTAAAGCAGATGTAGAGTGTTTGCAGTTATATAAGACTATTAGGGACCCTGCTTGTTCTGGTTTTTGTAATTTGTCCATGTCCTACTTTATATAACTCAATCCATTGTGAGCCAAACATGAAATAAGTGAATACAGTATTCCATATTTCACTTTGTCAGCAAATTTAAAAAAAAAGGTAGAACAAACACAATAGTCATCATGGTTCTTGAATACAGAACGAAGCATTTTTCAAATCGCAGGGACCTGTAAGAAAAAGAAGGTTAAGGAGATTTTTCTTTAAACAATGAGCAGATGTGTTTGTTACTGTTGATGGACAAGCTTATCCATTTACTTCAATTAATAACAAGAGTGAACCCATCAATACGTAAGCTTGTCCTGATGCTTTGAATTTTTTTCCTATTTGACAGGTAATAGTGGGGCTGGGAAAATGTCACAACAATTTAGTCCTGCCTCACTGGCTTTAACTAGTTCAGTGACAATGGGAATGCATCTTGCTAAGATTCCTTATGATTCATAATAACGCTGCATCTGTCGACCCTTACAGAGGGTTTAAAATCTGCGACAATTAATGGCATAAAATCAAATCTTTTCATGGGTTATTCATTTGGGCACTAAGTAAAATCAAGTTAAAATATTAATGAACAGTATGAAAATGTGGAAACTTTCTTTAGGAACCTGTCTTTTCACATTGAGTCATAAATGAAACCAACTATGCTTGACAAAGAAAGGCCATTTCATCATATGGTCAAGCTATTAAACCCTTCCTATGTTCTAAAAGATCTTTTCTAAAATCTAACAGATTTTGCCAGAGAAACCCTAGTGAAAGCCAATGATCTCACAAATTTTAGCATATTAGAGCAAATTATGCCTCCAGCAATATTGACAATGGTTACCAAAATATAATCATATCAGTATATTGCTTCAGTGCTAGCTGAGCCAATAAATAAATGTTTTCCTTTGAACAGTAAAGCTTGAATGATTAATAACTACATGGAATGGGGAGGGGGAAATTGGTATTTTTTTTAGAGGAAAATGAAGGCCATTTATACTATTCCGGTGGCAAAGGGTTTAGTACAGGAACCAGTCTCACATGCTCCATAGAGGTGTGGCAGAACTCGGAGAATGCTCAGAGTGCATGGGCGAATAACATGCTTTTTCAGAGCAGGAGCAACATATTCACATCTGTCTCCACAGCATCTAGCACAACCCCTCTAACACATAGGGAACTGGACATGCATTTTCTAGCAAGCAACATTCTTCTAGACCACTCCCAGCAATCCAGTTAACCAAATGTCTCTAAGACTAAATGCATGAAATGTAAGGCTGGTAGGAGGCTTAGAGGACAGCCTTACTTAGCTCTCCCTAAAACTTATCTTCTCACAACTGTGCAGTCCCTGCCGAATTCTGTGTTTTCACCTCCATGAGGCTATCCCTGATACCCCTGAGTACCCCAAAAATGAATCACATATTCCCTCGTCTCTTTTACATTTGTGCCTGTATAACAGAGCACTGATTGGGTTAATTCTGTTTGTCTCTGTAACCCCACTTGAGGTCTACAGACGCTTTTTCCTATTTATCTTTGAATCATCTGATTTTAGAAACCAGCATGTCTCTAGTCCTGAGTAAATGTTTGAATTGTGTCGAATTGTTGATGCCAAGCCTAAATTCTTTAACCAAACTTGTCACAGGAGAGCTAAAGTTTCTAATTTTGCTTTTAATTGGCACATAATAATTGTACATATTTATGGGGTACAGTGTGATGTCTCAACACATGTACACACTGTAGAAATCAAGTCAGAGTATTTAGCAGATCCATCACCTCATGCATTTATCATCTATTTGTCTTAAAAACATTCAAAACACTCTTCTTCCAGTATATTTCTTACTCTGAAATGTCCAATAAAATATGTTGCCCAGAGATGGGACAAAATAGAGTTAAAACAACTGTTATAGGTCAAATTGTGTTCCACTGACCACCTCTGCAATTAAAAAAACTCTTATGTTAAAGCCTGAATCTGTAGTACCTCAAGATGTGTCTTTATTTGGCAACAAGATCTTTGTAGACAAAGATCAAGCTAAAATGAGATCATTAGGAGAGGCCCTTATCCCATATGACTGGTGTCCTTACAAGAAGGGAAAATTTGGACACAGGCACATACAGAGAGAAGATGACATAAAAACTCAGGGAGAAATGGCCATTTCCAAGCCAAACAGAGGGGCTTAGAGTTGACTATTCTACCACAGCCTTCAGAAGGAGCTCACTCTGCCAACACCTTAATCTTAGACATCAATCCTTCAGAATTACGAGACAATACACTTCTGTTGTTGAAACTACCCAGTTTGTGATACTTTGTTATAGCAGCCCTTGCCAACTAAGACAAGTATCCAATTTCTTTGGCCCATTAAAAAGAAAAGCTAGAGAGAAAGTAGTTTGTAATGGCATGATGGCATTGTCAGGGAAAGTAGATAATACAAGGACTCATATATGACCTCTACAGAATATTATAAAATAGAAAAGCATGCATTCTTCCCTCCTATAGAAAAACATTATCTTCATGCTATTTCATGCAATTGCTATCTGGCACTAGCTCAGTGTACAAATGTTTTGTGTAATATGAAAATGGATCTTCAAGTAGGATGGAAAATTACATTTGTTATAATCAATCAACCTGCTCTGAAAAATAGGTTATTAAAAATGCCTTCATTTGATTACCTGGGTGAAAATATAAATGGAAAATAAAAATTCTAAATGCAGTGTAAGTATTGATAATGTGATGACTAGAGGAACTGTATTCATTTCTAACATTAATAAATTTTAAAGTTTTATTAATACCTACAATAATACAGGTTTGTTATATTAACCATGATTGACTTGGGCTTATCAACACAATGACTGTAAGTTAAACTAAAGGGGCTGCTATTTCTGAAATGAAAATAGAGACAAAGAAACAAAGAAAGGTGTGTTTACTGAGATAACATATGAGTTGGGATGAGAGAAACAGTGCACAAAAATGCTTATTTTAAAATTATTCATTTAAAATACTTGACATAATGTACCTGAGAAGGCAAGGTAGGTTATGTATTAGTCTTTGATTGGTTATACAGTTTTGTTTTTAATGGTTTTAACTTGATTTCAGCCTCAGAGAGTTTAAATTTGTTTTCTTTCTGACAAAACCAAGCTCCCATTCTATGGAAAAAAAACATAAGAGTAAGAAAATATAGAGAGCTGTATCAGGGACACAGTAGAATTCTTGGCTTTAAAATAGCTCATACAAACCTGCAATAATAAAGCAAAAGAATCACGAGTATCTAGATTGTATTTCCCTGAAAGAAAAATGCCTGCAATGCGAGCCTCGGTCTACATTACCGACTAAGAAGCCAATGTGCCAAGATGTGCTTTTCAATCATTCATTACAGTTGTTTTGTTACTGCCAGATAAGCCATCACTCAGCAAACATAAAATAGAAAAATTAAAAGTCATTAAGAAAGACCTCTATGAAAGGTTATTTAGATTCAAATGTAAAAATATGTATAGCATTCATTCAATGAAAAGTAAAATAATAAGACGTGTTATCCAGGTTTCTGCCTGCAAAACCACATTCTCATTAATTCAGTAAATACTTACTGGCTACTAAATGATTTTAGCATATGGTTGGTCATATGCTGTGTTTGTACATGTATGCAAATATACTACATAAACTCTTATTTTATTAGAAAATGGATGCACATTTCTATTTTCAGTTTTTCAAAATAAATATATTTTTCCTTAAACTGCTTCAACTACTTCTGTATATTTCAGAAGTCAATCTAAACCTATTTTAATGTGTAGTGAGTGATTCTCATTTCTTATGACTTTGTTCTAAGTAAGGGATAGGTAAGAGAATGCAAGAAAACAGTTTGAAGAGGGTATACAGACTGCTGTCATTAAAATTTTTCTTTAAGACCTTTCCAAATCTGCCTCAAGTAATTTTTGCTGCCTAAGTTTTCATGCCTTTAAAAAGGATAATTGGACTACACTATCAATGACAATAGGTTAAACTAATGAGAGTTGTGAACATTGAGCAGACAGTGACTTGGAGAAACAAAGACCATTAAAGTCTCTTTTATTTTCTCCTTTTGTCACACCTACCTCCCCAGAGCACCTCAGCACTGGATCAATACAAACATGTCAGGTCTTCACTCCTAAAACTGGACGGATGGAGATATGCCACACAACCATGTGAACAGGAGTCTCTTGCTTCAGCTATGTCCTCCATACTGCTAGGAAATCATTCTACAAGTCCTCTATCGGCTACCTCTCCTCTGCTCCCATAGGTTTTCTAAGCCTTTGCTTATCTTCTCAAAACTATCCTTCCCTCCATTCCCTTTAGTTTCAGATGATCTTTCCTCTACTTTCATCAGAAAAATCAAGACATTCAGGAAATAATTAAATGTCTTTACCCTATAACTTAAGTAAATATACATCTGTATGCATTTTTTCTCTATGCTGAGGGTCCCCAAGACCAATGCACCAATGTAAGGAATGAAATGGAGGATATAACTAATAATTCTTCAGTCATTGAAAGAATACTAAGAGAATATGATGAACAATTTTCACTCATATTTATGAGTGAGAATTAAACCTACACCAATATCTCCAACTGATTTTCGACAAAAGCGCAAAGGCAATTCAATGGAGAAGGATAACTTTCCAACAAATAGTAATTAGTTAATCAATTGGATATCTGTAGTCCAAAGCAATTGGATATTTATAGTCCAAATATATGAACCTTAATCTATACCTTGTACAAAAATTAACTCATAATGCACCAAGGACTTAAATATAAAATGTGAAACTATAAATTTTTTAGAAAAATTAAAATCTTTGTAATCTAGGGCTAAGCAAAATGTTCTTAGACTTAGCACCAAAAGTGTGATTCATAAAATAAACATTTGATAAATTCGACTTCATCAAAATTCCAGACTTTTGGTTTTGGAAATGCTCTGATAGGAGCATGAAAAAACAAGATACAGACTGAGACAAAATATTCACAAACCAGAAAGGACTAGTCTCTAGAGTATGTAAAAAACTTGCAAGACTCAATATATTAAAAATATATACAATTATAAAGTGGGCAACAGTCCTGAACACCTATTTACTGAAGCAGATATTCAGATGTCAAAAGAACACATGAAAAGATGTTCAACACCATTTCCAATCAAAGAAGAGCAAATTTAGACCAGGATATACACTACATACCTATGTGAATTGTTAAAATAAAAACTAGTAACGTTAAATGCTGGCAAGGTGCCAAGAAACTGGATCCCACATACATTACTGGTATATGGTGGTAATATAAAATGATGCTACCATTCTGAGAAGCAGTCAGTGGTTTTTTTATAAAACAAGACATGCAACTACCATACAATTCAACAATTTCATTCTTGGATATTTATCCCAGAGAAACAAAAATTTAACTGTCCTTTAGCCACTTAGCCCTCTGGGTTATGAGAGGACTTTCTTGGTATTGGTATTAGTATTGGTATCATGGTGCTTGTATTCAAGTAACCCTTACTTTACTTAATAATGGGCCCAAAGTGCAAGAATAATGATGCATGAAATTCATATATGCCAAAGAGAAGCCATAAAGTACTTTCTTCGAGTGAAAAAGTGAAAGTTCTCAACTAAGGAAAGAAAAAAAATCATATGCTGAGGTTGCCCAATCTACAGTGAGAATTAAGCTTCTATTAGTGAAACTGTGAAGAAAGAAAAAAAATGGGTACTAGTTTCGCTGTTGCACTTCAAACTGCAAAAGCTATGGCCATGGTTAGTGACATGGGGCAGGTAGTGTAGACAGTATGGATATGCTGGAAGAATGGCTTATTCACTTCTCGGGCAAGATATAGTAGGATGACTCAAGAATTCATCACACTAATCAGAATAGTGAGCAATTTAAAACATAAACTCTGTATTTCTGGAATATTTTACTTAATATTTTTGGATCACAGTTGACTGTAGGTAACTGAAACCACAAAAAGTGAAACTGCACTATAGTTTTGTACAATGTTACATTGAAGCAAATGGGTTAAAAAGTACGTGGGATTTTTTTTTTCCACTACATGTAGATCCACACTTTTTTTCAAATAAAATAGTTCAGTTAAAAAATAATACTTGTAAAACAAATTGTCATTGATCTTGTTTCCTTCTAGTTGCCGTATTGAGTATAAACTTCTTGTTATTATATCTTTGGCCATTTACCCTTTGATTCATAGCTCCCAAGCTTTTAACCCCCTAACTCACTCAGACCACTGTGGAATTAACAGTGACCTCTATATTGCCAAAATCAAACACATGTCAGTCCTCATTCTGCTGGGCACTCTACTACATTGGCGTCATTCCCAGATAAAAACTTTCTTATCTTCTGATTTCCATGGCATTAAATTTTCCTTTTTGTGGGTGGAGGATTACCTAGATGCCGAGGCAATAGACTGAAGACACAAACTGTTTCAGTGTAATAAACAAAATAGAATAAGAATAGTTATAATACAAATTAGATATGGAGATGATCATGGACAATTATCAATCATTATTATAAACATTATTAATCATTAGCTTTTAATATTACTCTTTGTTGCATTACTAATATAACCCAGGAATAACCAGTGGGTATAGGGTCAGGTGCTTAAGGGACATTGTGAGAAGTGACCAAGAAGGCAAGAGGTGAGCCTTCTGTCACGCCCGCATAAGGGCCGCTTGAGGGCTACTTGGTCAAGCGGTAATGCCAGTGTCTGGGAAGGCACCCCTTACTTAGCAGACTGCGAAAGGGAGTCTCCTTTCCTTGGAGGAGTCAGGGAACACTCTGCTCCACCAGCTTCTTGTGGGAGGCTGAATATTATCCAGGCCTGCCCGCAATCATCTGGAGGCCTAAACCCCTCCCTGTGGTGCTGTGCTTCAATGGTCACGCTTCTTGTCCACTTTCATGCTCCTCCCGTATTCCTGGTTCCTCTTTGAAGTTCATAGTAGATAGCGGTAGAAGAAATAGTGAAAGTCTTAAAGTCTTTGATCTTTCTTGTAAGTGCAGAGAAGAAAACGCTGACATATGTTGCCTTCTCTCTCTCTCTGCTTGGACTACCTAAAAGGGAAGGTCCCCCCATCCTGTAATCACATGACTTGCTTCACCTGTCAATCACTTAGAAGATTCACCCTCCTTACCCTGCCCCTTTGTCTTGTATGCAATAAATATCAGCGAGCCCAGCCGTGCGGGGCCACTACCGGTCTCCGCGTCTTGATAGCAGTGGTCCCCCGGGCCCAGCTGTTTTCTCTTTACCTTGTGTCTTTATTTATTACAATCTCTCATCTCCGCACACGGGGAGAACACCCGCTAAGCCCCGTAGGGCTGGACCCTACACCTTTTCCTCTGGGTACCCCCTTTAATGTTTCTTTTCTTTTACCTGCCGTTTAAAATTTTAGCATTTCATGGAGTTCCATCCTCTTTGCGGTGGTTTTCATAGCCTCTATATATTCGTGAATGACTTACCTTATACCATGACTTCAAGTACTATTTACAGATTGATGACTCTCAAATTCATTTATTTTCCATAAGTCTGGTGAGTCATTCAATAGACATTTCCACTTGGCTGTCCCTCTGCATCGCAGGGCAACACGTTTCACTTAATCTTACCCTCTTTTGACATTCCTAATTCAGTGCTCCCCTAAATCTAGTCTTCCCTAACTTAGACACTCAGAGTCTATAAAGCTCTTCTTCTTATCCATGTCTTCCTAAAGTCAATTCACACTTTTGATTGATAGGTTCTAACTTCCTAGTATCTCTGGAATGCATATCTTCCTTCCATTCACCATGGCTGCTGCTTTTGTTCCAGTTCTCAGTGTTTATTCCCTGGATCATTCAATAGTCTCTTAAATAAAGTCCCTGGAACAACTCCAGTTTTCTCAAATATTTCTGCTCATCTGTAATCAATGAGTTCACAAAAAACCACAAATTTGATAACATCAAACCATTGTCTTAAACATTTCAATGATTTACAATTGTTTCCAGATAAATTTCATATTTCTTAAGTCGGTATCCAAGCCCCATTGTAATCTATCTCCTGGTGTCTTTCCTGGCCTCTACTCCTAACTTTCCTTCCCACCCTGTGCTCAAGTTATACAGAGTTTCAGTACATCATTTCCACCTCCAAACTCTTCTATGTATTTTTTTCTTCTTCTTATCATACATACTTGTTCCTTGGTATCCATGGGAGATTGGTTTCAGGACCCTATCAGACACCAAAATTCGTGGATGCTCAAGTCCCTGATATAAACTAGTATAGTATTCACATATAATCTAGGCACATCCTCACGTATACTTTAAATCATCTCTAGATTACTTACAATACCTAATACATTGCAAATGCTATGTAAATAATTGTTATATTACATCATTTAGAAAGTAATGACACGAACAAATCTGTACATGTTCAGCACAGATGCTTTTTTAAAAAAAAAATTTTGACTCAGTAGAATCCACAGATGCTGAACCCATGGACATGGAGGTCCAACTATACTTAATATCTTCTTCATCAAAATAGTCCCATTTACTCTGCAATACAGTTCAGATATCATCTTTCTTACAAACCTTCCCCAGTTTGAGTTAGATGTCCTTCCTCTAGATTTCTGGTACCCTGCTGTATTCATTTCCCAGGCTGCTATAACAAAGTACCACAAACTGGGCAACATAAAACAACAGAAATGTATTATCTCATGGTTCTGGAGGCTGGAAGGCCAAAATCAAGGTGTTGGCAGGCCCATGCTCTCTCTGAACTTTAGAGGAGGCAATATTCAACCCTGTACACCTGTTAGTATCTTTTTATGCCATTTACCACAGTTTACTATTAGTTTCCTGCCAGTCCTACAGTATAAACTAAACACTAAGGCCCTGAGTGAATAAAGCTACAGTGGCTATTCATCATTTCTGCCCTTCCAAGATTATGTCTCATATATAAGATGTTTGGCTATTAAATATGGTGTTCCATTGCATCAATGTACAAGCTCTAAAGAGGAACAACAAACCTATGCAATTTGAGCCAGAGAGGCAGTGTGGTATTCAGAAAATAAATTCGTATCACACGTCAGGGGGAGCTTTAAAGACGTAGAATAAAGGAGACAACAATGACAGGTTTTAAGTTCTTATCTCATACTTGGGGTTTGCTATCACTCAAACCATAGCACCAACTCCGAGCTTCCCTGTCATAGCACCTACCTTTGTCCCCTCCTTCACGGAAAATGCTAAATCAATTTGAAAACTGTGCTTTAATTCCTTTTTTCCTTTAATTCCTTGTATCCTGTAAAAGCCTTTTCTTATAGGGTCCTTGCTCTTCCAGCCTCTAGAACCTACCCTGGCTCTCACTTTTCATATTCTCCTTCCACCTCCCATCACCCACTGGCCCAGACTAACTTCATGAAATGCTTGACTGTTATGTCCTGCCTCGTGAATTAGGCCGACGGTGATGTCCCTCCTGATAATAATGAATTCTTGCACCACACTTTTCTGATACATACAGAAACTTATGATTACTGTCCCATTGGGAGTAATACACCATTGTCTTTAGACCTCAGAACTTTAATCCAACACCCTGAAAAACAGGTCTCCTCTGCTTTTCCCCCACCTCAGTAGCTCAGGGTTCACACCTGGGCATTTTCAAATCACAACTTTAACACCATAGGCCCTTGAATTTCCCTTCTGTAAATGGAGGGGTTTGGTCCATACAATCTCTAAGAATTTTTTCATCTCAATATAGTATAGTTATATATAGTGGTGGCAGGAAGGAAATGTGTAATTGAACCAGGTAACCTACTGTCTTTCAGTACTGAGTTGTTGTCACATGCTTGGCATCATGTATATGTATATGCACACACACAAACAAATGCACACATTTTTATGTGTATATGTGTGTGTGTATATATATATATATATATATATACACACACATACCTATATATATGATTATTTTGAGAGACTGTAAGTCATGTGTAATTCTTTATGAGTGATAGGTAAATATAGCATACTGCATGACTTTTCATTTATATTAACTGCTTTTGGGAGAATTAAGGAAAATTTTTACCTTGAAAATTGGTCTGTGTAAATTTTTTAAAAATGCTTTCTTCCTTTATGCTTCAGTCTCATTAATGTAAATTGAAAAATAAACATATTCATTTTGCAAAATTTGTTTTCCATTTGCAGTATTTCCCACATATAATTGTATCTGAATTGATGTTTTATCTTACCTATTAAAACACATGTTAAAAAAAAGCCAATTACGTAAAAAGTACTGATGCTGCATTTCTCTAATAAATTTTGATGGAGGAAGAAAAAATATATATCTAAAGAAATGTTGATAATTATTGAAAACAGGATTATAAAATTAATTTGTAATAAATGTGAGCCTATAAAAAAGTAAAATATTATTATTTTTACTACAAGGAAATTCATCTTATTCTGCTGTCTTGATTAAAATGTAATATGAAATCTAGACCGTAAAGTTATTATTTTAAGAAAACTATCAACTTTGAATAAAAGTTGCTGTGCTTCTTTCTCTGGGGTACACTGGGCAAGTTATTTGATATGGAAAAATTGATCAGGATATTAGAGTTAAATAAATATATTAACTCTGATAGTTACATAATTGTAGTAATAATGTGGTGAGTTAAGTATAAGTGACAGACAGAAGAACATAAAATAGAAGTTTTAAAATTATTTTGGTCTCATTTCACCCCAGATAATGCCAAAGTACAAACATATGTAAGTGCCGTAGCAGAATGGAAATAAGCTAAGGATATAGGTTGATAAAAACCCACTTAATTTCACAAGGCTTAAACTTTACCAAATTAAATTAGATATGTTCACTTTAGGAGACTTCTTAATACTAAATAATAGTTGTAAGAATGTAAAAGGTAAATAAATAAATTTAATATTTATTCATGCATTCAATTTTCTGTTCATGAGTATAGTTTCTATTATTTGCAAGGTAGGTAAGAAGTGAAAAATAAAGGTAAGAAAATAAGTAGAAATGAAAAATTGAAAGATAAATTTCTATAGCAAAAGACTGACTTTATTGGAAATAGTCCTAAGAATTAGTAAGAAAAAAATGAAAAGATGCTTAATTCTGAAGCACTGCTGAGGTTCCTATGGTTCTGGTTAGTCAAATGCTTGTTAATAGGTAATCATTGCTGCTGATCTTTGGTTTCGTTTTATTTTTTCCTGGCTTTCTCTAGAACTTTGCCTTGTACTTTATTAAGACCACCACTGAGATTCATGAAATACTTCGTATATTACTGGATACTGATTGTACAAATGTCAACTGGCTGCTTGTTCTCTGTAGTTTGCCTTGGCTGCAAGCTCTACAGTATATTTAACTTCATTTTTATCATTACCAAAGTGACCTTTTAGAAATATATTTTGCTCTACTGATATCTGAACTTCAGGTAAGGCTCTTTTTGAGGAAGGTGTTTGGATTCATTGAACAATAGCAAAATGACTAGTGTAAGTGAAAAATCACAGCACAGTTACTGCACAGAGAAGCAGATCCACATGTCTCCTCTTCCCCACATCTTCTAGGCTGTAGCTGTGAATGATTTAACAGGATGCAGGAGAATAAAATTTGTACTTATAGTCAAACAGGGAATGGGTACAAGTCCAGTTATTAGTAGATAATCAATACTTTTTAAAAAGGATGACATGATAAAATACTCTCCTTCAGAGGCATTTAAAAACAGAAAAGATTCTCATTGATTTGAAATAGAGTAGGTTTGAATCTAACAGTATAGATTAACCCATTATGGTTCTTTTACTACCAGTGTATATTTTGGGACAAGAATTCCACTACACTAAGGACACACACACACACACACACACACACACACACACAGAGTAGGCCTTAGAGTCCATTCTTCGATCTCCCAAAATAACTGGCATAAACCAAGCAGAATTTTTGTACCTCATAAGTACATTCCTCATAAGTGTTGGCTTTTAAAATGTTTGTAGGCATATGTTAAGTTTCTAGCTTTTAGATCTAATGAATAGATCTTGCAGCAGTACTTTTCAAAGTGCAGGTTGCAACCCATTGGGTAAATAAAATGAATTCAAAAAGCACTAACTAGCACTTTCATTAATACATATATTAAAATGTTGTTTCTTTGGAGGGACAAATAGACAAAGTAACCAAACCAATACCTAAAGTAAACACAAAAAGAAAACACAAGTATACATAAGTGAGAAACAATCATTGAAAAAGAGGTACTAAAATTTCATAGAGGTCTGCTATGGACAATATTATGCAAATAAATTTTAAATATAGAAGAAATTAGTTAATTTTCTAGGAAAATATAGTTTACTAAAATTGACCTCAGTATGCATAAACAATTAAACAGACCAATATTCGTAGACAAAATAATGAAAATTATCAAAGAACTAGTTAATAATGCCCCTCCCCTCAAAAGAAAGAGAAATACTAGACCCAGGCACTTTTACAAGAGAATTCTAATAATCTTTCATGGAACAGATATCCCCAATGATATTTAAATTGTTCCAGATCTTAGGAAAAAGAAGGGAAGCTTTCAAATTGTTTATAAGGATCAAGTATAACATTTATTCAAAAACCCAATAAATACGGCATAAAAAGGATAACCATATACCAATTTTACTTGTGAACATTGAAGTATTAATATAATGTTTTTCTAAGGCATTAACAAAGAACAGATTGAAAAATAACCATGTGGGACTTATTTCAAAAGTGTAAAGATGATTATATTTGGAAGTCAATAATGAAATTTACTATATTAAAGGGTTTAAGTTTTCTTAGAGAAATGGTTGATGCCAGGGCTGGAGCAGAGAAAATACAGACACATGTCAGAAGGATATAGGAGATGGTTTGTTGGAACTCCCACTGACCAAATGTTGAACAATATGAGCAGCAAAATAATCAAGATAGTGATATATTAGAACATATTGAATAAAATTGAATCAATGAGTTCAAAGTGATATTCATAGGATGTGTATTTGGGTGGTGGAAAATAGGATAAATATTTTCTATATTGAAGAATGACAGATAATAAATGCAGAAGGAATGACAGAATTAAAGGAGAACCAGTTTACATATGTAGAATAAATGGCTTAGGAAAGTATTATGGACTAATGCTAAAATCACTAGATGGAAAGTTGTTGGGAGCAGGATATTCATGCTATATCAATGTAGCCCTCTCTATATTACCTCTTCATTACAAAAGGAAAAGTATATTGTTACAATGAAAGGATCCAGCATTCATCATTTTGAACAAGTGATCAAACTTAACCTCATGAATAATGGGACAAACTAACATCTTTGCAGTGGGAAGCATACATCAATGCCTACGTAGTATTTTTGACACAGCTTTTGGCTCCAAGTGGCTCAAGGTAGACAAAGAAGTGTAGGAAAGACAGGAAATAACCAGCTTCCAAACAGCCCTCCTGCAAGGATTGTATTAGGTGTCTCTCCAAAAAAAAAAAGAAAAAAAAATGAAACAAAAAAACATTTAAAATGGGAATGTATGATTGATATAAAAGTTAGAAATGTGCATAGAACAGGTATAACTTAGAAGAAGTCTGCAAGAATATGGCACTTGAGCATACTTGATCAGATTAATGCTTCAGTACTCAAAGAGTTGACATTGTCACTTTGCCTGGCATTTAGACCCATGGGACACTTGTTTTCACCCCTCTCAGTCATATGGCCAGCCTTTTCAGAAATGAGGGAGAGGTTTTCTGAGTCTTCCTGCTTCCAGAGAGTCCTCTGTCAACGCGGACTAAATTTAAGGAAAGTCTCTGTTATAATATTTAAATGAGATAATGTATATAAAGTACCTGGGATGCCACCTGACACAGAAGAGGCTGAAAAAAACCCAACAATGTCCTGCCTCTGGTGAATGTCTATATTTCTTCTGACCAATATTTTATCTCATTTCTAAGGAATTATTCTGCTTTCTTCTAGGATTATGCCAGGAAATCCTAGCATAATTTACTCCTATCCTGAGTAAATAAAAATATGTCTTCCGGAGAGAAGTCATTCGTTTCAGAAAGAGAAATTCTTTTTTAATGTGTTGGTGGAATTCTCTTTCAATACACTGTGAGGATAAATCCATCTATCTTGTTCCATTTCTTTCCATGCTATAGGAATAGTTAAAAAGGAAAGAAATACAGAGAACCAAAAATAGAAAGAACCTTATGTGTCTCTGCTAGAATCCTCTCTGTGACTTATGTTGGGCTGGATGGCAATGATCAGTTGCTCTCTTTCCTGAGTTCCCATAGTATGCTGTGTATAATCTTATTATAACATTTATTTTCTTTGCATTGTAATTGCCTGTTGACATGTGGGCCTTTACTACAGTCCTTTGAGCTTCTTGAAGGCAAGAAGCATCCCTTATTTGTGGTTTATGTTGGCACCCAGCATGATGGCTAACCTGGGACAGGTACGCAATAACTGTCCACAGAAAGAATATCAACTTCCTTTTCTCATCTCTCTGCCTCTTCCCAGTTTCTCCCTGTCTTCTTTCTCTGCCTCAGATCTATTTAGATCTTCAATGTCCTATGAGGCCACTGTTATTCGAGATAGATCTTTTATATGTTCTGTTTTTACTTTTTAATCTCCTATGACTCTATAGAAGAAATTGTTAATAATATGTCTGCTTTATATTTACCAAGTTATGGTCATCTAAAGTAGTAGATTTTTACTCCAATATTTTTAAATAAATACATCTATTTAAAAATCTACTACTTTATACAAAGGGTCTCCATCACTAATGACTAATGTTCTTTGTCAAGAAAGACAATAAATGCCGTTTCTAGGTCCATGACATTTAGTAACGTATACACTAAAGCAAGCCCTGATCAATGCTGAGTCATTGAAATTTGGTTTTTAATTTTGAAGCAATAATATTGTTCCATGATTTCATCTGAATATTTGAATATTTTTTGGTTCCTTTGGAAGGCTGTTTATATATGCCCAAAGGGTCAGATGTCCATAACCCTTTAGTTGAATCTCTGTATCTCTTATAAAGGGATGAGTGTGAGAATCAGAATTATTTGCCAAGACATAGATGCAATGTAAACTTATTTTTTGTGTGAAGATTAAATCAAAATACATTAGTTGAATTGATGTTTCTGTCCCATTTATTCTCATATAAAATTATGCAGACTTGATTTTCTTTCTTTAGAAGTTAGAAAATGCTAAATTTAAGTCAATTTTCTCTTGAATCTTTTTCAAGTTATTTTTATATATCATTGATTTTTCTTTTTCTTTTAGAGCTAAGACATGGAGAACATATAGACACCCAGCAACTCTCACAAAAGATTTCTAAAACATTTGCTTTCTAAAACACTTACAGTTGCTTTAACAAAAAGAGACATTTGGAAGATTACAATTCTTCTAAAATGCCCTACTTTTTCTCTGCTGTACCTTATAATCTCTATCATTTTTATAGATTAAAGATTGGTTCAGAAAGTTTTAAGATGGTCAGAATAGCATAAAAGACACAAACCAAAGTCCATTTTTATGAAGCAAATAATGTTAATTGCTGAACTACAGGTTTTAATGACAATGTCTATCAAACGTTTCTATATTGCAGATGTATTCCTGAAAGCATCATTCAATTGCTTGTAAGGACTCGAAGTATAATTCTTTCCTTTTTCTGGAATGGAACAACTTCTATGCATAATGCAATCAGTGATCTTGACTCGTGCTAATTTAGCAGCAGATTAACCTTTTTGTACTTTTCCAGTTAAATATTTTGTAAAACTTAGAGCAGGGGTAAACCTAAAATTATGATTGCAATATATCAAAAATAGTATGTGCTACAGTCTTAGAAGTATCACATACTAAATTTAGGAAGCACTTAAAAATGAAAAACAATTATATCTTAGAAAAAATCAATAAGACGATGTATTACTTTACTTTTTCTGCATGTTGAAAATTCTTTCTCTATGCATTTAATCATCCCAGGGGAAATGTCTGTATTTATACATATTGGTATGAAATTACATACCCCATATAACATATATAATAACCATATTAACTTGGCCATATGTTGGTAGATGAGGTAATTACTGTTATTTAGCCAATTCACTCTTAAAAACAAAGTGTCTGAACTTTAAGAGATTTCAAATTGGCAGTAATAATAGGTTATTAAAATACTCCCTTAATATCTTCTATAGGAGCTCTGCTATGTGCTGTATAAAGGAGGTTAAAAATAAGCTTGACATGTCTCTCCATGACCTGACAGTCTGCATAAGGCAAAATTGCTATAAACATTAAGAGTTATATGTGTATATATCATCTCTATATCCAAGATTTGAGCTGTACCATAGGAGCTACACCACCTAAAAATATGATTCTAGTCCCTGGAAATTTAATTTTGGGTCAAGTAATTATGCCCAAAAGCCAATATTAAAATGCTCAGTTTTCTGGTGTCCACATAGAGGGGGAAAGGGCTGAGTCCAACACACAGGCTGACATTTGCTTGATAGAGGATCTACCTTCACATGGTTTAGTTATGCAAGAAAGGGAAACCAGTTGGGCACTGAACATGAACCACACGTTGTCTGTAACTATATAGATGATGTATATCCACATACATTTATATGTAGAGTCTGTGTGGTTAAGAAAATAAACTTTATGTATAATGCTCCTGAATTCATAGAATCCTTTGAGTTTTATGAATTTTTGAGTTAATACTGGAAACAAATATACTCTCCTGTGAAGGTACACAAAAGTTTTGATGTGAAAGGAAAGTCCTCATACAAAAGTTAGGAAGTCATGATCTAGCGTAAGCTACTTAAGACAAAATTTCCACAGGTCCAGTCTGTTAGAAAAAAAAAAAAAAACCTTGAAATCTGACAATAAAAGACAAAAACTGCTGATTTCAGCTACAGACAGGTAGAAAATACTACTTTTCTTTTTTAACTGTTCTCCATCCACTTAGGCTACCGATATGAACAGGAATACATATATTTTGACCTTCACCTCGGTCTAAGATTTTTTTGGGGTATTGTGAAGCAAAAATCTAATCTCAGGTGACTTCCAGTTCTTTGTGTTAATAGGGCCATATAGAACCAGGCTGGACAACTCTCTTTTACCGAAACACTTGATGGGTCTTTTGGTTAGAAATGTTCAGTAAAATCCCTGGTTCTGCTAGATGAGAAATTACTTTGATGAAGAAAATATTTTAACAGAAATTTTGGAATTTGCTTGATCCTAAGAGGTGAGAAAAGCACCAGAGGAGGGAAACAAGACTGTTACATATGAATGCTATGTTTAAATGATCATTCATTCCTATTGTAATTGAATCTTTGTTCTAGCAAAATCAAATTAAATTGTGGGCTGTGCTTTTCAAAAGAAATTTAAATGAGGAAGTTTTGACTAAGCCTTAGGAAAAGTGTTTAAATAAAAGTTTACTTATGGAATGAGTTGTTGGAAAAGTGATTTCAAATATTCAATTGGAAATTGTTTCCACTTCTGTTCTAGAATTATCCTTTGTTATTTTCAAATCTATAGTAAAAATGTGTTAATCAGTGGTGCTTTGGGGAATGAAGAAAGGAAGAGTTTCCGCACTTGCAACACTCTAGGGTAAAGATGACAGCTGCAGGAGGTGAGATAGCAAGTGGAAATGATAATAAATGGGGAGGAAAAATTGAGAGTAAAAGGTGATGGCACGACCATATACTGATATAGAAGTTAAGAAAAATTATTTAGGCAGATAGTGAGGGTAAGGAAGTAATGTTTTCCTTTTAACGAAAAGCAGCCTCCAGATCATTTTCTTTTCTAACAAAGAGCAGCCTGTAAAATTGAGCTGCAGACATACAAAGGCAAGCTAGAAGCTTGGGTGAGTGCCGGCAGTTGTGCCAATAGGAAAGGGGCTACCTGGGGACTAGGCATGTTCAAAATGGCGGCTCCGTCTTCCCTTTTCTTTGCCAACCACATGTACAGTAAGGAGCAGGCGACATGTCACCAGCCAGGTAGAGAAGCCATTTGCATAATAGAAGATTAGGGTGGGGTTGCCAGCTTCTTCATGTGCTATGCAAATGTTACACCTGGTCCAAACAGTCTTTGGGCTCTATGTAAATCAGATGCCACCTCCTCAAGCTAGTCTATAAAACCCCATGCACTTCACCATAAAACCGGAAGTCCCACTTGGGAGACCCTATCTCTGGCAGGAGAGACAGCTATTCTCCTTTCTCTTTCTTTTGCCTATTAAACCTCTGCTCCTAAACCCACTTATGTGTCTGTGT